>NC_000019.10:52865874-53490874 GCF_000001405.40 Homo sapiens | reverse complement strand
AGACTTTTCTCTCATGTGTACCTCCTGTTTTTGTGTGAGTAACGAAGAATTCCGGAAATTATTCCCATAGTTATTAGAAATATGGGTTTTGGGCCTACAAGAAATTCTTTGGGATGTTGAAATTGAGGAAGCATCGTTGATAGACTTCTCCACTTGATTACCAATTTTCCCTTGGGTCTGAAACATGTGGAGTTCAGGCAGATGCGAATGAAAGCTTGATCCAAGCTGATCTTTAATAGGCTTGTTTCCAGCATGCCTTTGATCATATCGGTCTGCACTACCAGTCAACTTTTTGATTTCTGTCATGGGTGCTTCATGGCTATTTCTTTCATCTTCTTGCCACTGAAACTCTAAGTTATGAATATCTTTATCAATTTCCTGAAAGCGAAAGTCTCCAGTGTGATGACTTTCATGTCTTTGCAATGTCCCTGTGTGGATCACTTCTCTATTGCCTTGTGCTGTTGATGAGAACTCCTTCATCATGCATTTGGAAGAGATATCTACAAAATATAAACACGAATAGGTTTCCAGTTCAGTACAGATGGTAAATAATACTGAAATGTGTAAATGTGACACAAAAAATACTCATTTTAAACTTCCCCAACATGATCTTCAAAGTTTAGGAACACAAAAGCGTAAGATTCTTTATTAGATAAAGGGCTATTACATGTGCTTCAAATCATCTCTACGGAACCCTATTTCCAATATCACGACAAAACACTGACAGTGCACAAATGTGTATAAGCCTAAAGTAAGGAGTATTTTTCCACTGTGACCGTAAAGTGTCTAACAGTTTGCAAAAAACATATCACCGTCACACCAATGAAAAGTATATATTCTTCATATTTACAGCATATTTGCTGTATACAAATAAATGCTAAAGGACCACATGATATACCATATTGGTAAATAATCCACAACAAGCTCATGTAAGGATAACCAAAATCAATGGAAATTCTGTATTGTCAAACAATCATAGCACTGAAAAGGTAAGAAACGATTACAAAATGTAGCCAGGCGTGGTGGCCTACGTCTGTAGTCCCAGCTACTCAGGAGGCTGAGGCACAAGAATCGCTTGAACCCAAGAGGCAGAGGTTGCAGTGAGCTGAGATTGCAACACTGTACTTCAGCCTGGGTAACAAAGTGAGACTTAATCTCAAAATAAAAGTTAATACAATATTTTTCTGAATTACTGTCATAAAATTACCTATACCTATGCAGAAAAGGCACGTTATGACGTTCTTTTAAAAATTTTTGTATTTTTTTATTTTCGAGATGAAGTTTCACTTTGTCACAACAGGCTGGAGTGCTATGGCCCAATCTTGGCTCACTGCAACCTCCACCTTTTGGGTTCAAGCCATTCTCTTGCCTCAGCCTCCTGAGTACCTGGGATAATAGGCACATGCCAGCATGCTTGGCTAATTTTTGTATTTTTAGTAGATAGAGGGTTTCACCATGTTGGCCAGGCTGTGGTCGAACTTTTGACCTCAATGATCCACCCGCCTCAGCTTCCCAAAGTCCTGGGACTACAGGCACGAGCCACAGTGCCCCAGTTAATGTGACATTAATGCCAGGCACGGTGGCTTATGCCTGTAATCCTAGCACTTTGGGAGGCCAAGGCAGGCGGATCACCTGAGGTCAGGAGTTCGAGACCAGCCTGACAAACATGGAGAAACCCCGTCTCTACTAACAATACAAAATTAGCCGGGTGTGGTGGCTCATGCCTGTAATCCCAGCTACTCGGGAAGGCTGAGGCAGGAGAATCACTTGAACCCAGGAGGCAGAGGTTGCAGCGAGCCAAGATCACGCCATTGCACTCCAGCCTGGGCAACAACAGTGAAACTCTGTCTCAAAAAAAAATGACATTAACTAGTGGACTGTGTCAGTTATATTGCATACCACATACCGAAAAGCTTTATGTACAATCATAAAAATTAGTTAGTAAAATATTGTAACTCATAAAACTAGCAAGCAAATAACAAGTACATTTATACAACCTGCAGAATTCTAAACAATTCCCTGTTAAGAAAAAAGCCACAACTTCTATATACCACCAGAACACAATATAAGAACTGAAATACATGTTAAGATCACTACATGTTAATTTATGAGGTCAAAAATATACACAGCATTATAAGGAATAAGAATTGACTAACGGCTGGGCGCGGTGGCTCACGCCTGTAATCCCAGCACTTTGGCAGGCTGAGGCAGGAGGATCACGAGGTCAGATCGAGACCATCCTGGCTAACACCATGAAATCCTGCCTCCACCTCTACAAAAAAAAAAAAAATACAAAAAATTAGCCGGGTGTGGTGACATGTGCCTGTAGTCCCATCTACTTGGGGGACTGAGGCAGGAAAATCACTTGAACCCAGTAAGCAGAGGTTGCAGTTAGCCAAGATCATGCCACTGCACTCCAGCCTGGACAACAGACCAAGACTCCATCTCAAAAAAAAAAAAGAAAAAAAAGGAAATGAAAGAAGTCTAAAGAGTCACTCCAACCCACAAATATATATAAAGTTCTCCAGTAAAGGTAAATTAAAAGACAGACAGGCAGGGCGCGGTGGTTCACACCTGTAATCGCAGCAGTTTCGGAGGCTGAGGTTGATGGATCACCTGAGGGCAGGAGTTTGAGATCGGCCAGACAAAAAAGGAGAAACCCTGTGTCTATTAAAACACAAAATTAGCCAGGCATGGTGGCACATGCCTGTAATCCCAGCTACTCGGGAAATTGAGGCAGGAGAATCACTTGAACCTGGGAGTTGGAGGTTGGAGTGACCCAAGATTGTGCCACTGCACTCCAGCATGGGCGACAAGAACAAAACTTCATCTCACCAACAAATAAATAAATAAATGAATAGGCAAATAAAAGTACAGATACAGAAACTGTTGTAAGTGTACCTTTTCTTCATAATTCAACTTTTTTTCTATTATTTAAAAGAAAAAAAGCATGAAAACACAATATACATATATGTTGATGAAAATGCAACATACACAAATAATTCTGACATAAATAAAGAGTTCTGGTGGAGAAAGAGAAGTTTTTGCAGGTTATGGAATTTTTTTTTTTTTTTTTTGAGACAGAGTCTTGTTCTGTTGCCCAGGCTGGAGGGCAATGGCACAGTCTCAGCTCACTGCAACCTTCACCTCCCAGGTTCAAGCGACTCTCCTGCCTTAGCCTCTTGAGTAGCAGGGCTTACAGATGCCCACCACAGTGTCCGGCTAATTTTTGTATTTTTAGTAGAGATGGAGTTTTGCCATGTTAGCCAGACTGGTTTTGAACTCCTGACCTCAGGTGATTTGCCTGCCTTGGCCTCTCTACGTGCTGGGATTACAGGCATGAGCCACTGGGGCACAAGGATCGGTTGAGCTGGAGAGGCAGAGCCAGTTGCGGTGACCCAAGATCGCACCACTGAACTGTAGCCTTGGCGACAGAGTGAGACTCCATCATAAACAAACAAACAAAAAAAGTAAATAAGAAGGGAGTCAAAGCATGTCTACACAAAAAAGCAATTAAACACAAAAAGTAGTAAATGAGAAATGAAGAACAAAAAAAATCTACAATACAGATAATATGTAACAGAAATGCAATGGTAAGGTCTTCTCCATCAGTAATACTTCAAATGTAAATATTTAACTCTGCACTCAGAAGGCAAAGACTGGCTGAATCAACAGGAACCAACTACATGTTTTCTACAGAAGACTCATATTGGCCTTAAGGACATACATATGCAAAAATTTTAAAAGTAAAAGCCAATAATTAGTTATGGGGGTTGGTGCCTGTAATCCCAGTTACTCAGGAGGCTGAGGAGGATCTCTTGAGCCCAGGAGATCAAGACCAACTTCAACAACGCAGTAAGAACATTCTCTAAAAAAAAAAAAAAAAAAAAAAACTAAAAAAGTAGCCGGACATGGTCACATGCACCTGTACCAGCTACTGGGGGAGGCTGAGGTGGGACAATCACTTGAGCCCAGGAATTCAAGATCGCAGTGAGCCATGATCACACCATTTCACTCCACCCTGGGTGACAGAGCAAGACACTGTATCTAAAAACAAGAGAAAATACAAAGATACACAAGGGCACATCCCCACTTCTGGAGGGAAGTTATCCTCACCCAGGGAGACCAGGTTCCTATAATTCTCCAGCATCACGTCCCTGTATAGAGTCCTCTGAGCAGGGTCCAGGCATTTCCACTCCTCCTGAGAGAATTCTATGGCCACATCCCTGAATGTCAATAGACCCTGAAATGAAAACACATTTTAAGGAAATTGTTATGGGAGGAGTTCTTATCTTCACAGAAAATGAGAAGAGGAGAGAGGGGAAAGCATGGATTTAATTGCAGTGAATGTTCTGACAAATCCGAGTAAGGGGTTCTTCACCACATTTTGTCTTCCCAGCTGTGTTTTATTATGCTTTTTTTTTTTTTGAGGTGGAGTCTCACTCTGCTGCCCAGGCTGGAGTGCAATGGCACAGTCTCCACTCACTGCAACCTCCACCTCCCAGGATCAAGCGATTCTCCTGCCTTAGCCTCCTGAGTAGCTGATATTACAGGCACGCACCACCATGGCCAGTTAATTTTTGTATTTTTAGTAGAAACGGGTTTTCACAATATTGGCCTCAAACTTGTGACCTTGTGATCTGCCTGCCTCAGCCTCTCAAAGTGCTGGAATTACATGCGTGATCCACCGCGCCCGGCCCAGAAACTTTTATTGACACAGCAAGTGACATTCAGTATCTAGATGAGACAGAGTATGGGTGATGCCTTCAGAGATGACAACGTCCACAGTGAAAGATCAGAAACTAAAATCCAGCTGGGCATGGTGGCACACGCCTGTTATCCCAGCTACCCGGGAGGCTGATGCAGCAGAATTGCTTGATCCCAGGAGGCAGAGGTTGCAATGATCCAAAATCGCACCATTGCACTCCGGCCTGGGCAACAGAGACTCCATCTCAAAACAAACACACAAACAAACAAACAAACGAAAACAAAAAAACCACATAAAAATTAGCCTGGCATGGCACCTGTGGTTCCAGCTACTTGGGAGCTTGTGGTAGGAGGATGGTTTGAGCCTGAGGGTGGAGGTTGCAGTGAGCTAAGATCACGCCACTGTGCTCCAGCCTGGGCAATACGGTGAGACCCAGTCTTAAAATAAAAGAAAATACATGAAAACTAGATTTCTCAAAGTATGAAAATCCATTGTGTGTGTATGTGTATATATGTCATGACATACATGTATATATCACGACATGCATGTATATATCACGATATATATCATGACATACATATGTCATGACATACATGTATATATGTCATGACATACATATATGTCAACAAAATAATGAAACCTACAGAGACTCACAAAAAACTAGATGTTAATACAAAGGGTTGTCATTTTCCCCAGATTTTCAAACTGTAAAAGTTGTTCAAAATATATACATTTGTGTGTGTGTATATGTATGGAGATGTATATGTGTGTGTATATTGTATATGTGAGTGTGTATATAAAGTTTTTACAAATATAAAAAGTAGCAAGTTTTGTTGAACTGAAGAGGGATCTCATCTTGCTGGAAAAGGACACATTGGCAGTTGGGGGCAGGGTGGAATCCTCTCAGATCTAAGAAAACAGGAAATGCCCCATCCTAGAGGAAGCAATCACCCTTTCAACTGCCTGACCTGGAGGGATCTTCAGATATCTGTAGTAATGCAGGTGTGCTCAGCTAATTTTTGCAAAAAAGTATTTTTTTTTAATTTACAGCAGAATTTTTTTTAAGTCTCATAGTGATGCAGAAATACACGTGTATGAGACTTGCTCTGACACCTGACACCGAACTGACAGTAGCGGCTCCCCAGTGAGGCTGGAAGGAGGGTGGAGGACGTGACAGGGAAAGGAGATGCTTTATAGCAAAAAGTCTAAGCTGCAGCTTTGCTTGGAGTTTTACCACAAAACAAATATATACATCATGTGATGGTTAAATATAAAAATATGTATTTAATAATAATTGGTGGGGCTGGGCACGGTGCCTCGCACCTGTAATCCCAGCACTCTGGGAGACTGAGGTGGGCAGATCACCTGAGATCAGCAGTTTGAGACCAGCCTGGCCAACATGGTGATACCCGTCACTAATAAAAATACAACAAAATTAGCTGGGCGGGGTGACGCACGCCTATAATCCCAGCTACTTGGGAGGCTGAGGCAGGAGAATCACTTGAACCTGGAAGATGGAGGTTCCCATGAGCCAAGATCATGCCACTGCACTTCAGCCTAGGTGACAGACCAAGACTTCATATATTTAAAATACAATAATATTATCATAATTTAATAATAATGACAATACAAATTATAACCATTTTCCTGAAAACACCTGTTTCACAAGCCTCTCCACAGTAACCCCACAGTCTCCATGAGCGTAATGTGCTAAGAATGGTTGAATGAATCTCCTGCTATGATTCAGGTTGATTTCCTATTCTTAAAGTAATGATGGGATAAAACATCTTCTATCATTCATGTCTGTATGAACTTTCCATTCTAATTACTAAGATTTTTGGAGTCAGAAACACAGTAACTCACTCAAAAAACTAAAAATGTACTATAAAATCAGGCAGAAAACATTTCCCCATATTGGTTGCCTTTTCTAGAATTTACCACGTACTTTGTGCACATGAATATGTGACTTCCATTGGCAGCTGCTCTAATCCTAGTCCACAGAGAGCTGAGAGAGCATCCACATGTGGCCACTGAACAATCCCTGCTGCCCAACAGCACTGACACCATGGGACCCTCACCCCGTCTCCATCCATGTCTGGGTGTGAGCCCTTCCCAGGACCATGCCCAGTGCAGCCTCTTCCCAAGTTCATGTCACTCGGTCACAAGAGATGGAATCTAAGTGAGAAAAGAGGGACTGAGGGAAGGCATGGGTGAATGTGAGCAAACCTGTCAGGCAGGATGCTTCAGACTCAGAGAAGATTCCCAACTCCAAGGCCCAGCATTTCTGAGGGGAAGGAGACAGAACAATCCACCAAAAATATCATCTCACCTGAGGAAGAGCCATCCCTGACTCCTTTGCTTTCCTCTTCCTCTTCCAGGTTTCTTCCTCACATACCAAGAGTCTTTAGAAGTCAATCCTGAATGTTAGAAATATGTTGTTTATTGCTCAGAATCAACACATCCCCTCCCTGTAACACAACAACACATACAAAGGAGACCTCATCCTGAGGAAATACGGTCCCCTATGCTGCCGACCACACCAGGGACAATAAACTCCTACAGGAAAACTCCCACTCCCCTCCCGGAGAAGCCCACACACACGCTGCAGCAGTGGGGAGCTGGGGTGGGATGAGCTCCCCTTTAGGGCACAGACCCAGGCCTGACCAAACCTCATGCAAAGGCTGGGTGCGGTGGCTCATGCCTGTCATCCCAGCACTCTGGGAGGCCGAGGTGCGTAGATCTCTTGAGCTCAGGTTTGAGACCAGCCTGGGCAACATGGTGAAACCCCATCTCTACCAAAAATACAAAAACTTAGCCAGGCATGGTTGTGCACATCTGTGTGTCTGTGGTCCCAGTTACTTAGGAGGCTGAGGTGTGAGGATCGCTTGAGCTCAGGAGTTCAAGACCAGCCTGGCCAACATGGTGAAACCCTGTCTCTACTAAAAATACAAAAATTGAGCCGGGCACGGTGGCTCGTGCCTGTAATACTAGCACTCTGGAAGGCCAAGGAGGGTGCATTACTTGAGGTCAGAAGTCAGAGACCAGCCTGGCCAACATGGTGAAACCCCATGTCTACTAAAAATATAAAAAGCAACTGGGCTTGGTGGGTGTCTGTAATCCCAGCTACTCAGGAGGCTGAGGCAGGAGAATCACTTGTACCCAGGAGGTGGCAGTTGCAGTGAGCCAAGATCGTGCCACTGCACTCCAGCCTGGGTGACAATGTGAGACTCAAAAATAAAATAAAATAAAATAAAATAAAAATAAAAATACAATAATTAGCTGGGTGTGGTGGCACACACCTGTACTCTCAGCTACTTGGGAGGCTGAGGCACAAGAATCACTTGAACCCAGGAAACAGAGGTTGCAGTGAGCCAAGATCACAAGACTGCACTCACAGCCTGGGCAATAGAGTGAGATTCTGTCTCTCAAAAAAAAAAAAAAAAAAAAAAAAAAACAAAAAGCATTCCTGATGTGATTGATGCAGAGATAATAGAACCTGAGTAACGTGATAGAGACTGACGGGCAGAGGGAACATCAGATGGGGGTGGGAGGGCATGGGAGACAGCTCTGAGCCTAGACCTGAAGGAGGAGAAAGGGACAGTGCCGTGATCATTTAGGGACATAGAGTAAGAGGAGGGACAATGACCAGAGACAGGAAGGGTTTTGATGTTTGGGAAAAGAGAAAAGCAAATGTGACTGGGGCAGAGGGAGTCATAAGATGAGGGCAAGCTCCCAGGAGGAGGCTGGACACTGGCAGGGGCCCTGGTCACAGGGCTGTGGAGCCACAGTGAGGAGTTGGCCTTTTGTCCTGGGGAACACGGGAAGCTGGTGGAGGGTTCCCTGCCAGGGACTGACGTGACCTGCTTTAGATTTTGCTGTGATGTCCTCATACAGAGAAAGGCCTCGAAGATGGTCTCTGTGTCTGAGTCTACAACTCTGTTTCTTCCATTCTTTTGCATTTTTTTATTCTTTTTTATTTTTGGGGTACTGCATCCCATTTAAAATTCTAATTACAACTGGGCACTCCCCTCTCCCATGAGAAAAGCCATACCCAGACACGTACTCTATTTTGCCAATCATTTCAGGGACCAGGGTCATTCAGGTTGAGCTTTTCTGGTCTAGCCCCTCATCTCCTAGTTGCAGGGAGGCTCACTGGGGCTCAGAGAAAGAGAAATTTTCACCAAGCTACCCTGAGAATGTCTGAGATGAGTGAAAATGTGTGCCTGAATTCTTCTTACATTGGGGCCTGGAAATGCTAATGGGAAGGGTTGGTCTTCATCACCCCTATCCTTGAAAATTAGAGAAGCATCTTTCATATGCCTGGGCTAAAGAAACTTCATTTGCAAGGTTCTGATGCCATTGATTCCCAAATTTTAATTTTTCCTTACAAGAAAATCACAGTAACATTTATAAAACACAGAAGTGTGAACACACAGCTATTGACCTTGAAAACAGTGAAAGAGGGTCAGCTGTAGAACTAAGACATAAGCAAAGTTTTTCAATCAAGAATACATGGGTGGCCAGGTTCAATGGATCATGCCTGTAATCTCAGCACTTTGGGAGGTTGAGGTGGGTAGATCACCTGAGGTCAGGAGTTTGAGACGAGCCTGGTCAACATGATGAAACCCCATCTCTACTAAAAATCCAAAAATTTAGCTGGGCATGGTGGCTGGGTGCCTGTTGTCCCAGCAACTTGGGAGGCTGAGGCAGGAGAATCACTTGAACCCAGGAGGCAGAGGTTGTAGTGAGCCTAGATCACACCATTGCACTCTAGCCTGAGCAACAAGAGTGAAACTCCATCTCAAAAAAAAAAAAAAAAAAAGAATACATGGGTGCTTTTAGAATAGCATTCCATGTTGGGGAAAAGCTGAGGCAGGGCTTGCTAGTCTGACATAATATAAAAAGAGTCTTGGAACATGCCAGGGTCCAGGGCCTAAAACCCCTCGTGGCCTCTGGAATGTGCCCAGACTTGCTGCTTCCTTGCTTCTAGCACTCCCAGGCTCATAAAATGATTGTATCTTAAACTAGAAGAACATGATCTCAAGTTCCCCATGATCTCAAGTCGCAGAACATGTTCCATATAAATGCTAAACTGACACATCTATAGATCATGTGCTTGATGCACCACTTCCTACCAACCCCCACATCCTCACCACCTGCTTCTTTGTTTGATCACCAATAAATAGTGTGGGCTTCCAGAGCTTGGGTCTTTTGCAGCCTCCATACTAGCATTGGCCCCCTGGACCCACCTTATGCATTCTTAACTTGTCTTTTCTCATTCCTTTGACTCCGCCAGAGTTCGTAGCCCCCATGGCCTGGTGTTGGGTCTGGCCACCCCAAAAGTTCCATGCCAATCCAACCCATCTTTCAACATTAGTCCAGAATGGACCAGAGGGCCTTGAGGGAAACATGCACTTAATAGCTCACAGCTCAAGATGTCCACAGATGACATAAGGAAAGAAAACTGAAAAATACACTAACTGGTTAAACTACATTTTGATGTTAAGGTAAAAGGTCACTGACATCTTTACCAGGTAGGCACTGAAATAATCAAACTTCTGTATTCGGTACTAAAGGTTTTCAATAAATAATAAAGACTAGAAAGCATGCAGACCTTGATCTGAACCAGATGCAACTAGTTTCAAACAGAAACTATTTAGAAATTGTCTTTCAAAAATCTAACAAATTCTGGGGTCAACAGGTAAATAACTGGGAAATGTACAGAAAAAAAATGATGTGAGCTGATTATAGGATGTGACAAAGGCATCTTCCAGAAGTAATTATGTTTTTTTTTTTTTTTTTACATCACAACATGCTTTTTAAAGACATGCATTGGGCTCACATTCCCTTAAATGTTGTTTGCAAAGGTTCTCAGCCTCTAGCCCAGCTGGAATCTCCAGGAAGAGGCAGAGACAGTTTGGTGAAAAAGAGGCAGGGGAGGAGGGGGTGGTGAGAGGAGAAAGCAGCCTTCCAATTGAAGATCAGCCCTCAGGTAAAGGTCAGCTTCGGGCAGGCTGGCCTCAGGCGGAGTCAGGGTCAGAGGAAGGAGCAGCAGCAGGGTGGGACTGGGGCATTCTACATCTCATTCAGGTCAAGCAGAGTCTGGTCCAGCATCCTTTGTGTACAGAGGTGTTCCTCTTTGGTGCATTTCAGTTTATCTTCCAAGTCATCAATTGTCTTTTCCAGCTTGGCTACTGATCTCTCAGCCAACTCAGCATGGGTCTCTGCCTCCTCGAGATTATCAGTAAGAATCTTCATCTCTTCCTCACATTTGTCTTCTTTTTGAGGGTACTTTTCTTCAGCTGCACTCAGACACTTCAGGTTCTGGTCCATCAGTCTGATCTGCTCATCCATCTCTCAGCAACGGGACTCTGCCAGCTCAGCTCATTCTTCTGTGCATTCCATGTCTCTTTCAATGATCACCAACTTACGAGCCACCTCTTCATACTTCCCATCTGCCTCATCTGCAATGTGCTTAGCTTCTTTGAGTTGGATTTCCTGGAGTTCCATCTTCTTCATCTTTTAAGGCCCAGATTTCAATAACCTTTGTATCTCTCTCACTCTCATCAGCAGCTTTTCCCGCTTCTTCCAGCTTTTGCAGGGCAGTGGCCAGGCGCTCCTGAGCACAGTCCAGCTCCTCTTCAACCAGCTGGATCCTACCGTTCACGGAGGCCACTTCAGCCTCAGCCTGTTCCCGGGCCCACCTTTCTCTCTCAGCTTCTCACTGGAGGTGCTCAGCTCACTCCTCATCATCTGCCTGCAGCTGCAGAACCTGGATCTTGCGCTTCACTGCCTCGATGGTGGTGATCCCAGCCATGGTGCCCACCCAGCTACTGCTCACACTCCGGTTCCTGCCTCCTCCATTCGGCATTGCAGCCTCCTCTCCATGATTATGTATTAAAAGAGAAATTTTGAAAACTAAGATTTATCTCAGCTGGGCGTGGTTGCTCACACCTGTAATCCCAGCACTTTGGGGGGCCGAAGCAAGTGGATCACCTGAGGTCAGGAGTTCAAGGCCAGCCTGGCCAACATGGTGAAACCCCATATCTGCTAAAAGTACAAAAATTGGCCTGGTGTGGTGGCGTGGGCCTGTAGTCCCACGTACTCGGGAGGTTGAGGCAAAAGAATCACTTGAACCCAGGAGGCAGAGGTTGCAGTGAACTGACATCATGCCACTACACTCCAGCCTGGGTCACTGCATAAGATTCTGCCAAAAAAACACAAAAAACAAAAAACAAAAACCTACAATTTATCTCAAACTGAAAAAAAAAAAAAGCAATGAAGAGGAAACAAAGAAAATAAAGTAAATCTATTACACATAAGAACAAATGTACTTTTGATGTCCCTTTTGTTTTTTATTTTATTTTTTGTTTGCTTGCTTGTTTTTGTGAGATGGAGACTCGCTCTGCCACCCAGACTGCAGTGCACTGGCACAATTTCGGCTCATTGCAACCTCTACCTCCCAGGTTTAAGCGATTCTTGTGCCTTGGCCTTCCCAGTAACTGTGACTACAGGTGCACACCACCACGCCTGCCTAACTTTTGTATTTTTAGTAGAGACCAGGTTTCACCATGTTGGCCAGGCTGGTCTTGAACTCCTCACCTTAGGTGACCCACTCACCTCCATCTCCCAAAGTGCTGGGCTTACTGGCAGGAGCCACCACGTTTTGATGTCCCCTTTAAAAAGTACTATGTAGGCTAGGTGCGGTGGCTCATCCCTGTAATCCCAGTATTTCGGAAGGCCAAGGCAGAAAGATCCTTTGAGCTCAGGATTTTGAGACCAGCCTGGGAAACATAGCGAAACCCGTTTCTACAAAAAAAAAATACAATACTTGTCCGACTTGGTGGCTCACGCCTGTGGTCCCAGCTACACAGGAAGCTGAGGTAGGAGGATCGCTTAAGCCCAGGAGGTCGAGGCTGCAGTTAGAAGAGATCATGCTGCACTCCATCCTGGGTGATAGAGCCAGGCCCTGTCCCAAAATATTAATTATTAATTAATTTAATTAAAAGTATTATGTAATAACAGAAAGTCATTTTTTTCCCACTTCATTGCCCTACTTCCTACCCCAGCCCTGCGAAAAGGGAATAGAGTGATTCACAACTGAATAAGTCACTGCTCTCTGGCTGAATAGGGATTCCAAGTGGAAGCTGACCTCTATGCCAAGATTTATACAATGTACATGCCTTATAGATAGGAATTTTTAAGTTCTCAATCTCATCTGTATAATTTAAACAAATTTTAAGTTATTAGATTATATACACAGAAGTCAACATGTCACAAGTAATCATACCCAGTGAACTCACCCACTCATCTGAACACAAAGTCCCCCACCCCTTTTATTCTTTTGAGACAGGGTCTCACTCTGTTGACCAGGCTGGAGGGCAGTGGCATGATCTCGGCTCACTGCAGCCTGGACCTCCTGGGATCAAGTGATCCTCCTGCCTCGGCCTCCAGAGTAGCTGGGAGTACAGGTGTGCACCATCACATCTGGTTAATTTTATTTATTTATTTTGGCAGAGATGGGGGTCTTACTATGTTGCCCAGGCTGGTCTCATATACCTGGACTCAAGCAATCCCCTTGCCCCAGGCTCCAAAAATGGTGGGATTACAGGAGTGAGCCACTGTGCCCAACCCCTTTTTCAGGCACCAATGCAACCTCACACTCAAGTAGAAGAAAAATTATTATTCCAGTTAGTTAAAGACATTCCTGGAGTACAGGCTGAGGACAACCCACGTGGGTTAGCTGTAAATCATGCGCCAGTAGTAGCAGAATCAAAACCAGGAGCAACTCCTGTTTCAGGTTCGTCAGTACCCAGTTCCCCAAAAATCCATACAGGGCATCTGCAAGCGTTCAGAAAGGCTCTATAAACATAAGATTTTAGTCCAATGCTAGTCGCCTTAGAACACTCCACTTTTGACAGTTCAGAAGCCATTGCCAGGGCCAGGGTCTAATGAATATAGGCTGGTGCAAGATTTGCATGTTGTAAACCAGGCCACGGTAACTATCCATCCAGTGGTACCCAACCCGTACACTGTGATAGGACTCCAGCAAGTGCTACCTAGTTTACAGTCTTAAACTTAAAGGATGCTTTCTTTTATATCTGTCTGGCACCAGTTAGTCAGCCTATCTTTGCATTTCATAAGACAATGAAGCGTCACAGTTCACCTGGACTAGACTCCCACAAAGGTTTAAAAACTCTCCCACAGCCAGGCGCGGTGGCTTATGCCTGTAATCCCAGCACTTTGGGAGGCCAAGGCGGGTGGATCACGAGGTCAGGAGATCGAGACCATCCTGGTTAACAAGGTGAAACCCCGTCTCTACTTAAAATACAAAAATTAGCCAGGCGTGGTGGCGGGCCCCTGTAGTCCCAGCTACTCAGAAGGCTGAGGCAGGAGAATGGTGTGAACCCAGGAGGCGGGAGGAGGCGGAGCTTGCAGTGAGCCAAGATCGCACCACTGCACTTAAGCGTCGGCGACAGAGTGAGACTCCGTCTCAAACAAACAAAAAAACTCTCCCACAATCTTTTTTTTTTTTTTTGAGATGGAGTCTTGCTCTGTTGCCCAGGCTGGAGTGCAGTGGTGCCATCTCAGCTCACTGCAACCTCTGCCCCCCGGGTTCAAGCAATTCTCCTGCCTTAGCCTCCAGAGTAGCTAGGATTACAGGTGCCAGCCACCGCATGTGGCCAGTTTTTGTATTTTTAGTAGAGACCGGGTTTCACCATCTTGGCCGGTCTGGTCTTGGACTCCTGACCTCGTGATCCAGCCACCCCAACCACCTGAAGTGCCGGGATTACAGGCGCGAGCCACCATGCCCGGTTCTCTCCCACAATCTTTAGAGAAACATTGGCTTCAGACCTCATGGCTTATACCCTGCCAAATAGCAACTGCACCTTGTTGCAGTATGCAGATGAGCTTCTTTTGCCGGCCCCAATCTAAGAGGACTGTTATCGGGGAACCCAGGATCTCTTCCATTTCCTATAGAAAATAAGTTACAAAATATCAAAAAAGCAAGCCCAAATTTGCCTTGAAGAGGTTCCATATATCTAGGTGTCATAGTGAGCCACAAGGAACACTGGCTTGGCTATGAGTGGAAGCAAGCCATTTGTGCCCTTCCAACCCCGGCCACCCAACGTCAAATAGGAATTTTTAGAGGCAGCAAGATTCCGGATTCCAAATTGTTCACTGATGGCTAAGTCGTTAATAGGAAGCCACAAAAAGAGGAGAAAAGGAGCCCCTCCTTTGAAAACCTAATCAAGAAATAGACTTCAAGCAGGTCAAGGAAGCTTTAACTCAGGTCCCAGCCTTAAGACTATGAGACATAACTAAGTCTTTCTATATGTTCATGAACAAAAAAACAATGACTATAGGGGCTCTGACTCAACTTATAGGATCGTGGCATCGCCCAGTGGCACATTTATCCAAACAACCAGACTCCGTGGTGTTAAGATGGCCTCTTTGCCTTAAGGCATTAGCTGCCACCATCTTGTTAACACAGGAAGCTAGCAAATTAACTCTAGGACAGCAACTAACCGTCTGGGTGCCACACTGAGTCATAACTTTGATGGATCAAAGAAGGCACCATTAGTTATCAAACCTGAGGATGACTCAGTACCAAGGGCTTCTATGTGAAAACCCTTACACAATTTTAGAACAGTAAACACCCTAACCCGGCTATTCTGCTCCCAGTCGAACAGGCAGCTCCTCTCCATAACTGTGTCAAAACAGTAGACGAGGTATTCCCCAATGAGAAAGATCTTACAGACAGACCCCTCAGAGACCCAGATGTCAAGTACTTCACAGGTGGAAGTAGTTCTGTGCTAGAAGAGTTTGGACATGCCGGGTATGCAGTGGTAACATCAGACTCAGTAGTAGAGGCTCAGCCTCTGCCTACCGGAACATCAGCTCAAAAGGCAGAATTAATAGCCCTGACAAGAGCACTGTTGCTAGCAAAAGAGAAGTCAGTATTTACACTAATTCTAAGTATGCTTTTACTACCTTGCATGTACATGGAACTATATATAAAGAGAGAGGACTTTTATCAGCTAGAGGCAAGAAATAAAGTACAAAGAAGAGATTCTACAGCTCTTAGAGGCAGTATAGGCTCCAGAGAAAGTAGCTATAATGCACTGCAGAGGGCACCAAATGGCAAGGATGCCAGAAGCCACAGGAAACAGAAAGGCAGAGAGGCAAAGCAGGCAGCAATGATCACGCTGCATTTTAAAGAGGAAGCCTTAGCTATGCCTCTCCTCCCAGAACCTCCTCTCCAAGACAACCCAAGTTATACTCCAAATCAAAGATCCTGGTTTGCCCAAGAAGATAAAAAATATATTAAAAGAAGGTAGTAGAAGTTCTTTGATAGGAGACTAGCCATTCCAAAGATGTTAGCTCCTAAGTTTGTGAAGCAAACTCATCAAGAAACTCATATAAGAAAAACAGCATTAGCAACGTTATGAAAGTGCCATTTCTGGTTTTTTTTTTGAGATTGAGTCTCGCTCTGTCACCCAGGCTGGAGTGCAGTGGTGCAATCTTGGCTCACTGCAACCTCTGCTTCCCGGGTTCAAGTGTTTCTTCTGCCTCAGCCTCCCCAGTAGCTGGTATTACAGGCACCTGCCATCATGACTGGCTACTTCTTTTGTTTTTTCAGTAGAGACTGGACGTCACCATGTTGCTCATACTGGTCTTGAACTCCGGACCTCATGATCTGCCCACCTTGGCCTCCCAAAGTGGTAGGATTACAGGCATGAGCCACCGCGCCCGGCCACGAAAGTGCCATTTCTATGTGCTGTGGCTCTCTGCTGTCATTTGAGCCATTTGTAAACAATGTTTAACCTGTGCTCAGAATAACCGTTATGGGGGCCCACTTGGCCCCCAAGAATTCAAGAAGCAGGAGCCATGCCTTGTGAAAACTTGGTTATAAACTTTACCGAACTGCTCCGTGCATCCGACAGAGGATGTCGGTATATGCTAGTGCTTATTTGTACCTTTTTCAAGATAGGTTAAAGCTTTCCCCACCAGGACAGAAAAAGCATGAGAAGTGACTGAAGACTTCTTCCCAGGTTTGGACTGCCTCTATCTCTAAAGTCAGACAATGGGCCAGCATTTGCAGCTGAAATAGTGCAAGATTTAACAAGACTGCTAAAAATAAAATAGAAGTTACACATAGCCTATTGGCCGGAAAGTTCAAGAAAAGTAAAATACATGAACCAGACGTTAAGCAGCTACTGAAGAAATACTGCCAAGAAACTCACCTGAGATAAGATCAGGTCTTTCATATGGTTGTCCTCTGAGTCAGGTGCACCCCCACCAAATAAACTAGGTATTCACCTTATGAGAGTTCGTTCAGTCGGCCTCTCCAATCATAAGTCAAATTAAAAGTGATCTCCAAGAACTAGAGGAATTAACTTTAAGAAAACAAATGCAGGCTTTAATAATAGCCATGCAAGAAGCCCATAACTGAATATGAGAAAGAATGCCGATAAGTCTGACAGATCCAGTACACCGCTTAAACCTGGAGACTCTGTTTAGGTTAAAAAGTAGAATCCAACTTCTCTAAGACCCATATAGAATGGGCCCTATATTGTAATCTTGTCCACTCCCACTGCTATTAAATTTGCAGGAATCATGCCGTAGATCCACCACAGTCAGCTGAAACTGGCAGCTCAGGGCAAGTGGACCAGCCAGCAAGACCCAGACCATCCAACTCAGCTGATCCTGAGATGAGACCAAGCTGCTGCTGAGGACGACAGCCCTGCTCTGGTCACTCTGGAGGCTGACCAGTCTATGCACAGCTGAAGCTGGAGGGGACGACAAGCCCAGCTCTAGTCACACACCGGAAGCTGACTAGCCTATGCACAGCTGAAGCTGGAGGGGACAAGCCCTGCTCTAGTCACACACCAGAAGCTGACTAGTCTACGCACAGCTGAAGCTTGAGGACTCATCAAGCAAGTAAATGTGGTTAGAAATCTTAAGACTAGTAGTTTTCCTTGTAATACTAACTGTTTTATTATTGTTCTGTCGTTGTGCTCAACCTCCTCTGCCAGGCAAGGCCCTCTTCTGTCCTTGCTGGATATGAACATGCTGTACACTGTTTTGCTGTTGCTACCCTCCTTAACCATGGTAGAAAAAGCAACTATAGAAATGTGTCCCCACTGTACACATACTACCTACCTGGTCAGGGAACAGGATAACTAAGACTCTACTGCACCATACTTATTATGAGTGTACAAGGACTCGCTTAAGAACTTGTACTTATAAAGGCCAGGTGTGGTCACTCATGCCTGTAATTCCAGCACTCTGGGAGGCCGAGGCAGGTGGATCACCTGAGGTCGGGAGTTCGAGACCAGCCACACCAACATGGAACAACCCCGTCTTGAATAAAAATACAAAATTAACCAGGCATGGTGGTACATGCCTGTAATCACAGCTATTCAGGAGGATGGGGCAGGAGAATTGCTTGAACCCAGAAGGTGGAGGTTGTGGTGAGCCATGATCATGTCATTGCACTCCAGCCTGGGCAACAAGAGTGAAACTCCATCTCAAAAAAAAAAAAAAAAAAGAAAGACTTGTACTTATAATCAGACCATCTACTCAATTTGTGACCCAGGAAATAACCAACCTTATGTATGTTATAACACAAAGTTTTCACCTGGTGAATAGTTTAAAATACATGCAAGGTCAAAAGAAAGTTCCCTCTTAAACCAAACCAAGGTCCCTCCCTTTTACCGATGGCCTATTTCTCTGTATTTTGATGCTTGTCCAGCAGCAGACCTAGACTCATCCGTCTGTGGTAACCTACCTGTATAAAGATACTATAGAAATGACTACAAATATGTATGCATGCCACCTTGTCCCCTGGGACCCAGAAAAAGATTCTCAGTATTGCATATCGTGGCACCCCAGCACACAACAAAGGCCAATTATGCTTATCGAAATGCCAGTAAAACCAGACTGTGAAACAAAAACCTGTCATCCAGTAAATTTCACCATTCTAAAGCCAGACCTACCCGTGTGGACTGCAGGTTACCCCATACATGTCTCCACACACACCTACCCAGAAACCTACCTATATGTTATCAAAAAGGAACCCGGACCAGCAACAATTCCGAGTTTTTAAATCATTCCATAAGCATGCAGACTAGAAGTTACGAGAGCATCATCCTTTAGCTAAAAACCTGTTTGCTCGGCTAGCTGAAAACATTGCTAGCAGCTTAAGCATTTTCTCATGTTATGTTTGTAGAAGGACTAACATAGGAGACCAATGGCCTTAAGAAGCAAAAGAGTTAATGTCACAAGATAATTT
The DNA here is from genome assembly GCF_000001405.40 of Homo sapiens. NCBI lineage: Eukaryota > Metazoa > Chordata > Mammalia > Primates > Hominidae > Homo > Homo sapiens. The sequence goes on along the minus strand of NC_000019.10, from coordinate 53,471,867 downwards.
AACTCTAACTGACTCTTCCCCCGAACCGATGCACCTAGCACTTTTTTTTTTTTTTTTTGAGACAGTCTCACTCTGTCACGCAGGCTGGAGTGCAGTGGCGTGATCTCGGCTCACTGCAAGCTCCGCCTCCCAAGTTCACGCCATTCTCCTGCCTCAGCCTCCCGAGTAGCTGGGACTACAGGTGCCCGCCACCAAGACTGGCTAATTGCTTTTTGTATTTTTAGTACAGACGGGGTTTCACCGTGTTAGCCAGGATGGTCTTGATCTCCTGACCTTGTGATCCACCCGCATCAGCCTCCCAAAGTGCTGGGATTACAGGTGTGAGCCACCGCACCCAGCCTTAAGCCCCTAGCTCTTAAAAACTTCCATTATCAGGAGATACTGTGTTGCTCACTAAGGAAAAGCTTTTACAGACTCCCTAGAAGAATTAACTTGTTTAAGACAGGAATATTATAATAAAACACTAAAGAAAACTTTGTGGCAAGGCAAAGATGACTCCAGATCACCTCATCCAAACCCATTCTCCTGTTTCTCTTCTCTAAACCACACATAGTATCAGCTTGAAGCTCCAAATACCTGGCAAGCACCCTCTGGTCTCTATTAGATCTGTGCACCAAGGGCCTACCGACAGTTGCCAGGAAAAAGGACAAGGGCTTGTGTACTTGAAACAATTAGACCATGTTTCTTCTCACTCCCACTGCAACAGGGAGAAACTTGAAGGTATCCTGTCTACAATAAAATTAAAGAAAAAAACAAAAGAGATATAGACATAAGAAAAGACATAAAAATAGAAGACTAGAAAGACACAGATTGGCCCCCTGAAAGACTAATTCAGTACTCTAGGCCAGCTACCTGGGCACAAAATAAGTCATAAAGGTACCGCACCCCAATTTACATGCTTAACCGCATCATAAAGTTGCAAGCAGTACTTGAAATCATCACTAATGAAACAGCAAATGCATTAGACTTACTGGCCCAGCAAGCCACAAAAATGAGAAATGCCATCTACCAAAATAGATTAGCTTTCGACTACCTCCTAGCCCAGGAAGGAGGAGTATGTAGAAAGTTTAATCTAACTAATTGCTGCCTAGAAATCAATGACAATAGGAAGGCTGTTATAGAAATAACTGCAAGAATAAAAAAATTATCCCATGTTCCAGTCCAGACTTAGACAAAGTAGACTCCTGAGTCCCTCTTTAGCGGCTGGTTTTCCTCCTTCAGTCGATTCAAAACCTTAACAGGAGTGGTTCTAGAAATACTAAGAATTGGTTTAATACTCCCTTACCTCTTACCTCTCCTTGTTAAGGAACATTCAATCAACTATAGAAGCAATTGTCACTAGGCAGACTACCACTCAGCTAATAGCTCCATATAAATATCAGCCTGTGCCTAAAGAAGAAAACCTGCTTTTTCATGAATAATCAAGTAATAGTGATGCTTTCTATTAAAATCTTGTTTATAAAAAGCAAAGGGAGAAAACTCAGGCAGAAATTAAAAAAAAAATATGCATTCATTCACTCCAAGAAAAGTAACAGGCAAGGCAAGGGTTAAAAAGAGAAGAACAAGTTTTCCTCTGCCTAGCAAGCTCACTTAGAGAACAGTTATAACATAACGCTGTTTGCGAAGTCGAAGCCAAAGGAATGGGCTCCAGACACCTCCTCCCCTTTAGAACAAGAGTGAAAGAAAGAAAGAAAGAAAAGAAAAGAAAAAGAAAGAAAGAAAGAAAGAAAACAAATGTATTTAGCTGTTCTTGCTTTTCTTTCAATGCAGCTGCAAGACCACCAGCTATGCAAGGCCACAAGTTATGCTATGCTATAGATTATGTGACCAATCATTACATGATTAACTGCTTTTATTTTGCTTCTGTAAGCCTGCTTATAAAAACCCCACTCTTTGTTGAAATGCTCAGCTTTTTAGATGTAAATCCACTGAGCCGGTGCGTACCTTAAGTAAACATCCTTCTGTCTCCCCCATAGCAGTCTCTCTAGTCCTCAGTTTCCCGCAACACCATCTCTGCGCCTCCTCTGCTCTCCCCGTTAAATTCTCTCTTCCCTGTTATACCCCCTGTCCCCACTCTCTGGCAGCCTAGATCCCCAGGTGTCCTCCCTGCTGTGCTTCTCCCTCTGTTCTTGCCACCAGCACCACTCTGCTCTGTCTGCCCTGGCTCCAAATCCCTCCTCCTCTCCCTCACCCTGATGAGCCTCCCTCTTTGCTGCCCCTCTCCCTACCTTGCTGTCCTTCATCTCTCTGTACATCTAGCTTTTCTCTGCATGTCTCCAGTTGCTTTTCTCCTCCTGCTTTCTTATATATATTTTTTTCACTTTCGTTGTCTCTTGGCAAATCCCTCACCCATTCTCTACTTTGCCATCTGTTATGAGTCTTTCTCATTCTTTTCTTTCTCAGGTTTTCTACTGCGTGTGTCTCCTGATCCCTTTAGCCCACAGAATCACATGACGGTTTGGAGTAAGATGGCTACATACCAGGGGAGCGCATTTTCAAGGGGCTGGAGCTGGGCAGGGAAGAACACCCCATGTCACAGGATATGGGGAAAAGAAAGAGAAATCAGACTGTTACTTTGTGGATGCAGAAAAGGAAGACATAAGAAACTTCATTTTGATCTGTACTAAGAAAAATTGTTTCTGCTTTGAGATGCTGTTAATCCGTAACTTTAGCCCCAACCCTGTGCTCACAGAAACATGTGCTGTATTGAATCAAGGTTTAATGGATTTAGGGCTGTGCAGGGTGTGCCTTGTTAACAATATGTTTGCAGGCAGTATGCTTGGTAAAAGTCATCGCCATTCTCCATTCTCAGTTAACCAGGGACACAATGCACTGCGGAAAGCCGCAGGGACCTCTGCCCTAGAAAGCCTGGGTATTGTCCAAGTTTCCCCCCACTGAGACAGCCTGAGATATGGCCTCGTGGGAAAGGAAAGACCTTACATCCCCCAGCCGGACACCCGTAAAGAGTCTGTGCTGAGGAGGAGTAGTGAAAGAGGAAGGCCTCTTTGCAGTTGAGATAAGAGGAAGACTTCTGTCTCCTGCTGGTCCCTGGGAATGGAATGTCTAGGTGTAAAGCTGACCATTTCCATTCGTTCTATTCTGAGATAGGAGAAAACCGCCCTGTGGCTGGAGGCGAGATATGCTGGCAGCAATACTGCTCTGTGACTCTTTGCTACACTGAGATGTTTGGGTGAAGAGAAACATAAATCTAGCCTACGTGCACATCTGGGCACAGTACCTTTCCTTGAACTTATTCATGATATAGATTCCTTTGCTCACATGTTTTCTTGCTGACCTCTCCCCACCTGTTGCCCTGCTACACTCCCCTCACTAGGACAGTAAAAATAATGATCAATAAATACTGAGGGAACTCAGAGGCTGGCACTGGTGCCGGTCCTCCGTATGCTGAGCGCCGGTCCCCTGGGCCCACTGTCCTTTCTCTATACTTTGTCTTTGTGTCTTATTTCTTTTCTCAGTCTCTCTTCCCACCTGACGAGAAATACCCACAGGTGTGGAAGGGCTGGCCTCCTTCAACAGGACAAGCCCCGGGCACCTCCCCAACGTGGGCTCAGGGGAAGCCGTGACTGCGGAGGGGAGACCTAGGAAGCAGCAGGGCCCGGCAGGAGGAGGGAGGTGGGGGGGGGGGGGCGCGAGGGCGCCTTAAGACAAGGGTGGGGTCTGCAGGATCCCGGGACCAGACAGAGGACGCGGCCTTCCCGGGACTGGGGCCGCGGTTCTGCGCTCCACCGGCCGAAGTGGGCGAGAATCCACCCCTTGGGTGAGGACTTCAAAAAGCGCGGGGTGGGAGGAGTCAGAGAAAGGTTTAGAGCAGGAAAAATGCGCGATAGAAAGTGTATACATTGCCCTATAGCAGAAAGACCCGGGACGGGACCAGCCTCAGGGCGACCTTAAACACAAAAGGAAGCGACCCCCGGACTCTCACGGGGTCGTCTCAATTTGCTCTGGGTGAAGGAAGACGGCTGAGAATTTCCAGGTTTGTGGGGACCCCACGCCCCAGGTACAGAAGCGCCAGGGACCTGGGAAGTGCAGACCTAATACAACACAGAGCCAAACTCACGCGCTGCCGTGGGACCGTCACTCCACGCGATCCGCTTCCGGGTTTTCGCGAATCTGCGCGCAGGACAGAAGCCAGGCCTGGGCGGGACCTGGGAGGTGGGCGGGGCCTGACGAAGCAGGGGCGGGGCGAGAGGCGGAGAGACTTTGCCCTTTGGAAGGCGCAGAGGGCGGGGCCGGGGTGGGACCTGTGAGTCCGTCACCCTCGCTCCAGCGCCTGTTTTAGGGTTTTGGAGTCGAGACCGGCCAGTAAGGTTGAGGCACTATTCAAAAGCCCTGGAATTGTCTGGAACGGGGATGCAAACTAGAATGTGAAATGCAAAGCCCTGCCTGGGCGGAAGGTACGATTTCATGCTGACGGCCCACAAAACAAAATAGAAATCCTCCCCCTTTCTATTCTCCATTCACTCAGGAGGGCAAGTCCACCCCGTGCTCAACTTCAGAGATTTCCCTAAAGCCACCGCCATGGATGCGGGACGGAGTGCTCAGGCCAGGGAGGAGTGAGGTGACCACCTGCTGGATGGGGCGCCGGGGTGGGAGGGATGCGCGCGCGGGGGCAGGAGCCTGAGGTCCCAGCTACTCAGGAAGCAGCGGCGGGAGGATCGCTGAGCCTGGGGGTCCAGGCCAGCCTGAGCGACAAAGTAACACCCCCTCCCGCAGCGCTTCCTTCCTCGTCTCTTTTTTTCCTTTTTTTTTTTTAATGTTTTAAAATACAATTTTGATTGTGTGAGATAGGGATCCAACAGTATTCTTTTCCATCTGGATATTCAGTTAGTTGTCTCAGCACGTTTGTGGAAGAGATTTATTACTTTATTTATTTACTTATTTCTTTTGAGACAGAGTATTTCTCTGTCGCCCAGGCTAGAGGGCAGTAACGGGATCTCGGTTCACTGCAGCCTCTTCCCTCTTGGGTTCAAGCGATTCCCCTGCCTCAGCCTCCGGAGTACCTGCCATTACATTCGCGTGCCACCATGCCTGGCTAATTTTTGTATTTTTGTAGACGGGTTTCACCATGTTGGCCAGGCTGGTCTCAAACTCTTGACTTCAAGTGATCCGCCTGCCTCGGCCTCCCAAAGTGCTGGCATTACAGGCGTGAGCCACTGCACCTGGCCCAACAAATACTTTTTACTTCACTTTCCAATTGTTGAGAAAACATAATTGAAAACAAACAAAAAGTCTTCCCCCCAATGAGAAATCATCTCCACGACGACAATAGAGAAAGAAATTAAAACCATTTCATTAATAAATAAGCCTTAGGCCAGATTATGATGCGAAATAGACAAACAGCTAAGAGGTTGAAAAGAGAGAAAGAAACTTCACTGTTCTATACAACCCATTAAGTACATGTTTTCAAGATAAACACTAATCAGTCCTCAGGGAAGAGGACTTGACAACACCCTTGGTCACACATAGTTCATCCTGGCTCTACTTGGTAATGGAGGTAACCATCTGTGTCAGCTAAGTAGCTTCATGCCGAGGAGGGGAAGAAACCCTAACCCATGTTTTTTTGACAAGTGTGAGTTTTACAACATGGCGACAGGTGCCCTCTGTAGTGAGGCTCCTAAAATCCGACAGAAACTGATGTCAGCAGTAAATAATAAAATTTAGAATTTATGATTAAATATAGAGTTTATCTGAACACAAAGCATGAGGATAGCCACTGGCAAACATCAACTCCAAATGAATGGGATCAGCGTTCCATAGTAGAGACGTTTAGGTTTCACACACAGGGAAAGACAGAAGCTTTAGGACAATCACATTTTCCATTCAAGACCAGTGCATAGGTTGCAGCAAGTTGATTGGTGACAGAGTGATACACTTCAAGGAAGGTTACTTTATCACTCCATAAAAAGGGACAATGATCTCAGGAGGTCTTATCTCTGGGGTTGCTTAGTCTTTCTAATTATTTACATGAAAACTTTTCCTGTAAATAAGAGGAAGACTTGCATAGGCTGGAGTGCAGTGGGGCGACCTCGGCTCACTGCAACCTCTACCTCTCAGATTCAAGCAGTTCTCTTGCCTCAGCCTCCCAAGTAGCTGGGATTACAGGTGCATGCCACCATTGTTTTTTTTTGTTTGAGACAGAGTCTCGCTCTGTTGCCTAAGCTGGAGAGCAATGACACGATCTCAGCTGCTTACTGCAACCTCTGCCTCCCGGGTTCAAGCGATTCTCCTGGCTCAGGCTCTCGAGTAGCTAGGAGCCCAGCTAACTTTTGTATTTTTAGTAGAGATGGGGTTTCACCATGTAGGGCAGGCTGGTCTCAAACTCCTGACCTTGTGATCCACCCGCCCAAGCCTTCCAATTTTCTGGGATTACAGGTGTGAGCCACCACGCCTGGCCTTTTGTTTTGTATTTTTAGTAGAGAGGTGGTTTCACCATGTTGGCCATGCTAGTTTCAAACTCTTGACCTCAAGTGATCTGTCCACCTCGACCTCCCAAAGTGGTGAGATTACAGGTGTGGGCCACCACACGTGGCAAGGAAAACTCGTAGAAGTTACGCCTGCATTCCACTGGACTCAAGCTGAATGAGCACATTTCTCTCAAGGTGTAGCAGGACGAGCCACAGACAAAAGCCCTCACACACAGGGTTAAAGAAGGAAGTTGCTTTATTTGGCCGGGAGCATCGGCTGACTGGCATCTCAAGAACCGAGCTCCCCCAAGAAGGAGTTCCTGGTCCTTTTAAGGGCTTACAACTGTAAGGGGTTCCACGTGAAAGGGTCATGATAGATTGAGAGCACATGTGGTTAGAGTTGGGGGTTAATATTTTAACCTCAGGCCTGGTCATCAGTGGCACCAGCTGGTCTTGCCACTGACTTCATTCCTGTTGTTTTTCAGCTTTTACTTCAGAGACAGGAGACAGTAAGAGAAATGGCCTCTCTCTTCAAAGGCTCATAATTATTTAAAGGTCATAGCTTTAAATTGGAATTATTTGATGTATGAATTATTTAATTTCCTACTGAGATACAGGTACTGTCTCCCTTGTATTTTGCCTTTCAAAGAGAGCTCCCAAGTCCTTCAGAAATACATCCCTGGGTCATCAAGCTGAAAAAAGGTTTAGTTAGTTTCTAAAAAATACCACTTCAGACCAGGTGTGGTGGTTCACACCTGTAATCCCAGCACTTTCAGAGGCCAAGATGGCGAATCACTTGAGGTCAGGAGTTCGAAACCGGGCTTGTACCCGGAAGTTGAAGGCTGCGGTGAACTGGGATCGTGCAATTGCACTCTAGCCTAAGCAACAAAAGCAAAACTCCATCTAAAAAACAAACAACAAAAACAAAACAACAAAAAACCTCAGAAGACAGACAAAATCCATTTACAAATTTTCTAAATAAGTCTCCTAAGAAAAGAGACGAAAGGAAAGTAAATCTCTTTATTTTCACAGGAGGAATTACACCTCTCATTTATTTGCTTGTTTGTTTGAGACAGGGTCTAGCTCTGACACCCAGGCTAGAGTGTGGTGGTGAGATCAGGGCTCACTGCAGCCTCCAACTCCCTGGCTCAAGCGATCCTCCCACCTCAGCGCTCCAGCAGCTGGGACCACAGGCGCGCACCACCACACTTGGCTGATTTTTTTATATTTTTATTAGAGACGACGTCTCATCATGTTGCCCAGGCTGATCTCAAACTCCTGGGCTCAAGCGATCCTCTCACTTCGGCCACTCAAAGTGCTGGGATTACAAGTGTGAACCACCGCTCCGGGCCCTGACTTTATTTCCATGAAATATGAAATTGTCCTTCACCTCCTGTGTATAATAGGCAGTTCTGCTTGTCACCCTTCAGTTTCCATTATCCACTCAAACAACCCAACCCAGGACCTTGCTTAGTTTAATAAGCCGTTCTAATTGTCTGTGCCCGCTGCAACCAGCGCCCCACTCCACCCCTTTACCGAGGTCCCTGACCCTCTCCACCGCCCTGCCCCAGACTGAGGGGAGCTTGCCCCGCCTGCAGGACGCGCGACTCTACCTTCTCCAAAAAAGCTCTTTGCATTGAAACTATTTTCAACTTAAGAGGAAAAACGATTCAACGTTCAGTACAGGTGGCCCACTACAATATGTTGTTTTACCTTCGATTGTTCGAAATAGTAACTTCAACGGGCAGGAAGCATCCCTGTGATATTAGGGGTAATATCATGGCACATCAGAAACAATCCACCAATCAGAACCCGGAGGACCCAGTCCTGGAGGGCAAGAGGATGAGAGCAGGCGACATCCACGGCCCAGCTGAGAAAAGAATCCGGACCCGCCCCCTCCAGGCCCCGCCCTTCAGAACAAAAAACCCCTTCCAGACCCCACCCCCAAGATGACGCTAACCCTCGGGTCCCGCCTTTTCCTGCTGTCCAGCCCGGCCCCCAGGCAGCCTCCTCCCTCTTGCCCCGCCCACTCCCATTCCAGGCCCCACCCCCACCCTCTAACCAGGCCCGGTTTCCAAAGCTGCCTCCACCCTCTCTCCCCGACCCAGCACCTGTTCTGGCCCGGCCCCCTCGGCGACCTTTACCCCTCCCGTTCCGTCCCCGCTCTCTGTCCAGAACCCGCCCAGAAGGAATCTGGGTGCTTCGGGATGTTGAAATCCCCACGCGAGTTTGTGCAGTTGTCAGGGAGTCCCGGCTTCCCCATGGGAAGCTCGCAGGCCCAGTGGCTCTGCAGCTTTTGTATCGTTTTAGACCGTGTCCTCCGCCTTTCAATACCCTATTGCCCTTTCCAATAATCCCAGTTGGCGGCTGCTGAGCGCCTCACCCTTCATCCACCCATGTTTCCCAGCTGTCAGCCCCTTTGTTCTCGTGAGCGCTGACTCCACAGTGTGGATCTTTGCTTGGCATGCTGGATGAGGACTACCAAATTCCTGCTTTTGTGAGAATTGGATTAATTGTCTGTTTTTGTATAACGTTCAGTCGTTTTGTTGCCTAAAATGGTGTCACAGTCCACACCCCATGTGAGAGTTCTTGGATCTTGCGCAGTAAAAAATTCAAGGCGAGGGTCCGAGTGTAGTGAGGCGAGAGAGTTTATTGAAAGCTACCAGTTACGCAGTAGGGCGTCCTCAGAAAGCAGGGGGAACGCCTCCTCCTGAAGTTTTTCTTACATAGAGGCCTACGTAAAAGCTTTTTTTTTTTTTTTTTTTTTTTGAGATGGAGTCTCGCTCTGTTGCCCAGGCTGGAGTGCAGTGGCGCGATCTGGGCTCACTGCAAGCTCCGCCTCCCGGGTTCACGCCATTCTCCTGCCTCTGCCTCCCAAGTAGCTGGGACTACAGGCGCCCGCCACTACGCCCGGCTAATTTTTTGTATTTTTAGTAGAGACGGGGTTTCATCGTGTTAGCCAGGATTGTCTCGATCTCCTGACCTCGTGATCCACCTGCCTCGGCCTCCCAAAGTGCTGGGATTACAGGCGTGAGCCACCGCGCCCGGCCAAAGCCTACGTAAAAGCTAAGGTATGTCTACCTGCGGGTGGGCTGACACTGTAACAAAACTTATTACTTTGTTGATTTAAAGCTATCCTTGGCCAGGCGCAATGGCTTACGCCTGTATTGACAGCGCTTTGGAAGGCCGAGGCAGGTGGATCACCGGAGGTCAGGAGTCCGAGACCAGCCTGCTATCTTAAAAGCATACATTGTCATGGGATATTGGGTCATCTGGACATTGTGTTTCTGTAGAAATTTGTCCTTGCAGGTATCAATAAGCTGCTTTCCTTAACCATAAACATCTTATGACGGTGACTCGTGCATGAGCTGTAAGGAATATGTCTTGCTAGTTTTAATGGACTTGAACTTTGTCACCCTAGCTCTCCTAGGTTCCTGCTTAACAGTTTATCCATTCATGCAACATAGTCCTAAGCACAATTATGGAGACACCAGTCTCTCGTAATGTATCTGACAGACTGAGCTTCTGCCCCAAGAACATAGTAATAGCAATACTAAGTGAAATATTAGGAAGTTTTATGTATGTATATAATTGATCATTTATTATTTGCAGTTTAAGTTGGCTAAAATTACATAGAATGGGTTATTTTAATCAAATACTAGAAATATATATCATTCGCAAATGGAATCTAATCACACAAAGTTGAAGAGCATTTCCCTATGTTGAATAAATATGAAGGAGTTCAGATTTTGGAACTGATTTCGTGCTTTCCATGACACCTAGCTTTTTTCTTATTCTCTCAATTTCTTCTGCGTTCATGAGCTTGTGAACTAAAAGTATCTACTAGGTCTCAGTCAATTTAGAAATCTATTTTGCCAAGGTTAAAAATGCCCCCGTGACACAGCCTCAGGAGGTCCTGACAATGTGTGCCCAAGGTGTTCAGGCTGCAGTTTGGTTTTACACATTTTGCAGAGACATAATACATCAATCAATACATGTAAGATATGCATTGGTTCAGTCTGGAAAGGTGGAATAACTGGAATTGGGGGGCTTCCGGGTCACAGGTAGATAACAAATGATCACATTCTTTGAGTCTTTGATCAACCTTTCACTAAATACACAATTTATATGTGAGAGCGGGAGGAGGAATAGTCACTTATGCCTTCGACTGCCTCAGTGACCCTGCGTTTTTATGTAAACAATAGGGCAGGGGAAGCAATCAGATAGGCATTTGTCTCAGGTGTGCAGAGGGATTGGTTCTGTCCCACACCTGTGCAGATAAGCTCTCGGTTTACATTGCCAGGGGGAAATTCAAAATAACTATTTTAGGGTGGAGATCTTGAGGTCCCCAGTTTGTGAGGGGAGTATATAGCTTTTTTTCTTTTCTTAGGGGAGTATATATCTTTTTTTCTTTTCTTTTCTTTTCTTTTTGAGACAGATTTTCACTGTTATTGCCCAGGCTGGAGGGCAATGGCGCAATCTCGGCTCACCACAACCTCCTCCTCCTGGGTTCAAGTGATTCTCCTTTCTGTGGGGAAAAGAGAGAGAGATCAGATTGTTACTGTGTCTATGCAGAAAAGGAAGACATAAGAAACTCCACTTTGATCTGTACTAAGAAAAATTGTTCTGCTTCGAGATGCTGTTAATCTGTAACTATAGCCTCAACCCTGTGCTCACAGAAACATGTGTTGTATTGAATCAAGGTTTAATGGATTTAGGGCTGTGCAGGGTGTGCCTTGTTAATATGTTTGCAGGCAGTATGCTTGGTAAAAGTTATCGCTGTTCTCCATTCTCTGTTAACCAGGGACACAATGCACTGCGGAAAGCCGCAGGGACCTCTGCCCTAGAAAGCCTGGGTATTGTCCAAGTTTCCCCCAACTGAGACAGCCTGAGATATGGCCTCATGGGAAAGGAAAGGCCTTACCATCCCCCAGCCTGACACCTGTAAAGGGTCTGTGCTGAGGAGGAGTAGTGAAAGAGGGAGGCCTCTTTGCAGTTGAGATAAGAGGAAGACTTCTGTCTCCTGCTCATCCCTGGGAATGGAATGTCTCAGTGTAAAGCCGACCATTCGTTCTATTCTGAGATAGGAGAAAACTGCCCTATGGCTGGAGGCGATATGCTGGCAGCAATACTGCTCTGTGACTCTTTGCTACACTGAGATGTTTGTGTAAAGTGAAACATAAATCTAGCCTACGTGCACATCCACAGTACCTTTCCTTGAACTTATTCATGATACAGATTCCTTTGCTCACTTGTTTCCCTGCTGACCTTCTCCCTACCGTCACCCCGTTGCCCTGCCGCACTCCCCTCGCCAAGATAGTAAAAATAGTGATCAATAAATACTAAGGGAACTCAGACCAGCGCCAGTGCGGGTCCTCGCATGTTGAGCGCCAGTCTCCTGGGCCCACTGTTCTTTCTTTATACTTTGTCTCTGTGTCTTATTTCTTTTCTCAGTCTCTCATCTGATGAGGAATACCCACAGATGTGGAGGGGCAGGTCCCCTTCGCTGTCTCAGCCTCCCGAGTAGCTGGGATTACAGGCATGCGCCACCACACCTGGCTCATTTTGTATTTTTAGTAGAGACAGGGTATCGCCATATTGGTCAGGCTGGTCTTGAACTCCCGACCTAAGGTGATTTGCCTGTCTCCACCTCCCAAAGTGCTGGGATTACAGTCATGAGCCATTGCGCCTGGCCTCTACGTAGCTTTTGGGCAACAGATCGAGACACTGCCTCAAAGCAAACAAACAAACAAAACAAAAAACTGATGTGATCTGCCTGCCGCTCCTAGCATCACCTTCAACACTGTCTTGTCCCAATTCGAAATGAGTTATCCATTTACAAATGGTTTATTTCTTTTGGGCATCATCTCCATAACCTTTTCATAAAGTATCAATGATTCCATTATTCCTCTTCCCAAACTTTACCATAATTTTGTTGTTGCTGTTGTTGTTTTTTTGAGACGGAGTCTCACTCTGTCCCCCAGGCTGGAGTGCAGTGGCATGATCTCGGCTCACTGCAAGTTCTGCCTCCCGGGTTCATGCCGTTCTCCTGCCTCAGCCTCCCTGAGTAGCTGGGACTACAGGCACCCTCCAGCATGCCCGGCTAATTTTTTTTTTTTTTTGTATTTTTAGTAGAGACGGGATTTCACCGTGTTAGCCAGGATGGTCTCAATCTCCTGACCTCATGATCCACCCGCCTCAGCCTCCCAAAGTGCTGGGATTACAGGATTGAGCCACGCCGCCCGGCCCATAATTATTCTTTTATTGAGACAGTATCTCACTCCATCACCCACGCTGGAGTGCAGTGGCATGACCACAGCTCACTGCAGCCTCGACCTCCCAGGCTCAAGCCATCCTCCACCACAGACTCCACAGTAGCTGGCCCTGCAGTCAGATGCCACCATGCCCAGCTAATTTTTGTATTTTTTGTAGACAAGGGGGTTTCACCATGTTGCCCAGGCTCGTCTTGAATACCTGGGCTCATGTGACCCACCTGTCATGGCCTCTGAAAGTGCTGGGATTATAGACCTGAGACACTGCATCTGATCTCATCGTAAATTTGATGTTTCTTCTTGTTTCAATTTTAGCAGAATTTATATTGCTTTGATAGAGTCTCTTTTCAAACTCATGTCTTATCCTTCTGAGTGCCTTAAACTACAGCCTGTTCAGACATAACAGACTTGTACCAGTGTTTTGTTGCAAAAACTAAAATTCATGCAAATTTTCTCATAATAGGTATTTTTCCATGAACTTCTTCAAGATCCATTGTACTAGAAAACTGTATTCAAGAGGACATTAAAAAAATGTAGATATTCAAGTGCCACTTATTTCTGGGATGCAAGGATGGTTCAACATATTCAAGCAAATCAATGTGATATACCACTTGAACAGAACAAAAGATGAAAACCACATCATCTTAATAGAGAAAAAGCATTTCACAAAATTCAAAATCCAGTCATCATAGAAATCCTAAACAAAATAGACAGAAAAGGAAATTTACCTCAACAATAGAAAGACCGTCCATGAAATGACCAATGAGTAAACAGTCAAGCAGGGAAAATGTAATGCCTTTCCTGGAGGCTCTCACATGATGCAAGAATGCTCTCACCCCTTCTATTCAATCAATACTGGCTGTCCCAGCCAGAGCAATGAAATAGCAGAGGAAATAAAACTCATCCAAATCAGAAAGTAAGAAGTAAAATTATATTTGTTTGTAGATGACATAATCTTCTGTGTAGAAAATCACAAAGAGCCAACCAAAATACTACTGGAACTAAGTAACATAGTCAGTGGATTTGCACAATACAGTATCAGCACCAAAAATTAGTTGAATTTCCATACTTTAACAATAAACAATTTTAAAAGAAAATTTTAAAACACTTCCATTTGCTGGAGAACTTAAAGAAATACTTAGAAATAAACGTACAAAGGTCAGAAGTTTGTACCTTGAAATCTACAAACATTGATCAAAATGATTAAAAACATTGAGCTACAACCCATATTGATAGCTTGGAAAAATTAATATTGTGAAATGATTATATAATAACCCAATGTGATTTAGATTCAACATGATATCCATAAAAATCCCTATCAGTTTTTTTAAAGAAACAAAAAACAGGCTGGGAAAATGGCTCACGTCTGTTGGCCAGGCTGATCTCAAACTCCTGACCTCAAGTGATCTACCCACCTTGGCCTCCCAAAGCGCTCAGATTACAGGTGTAAGCTGATGTGCCTGGCCCAATCCTCTTAACATAAACACTAATGTCAATTAATGCTTGAACTCAATGTTAAGTCAATACAAACTCAAGTCAATGCTGAATTGACCCTAATGTCAATTAATGCTTGATGGTTTGCTCTACTCATTGCATATGGACCAACTACCTCCAAAATGAATTTTCTCATATTCTGCAAGGAGTGAACTCAGACTGAAGACCTTGGCACATTGATGACATTTGTAAGATTTCTGTCCAGTATGCATTCTCTGATGTCTCATGAGGTGTGAAGTGAAGGCTTTGCCACTATCATCACACATGTGAGGTTTCTCTCCTGTATGAATTCTCCTATGTTTTGCATAGGATGAAGCTTGACTGAAGACCTTGCCACAGTCATGACATTTGTAAGGTTTCTCTCCAGCGTTGAGTTCACCGATGAACTGCAAGGTATGAACAATGTCTGAAAAATCTGCCACATTTATTACCCTAGTATGATCTCTCTTCCTTATGGATTCTCCAGTGATTCACAATGGTTGTAGCATTACTGAAGACTTTGTGACAATCATTACCTTAGTAAAGTTTCCCTACACCATGGATTGCCTGACGGTAAACAAGTGTTGACTGCCTACTAAAGGCTTTGCCACACTCATTACACTGGTAAGGTTTCTCTCCAGTGTGAATTCTAGCATGTTGTGCCAGGTGCGAATCATGCCCAAAAGCCTTGTCACAAACTCTTACATTTTTATGGTTTCTCTCCAGTATGAATTCTCCTGTCTTTCACGGTTTGATGTGCGACTGTAAACTTTGTGACATTCTTCACATTTATAAGCTTTCTCTCCAGTATGAATTCTCCTGTCTTCTGAGGCTTGATTTGCCACTGTAAACTTTATCACATGCTTCACATTTCTAAGGTTTCTCCCCAGTATGAATTCTATGATGACCTGCAAGGTGTGCTTGTTGATTAAAAACCTCACCACATTCATTACACTTGTTTTTCTCCAGTATGAAGTCTACGATGGCATGTAAGGTTTGACTTCTGACTAAAGGTCTTGCCACACTCATTACACTTGTAAGGTTTCTCTCCAGTATGAAGTCTATGGTGGCATATAAGGGATGACTTCTGACTAAAGTTCTTGCCACACTCATTACACTTATAAGGTTTCTCTCCAGTATGAAGTCTATGATGGCATATAAAATATGACTTCCGACTAAAGGTCTTGCCACACTCATTACACTTGTAAGGTTTCTCTCCAGTATGAATTCTCCTATGTCCTTCAAGGTTTGATTTCACACGGAAAGCTTTGTCACATTCTTCACATTTGTAAGGTTTCTCTCCGGTATGAAGTCTACGATGGCATGTAAGGGATGACGTCCGACTGAAGGTCTTGCCACACTCATTACACTTGTAAGGATTCTCTTCAGTATGAATTTTCTGATGTATTTCAAGGTTTGATTTGAAACTGTAAGCTTTGTCACTATCTTCACATTTGTAAGGGTTCTCTCCACTATGAAGTCTACGATGGCGTTTAAGGGTTAACTGCTGATTGAAGGTCTTGCCACACTCCTTACACTTGTAAGGTTTCTCTCCAGAATGAAGTCTACGATGGCAGGTAAGGGATGACTTCCAACTAAAGGTCTTGCCGCACTCATTACACTTGTAAGCTTTCTCTCCAGTATGAAGTCTATGATGGCATGTGAGGTATGACTTCCGACTAAAGGTCTTGCCACACTCATTACACTTGTATGGTTTCTCTCCAGTATGAATTCTCCTATGTCTTTCAAGGTTTGATTTGAAACGGAAAGCTTTGTCACATTCTTCACATTTGTAAGGTTGCTCTCCAGTATGACGTCTACGATGGCATGTAAGGGATGATGTCCGGCTAAAGGTCTTTCCACACTCATTACACTTGTAAGCATTGTCTTCAGTATGAATTTTCCGATGTATTTCAAAATTTGATCTGAAACTGTAAGCTTTGTCACATTCTTCACATTTGTAAGGTTTCTCTCCAGTATGAAGTCTACGATGGCATGTAAGGGATGACTTGTGACTAAAGGTCTTGCCACACTCATTACATTTGTAGGGTTTCTCTCCAGTATGAAGTCTATGATGGCATGTAAGGGATGACTTGTGACTAAAGGTCTTGCCACACTCATTACACTTGTAAGGTTTCTCTCCAGTATGAAGTCGATGATGGCGTGTAAGGATTGACTTCTGCCTAAAGGTCTTGCCACACTCATTACACTTATATGGTTTCTCTTCAGTATGAATTATCCTATGTCTTTCAAGTATTGATTTGAAATGGAAAGCTTTGTCACATTCTTCACATTTGTAAGGTTTCTCTCCAGTATGAAGTCTACGATGGCATGTAAGGGATGACGTCTGACTGAAGGTCTTGCCACACTCATTACACTTGTAAGGATTCTCACCAGTGTGACATCTACGATGGCATGCTAGGTTTCGCTTCTGATTAAAGAGCTTGCCACATACATCACATTTATATTTGTCTGCTAAATGGATTATCTGATGTTTCCTTAAGAGTGAGCTGTAATTAAAGGCTTTGCCACTCTCATTACATTGGAAAGATTTTTCTCTCATGTGTACTTCCTGTTTTTGTGTGAGTAATGAAGAATTCCAGAAATTATTCCCATGGTTATTAGATATATGGGTTTTGGGCCTACAAGAAATTCTTTGGGCTGTTGAAACCAAGGAAGCATCGTGGACAGACTTCACAACTTGATTATCAATTTTCTCTTCGGTCTGAAATATGTGCATTTCAGGCAGATGCGAATGAAAGCTTGATCCAAGCTGATCTTTAATAGGCTTGTTTCTAGCATGACTTTGATCATATCGTTCTGTAATACCTGTCAACTTTTTGATTTTTGTCATGGGTGCTTCATGGCCATTTCTTTCATCTTCTTGCCATTGAAATTCATAGTCATGAATATCTTTATCAACATCCTGGTAGCAAAAATCTCCATTGTGATGACTTTCATGTATTTGCAATGTCCCTGCATGGAACACTTCTCTGTTGCCTTGCGCTGTTGACAAGAACTCCTTCATCGTGCATTTGGAAGAGATATCTACAAAACATAAACACCGAAAGCTTTCAAATTAAGTACAGATGGTAAATAATGCTGAAATGTGTAAATACGACACAAAAAACAATAGTTATTTTAAACTTTCCAAACATGACCCTCAAAGTTTAGGAACAGAAAAGCATAAGATTCTTTAACAAATAAAGGGCGATTACATGTGCTTCAAATTATTTTTACGGAAGTCTATTTCCAAGATCGTGACAAAACATTGACAGGGCACAAACATGTGTAGCCTAAAGTAAGGAATATTTTTCCATTGTGACCCTAAAGTGTCTAACAGTTTGTAAAAAACATATCACTGTCATATCAATGAAAAGTATATATTCTTCATATTTACAGCATATTTACTGTATACAAATAAATGCTAAAGGACCACACGATATACTATATTGGTAAATAATCCACAACAAGCTCATGTAAGGATAACCAAAATCAATGGAAATTCTGTATTGTCAAACAGTCATAGCACTGAGAAGACAAGAAAAGATTACAAAATGTAGCCAGGCGTGGTGGCCCACATCTAGTCCCAGCTACTCGGGAGGCTGAGGCACAAGAATTGTTTGAACCCAAGGGGCAGAGGTTGCAGTGAGCCAAGATTTCACCACTGTACTTCAGCCTGGGTGACAAAGTGAGACTCTACCTCAAAAAAAAAAAAAGTTAATACAATGTTTTTCTGAATAACTGTCATAAAATTACCTATATCCATGAAGAAAAGGCACGTTGTGACATTAAAACATTTTTTTTATTTTTATATTTTTGAGATGAAGTTTCACTCTGTTGCAACTGGCTGGAGTTCAATGGCCTGATCTCGGCTCACTGCAACATCCACCTTTTGGGTTGAAGCCATTCTCCTGCCTCAGCCTCCTGAGTACCTGGGATTACAGGCACACACCACCATGCTTGGCTAATTTTTGTATTTTTAGTAGAAATAGGGTTTCAACACGTTGGCCAGGCCAGCCTCGTACTTTTGACCTCAAGTGATCCACCCGCCTCAACCTCTCAAAGTCCTGGGATGGCAGGTGTGAGCCACAGCATCTGGTGGCACTGTGTGACATTAGCTAGTGGACTGTGTCAGTTATATTGCATACCACATACCGAAAAGCCTCATGTACAATCATAAAAATTAATTAGTAAAATATTGTAATCCATAAAACCAGGAAGCAAAGAATAAGTACATTTATACAACCTGCAAAATTCTAAACAATTCCATTAAGAAAAACGCCAAACTTCTACTTACAACCAGCACACAATATAAAAACTGAAATACATGTTAAGATCACTACCATCTGATTTATGAGGTCAAAGAAGTGCACAGCATTATAAGGAATAAGAATTGACTAACAGCCGGGCACGGTCTGTAATACCAGCACTTTGGGAGGCTGAGGCAGGCGGATCATGAAGTCAGGAGTTCGAGAGTAGCTTGGCCAACATGGTGAAATCCCAACTCTACTAAAAATACAAAAAAATTAGCTGGTCGTGGTGGTGGGTGCCTGTAATCTCAGCTACTTGGAAGGCTGAGGCAGGAGAATCATTTGAACCCAGGAAGTGGAGGTTGTAGTAAGCCGAGATTGCACCTGTGCATTGTTGACCTTAATTATCTAGCTCACTATGCACAAAATATAAAACACAGAATGTGCACTGGGAAAAATTTTAAACTAAGATCAGAGAAAACATTTTATAAATCAAATTGCACAATAAAAACATAAAAAATATGATGCAGGCTACCTGGTCTGAATGTTCATATTGGCCAAAAGCCATGTTCAGAGTTCTTATTCTCCAAAAGGATGTTCTGCAGATGGGGCCTTTGAGACAATTTGGTCACGGGTGTTGACTACTCGTGAATAGGACTTGTGCTTTCATAAAAAGAGATATTAAAGAGCTCGTTGCCTGTTCCTGTTTCCACCATGTCAGGACACGGCAGGAAGATGGCTGGGCTAAACCATGAAGAATGCTCTCACCAGGAACCAATTTGGCTGGCACCTTGCTCTTGGATTTCCCACTTTCCAAATTCATGAGAAATAAATTTCTGTGTCTGAAGCCTCCCAGTTTAAGCTATTTCTCTTTTTGTTTGTGTTTGAGACCGAGTCACACTCTGTCACCCACATTGGAGTGTAGTGGCATGATTCTCCTGCCTCAAGAGATTCTCCCGCCTCAGCCCGAGTCTTACTTTGTCACCTGGACTGGAGTGTAGTGGGGCAATGTTGGCTCACTGCAACCTCCACCTCCCAGGTTCAAGTGATTCTCCTGCCTCAGCCTAGTGAGTACTTGGGATAACAGCCATGCGCCAGCATGCCCAGCTAATTTTTGTATTTTTGGTAGAGACAGGGTTTCACCACGTTGGCCAGGCTGGCCTCGAACTCCTGAAATCAGGTGATCTGCCCCTCTCAGCCTCCCAAAGTGCTGGGATTACAGGCTTGAGCCACCACAACTGGCCAATTTCTTGTATTTAGTAGATTCGAGGTTTCACCATGTTGGCCAGACTGGTCTCAAACTCCTGATTTCAAGTGATCAGCCCACCTTGGCATCCGAAACTGTTGGGATTAGAGGTATGAGCCACCTCGGGTGGCCAGTCTAAGCTATTTCTGACAGGACAGTGAAATGACTGAGACAGGAACAGGAGCATCTCATCAACATCACCGAGGGCTGAAAAATCTGATTAAACAAAGGAAGTTTAGAGCCTGTACTATAAATCTTAACAATACTTGAAGCCATCTAATAGCAATAACATGTTTTAAAAACTTTGAGGCTGGCCAGGCATGGTGGTTCACACCTGTAATCCCAGCACTTTGGGAGGCTGAGGCAGGAGGATCACGAGGTCAGGAGATCGAGACCATCCTGGTTCACACGGTGAAACCCCGTTTCTAAAAAAAAAAAAAAAAAAAAAATTAGCCGGGTGTGGTGGCATGTGCCTGTAGTCCCAGCTACCTGGGAGACTGAAGCAGGAGAATCACTTGAACCTGGGAGGGAGAGGTTGCAGTTAGCTGAGGTCGCACCACCGCACTCCAGCCTGGGTGACAGACCGAGACTCCATCTTAAAAAAAAGAAAGAAATGAAAGAAGTCTAAAGAGTAACTCCAACCCACAGATATATATAAAGTTCTCCAGTAAAGGTAAATAAAAAGACAGACAGGCTGGGTGCGGTGGTTCAACCTGTAATCCAGCAGTTTAGGAGGCCGAGGTTGGTGGATCAGTTGAGGGCAGGGGTTTCTGACCTGCCTAACCAAAAAGGAGAAAGCCTGTGTCTATTAAAATACAAAATTAGCCAGGCGTGGTGGCACACATCTGTAATCCCAGCTACTCATGACACTGAGGCAGGAGAATTGCTTGAACCTGGGAGTTGGAGGTTGGAGTGACCCGAGATTGTGCCATTGCACTCCAGCATGGGCGACAAGAACAAAACTTCATCTCATCAACAAATAAATAAATAAATGAACAGGCAAATAAAAGGACACATAAACTGTTATAAGTGTACCTTTTCTTCATAATTCAACTTTTTTTCCTATTTAGAAGAAAAAAGCATGAAAACACAGTATCCATATAGGTTGATGAAAGTGCAACATACACAGAAATAATTCTGACATAAATACAGAGTTCTAGTGGAGAAATAGTTTTTGCAGGTTATGGAATTTTTTTTTTTTTTTTTGAGACAGAGTCTCGTGCTATCGCCCAGGCTGGAGTGCAGTGGTGCAATCGGCTCACTGCAACCTCCACCTCCTGGGTTCAAGTGACTCTCCTGCATTAGACACTTGAGTAGCAGGATTACAGGCGCCCATCACAGTGTCCGGCTAATTTTTGTATTTTAGTAGAGATGGAGTTTCGCCATGTTAGGCAGGCTGGTTTTGAACTCCTGACCTCAGGTGATTTGCCTGCCTCAGCCTCCCAAAGTGCTGGGATTACAGGCGTGAGCCACTGGGGCACAAGAAACATTTGAACCCGAGAGGCGGAGCTGGCTGCGGTGAGCCAAGATCGTACCACTGAACTGTAGCCTTGGCGACAGAGTGAGACTCCATCATAAACAAACAAACAAAAGAAGTAAATAAAAGAAGGGAGTCAAAGCATGTCTACACAAAAAAGCAATTAAACACAAAAAGTAGTAAATGAGAAATGAAGAACAAAAAAAACCTACAAGAAACACAGATAATATGTAACAAAATCACAAGGGTAAGGTCTTCTCCATCAGTAATACTTCCACTGTAAGTAACTCTGCATTCAGAAACCAAAGACTGGCTGAATCAATAGGAACCAACTACATGTTGTCTACAAGAAACTCATAGACTCATATTAGCCTTAAGGACACACATATGCAAATATTTCATTTTATTTTATTTATTTTTTTGAGATGGAGTCTCACTCTGTCACCAGGCAGATGTGCAGTGGTGATCTTGGCTCACTGCAACCTCCGATTCCCAGGTTCATGTGATCCTCCTGCTTCAGCCTCCCAAGTAGCTGGGATTACAGGCCCATGCCACCACACCCGGCTAATTTTTCTATTTTTAGTAGAGACGGGGTTTCACCATGTTGGCCGGGCTGGTCTCGATCGCCTGACCTCGTGATCCACCCACCTTGGCCTCCCAAAGTGCTGGGATTACAGGCGTGAGCCACCAAGCCCGGCCACACATATGCAAAAATCTTAAAAATAAAAGCCAATAATTAGGTATGGTGGTTGGCACCTGTAATCTCAGCTACTTGGGAGACTGAGGAGGATCTCTTGAGCTCAGGAGATCAAGATGAATTTCAACAACACAGCAAGACCCTGTCTGGAAAGAAAACAAACTAAAAAATTTGCCCAAACATGGTGGCATGCACCTGTACCAGCTACCGGGGGAGGCTGAGGTGGGACAATCACTTGAGCCAAGGAATTCAAGACTGCAGTGAGCCATGATCACACCATTGCACTCTACCCTGGGTGACAGAGCAAGACACTGTATCTAAAAACAAGAGAAAATACAAAGATACACAAGGGCACATTCCCACTTCTGGAGGGAAGTTATCCTCACCCAGGGAGACCAGGTTCCTATAATTCTCCAGCATCACGTCCCTGTATAGAGTCCTCTGAGCAGGGTCCAGGCATTTCCACTCCTCCTGAGAGAATTCTATGGCCACATCCCTGAATGTCAATAGACCCTGAAATGAAAACACATTTTAACCAAATGGTTATGAGAGGAGTTCTTATCTTTACAGAAAATGAGAAGAAGAGAGGTGAAGGCATGGATTTAAATGCAGTGAATGTTCTAACAAATCTGAGTAAGGGATTTTTCACCGCATTTTGTCTTCCCAGTTGTGTTTTACTAAAATTTTTTTTTTTTGAGGTGGAGTCTCAGTCTGTCACCCAGGCTGGAGTGCACTGGTGCTGTCTGCGCTCACTGCAACCTCCACCTCCTAGGATCAAGCGATTTTCCTGCCTTAGCCTCCTGAGTAGCTGAAATTACAGGTGCATGCCACCACAACCAGTTAATTTTTGTATTTTTAGCAGAAACGGGGTTTCACCGTAATAGCCAGGTTGGTCTCAAACTCCTGACCTCGTGATCTGCCTGACTCAGCCTCTCAAAGTGCTGGAATTACATGCGTGATCCACCGCGCCCGGCCCAGAAACTTTTATTGACACAGCAAGTGACATTCCGTATCTAGATGAGACAGAGTACGGGTGATGTCTTCAGAGATGACAACATTCACAGTGAAAGATGAGAAACTAAAATCTGGCTGGGCACAGCGGCACATGCCTGTTATCCCAGCTACATGGGAGGCTGATGCAGGAGAATTGCTTGATCCCAGGAGGCAGAGGTTGCAATGATCTGAAATCCCACCACTGCACTCCAGCCTGGGCAACAGAGACTATATCTCAAAAAAAAAAAAAAAAAAATTAGCTAGCCATGGTGGCAGGCACCTGTGGTTCCAGCTACTTGGGAGCCTGAGGTAGGAGGATGGCTTGAGCCTTAGGGTGGAGGTTGCAGTGAGCTAAGATCACGTCACTGTGCTCCAGCCTGGGCACCACAGTGAGACCCAGTCTCAAAAGAAAATATATGAAAACTAGATTAGTCAAAGTATGGAAATCCATTATATCTCATCGATTATATCTCATAACGATATCATCTCATAAGTCTCATAACGATGTAGAAATACACGTGAACGGGACTTGCTCTGACACCTGGCACAGAACTGACAGTAGTGGCTCCCCAGTGAGGCTGGAAGGAGGGTGGAGGACGTGACAGGGAAAGGAGATGCATTATGGCAAAAAATCTAAGCTGCAGCTTTGCTTGGAGTTTTACCACAAAACAAATGGATACATCATGTGATGGTTAAATATAAAAATATGTATTTAATAATAATTGGTGGGGCTGGGCATGGTGCCTCACACCTGTAATCCCAGCACTCTGGGAGACTGCGGTGGGCAGATCACCTGAGATCAGCAGTTCGAGACCAGCCTGGCCAACATGGTGATACCCGTCGCTAATAAAAATACAACAAAATTAGCTGGGCGTGGTGACGCACGCCTATAATCCCAGCTACTTGGGAGGCTGAGGCAGGAGAATCACTTGAACCCGGAAGGTGGAGGTTCCCGTGAGCCAAGATCATGCCACTGCACTTCAGCCTGGGTGACAGAGCAAGACTCTGCATATTTAAAATATAATATTATCATAACATAATAATAAAAATTATAAAAACGTTTAATGAAAACACCTGTTTCACAAGCCTCTCCACGGTAACACCACAGTCTCCATGAGCGTAATGTGCTAAGAATGGTTTAATGAATCTCCTGCTATTGTTCAGGTTGATTTCCTATTCTTAAAATAATGACAGAATAAAACATCTTCTATCTTTCATGTCTGTGTATGAACTTTCCATTCTAATTACTAAGATTTTTGGAGTCAGAAACACAGTAACTCACTCAAAAAACTAAAAATGTATTATAAAATCAGGCAGAAAACATTTCTCGATCTTGGTCACCTTTTCTAGAATTTACCACATACTTTGTGCACATGAATACATGACTTCCATTGGCAGCTGCTCTAATACTGGTCCACAGAGAGCTGACAGTACGTCCAGATGTGGCCCCTGAACAATCCCTGCTGTCCAACAGCACTGACACCATGGGACCCTCACCCCGTCTCCATCCATGTCTGGGTGTGAGCCCTTCCCAAGACCATGCCCAGTGCAGCCTCTTCCCAAGTTCATCTCACTGGATCACGAGAGATGGAATCTAAGCGAGATAAGAGGGACTGAGGGAAGGCATGGGTGAATGTGAGCAAACCTGTCAGGCAGGATGCTTCAGACTCAGAGAAGATTCCCAACTCCAAGGCCCAGCATTTCTGAAAGGAAGGAGACAGAACAATCCACTGAAAATATCATCTCACCTGAGAAAAAGCCATCCCTGACTCCTTTGCTCTCCTCTTCCTCTTCCGGGTTTCTTCCTCACGTACCAAGAGTCTTTAGAAGTCAATCCTGAATGTTAGAAATATGTTGTTTATTGCTCAGAATCAACACGCCACCTCCGTGGAACACAACCACACATACAAAGGCGACCTCACCCTGGGAAATATGGTCCCGTCTGCTGCCCACTGCACCAGGGATGATAAACTGCCACAGGAAAACTCGCACTTCTTTCCTAGAGGAGCCCACACACACGCTGCAACAGTGGGAGCTGGGCTGGAATGGGCTCCCCTTCCTGACCCAGCCCTGGGTCCCTAGACCCAGCCCTGACCAAACCCCATGCAGATGCTGGGTCTGGTGCCTCATGCCTGTCATCCCAGCACTCTGGGAGGCTGAGGCAGATAGATCTCTTGAGCTCAGGAGTTTGGTGAAACATGGTGAAACCCCATCTCTACCAAAAATACAAAAACTTAGCCAGGCATGGTTGTCCAAGCTACTTAGGAGTCTGAGGTGTGAAGATCACTTGGGCTCAGGAGTTTGAGACCAGCCTGGCCAACACTGTGAAACCCTGTCTCTACGAAAAATAAAAAAACTGAGCCAGGCTTGGTGGCTTATGTCTGTAATACCAGCACTCTGGAAGGCTGAGGAGGGTGGATTACTTGAGGTCAGAAGTTTGAGACCAGCCTTGCCAACACAGTGAAACCCCATCTCTACTAAAAATACAAAAAGTAACTGGGCTTGGTGGTTGTTTGTAATCCCAGCTACTCAGGAAGTGGAGGCAGGAGAATCGCTTGAACCCAGGAGGTGGCAGTTGCACTGAGCCAAGATCATGCCATTGCACTTCAGTCTGGGGTGACAGTGTGAGACTCAAAAATAAAAAAATATATAAAAATAAAAATACAATAATTAGCCAGGTGTGGTAGCACATACCTGTAATCTCAGCTACGTGGGATGCTGAGGCACAAGAATCACTTGAACCCAGGAAACAGAGGTTGCAGTGACCCAAGATCATGAGACTGCACTCACAGCCCGGGCAATACTCTGTCTCCAAAAAAAAGAAAAAAAAATTCTGATGTGATTGATGTAGAGATAATAAAACCTGAGTAACATGATAGAGACTGATGGGCAGAGGGAACTTCAGATGGGGTTGGGAGGGCATGGGAGACATCTCTGAGCCTAGACCTGAAGAAGAAAGGCACAGGGCCGTGATCATTTAGGGACATAGGGTAAGAGCAGGGACAGCAACCTGAGACAGGAAGGGTTTTGATATCTGGGAAAACAGAAAAGCAAATGTGACTGGGGCAGAGGGAGTCATGAGATGAGGGCAAGCTCCCAGGAGGAGGCTGGACACTGGCAGGGGCCCTGGTCACAGGGCTGTGGAGCCACAGTGAGGAGTTGGGCTTTTGTTCTGGGGAACACGGGAAGCTGGTGGAGGGTTCCCTGCCAGGGACTGACGTGACCTGCTTTAGATTTTGCTGTGATGTCCTCATACAGAGAAAGGCCTCGAAGATGGTCTCTGTGTCTGAGTCTACACCTCTATTTCTTCCATTCTTTCACGTTTTTTTAAAAAATTTTTTTTAATTTTATTTTTGGGGTACTGCATCCCATTTAAAATTCTAATTACAGCTGGGCACTCCCCTCTGCCAGAAGAAAGGCCACGCCAAGACATGCACTATTTTGCCGATCATTTCAGGGGACTGGGTCACTCGGGTTGAGCTTTTCTGGTCTAGCCCCTCATCTCCAAGTTGCAGGGAGGCTCACTGGGGCTCAGAGCAGGGAAATTTTCACCAAGTTACCCTGAGAAGGTCTGAGATGAGTGAGAAGGTGTGCCTGAATTCTTACATGGGGGCCTGGAAGGGCTAATGGGAAGGCTTGGTCTTTATCACCCCTATCCTTGAAAATTACAGAAGCATCTTTCACAGGCCTGGGCTAAAGAAACTTCTTTTGCAAGGTTCTGATGCCACTGATTCCTGACATTTAATTTTTCCTTAGAAGAAAATCACAGTAACATTTATAAAATGCAGAAGTGTGAACACACAGCTATTGACCTTGAAAATAGCGAAAGAGGGTCAGCTGTAGAACTAAGACATAAGCAAATTTTTTCAATCAGGAATACATGGGTGGCTGGGAGCAATGGATCATGCCTGTAATCTCAGCTACTCGAGAGGCTGAGGCAGGAGAATCGCTTGAACCCGGGAGGCGGAGGTTGCAGTGAGCCGAGATCACACCATTGCACTCCAGCCTGAGCAACAAGAGCGAAACTCCATCTGAAAAAAAAAAAAAAGAAAAAAAAGAAAAAAAAGAATCATGGGTGCTTTTAGAACAGCGTTCCATGTTGGGGAAAAGCTGAGGCAGGGCTTGCTAGTCTGACATAATATAAAGAGTCTTGGAACATGCCGGGGTCCAGGGCCTAAAACCCCTTGTGGTCTTTGGAACACCCAGCTCTGTGCCAAAGGGTGGAAGGCTGCCCTGCCAAATTACAACCTAAGCCCAAGGCATAAAACCCTGAAGGGGGGCCAGTCCCTCCACACCTGTGGCTATTTCTCATCAGCTGGGATAAGAGACTGAGAAAAGAAATAAGACACAGAGACAAAGTATAGAGAAAGAACACTGGGCCCAGAGGACCGGCGCTCAGCATACGGAGGACCCGCATCGGCACTGGTCTCTGAGTTCCCTCAGTATTTATTGATCACTCTCTCTACCATCTCAGTGAGGGGAATGTGGCAGGACTACAGGCTAATGGTGGGGAGAGGGTCAGCAGGAAAACGTAAGCAAAGGTCTCTGTGTCATAAATAAGTTTAAGGAAAGGTGCTGTGCCTCAATGTGCATGTAGGCCAGGTTTATGTTTGACTTTACACAAACATCTCAGTGCAGTAAAGAGCAGTATTGCCGCCAGCATGTCTCACCTCCAGCCATAAGGCGGTTTTCTCCTATCTCAGTAAATAGAATGTACAATCAGGTTTTACAGCGAGACGTTCCATTGCCAGGACGAGCAGGAGACAGATGCCTTCCTCTTATCTCAACTGCAAAGAGGTCTTCCTCTTTCACTAATCCTCCTCAGCACAGACTCTTTACGGGTGTTGGGCTGGGGGACAGTCAGGTCTTTCCCTTCCCATGAGGCCATATCTCAGGCTGTCTCAGCAGGCAGAAACCTTGGACAATACCCAGGCTTTCTGGGGCAGAGGTCCCTGTGGCCTTCTGCAGTGCATTGTGTCCCTTGGTATTTGAGACTGGAGAATGGTGATGACTTTTACCAAGCATACTGCCTGCAAACACATTTTAAACAAAGCACATCCTGCACAGCCCTAAATCCATTAAACCTTGAATCAACACAGTACGTTTCTGTGAGCACAGGGTTGGGGCTAGGGTTACAGATTAACAGCATCTCAAGGCAGAAGAATTTTTCTTAGTACAGAACAAAATGGAGTTTCTTATGTCTTCTTCTTTCCACATAGGCACAGTAACAGTCTGATCTCTCTTTCTTTCCCCAACAAACCCCTTGTGGCTTGGATGGAATCCAGGTTTCAGGGCATAAAACCCCTCGTGGCCTCTGGAATGTGCCTAGACTTGATGGTTCTTTGCTTCTAGCACTCCCAGACTCATAAAATGATTGTATCTTAAACTAGAAGAATATGTTCCCCATGATCTCAAGTAGCAGAACATGTTCCATATAAATGTTAACCTGACACACCTATAGATCATGTGCTTGATGCACTGCTTCCTTTCAAACCCCACATCCTCACCACCTGCTGCTTTGTTTGATCACTAATAGTGTGGGCTTCCAGAGCTCAGGTCTATTGCAGCCTCCATACTAGCGTTGGCCCCCTGGACCCACCTTATGCATTCTTAACTTGTCTTTTCTCATTCCTTTGACTCCACTGGACTTCTTAGCCCCCACAGCCCGGTGTTGGGTCTGATCACCCCAACAGTTCCATGCCAATCCATCCCATCTTTCAACATTAGTCCAGAATGGACCAGAGGGCCTTGAGGGAAACATGCACTTAATAGCTCACAGCTCAAGATGTTCACAGATGACATAAGGAAAGAAAACTGAAAAATACATTAACTGGTTAAACTACATTTTGATGTTAAGGTAAAAGGTCACTGATTCTTTACCAGGTACACACTGAAACAATCAAACTTTTGTATTAGGTACCGAAGTTTTCCAATAAATAATAAAGACTAGAAAGCATGCAGACCTTGATCTGAACTGGACGCAACTAGTTTCAAACAGAAACTATTTAGAAATTGTTTTTTTAAAAATCTAACAAATTCTGGGGTCAACAGGTAAATAACTGGAAAATATACTTGTACAGAAAAAAATGATGTGAGCTGATTATAGGATGTGACAAAGGCATCTTTCAGAAGTGATTATGTATTTTTTTTTTCACAACATGATTTTTAAAGACATTATGCATTGGGCTCACATTCCCTTAAATGTTGTTTGCAAAGGTTCTCAGCCTCTAGCCCAGCTGGAATCTCCAGGAAGAGGCAGAGACAGTTTGGTGAAAAAGAGGCAGGGAAGGAGGGGGTGGCAAAAGGAGAAAGCAGCCTTCCCGTTAAAGATCAGCCCTCAGGTAAAGGTCAGCTTCGGGCAGGCTGGCCTCAGGCAGAGTCAGGGTCAGAGGAAGGAGCAGCAGCAGGGTGGGACTGGGGCATTCTACATCTCATTCAGGTCAAGCAAAGTCTGGTCCAGCATCCTTTGTGTACAGAGGTGTTCCTCTTTGGTGCATTTCAGTTTATCTTCCAAGTCATCAATTGTCTTTTCCAGCTTGGCTACTGATCTCTCAGCCAACTCAGCATGGGTCTCTGCCTCCTTGAGATTATCAGTAAGAATCTTCATCTCTTCCTCACATTTGTCTTCTTTTTGAGAGTACTTTTCTTCAGCTGCACTCAGACACTTCAGGTTCTGGTCCATCAGTCTGATCTGCTCATCCATCTCTCAGCAACGGGACTCTGCCAGCTCAGCTCGTTCCTCTGTGCATCCCATGTCTCCTTCAATGATCACCAACTTACGAGCCACCTCTTCATACTTCCCATCTGCCTCATCTGCAATGTGCTTAGCTTCTTTGAGTTGGATTTCCTGGAGTTCCATCTTCTTCATCTTTTAAGGCCCAGATTTCAATAACCTTTGTATCTCTCTCACTCTCATCAGCAGCTTTTCCCGCTTCTTCCAGCTTTTGCAGGGCAGTGGCCAGGCGCTCCTGAGCACAGTCCAGCTCCTCTTCAACCAGCTGGATCCTACCGTTCACGGAGGCCACTTCAGCCTCTGCCTGTTCCCAGGCCCACCTTTTTCCCTCAGCTTCTCACTGGAGGTGCTCAGCTCACTCCTCTGCATCATCTGCCTGGTGCTGCAGAACCTGGATCTTGCGCTTCACTGCCTCGATGGTGGTGATCCCAGCCATGCTGCCCACCCAGCTACTGCTCACACTCCGGTTCCTCCTTCCTCCACTCGGCATTGCAGACTCCTCTCTGTGATTATGAATTAAAAAAGAAATTTTGAAAACTAAGATTTATCTCAGCCGGGCATGGTCATTCATGCCTGTAATCCCAGCACTTTGGGGAGGCCAAGGCGAGTGGATCACCTGAGGTCAGGAGTTCAAGGCCAGCCTGGCCAACATGGTGAAACCCCATCTCTGCTAAAAGTACAAAAATTAGCTGGGTGTGGTGGTGCGGGACTGTAGTCCCACATACTCAGGAGGTTGAGGCAAAAGAATCACTTGAAACCAGGAGGCAGAGGTTGCAGTGAACCGACATCATGCCACTACACTCCAGCCTGGGTGACTGCGTGAGATTCTGCCAAAAAAAAAAAAACAAAAAACAAAAAAACCCGAAACTAACATTTGTCTCAAACTGCAAAATAAATAAATAAGTAAAATAAAGAATTGAAGAAACAGAAATAAAATAAAGTAAATCTATTACACATGAAAACAAAAGCACTTTTGATGTCCCTTTTGTTTTTTATTTTTTGTTTGCTTGTTTTTGTGAGATGGAGACTTGCTCTGCCACCCAGGCTGCAGTGCAGTGGCAGGATTTTTGCTCACTGCAACCACTACCTCCCAAGTTTAAGTGATTCTCATGCCTCAGCCTCCCCAGTAGCTATGACTACAGGTGCACACCACCATGCCTGGCTAACTTTTGTATTTTTAGCAGAGACCAGGTTTCACCATGTTGGCCAGGCTGCTCTTGAACTCCTCACCTTAGGTGACCCACTCGCCTCTGTCTCCCAAAGTGCTGTGGTTAATGGCAGGGGCCACCACGTTTTGATATCCCTTTTGAAAAGTACTATGTAGACCAGGTGTGGTGGCTTATCCTTGTAATCCCAGTATTTTGGGAGGCCAAGGCAGGAAGATCCTTCGAGCTCAGGATGTTGAGACCAGCCTGGGAAACGTAGTGAAACGCGTTTCTACCAAAAATGTACAAAACTTGCCTGACTTGGTGGCTCATGCCTGTGACCTTAGCTACTCAGGAAGCTGAGGTAGGAGGATGGTTTGAGCCCAGGAGGTCGAGGCTGCAGTTAGAAGAGATCATGCTGCACTCCATCCTGGGCGATAGAGCCAGCCCTGTCTCAAAATACTAATTATTAATTAATTTAATTAAAAGTATTATGTAATAACAGAAATAGATTTTTTTCCCACTTCATTGCCCCACTTCCTACCCCATCCTGCAAAAAGGGAACAGAGTAATTCACAACTGAATAAGTCACTGCCCTCTGGCTGAATAGGGATTCCAAGTGGAAGCTGACCTCTATGCCAAGATTTATACAATGTACATGCCTTATAGATAGGAATTTTTAAGTTCTCAATCTCATCTGTATAATTTAAACAAATTTTAAGTTATTAGATTATATACACAGAAGTCAACATGTCACAAGTAATCATACCCAGTGAACTCACCCACTCATCTGAACCCAAAGTCCCCCACCCCTTTTATTCTTTTGAGACAGGGTCTCACTCTGTTGACCAGGCTGGAGTGCAGTGGCATGATCTCAGCTGACAGCAGCCTGGACTTCCTGGGCTCAAGTGATCTTCCTGCCTTGGCCTCCAGAGTAATTGGGAGCACAGGTGTGCACCATCATGCCTGGTTCATTTTATTTATTTATTTATTTTTGGCCAAGACGGGGGGGTCTCACTATGTTGCCCAGGCTGGTCTCGAACTCCTGTACTCAAGCAATGCCCTTGCCCCAGTCTCTGAAAATGGTGGGATTATAGGAGTGAGCCACAGCACCCAGCCTCTTTTTCAGGTACCAGTGCAACCTCATATGCAAGAAGAACAAAAATCATTATTTCAGTTAGCTAAAGAAATTCCTGGAGTATAGGCTGAGGACAACCCACCTGGTTTAGCTGTAAATCATGCACCAGTAGTAGCAGAATTAAAACCAGAAGCAACTCCTGTTCGGGTTCATCAGTACCCAGTTCCCCAAAAGTCTGTACAGGGCATCTGCAAGCATTTAGAACGGCTCTATAAACATAAGATTTTAGTCCAATGCCAGTCGCCTTAGAACACTCTGCTTTTGCCAGTTCAGAAGCCATTGCCAGGGCCAGGTTCAAATGAATACAGGCCAGTGCAATATTTGCATGCTATAAACCAGGCCACAGTAACTATCCATCCAGTGGTACCCAACCCGTATACTTTGATAGCTCTTATTCCAGCAAGTGCTAGCTTACAGTCTTAGACTTAAAGGATGCTTTCTTTCTTTTGTTATCTGTCTGGCACCAGTTAGTCAGCCTATCTTTGCATTTCATAAGAGAAAAGAAGCGTCACAGCTCTCCTGGACTAGACTCCCACAAAGGTTTAAAAACTACCACAATCTGGGGGCCTGTGGTCCCACCTATTCGGGAGGCTGAGGCAGGAGAATGGCGTGAACCAGGGAGGCAGAGCTTACAGTGAGCCGAGACCACGCCAGTGCACTCCCGCCTGGGTGACAGAGCAAGACTCCATCTCAAAAACAACAACAACAACAAAAACAACTACCACAATCTTTTTTTTTTTTTTTTGAGTCAGAGTCTTGTTCTGTCACCAAGGCTAGAGTGTAGTGGCACGATCTCAGCTCACTGCAACCTCTGCCCCCTCGGTTCAAGCAATTCTCCTGCCTTTGCCTCCTGGGTAGCTGGGATTACAGGCGCCTGCCACCATGGCTGCCTAATTTTTGTATTTTTGGTAAAGACAGGGTTTCACCATCTTGGCCAGTCTGGTCTTGGACTCCTGACCTCATGATCCAGCCATGTGGCCGCCCAAAGTGTTGGGATGAGAGGCGCAAACCACCATGCCCCGTTCTCTCCCACAATCTTTAGAGAAACATTGGCCTCAGACCTCATGGCCTATACCCTGCCAAGTAACAACTGTGCCTTGTTGCAGTACATAGACGAGCTTTCTTTGCCTGCCCCAACCTGAGAGGAGTGTTATCGGGGAACCCAGGATCTCCTCCATCTCCTATAGAAAGCAAGTTACAAAATATCAAAAAAGAAAGCCCAAATTTTCCATGAAGAGGTTACATATCTAGGTGTCATATTGAGCCACGAGGAACACTGGTTTGGCTATGAGAGGAAGCAAGCCATTTGTGCACTTCTAACTCCGACTACCCGATGACAAATAGGAATTTTTAGACGCAGCAACATTCTGCCACATCTGGATTCCAAGTTTTTCACTGATGGCTAAGCTGTTATATGACGCCACAAAAGGAGGGGAAAAGGAGCCCCTCTTTTAAAAAACTAACCAAGAAATAGCCTTCAAACAGATCAAGGAAGCTTTAACCCAGGCCCCAGCCTTAAGACTATGAGACATAACTAAGTCTTTCTATATGTTCATGAACAAAAAACAATGACTATAGGGGCTCTGACTCAACTTATAGGATCATGGCGTCACCCAGTGGCATATTTATCCCAACAACTAGACTCCATGGTGTTAAGATGGCCTCTTTGCCTTAAGGCATTAGCTGCCACCATCTTGTTAACACAAGAAGCTAGCAAATTAACTCTAGGACAGCAACTAACTGTCCCGGTGCCACATTCAGTCATAACTTTGATGGATCAAAGAAGGCACCATTAGTTATCAAACCTGAGGATGACTTGGTACCAAGGGCTTCTATGTGAAAACCCTTACACAACTTTAGAACACTAAACACCCTAACCTGGCTATTCTGCTCCCAGTCGAACAGGCAGCTCTTCTCCATAACTGTGTCAAAACAGTAGACGAGGTATTTCCCAATGAGAAAGATCTTACAGACAGACCCCTCAGAGACCCAGATGTCAAGTACTTCACAGGTGGAAGTAGTTCTGTGCTGGAAGAGTTTGGACATGCCAGGTATACAGTGGTAACATCAGACTCAGTAGTAGAGGCTCAGCCTCTGCCTACCGGAACATCAGCTCAAAAGGCAGAATTAATAGCCCTGACAAGAGCACTGTTGCTAGCAAAAGAGAAGAAAGTCAGTATTTACACTAATTCTAAGTATGCTTTTACTACCTTGCATGTACATGGAACTATATATAAAGAGAAAGGACTTTTATCAGCTAGAGGCAAGAAATAAAGTACAAAGAAGAGATTCTACAGCACTTAGAGGCTGTATAGCTTCCAGAAAAAGTAGCTATAATGCATTGCAGAGGCCACCAAAAGGCAAGGATGCCAGAAGCCAAAGGAAACAGAAAAGCAGACAGGGAGGCAAAGCAGGCAGCAATGATCACGCTGCATTTTAAAGAGGAAGCCTTAGCTATGCCTCTCCTCCCAGAACCTCCTCTCCAAGACGACCCAAGTTATACTCCAAATCAAAGATCCTGGTGTGCCAAGAAGATATAAAATGTATGAAAAGAAAGTAAAAGAAGTTCTTCTATAGGAGACTAGCCATTCCAAAGATGTTAGCTCCTAAGTTTGTGAAGCAAATCCATCAAGAAAATCATATAAGAAAAACAGCATTAGCAACGTTATGTAGTGCCATTTTTTCTTTTTTTTTTTTTGAGATGGAGTCTTGCTCTGTCGCCCAGGTTGGAGTGCAGTGGTGCGATCTTGGCTCACTGCAACCTCTGCTTCCCAGGTTCAAGTGTTTCTTTTGCTTCAGCCTCCCTAGTAGGTGGGATTACAGGCGCCTGCCAACACGACTGGCTATTTTTTTTGTATTTTTAGTAGAGATGGGTTGTCACCATGTTGGTCAGACTGGTCTTCAAATCTGGACCTCATAATCTGCCTGCCTCAGCCTCCCAAAGTACTGGGATTACAGGCATGAGCCACTGCGCTGGGTCACGAAAGTGCCATTTCTATGTGCCGTGGCTCTCTGCTGTCACTCAAGATGTTTGTGAACAATGATTAACCTGTGCTGAGAATAACCCACGACAGGGGCCCACTCAGCCCCAAGAATTCAAGAAGTAGGAGCCGTGCCTTGTGAAAACTTGCTTATAAACTTTAGCGAACTGCCCCGTGCCAGAGGCTATGGGTATATGCTATTGCTTATTTGCACCTTTTCAAGATAAGTTAAGGCTTTCTCCACCAGGGGAAAAGTGCAAGAAGTGACTAAAGTACTGATAAAAGACATTATCCCCAGGTTTGGACTGGCTCTACCTTTAAAGTCAGACAATGGGCCAGCATTCGTAGCTGAAATAGTGTAAGATTTCACAAGTCTGCTAAAAATAAAATAGAAGCTACACACAGACTATCAGTCACAAAGTTCAAGGAAAGTAAAGCGCATGAACTGGACACTCAAGCAGCTACTGAAGAAATACTGCCAAGAAACTCATCTGAGATAAGATCAGCTCTTTCGTATGGTCCTCCTCCAAGTCAGGTGCACCCCCACCAAACAAACTAGGTATTCACCTTATTAGAGTTTGTTCAGTCGGCCTGCCCTAATCATAAGTCAAATTAAAGGTGATCTCCAAGAACTAGAGGAATTAACTTTAAGCAAGCAAATGCAGGCTTTAAGAACAGCCATGCAAGAAGTCCATAACTGAATACAAGAAAGAATGCCTATAAGTCTGACAGATCAAGTACACCCCTTTCAACATGGAGACTCTGTTTAGGTTAAAAAGTAGAATCCAACTTCTCTAGGACTCATATAGGATGGGCCCTGTACTGTAATCTTGTCCACTCCCACTGCTGTTAAATTTGCAGGAATCATGCCATAGGTCCACCACAGTCAGCTGAAACCAGCAGTTCAGGACAAGTGGAACAGCCAGCAAGACCCAGATCATCCAACTCAGCCGATCCTGAGATGAGACCAAGCTGCTGCTGAGGACGACAGCCCTGCTCTGGTCACTCTGGAGGCTGACCAGTCTATGCACAGCTGAAGCTGGAGGGGACGACAAGCCCAGCTCTAGTCACACACCAGAAGCTGACTAGTCTACGCACGGCCGAAGCTTGAGGACTCGTCAAGCAAGTAAATGTGGTTAGAAATCTTAAGACTAGTAGTTTTCCTTGTAATACTAACTGTTTTATTATTGTTCTGTCGTTGTGCTCAACCTCCTCTGCCAGGCAAGGCCCTCTTCTGTCCTTGCTGGATATGAACATGCTGTACACTGTTTTGCTGTTGTCACCCCCCTTAACCATGGTAGAAGAAGCAACTATAGAAATGTGTCCCCACTGTACACATACTACCTGGTCAGGGAACAGGATAACTAAGACTCTACTGCACCATACTTATTATGAGTGTACAAGGACTCACTTAAGAACTTGTACTTATAAAGGCCAGGCACAGTTGCTCATGCCTGTAATTCCAGCCCTTTTGGAGGCCACGATGGGTGGATCACCTGAGGTCGGGAGTTCGAGACCAGCCTCACCAACATGGAGAACCCCGTATTGAATAAAAATACAAAATTAAACAGGCATGGTGGCGCATGCCTGTAATCACAGCCTTTCAGGAGGCTGAGGCAGGAGAATCGCTTGAACCCAGGAGGTGGAGGTTGTGGTGAGCCGTGGTCATGCCATTGCACTCCAGACTGGGCAACAAGAGCAAAACTCCATCTCAAAAAAAAAAAAAAAAAAAAAAAAAAAAAAAAGGACTTGTATTTATAGCCAGACGACCTACTCAGTTACTCAATTTGTGACCAGGAAATAACCAACCTTATGTATGTTATAACCCCAAGATTTCACCTGGTGAATAGTTTAAATTCGTGCAAGGTCAAAAGAAAGTCACCTCTTAAACCAAACCAAGGTCCCCCCCTTTTACCGATGGCCTATTTCTCTGTATTTTGATGCTTGTCCAACCTGTAATCCTGTAAATTTCACCATTCTAAAGCCAGACTTACCCATGCGGACTGCAGGTTACCCCATACGTGTCTCCACACACACCTACCCAGCAACCTACCTATATGTTATCAAAAAGGAACCCGGACCAGCAACAATTCCGAGTCTTTAAATCATTCCATAAGCATGTAGACCAGAAGTTACCAGAGCATCATCCTTTAGCTAAAAACCTGTTTGCTTGGTTAGCTGAAAACATTGATTGCTAGCAGCTTAAGCATTTCCTCATGTTGTTTGTAGAAGGACGAACATAGTAGACCAATGGCCTTAAGAAGCAAAAGAGTTAATGCCACAAGATAATTTAACTCTAACTGACTCTTCCCCCGAACCGATGCCCACAAGTTCAAGCACCTAGCTCTTAAAAACTTCTATTATCAGGAGATACTGGGTTGCTCACTAAGGAAAAGCTTTTACAGACTCACTGGAAGAATTAACTTGTTTAAGACAGCAATATTATAATAAAACACTAAAGAAAACTTTGTGGCAAGGCAAAGATGACTCCAGATCACCTCATCCAAACCCATTCTCCTGTTTCTCTTCTCTAAACCACACCTAGTATCAGCTTGAAGCTCCAAATACCTGGCAAGCACCCTCTGGTCTCTATTGGATCTGTGGGCCACAGGCCTACCGACAGTTGCCAGGAAAATGGACAAGGGCTAGTGTACTTGAAACAATTAGACCATCTTTCTTCTTACTCCCACTGCAACAGGGAGAAACTTGAAGGTATCCTGTCTACAATAAAATTAAAGAAAAAAACAAAAGATATATAGACATAAGGAAATACATAGAAATAGAAGATTAGAAAGACACAGATTTGCCTCCTGAAAGACTAATTCAGTACTCTAGGCCAGCTACCTGGGCACAAGATAAGTCACGAAGGTATTGCACCCCAATTTACACACTTAACCGCATCATAAACTCGCAAGCAGTACTTGAAATCATCACTAATGAAACAGCAAATGCATTAGACTTACTGGCCCAGCAAGCCACAAAAACGAGAAATGCCATCTACCAAAATAGATTAGCTTTAGACTACCTCCTAGCCTAGGAAGGAGGAGTATGTAGAAAGTGTAATCTAACTAATTGCTGCCTAGAAATCAATGACAATAGGAAGGCTATTAAAGAAATAACTGTAAGAATGAAAAAATTAGCCCACGTTCCAGTCCGGACTTAGACAAAATAGACTCTTGAGTCCGTCTTTAGAGGCTGGTTTTCCTCCTTCAGTAGATTCAAAACCTTAATAGGAGTAGTTCTAGCCATACTAAGAATTGGTTTGATACTCCCTTACCTCTTACCTCTCCGTGTTAAGAGCATTCAATCAACTATAGAAGCAATTGCGACCAGGCAGACTACCACTCAGCTAATAGCCCGATATAAATATCAGCCAGTGCTCTTTCATGAAGAATCCAGTAATAGTGATGTCTTCTAGTAAAATCTTGTTCATAAAAGGCATCTAAGGGAGAAAACTGAGGCAGAAAGTTAAAAAACAAACATGCATTCATTCACTCCAAGAAAAGTAACAGGCAAGGCAAGGGTTAAAAAGAAAAGAAGAACAAGTTTTCCTCTGCCTAGCAAGCTCGACTTGGCGAAGTCGAAGCCAAAGAAATGGGCTCCAGACAGCCCCCCACCTTCCCAGAACAAGAGTGAAGAAAAAAAAAAAAAGGACAAATGTGTGTATTTAGCTGTTCTTGTTTTTCTTTCAACTCAGCTACGAGGCCACCAGCTATGGAAGGACACAAGTTATGCTATGCTATAGATTACATGACCTATCATTATATGATTAACTGCTTTTATTCTGCTTCTGAAAGCAAAAAACCCCACTCCGTCTTTGTTGAAATGCTCAGCTTTTTAGATGTAAATCCACTGAGCCGGTGCGTATCTTAAATAAACATCCTTTTGTCTCCCCCATATCAGTCTGTCTAGTCCTCAGTTTCCCGCAACACCATCTCTGCGCCTCCTTTGCTCTCCCCGTTAAATTCTCTCTTCCCTGTTATACCCCCCTGTCCCCACTCTCTAGCACCCCAGATCCCCAGGTGTCCTCCCTGCTGTGCTTCTCCCTCTGTTCTCCTTGCCACCAGCACCACTCTGCTCTGTCTGCCCTGGCTCCAAATCCCTCCTCCTCTCCCTCACCCTGATGAGCCTCCCTCTTTGCTGTCCCTCTCCCTACCTTGCTGTCCTTCATCTCTCTGTACATCCAGCTTTTCTCTACATTTCTGCACTTGCTTTTCTCCTCCTGCTTTCTTATCGTTTTCTTTTCACTTTTGCTGTCTCTTGGCAAATCCCTCACCCATCCTCTACTTTGCCATCTGTTATAGGTCTTTCTCATTCTTCTTTTCTGTCTCAGGTTTTCCACTGCTCTCTGTCCGTCTCCTGATCCCTTTGGCCCACACAGTCACAGGAGGGTTTGGAGTAAGACGCCTGCATCCCGGGGGAGCGCATTTTCCAGGGGCTGGAGCTGGGCAGGCAGTAACACCCCGCGTCACAGGACAGGCCCCGGGCACCTCCCCAACGCGGGCTCAGGGGAAGCGGTGATTGTGGAGGCGAAACCCGTGGAGCAGCAGGGCCCGGCACAAGGAGGGAGGTGAAGGGGCGACAGCACCTTAAGGCAAGGGTGGGGTCTGCAGGATCCTAGGACCAGGCAGAGGACGCGGCCTTTCCGGGACTGGGGCAGCGGCGCTGGGCTCCAGGGGCCGACAAAGGCGAGAATCCACCTCTCAGGTGAGGACTTTAAAAAGCGCGGGGCGGGAGGAGTCAGAAAAAGGTTTACAGCAGGAAAACTACAGGTTAGAAAGTGTATACATTGCCCTGTAGCAGAAACACCCGGGACGGGACCAGCCTCAGGGGGACCTTAAACCCAAAAGGAACCGACCCACGGCCTCTCACGAGGTCGTCTCAATTTGCTCTGAGTGAAGGAAGACGGCTGAGAATTTCCAGGTTTGTGGGGATCCCAAGTCCCAGGTACAGAAGCGCCAGGAACCTGGAAGAGCAGACTTAATACAAGACAGGGCGAAACTCACGCGCCGCGGTGGCACCGTCACTCCACGCTATCCGCTTCCTGGTCTGCACGAATCTGCGCGCGCAGAGCAGAAGCCAGGCCTGGGCGGGACCCGCAAGGAGGTGGGCGGGGCCTGGACGAGGCAGGGGCGGGGCGCGAGGCGGAGAGACCTTGCGCTTTAGAGCCGGCAGAGGGCGGGGCCGGGGCGTGACCGGTGCTCCTCTCAGCTTCTCTCCTAGCACCTGTTTTCGGGTGGTGAAGGTGAGACCGCCCAGGAAGGCTGACGCATGGACTCAAAAGCCCTGGAATTGTCTGGAACGGGATACAAACTAGAATGTAAAATGCAAGGCCCTGCCTGGGCGGAACGTACGATTTCATGCTGACGGCCCACAGAACAGAACAGAAATCCTCTCCCTTTCTATTCTCCACTCACTCAGGAGGGAGAGTCCACCCCGTGCTCAGCTGCAGAGACTTCCCTAGGGCCTCCCCCTGGGATGCGGGACGGAATGCTCAGGCCAGCCAGGGGCGACCTGCTGGATAAACACAGCAAGGATTCAGGCGCGGGGGCGGGAGCCTGAGTTCCCAGCTACTCAGGAAGCAGCGGCGAGAGGATCGCTGAGCCTGGGGGTCCAGGCCAGCCTGGGCGACAAAGTAACACCCCTCCCTCAGGACTCCCTCCCTCGTCTCTCTCTCTTTTTTTCTCCATTTTTTAACGTTAAAATAAAATTTTGATTGTGTGAGATAGGGATACATTATTCTTTTCCATGTGGATATCCAGTTAGTTGTCCCAGCACATTTGTAGAAGAGATCTATTACTTTCTTTTATTTATTTACTTATTTCTTTTCTTTTATTTTGAGACAGAGCATTTCTCTGTCGCCCAGGCTGGAGTGCAGTGGCAGGAACTGGGCTCACTGCAGCCTCTGCCTCCTGGGTTCAAGCGATTCCCCTGCCTCAGCCTCCGGAGTACCTGCCATTACAGGCGCGTGCCACCATGCCCGGCTAATTTTTGTATTTTTGTAGGTGGGTTCCCCATGTTGGCCAGCTGGTCTCAACCTCCTGACTTCAAGTGATCCACCTGCCTCGGCCTCCCAAAGTACTGGGATTACAGGCGTGAGCCACTGTGCCTGGCCCCCCCAAAATACTTTTTACTTCACTGTCTAATTGTTGAGAAAATATAATTGAAAACAAACAAAAAGTCTTTCTCCAAATGAGAAATCATCTCCACGATGATCATAGAGAAAGAAATTAAAACCATTTCATTAATAAATAAGCCTTAGACCAGATTGTGATGCGAAATACAGGCAAACAGCTAAGAGGTTGAAAAAAGAGAAAGAAACTTTACTGTTCTATACAACCCATTAAGGACATGTTTTCAAGATAAACGCTAATCAGTCCTCAGGGAAGAGGACTTGACAACACTCTTGGTCACACATAGTTCATCCTGACTCTACTTGGTAATGGAGGTGACCATCTGTGTCAGCTAATTAGCTTCATTCTGAGGGACGGGGAGTAACACTAACCCATGTCTTTCTGACAAGTGTGAGTTTTACAACATAGCGACAGGTGCCCTCTCTGGTGAGGCTCCTACAGTCTGACAGAAACTGATATCAGCAGTAAATAATAAAATTTAGAATATATGATTAAGCACAGAGTTTATTTGAACACAAAGCATGAGGATAGCCACCTGGAAACATCAACTCCAAATGAATGGGATCAGCGTTCCCTTAGGTTTCACACACACGGAAAGACAGAGAAGCTTTAGAAGAATCACCACATTTTCCATTCAAGACCAGTACATAGGGTGCAGCAAGGTGATTGGTTATGGATTGATATACTTCAAGGAAGGTTACTTTATCACTCAATATAAAGGGACAATGATCCCAGGAGGTCTTATCTCTGGGGCTGCTTAGTCTTTTTAATTATTTACAGGAAAATTCTCTCTCTCTTTTTTTTTTTTTTTGGACGTAGTCTTGCTCTCTCACCCAGGCTGGAGTGCAGAGGCATGATGTCAGCTCACTGCAACCTACACCTCTCAGATTCAAGCAGTTCTCCTGCCTCAGCCTCCCAAGTAGCTGGGATTACAGGCATCCACCACCACATCTGGCTAATGTTTGCATTTTTAGTTGAGACAGGGTTTCACCATGTTAGCCAGGCTGGTCTTGAACTCTTGACCTCCGGTGATCTGCTCACCTCAGCCTCCGAAAATGCTGGAATTACAGGCGTGAGCCACCGTGCCCAGCCTATAAGTGGCTTTTTTACAGCGAATGCTATGCAAAACTTCTCATCAGTCATCATCATATTCAATAGCATTGCTTTTATCATATCACGGAAACCATTATTCTCATTTGGAACAGTCTGCCATCAACCTTCACAAATGCATATGGAAGCCCTCATGCTGGACTTCTCCTCACCCTAGAATCACCTGGGGGCAGGGTAGTTAATTGAAACAGCATGGATGTTTCCCCCGACACCAATAGACAGACGCTATGGGGAGGGCACAGGTGATGGTAGTAACTGAATATGACCATTTGATCCAACTGGAAGCCTGGGCTGAGAGCCTCTTAGCTAAGCACTGACTCTCAAGCTTTAAGGTGAATATAAGTCATCTGGCACTCCACAACCCACTGTAATAATGTTTGATTCTGCAGGTTTGAGGTAGCATTTATAAATTGGCATCTTTAACAAGTTCCCTGTTAATGCCAATGTTTCTCCCCTCGGACCCATTGTCAGAAGCACTGAGCTACAGAAGGCATGCCCTGCACACCAGAGCCCCTTCCACCCAAATATCTGCTCTCAGCACAGATACTGTTGGTTCCCAGGGGAGACCATAAATCACAGTCTTGAAAAGTCACTTTCTCTTTTTTTTTTCTTTCTTTTTTTCAGATGGAGTCTCGCTCTGTCGTCCAAAGTGCTGGGATTACAGGCTTGAGCCACCGCGACTGGCCTGATAGGAGGTGTTTAAAAGGAGCTTCAAAAGAGGTCAGTGCTCTACACTGAACGAAGGATGGAGGGTAATGGTAATGCCTCCACATTAAAATGACACAAATGCTGCTGTCTTACTGAAGTTTGGTACTTTCTGTGGGATAGATACTTTTCACTTTGTTCTGTGGCTTTGGTAAATTTCAGAAGTCTGAAA
The DNA here is from genome assembly GCF_000001405.40 of Homo sapiens. Taxonomy (NCBI): domain Eukaryota; kingdom Metazoa; phylum Chordata; class Mammalia; order Primates; family Hominidae; genus Homo; species Homo sapiens. Next base: position 53,428,913 of record NC_000019.10, on the reverse strand, counting down.
TGATTGATTTTAGTGACTTTGCGAGTGTTTTCATCATTTTGCAGAGGAGACTTGGTTTCTTGTGGTTTGCATTCATCAGTGTCAGAAGCTGATCTCTCTATTCAATCTTGCAGTTTTAAGTAATGCATTGAACAGTCACATAACAGAACGCTGAGCAGGAGAACTAAATTTCTAGTGTAATCAGAATGGCAGGCACTAAATGAATTATTTTACAATAAGCCTGTGTCCTTTTTATTAACTGTTCAGTGGAGAAGTTTGGAGTCTATAAACTTGTAATAAATGTGGCCTGTAAGAACTACAAATACTGGAAAGCTCTGAGGATGTAATTTCTAATTTGATGAAGAAAACATTCTCTTTAATTAACTTGGCAAGGAGAAGGCTTCAATAAAAAGAAAGGCAACTATGCCTGGGGCGGAGCTGGAGTGGAAATAAGATGGCAGACATTGGACGTCATTGAAGGCCTGGTGATGTGGTTTTAGTCCATGTGCCAAGAGCAAAAAGTTATTTAAAATATATTAGTTAGGGCCGGGTGCAGCGGCTCATGCCTATAATCCCAGCACCTTGGGAGACCAAGGGCGGGTGGATCATATGACGTCCGGAGTTCAAGACCAGCCTGACCCATGTGGTGAAACCGCATCTCTAATAAAAATACAAAAAAATTAGCTAGTGGTGGTGGCATGTGCCTGTAATCCCAGCAACCTGGGAGGCTGAGGAAGGAGAATCACTTGAACCTGGGAGGCAGAGGTTGCAGTGAGCTGAGATCATGCCACTGCACTCCAGCCTGGGTGACAGAGCAGGACTCCATCTCAAAAAAAAAAAAAAGAGTAAAAATATATTAGTTATTGGGGAATATCAGCATATATAAATGTGTCTTCAGGTAAAAGTGACAATAACCTGGATACAGACACATGGAAATAGGAAATTTTTTCAGGTGTTCAAGAGGGAGCAGTGAAATGTAACTTAGTGATATTGGGGCATGATAATGGGAGAAAATATTTCAAACCATATATACCATACCTGTGATAAGGAGTTTATATCCAAAATATATAAGGAACACTCACAACTCAAAAGCAAATATGGTAATAGTAATAACCCTATTAAAAAAGAGCAAAGGGGCTGGGCGTGGTGGCTCACACCTGTAATCCCAACAATTTGGGAGGCTGGGCAAAGTGGATCACCTGAGATCAGGGGGTCGAGACCAGCCTGGCCAAGATGGTGAAACCTCATCTCTACTAAAATACAAAAGTTAGCCGGGCGTGGTGGCTAATCACGCCTCCCCGGAAGGCGGAGGTTGCAGTGAGCCGAGATCGTGCCATCGCACTCCAGCCTGGGCAACAGAGTGAGAATCCATCTCAAAAACAACAACAACAACAAAAAAAAGTAAAGGGCCTGAATAGACTAATCATCTGGAAAATGCCAATCAAAATCACAGTGAGGTATCACTTCACATGTCTTAGGATTGCTATTATTAAAAAGACAAAAGGTAACAAGTGGTGAGGATGCGGAGGAAAAAAAATACCCCTGTACGTTGTTGTTGGGACAGTCAATTGGTAGAGCAATTATTTTTCTTAAAAATTCTAAAAAACATGGAGTTGCCTTACAAGTTATAATTTAATTTTACTCAAAACAATATGAGAATTAAAATTCTTTTTAATTTTAAAAATCAAAATGACCAAACAATCCAGCAATCCTACCTCTGAGTATGCGTCTGAAGGAAATGGGTATTTCCAAGAGCTATCTGCACTGCCACGCTTGCTGCAGTGTTATTCGCATCAGCCAAGGCACGTCAGCCGTATGAGGGTCCTTCATGATGCACGGATAAACACACTGTGAGACAGACAGACAGACTTCTCAGCGGCTGAGAGGGTTTTAGAGATCCTGACACCCAGAGAGGAACTGGGGACAGAAGAGGATGCAGCTTTCCATTACCAAAGCTGAGGAGGTCCGGAAGGAAGAGGAGAGGCCAGTGGGGCTCACCTGCAGGAGCCTGCTGAGACTCCGGAGCATGGTCCGTGGGAACGATTCTGATGCTTCTCAACCACGTGCTTCCTTAGCAGAGAACTGTCTAGATTAGCGGTTCCCAGTGTTTTTGGCACCAGGGACTGGTTTAGTGGAAGGCAGTTTTTCCACAGATGGGGGGATGGTTTCAGGATTAAACTGTTCCACCTGAGATCATCAGGCATTAGTTTGATCTCATAAAGAGCATGCAACCCAGATCCCTCGCATGCACAGTTCACAGTAGGGTTGGCATTCCTCTGAGATGCAGTGGCGCTGCTGATCTCACAGAAGGCAGAGCTCAGGTGGTCACGCGCACTCACCCACTGCTCACCTCCTGCTGTGCGGTCCAGTTCCTAACAGGCCACCCATGGGGACCGGTCTGCAGCCCAGGGGTGGGGATCCCTGGTCTAGATTAGTGCAGCTTGACTTTGGAAAAGAAACAAAAACCCTCTGATGTGGGCACAGCAGCCACATCACGCAGCCCCATGATGCCCAACTTAAGAGCTCCCCGCGGGCCCTCACTGGGTAAGGGAAGTAAGCAGCCCAGATCCTGCTACCCAGGAGACCACCTGCCACCACTTCAGAAAAGCCAGGGGATCTCCCTGCACTCTAGGTCTGAGGCCATTTGTGAAGACGTAGCTCAGGTACAGATTCAGCAGGCACATTCCCCGCTGACCCCAGAGCAGCTTTCTGGCCTCACCCAGCTCCGGGGCCTCTGTGCACCATGGTGCAGACCTTCCAGGCCTCGGCCACCCAGGCACCTCTGTCTTCCTGCTGAGGGGGGCTTCTCCCAGCCCCACTGGTGGGTCCCTGGGGCCCATCCCTGGATGAAGGAGAAGTTCAGAGCTCCTCCCACGACGGAGAGAGGCCCACCTCTTCCCCGGACAGGAGATAACGCCTGTATGCGGAGATGAGAGATTGTAATAAATAAAGACACAGACAAAGAGATGCCACCACGCCCAGCTAATTTTTGTATTTTTAGTAGAGACGGGGTTTCACCATGTTGGCCAGGATGGTTTCGATCTCTTGACCTCATGATCCACCCACCTTGGCTTTCCAAAGCGCTGGGATTACAGGTGTGAGCCACCACGCCCGGCCTGTGCTGCATTCTTAGCATTGCACCATCCAGCATTTGGTGACTATTCAGGGTCAGAAGCTTGTCTCTTTCTGCCTGTTTGCAGCCACACTTCACCCCACCATCCTTAGCACCTTTACCCACCCCTGCGTCTACTGACCCTTCTTGCTGGAATCCACGTACGTTGGTGACTTAAATCCTTGCATGCAACAGGAGTAAAAGAGTTTTAGGCCAGGTACGGTGGCTCACGTCTGTAATCCCAGCACTTTGGGAGGCCCAAGTGGGCAGATCACTTGAGCCCAGGAGTTTGAGACCAGCCTGAGAAACATGGCAAGACCTTGCCTCTACAAAATACAAAAATAAAAATAGCCCATGGTGATGAGGCACACCTGTAGTCCCAGCTACTTCAGAGGCTGAGATGGGAGGATTGTTGGAGCCCGGGGTGGGGAGGTTGCACTGAGCCAAGTTGGCACCATTGCATTCCAGCCTGGCCGACAGAGTGAGATCCCATCTGAAAAAAAAAAGTAGGACTTTCAGTGTCTTCCTCCCAAAAACTTCTAAGCTGATTCCACTTTTTCCCCAGAGCTGCTGCAGTGCGGTGTGGGTGGAGGGAGGGATCAGGAGGTACAGAAGGAAACAGTGACCCCTGCTGGCAAGCACAGCACTAACAAGGCTCGTTTCATTAGCGTTTACCACAGCCTGTTGGCCGCTGTCAGCTCAACCCCATGAACTCAGTGTCAGCTTCGGGGACTCCTTGTCCTTTCCTGCTCCTGCCAGGAAGAGAATGAGCAACAGATAAATCACATTCGGACAGTTCATTTCAATCCTCCCTCTCACACAACAGTCCCATTCAAGGGTTATAGAATGGAGGAATCTTGGTCGGGCACTGTGGCTCAAGCCTGTTATCCCAGCACTTTGGGAGGCTGAGGTGGGCGGATCACCTGAGGTCAAGAGTTTGAGACCAGCCTGAACAACATGGTGAAACCCCGTCTCTACTAAAAAATACAAAATTAGCCAGGCTTGGTGGCGCATGCCTGTAATCCCAGCTATTTGGGAGGCTGAGGCAGGAGAATCACTTGAACCTGGGAGGCAGAGGTTGCAGTGAGCCGAGATCGTACCATTGCACTCCAGCCTAGGCAACAAGAATGAAACTCCGTCTCAAAAAAAAAAAAAAAAAAGAATGGAGAAGTCTTACTGTCATTTCACCTCAGTTTGGGTGAGAATTCGCTGCTTGTTCCAGAGAGCCATTTTCTGCCTACTAACCACGCCAGTGAAGAATCTTTCTACCTTCCTCTTACACAAAGTCATATCTGTCTCAGCATCACCAAAACTATCAGAAATTGCAAAATGTTTTAGATTTTTTTTTGAGACAGAGTATCACTCTTGTCACACAGAATGGAGTGCTGTGGCGCGATCTCGGTTCACCGCAACCACCGCCTCCTGGATTCAAGTGATTCTGCTGCCTCAGCCTCCCAAGTAGCTCGGATTACAGGCAAGTGCCACCATGCCTGGCTAATGTTTTTTCTTTTTTCTTTTCTTTTTTTTTTTTTTTTAGTAGAGATGAGGTTTCTCCATGTTTGTCAGGCTGGTCTCAAATTCTCGACCTCAGTTAATCCGTCTGCTTCGGCCCTCCAAAGTGCTGGGATTACAGGCGTGAGCCACCGCGCCTGGCCAGTTTTAGATTTTTACCTTACTTACAAGCCAACAAGTTAGACTGTCAGTTTATGGATGTTGGCTGAAGGCATGAGATTTCTGGATCCGACAAAACATATATTTTATTATTTGTCACATAAATTACAGCAAGAGCTTCGCATCTGCGCACATTCCCCCATCTGCTCCAAGGGACACAGAAATGAGGTATGTATATTTGTGCACCGTGACTTTCTTATATCGTTTACGTTTCAGTATCTTCCTCTCCAAAACCTCTAAGCTGATTCCACTTTTTCCACAGAGCTGCTCCAGGGCGGTGTGGTTGGAGGGGGGATCAGGAGGTACAGAATAAAACAGTGGCCCCTGCTGGCAAGCACAGCACTAACAAGCCTCGTTTCATAACCGTGTTTATGGGTCTCTAGAGATCAATGAAGAAACATAAACATTGTACAAACATGTCCAATTCACATATTTCTGATAAGATTAGGGGGTTTTGTGTTACTTATCTAAGCAAAGCAAAGCTTGGATACACAGGAGTCTCCACTCATGAGAAGAAAGCGGCTGACAGTTGGGAAACCTGCACTGATCATTGCAGAGATGTTCACCACCAGCTGACTGGGATTATTCAAAAGAGCCAAACAAACTTGAAAGGTGAAGAGAGAGTGTAAAAGGACACAAACGTGCTCACCAGGAGGATGGTTTTGGTAGCTCCGGACTCAGGGGAGGATGTGGGGGACACGCTGGTCCTATGAATGTGCTGGACCCGCCGCTTGTGCCTGTGCAGGATGCAAACGATGGAGCTGCTGCCCCAGAGCATGAGCCCCAGGCAGATCACATCAGGGAAGGACAGCAGTGCCGCGTCAGCGACTCTCTGGTGCCCTCGTGATCAGCAGCAGAACAGTATCCCAGATCTTTTGTCTTCGTGGTATTTTTGTTGCTCCACTTGCCGGTCACGTGCATGAGAACAATGATATTGACCAGGGAGGAGCCAGCTGAGGAACACACAGGAGCCAGCGTGCTTGGGGGCGTTCCCTTTAAGCTCTGCCCACCTGAGCTCCTGGGGCTGATGGTGATGGCCTGGGAGACACTCAGGAGGCAGGTGCTGCCAATGGACACTCCCCTGACAACTCTGTGGACACAAAAAAGAAATTTACATCCAGAATCACTCCGGAAATGCCTAAACCCAAAAGCTGCCATTGTCTGTGGGACTCCTCTAGGGAGGAGGAATAACGTGTTGGCTACAATTAGGTGTCTGATCATCAAATCTGTGGACCTTAACCTGCACCCAGTGATGTAAAAGGACAGATAATGGTAAATAAGATAGAAATTCCCAGGATTCCAAGTACAGTCTGTGATAAGAAGATCATTCCCATGGCCACATCCCAGCAGCCATTCTGTCAGTTCTCACAGGCTGCTACTTATCTTCAGAGACACAGGATCCTGCAGGGAACGTGATGCATGAGTGACATTAAAAAGGCAGCTGGTACTTGGTGGGGGCTGAGGTAGGAGGATCCCTTGAACTCAGGAGGTTGAGGCTGCAGTGAGGCAAGATCGCGCCACTGCACGCCAGCCTGGATGATAAAGTGACACCGTCTCAAAATAAATAAATAAGTAAATATATAAAAATAAAAATAAAAATAAACCCAGCTGAAATGCAACAGAAATAATAAAGTTACTTTCTAGTATGAAGAATTCGCCATATTTGGATGTGTCCTATTTTAAGTGTATTTGCAATGAATTGCTCTTTGCTGTGAAGAACAGACATGTATTCACCTCCATATTCTTCATAATCGATGAGCCAGGTACCACCATTATAAAGACAAAGAGGACTCAAGCACAGAGAGGTGACATGATTTGTGTAAATTCACACCATGTTTGGGGTAGAATGGGGACTGATCTTGTCTGGGCTGATTTCAGAGTGCATTAACCACCATGCTCTACTGTCAAAGCCAGTTAGCGGGGTTCTTCCAATAATGAACATACATATTTAATTTCTATTTTATACCTGGTCTTTATATTTTACACAGGTGACATTTAATTTCATAATTTTATTTTTCACCGGTTTCCATTGACATGTAAAACATTACCCCAGAGGCTGATACCAATTATGAATAAATCTTTAAAGACCTTGATAAAATGTAGATACACTGATTGGAGTATAAAATTACAGGAATCTGCCTCATGACTAAAGTAGGTTTAAAAAGTCGACCCCATATCAGGACAGCCACACAGAGACTCATTTCTTCTTATGCCAGGAAGGAAAGTACGATGGCACCTACCACAGGAATTAATGGACATTCTGATATCATGTCTTAACTACATGACGTGAAACACTAGGGCATCATAAAATAAAGTAGGGTAGAAATTAAATTATCATGGCTGGGCGTGGTGGCTCATGCCTGTAATCCCAGCACTTTGGGAGGCAAAGGTGGGCGGATCACCTGAGGTTGGGAGTTTGAGACCAGCCTGACCAACATGGAGAAACCCCATCTCTACTAAAACACAAAAATTAGCCAGGAATAGTGGCAGGCACCTGTAAGCCCAGCTACTAGGGAGGCTGAGGCAGGAGAATTGCTTGAAACCAGAAGGCAGAGGTAGCAGTGAACCGGGATCGTGCCACTGCACTCCAGCCCGGGTAACAAGAGTGAAACTCCGTCTCAAAAAAAAAAAATAAATAAATAAAATTAAATTATGTCTATTTTCTGAAGGGGGCCAGCCCCTCTACACCTGTGGATGTTTCTTGTCAGTTGGGACGAGAGGCTGAGAAAAGAAATAAGAGACAGAGACAAAGTATAGAAAAAGAACAGTGGGCCCAGGGGACCGGCACTCAGCATAAGGAGGTCCTGCGCCAGCACTGGTTGCTGAGTTCCCTCAGTATTTGTTGATCACTATCTCTACCATCTCCGAGAGGGGGATGTGGCGGGACAATAGGGTAATAGTGGGGAGAGGGTCAGCAGGAAAACATGTGAGCGAAGGTGTCTCTGTCATAAGTAAGTTTAAGGAAAGGTGCTGTGCTTTGATGCGCACGTACACAAACATCTCTGTGCAGTAAAGAGCAGTATTGCCGCCAGCATGTCTCACCTCCAGCCCTGAGGCGGTTTTCTCCTATCTCAGTAAATAGAACATACAACCAGGTTTTACACTGAGACATTCCATTCCCAGGGATGAGCTGGAGACAGATGCCTTCCTCTTATCTCAACTGCAAAGAGGCCTTCCTCTTTCACTAATCCTCCTCAGCACAGACCCTTTATGGGTGTCGGGGTAGGGGTCTTTCCCTTCCCATGAGGCCATATCTCAGGCTATCACATGGGGAGAAACCTTGGACAATACCTGGCTTTCCTAGGCAGAGGTCCCTGTGGCCTTCCACAGGGTATTGTGTCCCTGGGTACTCGAGACTGGAGAATGGCGATGACTTTTACCAAGCATACTGCCTGCAAGCACTTTTTTAACAAAGCACAGCCTGCACAGCCCTAAATCCATTAAACCTTGAGTCAACACAGCATACGTCTCTGCAATGACAGGGTTGGGGCTAGGGTTACAGATTAACAGCATTTCAAGGCAGAGGAATTTTTCTTAGTACAGAACAAAATGGAGTCTCTTATGTCTACTTCTTTCTACATAGACACAGTAAGAGTCTGATCTCTCCTTCTTTTCCCCACAATTTTCAGTTCATATACTCATCAATTAATGAATACATAAATTGAGTAAAACAATAAGTGTTGAGGTGAGTTTTGTAAAAGGTGTTAATATAGAACATATATAAAAAATTAAATCTGTAAGGCATGGAATCTTGTGCATTTGATAAACTGAAATGGTAGATTTGGATTTGATTACATTTATTTATTTATATTTTATTTTTTGAGATGGATACTTGCTCTGTCACCAGGCTGGAGTGCAGTGGTGCGATCTTGGCTCACCGCAACTTCTGACTCCCTGGTTTAAGCATTTCTCCTGCCTCAGCCTCCTGAGTAGCTGGGATTACAGGCATGCGCCACCACGCCAAGCTAATTTTTGTATTTTTAGTAGAGATGGGGATTCACCAAGTTGGCCAGGGTGGTCTCAATCTCCTGACCTTGTGATCTGCCCGCCTCGGTCTCCCAAAGTGCTGGGATTACAGGCATGAGCCACTGCACCCGGCCACATTTATTTATTTATTTTATTATTATTTTTGAGACGGAATCTGGCTGTGTTGCCCAGGCTGGAGTGCAGTGGCATGGTCTCGGCTCACCACAACCTTCGCCTTCCTGGGTTCAAGAAATTCTCCCTGCTTCATCCTCTCAACTAGCTGGGATTACAGGCGCCTGCCACCATGCCCAGGTAATCGTTTGTAGTTTTAGTGGAGATGGGGTTTCGCCATGTTGGCCAGGCTGGTCTCGAACTCCTGACCTCAGGTGATCCACCCGCCTCGGCCTCCTAAAGTGCTGGGATTACAGGTGTGAGCCACTGCCCCGGCCACATTTATTTATTTTTAATTGGCCAATAATTGTGTCTATTTAGGGGATATAATGGGATGTTTTGATCTCTGTATACATTGTAGAAAGATTCAATCAAGCTAATTAACGTATGCATCACCTCACCAACTTACCGAATTGTTGTGATCAGAGCCGGATATTAGACTTTCTTTTAAGCCAGACAACAGCATTACAATTCAAGACTGACAACTGCTATCTAAAACTGATTATTAAAACTTTCCTGTTCCCTAAATGTTGCCTTCCTAACTTCAAGACTGAAAAGAGTCTCACCATAATCAACAGACTCCTTATGTTTTCAATAGAGAAACAATGACTCTCCATTTAGCCCTTCAAAGAGGAGACTTTGAGATAACATTTCTAGCCCCAGAACTGCCACTTGAGGGTGTGGATTCTGCACAGAATTAGGTAATTCTTGTAGATTTATCCCAATCATTTCCAGTATGTGGGTCATAAGGGCATACTTCTAATTATCCTTAAAACTCTTTCTATGATTTGTGTAAAGTAGGCTGAACCACAGATAGATTTTAGAATTCCAGTCTTCAAGCACCTTAAAACCCAGGTTTCATTATCATGTGGATTAAACACCAAAAAAATCATTATTATTGAAGGATTAAACTAAACTACATTAGGAGCTATCAGGGACTGGTATAGGGTCTACAGTCCCCAACTCTCTTTCCTGGCTCAACTCATGCCTCAGGAATTATTCCTCCTTCCTGTGTGGCTTTGACATTAAACTAGTTTCAAACCCCTAAGATTCGCTTTTCTTGATGTGATCACTTATCTGGACTTTTTTTTTTTTTTTTTTTTTCCTCCCACAACGGAGTTTCGCTCTTATGCCCAGGCTGGAGTGAAGTAGAGTGATCTCGGCTCACAGCAACCTCCGCCCCCCAGGTTCTAGCGATTCTCCTGTCTCAGCCTCCAGAGTAGCTGGGATTACAGGGGCCCACCACTAAGCCCGGCTAATTTTTGTATTTTTAGTACAGATGGGTTTTGCCATGTCGGGCAGGCTGGTCTCCAACTCCTGACCTCAGGTGATCCACCGCCCCCCCCACCATTGGCCTCCCAAAGTGTTAGGATTACGGGCATGAGCCCCGATGCCCGGCCATATCTGGACTTCTTATATACCTCCTTCTATTCCATACTCTACCTGTCAAAGTGAAGTATAAAACAGTCACCTCACCCATCCTTCTGTCTGGATGGTGAGCTCAGTGTGCTGGTCATGCCAGTCAGTATTATATGAGAGGGCAGCAGCCAGGCTGCTAGATATGGGATTGTGGTTCTGTGTACTCACCTGCTGTCACAACCGCAATGATCATTTTACCTGTCACAGCTATGACAGTGCAGTCCTAGGATGCTACTATATTTTTATTTATTTATTTAGAGATGGAGTCTCACTCTGTCACCCAGGCTGGAATGCAGTGGCCCGAATAGCTGGGACTACAGGCACCCGCCACCACGCCCGGCTAATTTTTTCTATTTTCAGTAGAGAAGGGGTTTCACCATGTTAGCCAGGATGGTCTCGATCTCCTGACCCGTGATCCTCCCGCCTTGGCCTCCCAAAGTGCTGGGATTACAGGCGTGAGCCACCGTGCCCAGCCAGGACGCTATTATATTTTTAAAACTTTTATTTCCCTGTTATAATTACCAAGAAAACATGTACTAATTCGCGGGTAGCATCTCCAAAGGGATTTTGGAGTGTCTGGGGAGATTCTTTCTTCTCCTTGATCCCTGGAGGCAGAGAGGGTCTCACAAGAAGGAAGCAGGAAATACTGAGCTCTGGTACATCAGGGACTGAACGCACACTACGTATGTCTCAGTGGATTCTCTGCCTCCCTGAGAAGTCTTTCCACCCAAAGTAGATTTCCTTATAATATTTAGACCTTTGATCTTTTAAGTTATATGCAGATAAATGGAATCAGGCAAAGTACCTAAGAAGGATTTTGAAAGACATGAAAGGAAGTAAAAGGAAGAACATGAAGCCGTTAGTTTACATTAGAAATTTTTGAATTCCCACTCTGCTTTCCACAAAATAGACCTAAAGAGAGATATATCCTTCGACCCAGCAATCTCATTACAGGATATATGCCTAAAGGAATATAAATTGTTCTATTGTAAAGACGCATGCACGTGTATGTTCGTTGCAGCACTATTCACAATAGCAAACATGAAGTCAACCAAAATGCCCATCACCCATGGACTGGATAAAGAAAATGTGGTACCTATACACCATGGAATACTATGCAGCCATAAAAAAGAACGAGATCATGTCCTTTGCAGGGACATGGATGGAGCTGGAGGCCATTTTCCTTAGCAAAGTAACACAGGAACACAAACCCAAATGCCACATGTTCTCACTTATAAGAGGGAGGTAAATGATGAGAAGACAGATACATAGAGGGGAACAACACACACTGGGGCCTATTGGAGGGCATAGGGTGGGAGAAGGGAGAGGATCAGGAAATATGATTAGTGGGCACTAGAATTTATATCCTGGTGATGAAGTGATCTGTACAACAAACTCCCATGACACACGTTTACCTATGTAACAGACCTGCACATGTACCCCTGAACTTAAAAGTCTTTTAAAAATGAAAGAAACCTGGTCGGGCATAGTGGCTCACGTCTGTAATCCTAGCACTTTGGGAGGCCTAGGTAGGCAGATCACCTGAGGTCAAGAGTTAGGGACCGGCCTGGCCAACATGGTGAAACCTCGTCTCTACCAAAAAGACAAAAATTAGCTGGACGTGGTGGTGCGCGCCTGTAATCCCAGCTACCTGGAAGGCTGAGAGAGGAGAATTGCTCAAACCTGCGAGGCAGAGGTTGCAGTGAGCTGAGATCACAACACTGCTCCCCAGCCTGGGCTACAGAGCGAGACTTGGTCTCAGAAAAAAAAAAAAGAAAAGAAATCAATGGACACGTGAGCACAACTGAATACCAAATAATATAGAAATTTCATAGAAACGTAGAGTTTACCAATATTTAAATATATATTACTATATAATTATATTGATGTATAGTTAATTATATTGATGTATAGTTATATAACTATGTAAAATAGAGTATTACAAATACAGTTTATCAATATATAGTATACAAATTTCTCTTAACCGAAATATCCCAGACGGTAATAATTTTCTAGCTAGATTGACAAATTATTTTCTCAGTGCAAAAAGGTTTACTGGTCCTATAATGTTGTAGGCAGGTCTCCAACTCCTGGTGCTAATCTTGTTTATGTTACCTGCAAAAAGGAATTTGTCTGGTAATTTATTAATTAATGAAGGCTACTAGTCATTTGAATTTTATTTTATTTTTTGAGACTGAGTTTCGCTCTGTCGGCCAGGTGGGAGTACATTGGTGCGATCTCGGCTCACTGCATCCTCTGCCTCTTGCGTTCAAGCGATCCTCCTACCTCAGCCTCCTGAGTAGGTGGGACTAAAGGCACCCGCTACCATGCCTGGCCTCATTTGACTTTGAAAGAAAAAACTGTGTGTAATGCCAGCATTTTGAAAGGCCGAGGTGGGTGGATCACTTGAGGTCAGGAGTTCAAGACCAGCCTGGCCAACATGGTGAAACCCCATCTCTACTAAAAATATAAAAATTAGCCAGCACGGTGGTGCACGCCTGTAATCCCAGCTACTCGGGGGGCTGAGGCAGGAGAATCACTTTAACCTGGGAGGCAGAGGTTGCAGTGAGCAGAGAAGGCACCACTGCACTGCAGCCTGGTTGACAGAGCCAGACTCAGTCTCAAAAACAAAAAACAAAAAACAAAACAAAACAAAAGAAAGTTATCTTGGATTATCTGGGTGGGTCCTATGTGTCCTTGAAGCAGAAATATATGTCAGAGAGATGCAATAGTGGAGGAAGTCAGGACTCAGGAGCACGAGAGTAATTTCACATGCTGTATTTTGAAAATATGGGGACCAGGAGAAAGAAATGAATTCTGACAACAATCTGAATGAGCTTAGAAGAGAATTCTGCCCCCACAGTCTCAAGAGTCGATCCCATGGCTTTGACCTTGATTTTGGCCTGGTGAGACTAGACAGAGTACCCAGAAAAACCTGACACATTTTTCATCTGTGAACTGTGAGAAAATAAATGAGTGCTGTAGTAAACTGCTGGCTATACTGTGGTAATTCATTAGAAAGTTAATACACACCTCAACAAACGTAATAAAATATTTAAACACTAAAATAAAAAGTAGTCATTTATATCTACACATAATTTTCACCAGTTTGAGGTGTATCCTTCTGCCTACACAATTTCATAGAATATCTAAAATTGCATCTGAAATCACATACAACATATATATGTATATACACACCATTCAGATATTCTGTTCACTATTAAATATTTAAATATATATTTGCAGAGTTACATTTCTGTCTAATTCAATAGCTTTCACCAATCAGTGATGTTTTCTTTTTCTTTTTCTTTTCTTTTTTTTTTTCGAGATGGAGTTTCACTCTTGTTGCCCAGGCTGGAGTGCAATGGCGTGATTTCCGCTTACCCCAACCTCTGCCAACTGGCTTCAAGTGATTCTCCTGCCTCAGCCTCTGGAGAAGCTGGGATTACAGGCATGTGCCACCATGCCAGGCTAATTTTGTACTTTTAGTAGAGACAAGTTTCACCATGTTGGTCAGGCTGGTCTCAAACTCCCGACCTCAGGTGATCTGCCTGCCTCAACCTCCCAAAGTGCTGGGATTACAGGTGTAAGCCACCGTGCGTGGCCAATCAGTGATGTTTTCATAACAGTTGCAATAGATCTACGCATTTTTTAAAATGCCACATCAGATTCCATGGTGACTGTGAATAAACCATGTCATTGCAGCACTCCCTGTTTACACATTGACAGAGCTGAGTGTGTCCATCTGTGCCCTGCCAGAGCACACATCACACCATGTGGATCACACTGATTGAGCACCTGTGGTGACCTGTGTGGTCCTTGGATAGAGGATTATTGGACCATGGCGACTGCACATTCTCCCCAAGACAGACAACTGATAACAGACCTTAGAATAGCCATAAAATGCCACATCCCAACAAATGCGCACCCAGGTAACTCCACCCAGTACTGCCTTCTCTAGGCCCCTGTCATCCCGTAGAAGGCCAGAAAAGAATGGGATTTGCAAGAAAGTCTATAAGGTAGTTTTCACTGGGAGCCCGCAGTTTGTGGAGGGAAATGGGAACTGCTTTATATGGGCTTTTCCCCGGGGGGGGGGGGGGGGGGGGTGTGTGTGTGTGTGTGTGTGTGTGTGTGTGTGTGTGTGTGTGTGTGTGTGTGTGGTGGGGAGGGTCAGTCCATCCTATATCCCCACTGCTGTAGGAAAATGTGGGGGCATCTCTGGGAAGGCACCCGAAGACAGAGTAGAAACTCACATATTGCTCTCCATGTAGCAACTTATCATACCTGGTTCTCCCCTGTGGCAAAGGATTTTTATATCATACCATGTTTGCTGCAAGTTTCTTTTTTTTTTTTTTGAGATGGAGTCTCACTCTGTCGTCCAGGTTGGAGTGCAGTAGCGCGATCTCGGCTCACTGCAACTTCCGCCTCCTGGGTTCAAGCGATTCTCCTGCCTCACCCTCCCGAGTAGCTGGGATGACAGGCATGTGCCACCATGCCTTGCCAAGTTTTGTGTTTTTAGTAGAGACGGGATATCTCCATGTTAGTCAGGCTGGTCTCAAAGTCCCAACCTCAGGTGATCCGCCCGCCTCAGCCTCCCAACGTGGTGGGATTAGCGGCATGAGCCACCGTGCCCGGCCTCTATGTAGCTTTTTTTTTTTTTTTTTTGTCTTTCTAGCTATCTTGTTTAAGAATAAAATGGAAGGCAGGTTTGTCTGCTGCAGTTCCCAGCTTGACTTTTCTCTTTGGCTTAGTAATTTTTATTTTCCTTTCACAAGCTTGTGACAGACATAATGCTTTGACACACTGACATTGTTTTATGTAGATTTTTCCAATATAGTAAAGTCCAAGGGTCTGTCGTGAACTGGGTTACAGGAGACGAGAAGATTCCCAGGAGACTCCTGGTCTCAGCCAATCCTCTCACCTCAGCCTCCCAAAGTGCAAGGATCACAGGTGTGATCCACTGACCCAGTGGAGTTAAAAAAAAAAAAAAAAAAACCTAAAAAGCAATACAGAAACTAAGGTACTCTATGCAATTACATCATTTGACTTTTTTTTTAAATGAAAAGCCTCACATATTTATTACTGAACCCAGCCAACCAACATGTTCCTAACAGATTCAGAGAGAAAAAATATATTCCCAATAAAACATGTCCAACTCTCCAGATAGTGGTGACATTTTCAGCTTGATATGGTAACATGATTGTAATGCTCAGACAGCATAAATATGTGTGCCATCTCACGTGCAATTCCTTATAGACCCAGCTTGATTCTTCTCCAATGTCTCCTTTTAAAGTTGTACCTGATTTTATTACCAGTTTTGATCTGAATCCACTGGGGAATGGAACGGTTTTGCTTTTGTTTCTTGGCCAGGAATCGCTTAATCCTGAAAGTCTTATAAGAAGATCTGGTGAGAGGCAGAGTCAAGTACACACCACAAGGGGAGAGAGGAAGAGAAGAGGCTTGACATCTTTTTTTTTTTCTTTTTGAGACAAAGTTTCGCTCTTGTTGCGCAGGCTGGAGTGCAATGGCGCCATCTCGGCTCACTGCAACCTCTGCCTCTGAGGTTCAAGTGATTCTCTGGCTTCAGCCTTCCCAGTAACTGGGATTACTGGCATCTGCCACCATACCCAGTTAATTTTTGTATTTTTAGTAGAGACGGGGTTTCACCATGTTAACCAGCCTGTTCTCGAACTCCTGACTACTATTTCTGCTGTTACCTGTCAGTCCTCTTCATTGCGGCACAAACAAGGTTAATTTTTTTTTGTAAAACTGATGTGGGCCAGGTGCAGTGGCTCATGCCTGTAATCCCAGCACTTTGGGAGGCCGAGGCGGGTGGATCACGAGGTCACGAGTTCAAGACCAGCCTGGCCAATATGGTGAAACCCCATCTCTACTAAAAATACAAAAATTAGCAGGGTGTGGTGACACTGCATCTGATCTCATCATAAATTTGATGTTTCTTTTTGTTTCAATTTTAGCAGAATTTATTTTACTTTGATAGAGTCTCTTTTCAAACTTATGTCTTATCCTTCTGAGTGCCTTCAACTACAGCCTGTTCAGACATGTTATAACAGACTTGTACCAGTTTAATTTGGTGCAAAAACTGTGAAATTCATGCACAATTTTCTCATAATATGTATTTTTCCATGAACTTCATCAAGATCCCTTGTACTAGAAAACTGTATTCAAGAGGATGTAAAAAGGATTGTAGATATTCAAGTGCCACTTATTTCTGGGATGCAAGGATGGTTCAACATATTCAAGCAAATCAATGTGATATGCCACTTGAACAGAATGAAAGATGAAAACCACATCATCTTAATAGAGGGAGAAAAAGCATTTCACAAAATTCAAAATCCAGTCATCATAGAAATCCTAAACAAAATAGATAGAAAGGAAATTTACCTAAACAATAGAAAGACCATCCATGAAATGACCAATGAGTGAATAATCAAGTAGGGAAAATGGAATGCCTTTCCTGGAGGATCTCACATGATGCAAGAGTGCTCTCACCCCTTCTATTCAATCAATACTGGCTGTCCTAGCTAGAGCAATTAAATAGCAGAAGAAATCAAACTCATCGAAATCAGAAAGAAAGAAGTAAAATTATATTTGTTTGTAGACGACATGATCTTCTGTGCAGAAAATCACAAAGAGTCAACCAAAATACTACTGGAACTAAGTAACATATTCAGTGGATTTGCACAATACAGTATCAGCACCAAAAATTAGTTGAATTTCCATACTTTTAACAACAAACAACTTTAAAAGAAAATTTTAAAACACTTCCATTGGCTGGAGAACTTAAAGTAAGAAATACTTAGAAATAAACGTAAAAAGGTCAGAGGTTTTTACCTTGAAATCTACAAACATTGATCAAAATGATTAGAAACATAGAGCTACAACCCATACTTATGGTTTGGAAAAATTAATATTGTTAAATGATTATATAACCCAATGTGATTTAGATTCAACACGGTACCCATAAAAATCCTTATCACTGGGGCTGGGCGCAGTGGCTCACGCCTGTAATCCCAGCACTTTGGGAGGCCGAGGTGGGTGGATCATCTGAGGCTGGGAGTTCAAGACCAGCCTAACCAACATGGAGAAACCCCATCTCTACTAAAAATACAAAATTAGCTGGGCGTGGTGGCTCATGCCTGTAATCCTAGCTACTCTGGAGGCTGAGGCAGGAGAATTGCTTGAACCTGGGAGGCGGAGGTTGTAGTGAGCTGGGATCGCTCCATTGCAGTCCAGCCTGGGCAACAAGAGTGAAACTCCATCTCAAAAAAAAAAAAAAAAATCCCTATCAGTTTTTGTTAAAGAAACAAAAAACAGGCTGGGAAAATGGCTCACGTCTGTTGGCCAGGCTGACCTCAAACTCCTGAACTCAAGTGATCTACCGGTGCTGGCCTCCCAAAGCGCTCAGATTACAGGTGTGAGCCACTGTGCCTGGCCCAGTCCTCTTAACATAAACACTTTAATGTCAATTAAGGCTTCAACTCAATGTTAAGTCAAACTCAAGTCAATGCTGAACTGACTCTAGTGTCAATTAATGCTTGATGGTTTGCTATACACATTGTATTTGGAACAACTATCTCCAAAATGAATTTTCTGATATCCTGCAAGGAGTGAGCTCAGACTGAAGACTTTGGCACACTGATGACATTTATAAGATTTCTGTCCAGTATGCATTCTCTGATGTCTAGTGAGGTGTGAATGTGAATTAAAGGCTTTGCCGCAATCATCACACTTGTGAGGTTTCTCTCCTGTATGAATTCTCCTATGTTTTGCATAGAATGAAGCTTGACTGAGACCTTGTCACAATCATGACATTTGTAAGGTTTCTCTCCAGTACGAGTTCGCCGATGAACTGCAAGTTATGAACAATGTCTGAAAAATTTGCCAAATTTATTAAACTAGTATGATCTCTCTTCATTATGGATTCTCCAATGATTCGCAATGGTTGTAGTGTAACTGAAGACTTTGTGACAATCATTACATAAGTAAAGTTTCCCTACACCATGGATTGCCTGATGGTAAACAAGTGTTGACTGCCCACTAAAGACCTGTCACATTCATTATACTTGTAAGCTTTCTCTCCAATGTGAATTCTAGGATGTTGTGCCAGGTGCGAATTATGCCTGAAAGCCTTGTCACAAACTCTTACATTTTTATGCTATCTCTCCAGTAGGAATTCTCCTGTGTCTTTCAAGGTTTGAGTGTGACTGAAAACTTGGTGACATTCTTCACATATGTAAGCTTTCTCTCCAGTATGAATTCTCCTGTCTTTGGAGGCTTGATTTGCGACTGTAAACTTTGTCACATGCTTCACATTTGTAACGTTTATCTCCAGTATGAATTCTATGATGATGTGCAAGCTTTGCTTTTTGATTTAAAACCTTGCCACGTTCATTACACTGCTAAGGTTTCTCTCTAGTATGAATTCTATGACTATCAAGGTTTGATTTGAATCTGAAAGCTTCATCACATTCTTCACATTTGTAAGGTTTCTAATACGACTTCACCCATGAACTGCAAAGGTATGAAGGATGTCTGAAAAATTTTCTGCATTTATTCTGCATTTATCACACTTGTAGGATCTCTCTTCATTATGGATTCTCCAATGATTTGCAATAGTTGTAGCATTACTCAAGACTTGGTGACAATCATTACATTTGTAAAATGCTGACTGCCCATGAAAGGTTTTTCTACACTCATTATCCTTGTAAGGTACCTCTCCAGTATGAAGTCTACGATGGTGCGTAAGGTATGACTTCAGACTAAAGGTCTTGCCACACTCACTACACTTTTAAGGTATCTCTCCAGTATGAAGTCTATGATGGCATGTAAGGTATGAGTTCTGACTAAAGGTCTTGCCACACTCATTACATTTGTAAGGTATCCTCCAGTATGAAGTCTACGATGGCGTGTAAGGTATGAGTTCTGACTAAAGGTCTTGCCACACTCATTACACTTGTATGGTTTCTCTCCAGTATGAATTCTCCTTTGTCTTTCAAGGTTTGATTTGAAATGGAAAACTCAAATTCTTCACATTTGTAAGGTTTCTCTCCAGTACGAAGTCTACAATGGCATGTAAGGGATGAGGTCTGGCTGAAGGTCTTGCCACACTCATTACACCTGTAAGGTTTCTCACCAGTGTGAATTCTCCTATGTCTTTCAAGGTTGGATTTGAAACAGAAAGCTTCTTCACATTCTTCACATTTGTAAGGTCTCTCCACTATGAAGTTTATGATGGTACACAAAAGATGACGTATGACTCAAGGTCTTGCCACACTCATTACACTTGTAAGATTCTCTTCAGTACGAATTTTCTGATGTATTTCAAGGTTTGATTTGAAATTGTAAGCTTTGTCAAGTTCTTCATATTTGTAAGGTTTCTCTCCACTATGAAGCCTACGATGGCATGTAAGGGTTAACTCCTGATTGAAGGTCTTACCACACTCATTACACGTGTAGTTTCTCTCCAGTATAAATTCTCCTATGTCTTTCAAGGTTTGATTTGAAACTGAAAGCTTCATCACAATCTTCACATTTGTAAGGTTTCTGTCCAGTATGAAGTCTATGATGGTATGTAAGGGATGACGTCCGGCTGAAGGTCTTGCCACACTCATTACACTTGTAAGGATTCTCTTCAGTATGAATTTTCTGATGTATTTCAAGGTTTGATTTGAAACTGTAGGCTTTGTCACATTCTTCACATTTGTAAGGTTTCTCTCCACTATGAAGTCTACAAATGTTAAGGGTTAACTGCTGATTGAAGGTCTTGCCACACTCATTACACTTGTAAGGTTTCTCTTCAGTATGAAGTCTACGATGGTATGTAAGAGATGACTTGTGACTAAAGGTCTTGCTACACTCATTACACTTGTAAGGTTTCTCTCCAGTATGAACTCTATGATGGCATGTAAAATGTGACTTCCGACTAAAGGTCTTGCCACACTCATTACACTTGTAAGGTTTCTCTCCAGTATGAAGCCTACGATGGCATGTAAGGTACGACTTCTGACTAAAGGTCTTGCCACACTCATTACACTTGTACGGTTTCTCTCCAGTATGAATTCTCCTATGTATTTGAAGCTTTGATTTGAAATGGAAAGCTTTGTCACATTCTTCACATTTGTAAGGTTTCTCTCCAGTATGAAGTCTACGATGGCATGTTAGGTAATATGTCTGACTGAAGGTCTTGCCACACTCATTACACTTGTAAGGTTTCTCACCAGTGTGACATCTACGATGGCGTGCAACGTATCGCTTCGAATTAAAGACCTTGCCACATATATCGCATTTATATTGTTTCTCTCCTAAATGGATTAACTGATGTTTCCTTAAGAGTGAGCTACAATTATAGGCTTTGCCACTGTCATTGCATTGGAAAGATTTTTCCCTCATATGTACTTCCTGTTTTTGTGTGAATAATGAAGAATTCAGGAAATTATTCCCATAGTCATTAGAAATATGGGTTTCAGGCCTACAAGAAATTCTTTGGGCTGTTGAAACCAAGGAAGCATCGTGGATAGACTTCACAACTTGATTATCAATTTTCTCTTCAGTGTGAAATATGTGCAGTTCAGGCAGATGCGAATGAAAGCTGAATCCAAGCTGATATTTAACAGGCTTGTTTCCAGCATAATTTTGATCATATCGCTCTGTACTACCTGTCAACTTTTTGATTTTTGTCATGAGTGCTTCATGGCCATTTCTTTCATCTTCTTGCCACTGAAACTCAATGTCATGAATATCTTTATCAATATCCTGGAAACAAAAATCTCCATTGTGATGACTTTCATGTCTTTGAGATGTCCCTGCATGGAACACTTCTCTATTGCCTTGTGCTGTTGACGAGAACTCCTTCATCATGCATTTGGAAGAGATATCTAAAAAGTATACACACCAAAAGGTTTCAAATTAAGTACAGATGGTAAATAATGCTGAAATGTGTAAATATGACACAAAAAACAATACTTATTTTAAACTTTGCAAACATGACCCTCAAAGTTTAGGAACAGAAAAGCATAAGATTCTTTAACAAATAAAGGGCGATTACATGTGCTTCAAATTATTTTTACGGAAGTCTATTTCCAATATCGTGACAAAACACTGACAGGGCACAAAAACGTGTAGCCTAAAGTAAGGAATATTTTTCCATCGTGACCCTAAAGTGTCTAACAGTTTGTAAAAAACATATCACTGTCACATCAATGAAAAGTATATATTCTTCACATTTACAGCATATTTACTGTATACAAATAGATGCTAAAGGACCACATGATGTACTGTGTTGGAAAATAATCCACAACAAGATTATGTAAGGATAACCAAAATCAATGGAAATTCTGTATTGTCAAACAATCATAGCACTGAGAAGATAAGAAAAGATTACAAAATGTAATTTTTAATCTTTTTTAGTCCCAAATTTTTAGTCCCACGTACTCATGGGACTCACGAGGCACAAGAATCGTTTGAACCCAAGAGGCAAAGGTTGCAGTGAGCTGAGATTGCACCACTGTACTTCAGCCTGGGTGACAAAGTGAGATTCCATCTTGAAAAAAAATGTTAATACAATGTTTTTCTGAATAACTGTCATAAAATTACCTATATCCTTGCAGAAAAGGCACATTTTGACATTTTTAAACAAATTTTTTATTTTTATATTTTTGAGATGAAGTTTCACTCTGTCACAACCGCCTGGAGTTCAATGGCCCGATCTCAGCTCACTGCAACCTCCACCTTTTGGGTTCAAGCCATTCTCCTGCCTCAGCCTCCTGAGTACCTGGGATTACACGCACACACTACCACGTTTGGCTAATTTTTGTATTTTTAGTAGAGATAGGGTTTCAACATGTTGGCCAGGCTGGCCTCGAACTTATGACCTCAAGTGATCCAGCCACCTCAGCCTCCCAAAGTCCTGGGATTGCAGGCGTGAGCCACAGCATCCGGTGGCACTGTGTGACATTAACTAGTGGACTGTGTCAGTTATATTGCATACCACATACCGAAAAGCCTCATGTACAATCATAAAAATTAATTAGTAAAATATTGTAACCCATAAAACCAGGAAGCAAATAATAAGTACATTTATACAACATGCAAAATTCTAAACAATTCCCTGTTAAGAAAAATGCCACGACTTCTACTTGCCACCAGCAGACAATATAAGAACTGAAATACATGTTAAGATCACTACCTTCTGACTTATGAGGTCAAAAAAATACACAGCATTATAAGGAATAAGAATTGACTAACGGCTGGACACGGTGGCTCAGGTCTGTAATCCCAGCACTTTGGGAGGCTGAGGTGGGCAGATCATGAGGTGAGGAGTTCAAGAGTAGCCTGGCCAACATGGTGAAATCCCCACTCTACTAAAAATACAAAAAAATTAGCTGGGCATGGTGGTGGCTGCCTGTAATCTCAGCTACTTGGAAGGCTGAGGCAGGAGAATCATTTGAACCCAGGAGGTGGAGGTTGTAGTGAGCCGAGATTGCACCTGTGCACTCCAGCTGAGTGACAGAGTGAGATTTCATCTCCAAAAAAAAAAAAAAAAAAATTGACTAACGGTGTCAGAGGGTGCAATTATGATGTCACAACTACATTTATGAAACAGCCAGGCAATACAGCAATTTTATATATATATATATATATATATATATATATATATATATATATATATAGTTGGTATTAATTATCTAGTTCACTATGCACAAAATATAAAACATAGAATGTGTACTGGGAAAATTTTTAAACTGAGATCAGTGAAAACATTTTATAAATCAAATCATACAATAAAAACACAAACAATATGATGCAGCCTCCCTGGTCTGAATGTTCATATTGGCCAAAAGCCATGTTCAGAGTTCTTATTCTCCAAAAGGATGTTCTGCAGATGGGGCCTTTGAGACAATTTGGTCATGGGTGTTGACTACTCGTGAATAGGACTTGTGCTTTCATAAAAAGAGATATTAAAGAGCTCGTTGCCTGTTCCTGTTTCCACCATGTCAGGACACGGCAGGAAGATGGCTGGGCTAAACCATGAAGAATGCTCTCACCAGGAACCAATTTGGCTGGCACCTTGCTCTTGGATTTCCCACTTTCCAAATTCATGAGAAATAAATTTCTGTGTCTGAAGCCTCCCAGTTTAAGCTATTTCTCTTTTTGTTTGTGTTTGAGACTGAGTCACATACTATCACCCATGCTGGAGTGTAGTGGCATGATTTTCCCACCTCAGCCCGGAGTCTTACTTTGTTGCCTGGACTGGAGTGTAGTGGGGCAATCTTGGCTCACTGCAACCTCCACCTCCCAGGTTCTAGTGATTCTCCTGCCTCGGCCTCTCAAGTACTTGGGATAACAGCCTTGCGCCACCACGCTCAGCTAATTTTTGTATTTTTAGTAGAGACGGGGTTTCAACATGTTGGCCAGGCTGGTCTTGAACTCCTGACCTCAGGTGATCTGCCCCTCTCGGCCTCCCAAAGTGCTGGGATAACTGGCTTGAGCCACCGTGCCCGGCCAAATTCTTGTATTTAGTAGATTTGAGGTTTCACCATGCTGGCAAGACTGGTCTCAAACTCCTGACTTCAAGCGATCTGCCCACCTTGGCATCCCAAACTGTTGGGATTAGAGGTGTGAGCCACCTCGGGTGGCCAGTCTAAGCTATTTCTGACAGTGAAATGACTGAGGCAGGAACAGGAGCATCTCATCATCAACATCACTGAAGGCTGACAAATCTGATTAAACAAAGGAAGTTTAGAGCCTGTACCATAAATCTTGCAATACCTGAAGCCATCTATAGCAATTACGTGTTTTAAAAACTTTGAGGCTGGCCAGGCATGGTGGTTCACGCCTGTAATCCCAGCACTTTGGGAGGCTGAGGCAGGAGGATCACGAGGTCAGGAGATGAAGAACATACTGGCTAACAGGGTGAAACCCCATTTCTACACAAACACACACACACACACACATTAGCCAGGTGTGGTGGCATGTGCCTGTAGTCCCAGCTACTTGGGAGACTGAAGCAGGAAAATCACTTGAACCTGGGAGGCAGAGGCTGCAGTTAGCCAAGATCGCACCACCGCACTCCAGCCTGGGTGACAGACCGAGACTCCGTCTTAAAAAGAAAAAAAGAAAGAAATGAAAGAATTCTAAAGAGTATCTCCAACCCACAAATATATATAAAGTTCTCCAGTAAAGGTAAATAAAAAGACAGGCCGGGCACGGTGGTTCACACCTATAATCCCAGTAGTTTAGGAGGCCGAGGTTGGTGGATCACTTTAGGGCAGGGGTTCGAGACCAGCCTGACCAAAAAGGAGAAAGCCTGTGTCTACTAAAATACAAAATTAGCTAGGTGTGGTGGCACATGCCTGTAATCCCAGCTACTCAGGACACTGAGGCAGGAGAATCACTTGAACCTGGGAGTTGGAGGTTGGAGTGACCCGAGATTGTGCCATTGCACTCCAGCATGGGCGACAAGAACAAAACTTCATCTCATCAACAAAGAAATAAATAAATGAATAGGCAAATAACAGGACACATACAGAAACTGGTGTAAGTATACCTTCTCTAGATAATTCAACTTTTTTTTCTGTTATTTAGAAGAAAAAAGCATGAAAAAACACTACATATATGTTAATGCGAATGCAACATACAGAGAAATAATTCTGACATAAATACAGAGTTCTAGTAGAGAAAGAGTGGCTTTTGCAGGTTATGGAATTTTGTTGTTGTTGTTTTTTTTTTTTTGAGACAGAGTCTCGTGCTGTCACCCAGGCTGGAGGGCAGTGGCACAATCTCGGCTCACTTCAACCTCCACCTCCAGGGTTCAAGCGACTCTCCTGCATTAGACTCTTGAGTAGCAGGATTACAGGCGCCCACCACAGTGTCCGGCTAATTTGTGTGTTTTAGTAGAGACGGAGTTTCGCCATGTTAGGCAGGCTGGTTTTGAACTCCTGACCTCAGGTGATTTGCCTGCCTCGGCCTCCCGAAGTGCTGGGATTACAGGCGTGAGCCACTGGGGCACAAAAATTGTTTGAGCCTGAAAGGCGGAGCCGGCTGCGGTGAGCCAAGATCGTACCATTGAACTGTAGCCTTGGGGACAGAGTAAGACTCCATCATAAACAAACAAACAAACAAAAGTCAATAAGAAGGGAGTCAAAGCATGTCTACACAAAAAAGCAAATAAACACAAAAGTAGTAAATGAGAAATGAAGAACAAAAAAACCTACAATAAATACAGATAATATGTAACAGAATCACAAGGGTAAGGTCTTCTCCATCAGTAATACTTCAACTGTAAGTATTTAATCTGCACTCAGAAGGCAAAGACTGGCTGAATCAACAGGAATCAACTACATGTTGTCTACAAGAGACTCACAGACTCAGCCTTAAGGACACACATATGAAATTTTTTTTTCTTTTTTTTTTTGAGACAGAGTCCCGCTCTGTCGCCAGTCTGGAGTGCAGTGGCAATCTTGGCTCACTGCAACCTCTGACTCCCAGGTTCATGTGATTTTGTTGTCTCAGCCTGGATTACAGGCACGTGCCACCACACCTGGCTAATTTTTGTATTTTTAGTAGAGAGGGGGTTTCACCCTGTTGGCCAGGGTGGTCTTGATCTCCTGACCTCGTGATCCACCCACCTCAGCCTCCCGAAGTGCTGGGATTACAGGTGTGAGCCACCATGCCCAGCTGCACATATGCAAAAATTTTTAAAATAAAAGCCAATAATTAGGTATGGGGTTTGGCACCTGTAATCCCAGCTACTCGGGAGACTAAGGAGGATCTCTGGAGCCCAGGAGATCAGGATGAATTTCAACAACACAGCAAGACCCTGTCTGGAAAAAAAACAAACTAAAAAAGTTGCCCGACATGGTGGCATGCACCTGTACCAGCTACCAGGGGAGGCTCAGGTGGGACAATCACTTGAGCCCAGGAATTCAAGATTGCAGTGAGCCATGATCACACCATTGTACTCCACCCGGGCTGACAGAGAGAGACACTTTATCTAAAAACAAGAGAAAATATAGGCCGGGCACGGTGGCTTATGCCTGTAGTCCCAGCACTTTGGGAGGCCGAGGTGTGTGGATCACGAGGTCAGGATTTCAAGGCCATCCTGGCTAACATGGTGAAACTCCGTCTCTAGTAAAAAATAGTACAAAAAATTAGCCAGGCATGTTGGTGGGTGCCTGTAGTCCCAGCTACTTGGGAGGCTGAAGTAGGAGAATGGCGTGAACCCGGGAGGCGGAGCTGGCCGTGAGCCGAGATCATGCCACAGCACTCCAGCCTGGGCGACAGAGCGAGACTCCATCTCAAAAAAAAAAAAAAAAAAAAAAAAAAGGAGAGAAAATACAAAGATACGCAAGGGCACATCCCCAGGAGGGAAGTCATCCTCACCCAGGGAGACCAGGTTCCTATAATTCTCCAGCATCACGTCCCTGTATAGAGTCCTCTGAGCAGGGTCCAGGCATTTCCACTCCTCCTGAGAGAATTCTATGGCCACATCCCTGAATGTCAATAGACCCTGAAATGAAAACACATTTTAACCAAATGGTTATGGGAGGAGTTCTTATCTTTACAGAAAATGAGAAGAAGAGAGAGGTGAAGGCATGGATTTAAATGCAGTGAATGTTCTAACAAATCTGAGTAAGGGATTTTTCACCGCATTTTGTCTTCCCAGTTGTGTTTACTAAAGTTCTTTTTTTTTTTTTTAAAGGTGGAGTCTCACTCTGTTGCCCAGCCTGGAGTGCAATGGCACAGTCTCTGCTCAATGCAACCTCCAAGTCCCAGGATCAAACGATTCTCCTGCCTTAGCCTCCTGAATAGCTGAAATTATAGGCACGTGCCACCACGACCAGTTAATTTTTGTATTTTTAGCAGAAACGGGGTTTCACCATATTGCCCAGTTTGGTCTCAAACTCCTGACCTCCTGATCTGCCTGACTCAGCCTCTCAAAGTGCTGGAATTACATGCATGATCCACCGTGCCCGGCCCAGAAACGTTTTTTTTTTTATTTTTATTTTTTTGAGACGGAGTCTCGCTCTGTCGCCCAGGCTGGAGTACAGTGGCGCGATCTCGGCTCACTGCAAGCTCCGCCTCCCCGGTTCACGCCATTCTCCTGCCTCAGCCTCCCGAGTAGCTGGGACTACAGGCGCCCACCACCACGCCCAGCTAATTTTTTGTATTTTTAGTAGAGACGGGGTTTCACCGTGTTAGCCAGGATTGTCTTGATCTCCTGATCTCGTGATCCGCCCACCTCGGCCTCCCAAAGTGCTGGGATTACAGGCGTCAGACACAGTGCCCGGCCCAGAAACATTTATTGACACACCAAGTGACATTCAGTATCTAGATGAGGCAGAGTATGAATGATGTCTTCAGAGATGACATTCACAGTTCACAGTGAAAGATGAGAAACTAAAATCTGGCTGGGTGCAGTGGCACATGCCTGTTATCCCAGCTACCTGGGAGGCTGATGCAGGAGAATTGCTTGATCCCAGGAGGCAG
This sequence comes from Homo sapiens, assembly GCF_000001405.40. Lineage (NCBI taxonomy): Eukaryota > Metazoa > Chordata > Mammalia > Primates > Hominidae > Homo > Homo sapiens. Next base: position 53,401,084 of record NC_000019.10, on the reverse strand, counting down.
AGGTTGCAATGATCCGAAATCGCACCACTGCACTACAGTCTGGGCAACAGATACTCCATCTCCAAAAAAAAAAAAAATTAGCGAATTAGCGAGGCATGGTGGCAGGCACCTGTGGTTCCCAGCTACTTGGGACCCTGAGGTAGGAAGATGGCTTGAGCCTCAGGGTGGAGGTTTCAGTGAGCTAAGATCGTGCCACTGTGCTCCAGCCTGGGCAACACAGTAAGACCCAGTCTCAAAACAAAAGAAAATATATGAAAACTAGATTACTCAAAGTATGAAAATCCATTTTATGTATGTGTGTATATATATATATATATATATGTCAACAAATAATGAAACCTACACAGACTCACAAAAAACTAGATGTTAATACAAAGGGTTGTCATTTTCCCCAGATTTTCAAAATGGAAAAGTTGTTCAAAATATATATATTTGTGCATGTGTATATGTATGTATATGTATATGTGTATGTGTATATTGTGTGTGTGGGTGTGTATACATATAAAGGCTTTAAAAATATAAAAAGTAGCAAGTTTTGTTGAACTGAAGAGGAATCTCATCTTGCTGCAAAAGGATACATTGGCAGTTGGGGACAGGGGGGAATCTTGTCAGATCTAAGAAAACAGGAAATGCCTCATCCTAGAGGAAGTAATCACCCTTTCAACTGCCTGACCTGGAGGAATCGTGAGATATCTGTAGTAACGCGGGTGTGCACAGAGGCAGCCACTATGGCACTCTTTATACAGGGAAAAGTTGCAAAGGCCCATTTGTCATTCAGCCAATTTCCAATGCAGATGTCAAAGAGCAAGCTATCCACGTTTACTAACATGAGAACATGTAAATTTTCACAACCAGCAGGATCAAATATCGAAGTAAAATATTTACTGGAGCACAAAGAAAACAACAGACACTGGCGTCTACTTGAGGGTGGAGGGTGGGAGGAAGGAGAAGACTAGAAAAAATAACTACTGGGGGCCAGATGCGGTGGCTCATGCCTGTAATCCCACCACTTTGAGTGGCTGAGGCAGGTGGATCAAATGTCAGGAGTTCAAGATCAGCCTGGCCCACATGGTGAAACCCTGTCTCTACTAAAAATACAAAAATTATCAAGGCATGGTAGCAGGCCCCTGTAATTTCAGCTACTCAGGAGGCTGAGGCAGGAGAATCACTTGAACCCGGGAGGCAGAGGTTGCAGTGAGTTGAGATCATGCCATTATGCTCCAGCCTGGACAAAAAGAGCAAAACTCAGTCTCAAAAAAATAAATAAATAAAAAATAACTATTGGGTACGGGACTTAACACCAGAGTGATGAAATAACCTGAACAACAAACCCCGATGACCCTAGTTTACCTATGTAAGAAACCGGAACATATGGCCCCAAACGTAAAAATTTTTTTTTTTTTTTGAGATGGAGTCTTGATCTGTGCCCAGGCTGGGGTGCAGTGGCACAATCTCAGCTCACTGCAATGTCTGCTTCCCAGGTTCAAGTGATTCTCCTGCCTCAGCTTCCTGAATAGCTGGGATTAGGGGCACGTGCCATCACGCCAGGCTAATTTTTGTAAAAAAGTTATTTTTTTTTCAATTTATTGAATAATTTTTTCTAAAGTCTCATATGATGCAGAAATACATGTGTATGAGACTTGCTCTGACGCCTGGCACAGAACTGACAGTGGTGACTCCCCAGTGAGTTTGGAAGAAGGGTGGAGGATGTAACAGGGAAGGGAGATGCCTGATGGCAAAGGGTCTAAGCTGCAGCTTTGCTTGGAGTTTTACCACAAAACAAATATATTCACTATGTGATGTTTAAATAGAAAAATATATATTTTGGGGACTGTTGTGGGGTGGGGGAGGGGGGAGGGATAGCATTAGGAGATATACCTAATGCTAAATGATGAGTTAATGGGTGCAGCACACCAATATGGCACATGTATACATATGTAACTAACCTGCACATTGTGCACATGTACCCTAAAACTTAAAGTATAATAATAATTTTAAAAAAAAGAAAAATATATATTTAATAATAATCATTGGGGCTGGGCATGGTGGCTTATACCTGTAATCCCAGCACTCCAGGAGGCTGAGGCAGGCAGATCACCTGAAGTCAGTAGTTTGAGACCAGCCTGGCCAACATGGTGATACTCGTCACTAATAAAAATACAACAAAATTAGCTGGGCGTGGTGGTGCACACCTATAATCCCAGCTACTCGGGAGGCTGAGGCAGGAGAATCACTTGAACCCGGAAGGTGGAGGTTGCTGTGAGCCAAGATCATGCCACTGCACTTCAGCCTGGGCGACAAAGCAAGACTTCATATATGTGAAATATAATAATATTATCATAATATAATAGTACTGATAATAAAAATTATAACCAAAACACCTGTTTCACAAGCCTCTCCACAGGAACCCCACAGTCTCCATGAGCGTAATGTGCTAAGAATGGTTGAATGAATCTCCTGCTATTATTCAGGTTGATTTCCTATTCTTAAAATAAAGACGGAATAAAACATCTTGTATCATTCATGTCTGTGTATGAACTTTCCATTCTAATTAGTAAGATAGTTGGAGTCAGAAACACAGTAACTCACTCAATTACCTAAAAATGTAGTATAAAATCAGGCAGAAAAAATTGCTCCATATTGGTCACCTTTTCTAGAATTTACCACATACTTTGTGCACATGAATACATGACTTCCATTGGCAGTTGCTCTAATCCTGGTCTACAGAGAGCTGACAGAGCATCCAGATGTAGCCCCTGAACAATCCCTGCTGCCCAACAGCACTGACACCATGGGACCCTCACCCCATCTCCATCCATGTCTGGGTGTGAGCCCTTCCCAGGACCATGCCCAGTGCAGCCTCTTCCCAAGTTCATGTCACTGGATCATGGGAGATGGAATCTAAGCAAGATAAGAGGGAATGAAGGAAGGCATGGGTGAGTGCGAGCAAACCTGTCAGGCAAGATGCTTCAGACTCAGAGAAGATTCCAAACTCCAAGGTCAGCATTTCTGAAAAGAAGGAGACAGAACAATCCACCAAGAATATCATCTCACCTGAGGAAGAGCCATCCCTGACTCCTTTGCTTTCCTCTTCCTCTTCCAGGTTTCTTCCTCACATACCAAGAGTCTTTAGAAGTCAATCCTGAATGTTAGAAATATGTTGTTTATTGCTCAGAATCAACATATCCCCTCCCTGTAACACAACAACACATACAAAGGAGACCTCATCCTGAGGACATACGGTCCCCTATGCTGCCGACCACACCAGGGACAATAAACTCCTACAGGAAAACTCCCACTCCCCTCCCGGAGAAGCCCACACACACGCTGCAGCAGTGGGGAGCTGGGGTGGGATGAGCTCCCCTTTAGGGCACAGACCCAGGCCTGACCAAACCTCATGCAAAGGCTGGGTGCGGTGGCTCATGCCTGTCATCCCAGCACTCTGGGAGGCCGAGGTGCGTAGATCTCTTGAGCTCAGGTTTGAGACCAGCCTGGGCAACGTGGTGAAACCCCATCTCTACCAAAAGTACAAAAACTTAGCCAGGCATGGTTGTGCACGTCTGTGTGTCTGTGGTCCCAGTTACTTAGGAGGCTGAGGTGTGAGGATCGCTTGAGCTCAGGAGTTCGAGACCAGCCTGGCCAACATGGTGAAACCCTGTCTCTACTAAAAATTCAAAAATTGAGCCGGGCACACTTAAGTTTACACGCTTAACCGCATCATAAAGTTGCAAGCAGTACTTGGAATCATCACTAATGAAACAGCAAATGCATTAGACTTACTGGCCCAGCAAGCCACAAAAATGAGAAATGCCATCTACCAAAATAGATTAGCTTTCGACTACCTCCTAGCCTAGGAAGGAGGAGTATGTAGAAAGTTTAATCTAACTAATTGCTGCCTAGAAATCAATGACAATAGGAAGGCTGTTATAGAAGTAACTGCAAGAATAAAAAAATTATCCCATGTTCCAGTCCAGACTTAGACAAAGTAGACTCCCGAGTCCCTCTTTAGAGGCTGGTTTTCCTCCTTCAGTCGATTCAAAACCTTAACAGGAGTGGTTCTAGAAATACTAAGAATTGGTTTAATACTCCCTTACCTCACCTCTCCTTGTTAAGAACGTTCAATCAACTATAGAAGCAATTGTGACTAGGCAGACTACCACTCAGCTAATAGCTCCATATAAATATCAGCCTGTGCCTAAAGAAGAAAACCTGCTCTTTCATGAAGAATCCAGTAATAGTGGTGCTTTCTATTAAAACCTTATTTATAAAAAGCAGCAAAGGGAGAAAACTGAGGCAGAAATTTAAAAAATCAATATGCATTCATTCACTCCAAAAAACTAACAGGCAAGGCAAGGGTTAAAAAGAAAAGAAGAACAAGTTTTCCTCTGCCTAGCAAGCTCACTTCAAGGACAGTTATAAGATAACGCTTTTTGTGCAGCTGAAGCCAAAGGAATGAGCTCCAGAAAACCCCACTTTAGAACAAGAGTGAAGAAAAAAAAAGTCTGTATTTAGCTGTTCTTGTTTTTCTTTCAATGCAGCTACAAGACCACCAGCTATGCAAGGCCACAAGTTATGCTATGCTATAGATTATGTGACCAATCATTACATGATTAACTGCTTTTATTTTGCTTCTGTAAGCCTGCTTATAAAAACCCCACTCTGTCTTTGTTGAAATGCTCAGCTTTTTAGATGTAAATCCACTGAGCCGGTGCGTACCTTAAATAAACATCGTTCTGTCTCCCGCATACCGGTCTCTCTAGTACTTAGTTTCCCGCAACACCATCTCTGCGCCTCCTCTGCTCTCCCTGTTACATTCTCTCTTCCCTGTTATACCCTCATCCCCACTCTCTAGCACCCCAGATCCCCAGGTGTCCTCCCTGCTGTGCTTCTCCCTCTGTTCTCCTTGCCACCAGCACCACTCTGCTCTGTCTGCCCTGGCTCCAAATCCCTCCTCCTCTCCCTCACTCTGATGAGCCTCCCTCTTTGCTGTCCCTCTCCCTACCTTGCTCTCTGTCCTTCATCTCTCTGTACATCTACCTTTTCTCTACATTTCTCCAGTTGCTTTTCTCCTCCTTTTTTTTTTTTTCCCCCACATTTGCTGTGTCTGGCAAATCCCTCACCCATCCTCTACTTTGCCATCTGTTATGAGTCTTTTTTATTCTTCTTTTCTGTCTCAGGTTTTCTACTGCTCTACGTCTGTCTCCTGATCCCTTTAGCCTACACAAGCACCGGAGGCTTTGGATAAGACACAGGAGGGTTTGGAGCAAAACGCCTGCATCCCGGGGGAGCGCATTTTCCAGGGGCTGGAGCTGGGCAGGCAAGAACACCCCGTGTCACAGGACAGGCCCCGGGCACCTCCCTAACTCGGGCTCAGGGAAAGCAGTGACTGTGGAGGCGAACCTGGGGAGCAGTAGGGCCCGCAAAAGGAGGGAGGCGGCGGCGCCACGGCGCCTTAAGACAAGGGTGGGGTCTGCAGGATCCCAGGACCAGACAGAGGACGCGGCCTCCTTGGGGCTGGGGCCGCCGCGCTGCGTCCAGCTGCCAACGAGGGCGAGACTGGGAGGCGCTCAGGGAGGGAATTCACCTCTCGGGTGAGGACTTTAAAAAGCGCGGGACGGGAGGAGTCAGAAAAAGTTTCAGAGCAGGAAAACTACGTGATAGAAAGTGTATACATTGCCCTATAGCAGAAACACCCGGGACGGGACCAGCCTCAGGGGGACCTTAAACCCAAAAGGAAGCGACCCCCGGACTCTCACGGGGTCGTCTCAACTTGCTCTGGGTGAAGGAAGACGGCTGAGAATTTCCAGGTTAGTGGAGACCCCACGCCCCAGGTACAGAAGCGCCAGGGACCTGGGAAGCACAGACTTAATACAAAACAGAGCGAAACTCACCCGCGGCGGTGGGATAGTCACTCCACGCCGTCCGCTTCCGGGTCTGCGCGAAGCTGCGCGCGCAGGAAAGAAGCCAGGCCTGGGCGGGACCCGCGAGGAGGTGGGCGGGCTTGGGCGAGGTAGGGGCGGGGCAGAGAGACTTTACCCTTTAGAACCGACAGAGGGCGGGGCTGTGGCGGGACCTGTGAGTCTCTCAGCCTGGCTCCCAGGGCCTCAGTTTTCGGGTTTTGGAGGCGAGACCGGCCAGGAAGGCTGAGGCATGATTCAAAAGCCCTGGAATTGTCTGGAACGGGGATGCAAACTGGAATGTAAAATGCAAAGCCCTGCCTGGATGGAACGTACGATTTCATGCTGACAGCCCACAAAACAGAATAGAAATCCTCTCCCTTTCCAGTCTCCATTCACTTGGGAGGGAGAGTCCACCCTGTGCTCAGCTGCAGAGACTTCCCTAGGGCCACCGCCTGGGATGTGGGACGGAATGCTCAGGCCAGCGAGGAGTGAGGTCACCACCTTCTGGATAAACACAGCAGGGATGTGGGCGCGGGCGCGGGAGACTGAGGTCCCAGCTACTCAGGAAGCAGCGGCGGGAGGATTGCTGAGCCTGGGGGTCCAGGCCAGCCTGGGCGACAATGTAACACCCCCTCCCGCAGGGCTCCCTTCCTCGTCACTCTCTCTTTTTTTTCCTTTTTTTTTAAACGTTTTAAAATAAGAGTTTGATTGTGTGAGATAGGGATCTAACAGTATTCTTTTCCATGTGGATATCCAGTTAGTTGCCTCAGCACATTTTTGGAAGAGATTTATTCCTTTATTTATTTACTTATTTCTTTTGTTTTGAGACAGAGTATTTCTCTGTCGCCCAGGCTAGAGTGCCGTGATGGGATCTCGGCTCACTGCAGCCTCTGCCTCCTGGGTTTCAGCGATTCCCCTGCCTCAGCCTCCAGAGTATCTGCAATTACAGGCGCGTGCCACCATGCCCGGCTAATTTTTGTATTTTTGTAGACGAGTTTCACCATGTTGGCCAGTGTGGTCTCAAACTCTTGACTTTAAGGGATCCACCTGCCTGGGCCTCCTCAAAGTGCTGGGATCACAGGCGGGAGCCACCGCGCCTGGCCAAATACTTTTTACTTCACTTTCTAATTGTTAAGAAAATACAATTGAAAACGAAACAAAAAAATCTTCCCCCAAATGACAAAACATCTCCATGACGATAATAGAGAAAGAAATAAACACCATTTTATTAATAAGTAAGCCTTAGACCAGAATGTGATGGGAAATAGAGGCAAAGAGCTAAGAGGTTGAAAAAAGAGAAAGACACTTCACAGTTCTATACAACCCATTAAGTACATGTTTTCAAGATAAACACTAATCAGTCCTCAGGGAAAAGGACTTGACAACACCCTTGGTCACACATAGTTCATCCTGGCTCTAGTTGGTAATGGAGGTGACCATCTGTGTCAGCTAATTAGCTTCATGCAGAGGGAGGGGGAGAAACACTAACCCATGTCTTTTTGACAAGTGTGAGTTTTACAACATGGCTACAGGTGCCCTCTCTGGTGAGGCTCCTACAATGTGACAGAAACTGATGTCAGCAGTAAATAATAACATTTAGAATTTATGATTAAGTATAGAGTTTATCTGAACACAAAGCATGAGGATAGCCACCGGCAAACATCAACTCCTAATGAATGGGATCAACGTTCCCAAGTAGAGACGTTAAGGTTTCACACACAGGGAAAGACAGAGAAGTTTTAGGAGAATCAACACATTTTCCATTCAAGACCAGTGCATAGGTTGCAGCAAGTTGATTGGTGACGGAGTCATACACTTCAAGGAAGGTTATGTTATCACTCCATAAAAAGGGACAATGATCCCAGGAGGCCTTATCTCTGGGGCTGCTTAGTCTTCCTAGTTATTTACAGGAGAACTCTTTTCCTGTAAATAAGGGCAAGACTCGCCCAGGCTGGAGTGCAGTGGGGCGATCTCGGCTCACTGCAACCTCCACCTCTTGGATTCAAGCAGTTCTCCTGCCTCAGCCTCCCAAGTAGCTGGGATTACAGGCACACGCCACCATGCCTGTCTAATTTTTTGTTTGTTTGTTTGAGACAGAGTCTCGCTCTGTTGCCTAGGCTGGAGTGCAGTGACACGATCTCACCTGCTCACTGCAACCTCCACCTCCCGGGTTCAAGCGATTCTCCTGGCCCAGCCGCTAAATTTTGTATTTTTAGTAGTGACAGGGTTTCGCCATGTTGGGCAGGCTGGTCTCAAACTCCTGACCTTGTGATCCGCCCGCCTCAGCCTTCCAAAATGCTGGGATTACAGGCGTGAGCCACCGCGCCTCGCCTTTTGTTTTGCATTTTTAGTAGAGAGTGGGTTTTACCATGTTGGCCAGGCTGGTTCCGAACTTCTGACCTCAAGTGATCTGCCCGCCTTGACCTCCCAATGTGCTGGGATTACAGGCATAAGCCACCGCAGCCAGCCAGGAAAACTCGTAGAAGTTACGCCTGCGTTCCGCTGGACTCAGGTTGCATGAGCACATTCCTCTCAAGGTGTAGCAGGAGCAGCCGCGGATAAAAGCCCTCAGACACCCGGTTAAAGAAAGAAGTGGCTTTATTCAGCCGGGAGCATCGGCCAACTCACGTCTCAAGAACCGAGCTCTTTGAAGACTTTGTTTGGCCGGGAGTGTCGGCAGACCTGCCTCTCAAGAATTGAACCCCCCGAAGAAAGAGTTCCTGGCCCTTTTAAGGGCTTACAGCTCTAAGGGGTTCCACGGGAAAAGGTCATGACAGATTAAGAGCACATGTGGTTAGAGTTGGGGGGCAGTTAATCTTTTAACCTCAGGCCTGGTCATCAGTGGCGCTGGCTGGTCTTGTCACTGAATTCATTCCTGTTGTTTTTCAGCTTTTACTTCCTCCTCTTCAGAGACAGGAGACAGTAAGAGAAATGGCCTCTCTCCTCAAAGGCTCAGAATTATTTAAAGGCCATAGCTTTAAATTGGAATTATTTGATGTTTGAATTACTTAATTTCCTACTGAGATACAGGTACTGTCTCCCTTGTATTTTGCCTTTCAAAGAGAGCTCCCAAGTCCTTCAGAAATACATCCCTGGGTCATTAAGCTGAAAAAAGGTTTAGTTCGTTTCTAAAAAATACCACTTCAGACCAGGCGCGGTGGCTCATGCCTGTAATCCCAGCACATTGAGAGGCCAAGGCGGGCAAATCACTTGAGGTCAGGAGTTCAAAACCAGGCTTGTACCCGGGAGTCGGAGGTTGCGGTGAGCCAAGATCGTGCAATTGCACTCCATCCTAAACAACTAGAGGAAAACTCCATCTGAAAAAAAAAAAAAAAAAAAACTCAGAAGACAGAGAAAATCCATTTGCAAACTTTCGAAATCAGTGTCCTAAGAAAAGAGATGAAAGGAAAGAAAATCTCTTCCTTTATTTTCAAGGGAGGAATTACACCTCTCATTTATTTACGTGTTTGTTTGAGACAGGGTCTAGCTCTGTCACTGAAGCTAGAGTGTGGTGGCGAGATCAGGGCACTGCAGCTTCCAACTCCCTGGCTCAAGTGATCCTCCCACCTAAGTGCCCCGAGCAGCTGGGGCCACAGGCGTGCACCACCACACCGGGCTGTTTTGTTTTTTTTTTTAGTAGAGACGAGGTCTCATCATGTTGCCCAGGCTGATCTTGAACTCCTTGGCTCAAGAGATCCTCCCACCTCTGCCTCTCAAAGTGCTGGTGAGAGGTTAAGCCGGCTGGGCTTCTGGGTCGGGTGGGGACTTGGAGAACTTCTCTGACTAGCTAAAGGATTGTAAACACACCAATCAGGCCTCTGTGTCTAGCTAAAAGTTTGTAAACGCACCAATCAGCACTCTGTAAAAATGCACCTATCAGTGCTCTGTGTCTAGCTAAAGGTTTGAAAATCACCAATCAGCACTCTGTAAAAATGGACCAATCAGCACTCTGTAAAATGGACCCATTAGCAGGACATGGGCAGGGCCAAATTACTGCGAAGGTCTGCAGCTTCACTCCTGAAGTCAGCAAGACCACGAACACACCAGGAGGAAAAAACAACCCCAGACGCGACAGTTTCAAGAGCTGTAACACTCGCTGCAAAGGTCTGCCGCTTCAATCCTGAAGTCAAGCGAGACCACAACCCACCAGAAGGAAAAAACCCCGGACACATCTGAACATCTGAAGGAACAAACTCTGGACATGCCATCTTTAAGAACTGTAACACTCACCGCGAGGCTCTGTGGCTTTACTCTTAAAGTCAGCGAGACCAAGAACCCACCAGAGGGAACCAATTCCAGACACACTGGGATTACAGATGTGAGCCACTACTCTGGGCCCTGACTTTATTTCCATGAAATACGAATTGTCCTTCACCTCCTGTGTGTAATAGGCAGTTTTGCATGTCACCTTTCAGTTCCCATTATCCACTCAACCCAGGATCCTGCTTAGTTTAATAAGCCTTCTCGTTGTCAGTCCCAGCTGCAACCAGCGCCCTACTCCAGTCCTTTACCGAGGTCCCTGCCCCTCTACCCCGCCCTGCTTCAGACTGAGGGGAGCGTGCCCCGCCTGAAGGATGCATGACTCTACCTGCTCCAAAAAGGCTCTTTGCATTAAAACTATTTTCAACTTAAGAGGAAAAACGATTAAGCGTTCGGTACAGGTGGCTCACTACATGTAATATTAGGGGTAATATCACGGTACATCAGAAACAATCCACCAATCAGAACCCGGAGGACCCAGTCCTGGAGGGCAAGAGTATGACAGCAGGCGACAGCCATGGCCCAGCTGAGGAAAGAACCCGGATCCGCCCCCCTTCAGGCCCCGCCCTTCAGAACAAAACCCCTTTCAGACCCCGCCCCGAAAATGATAACCCTCTGGCCCCAGCCCTTCTCGCTGTCCTGGGCGGCCCCAAGGCAGCCTCCTCCCTCTTGCCCCGCCCCAGTCCCGTTCCAGGTCCCACCCCCACCCTCTAACCTGGCCCGGCTTCCAAAGCGGCCTCCACCTTCTGGCCCCGCCCAAGCACCGGTTCAGGCTCCGCCCCCTCGACGACCTTTCCTTCTCCCTCCGGGTCACCGCCGACTGTCCAGAATCCGCCCAGACGGGGTGGAGGGCCTGCCCATGGTTGTTCTGCAGCGCCCGGGGCTGGCTCAGATGAGTGTTTTCTTGGTCTTTCTGCTTCAAACCTGTCTTTCGCAGCACCTTATCCCCGAGTCTAGCCACAGCAGGAATCTGGTTGCTTCGGGATGTTGAAATCCACACGCAAGATTGTGCAGTTGTCAGGGATTTCCAACTCCCCCATGTGAAGCTTGCAGGGCCAGTGCCTCTGCAGCATTTGTGTCGCTTTATACTGTGTTCTCCCCCTTCCAAGATCCTATTGCCCTTTTCAATAATCCCAGTTGGCAGCTGCTGAGCGCCTCACCCTCATCTACCCATGTTTCCCAGCTGTCAGCCCCTTTGTTCTCATGAGCGGTGACTCCACAGTGTCGATCTTTGCTTGGCATGCTGGATGAGGACTACAAAATTCCTACTTTTATGAGAATTGGATCAATTGTTGTTTTTGTATAACGTTCAGTCATTTTGTTGCCTAAAACGAGGTCACAGTCTACACCCCATGTTAACATTCTTGGATCTTGCGTAGTAAAGAATTCAAGGCAAGTGTCCGAATGCAGTGAGGAGAGTTTATTGAAAGCTACCAGTTACACAGTAGGGTGTCCTCAGAAGGCTGGGGGAGTGCCTCCTCATGAAGTTTTTCTTACATAGGGGCCTAAGTAAAAGCTAAGTTATGTCTACCTGCCGGTGAGCTGACAGTGTGACAAAACTTATTACTTTGTTGATTTAAAGCTATCTTTGGCCGGGCACAGTGGCCCAAGCCTGTAATGACAGAACTTTGGAAGGCTGAGGTGGGCAGATCACCTGAGGTCAGGAGTTTGCGACCAGCCTGCTTCTTAAAAGCATACATTGTCATCGGATATTAGGTTATCTTGGACATTGTGTTTCTGTAGGAGTTCGTCCTTGCAGGTATCATGAAGCTGCTTTCCTTAACTGTAAACATCTTATGACCGTGACTCATGCATGAGCAGTAAGGAATATGTTTTGCTAGTTTTAATAAACTTGAACTTTGTCATTCTAGCTTTCCTAGGTTCCTGCTTAACAGTTTATCCATTCATGCAGCACGGAGTTCTAAGCACAGTTATGGAGACACCACTCTCTTGTATCTGACAGGCTGAACTTCTGTCCCAAGAACATAGTAATAGCAATACTAAGTGAAATATTAGGAAGTTTTATGTATGTATATAATTGATCATTTATTATTTGCCATTTAAATTGGCTAAAATTACATAGAATGGGTTATTTAATCAAATATTAGTATGGAATGAGGCCACCACTTCTCCTGTTGTCCTTCCCAGCTTCTCCCCAACCTCCCCTTTTGCCTGGTTTATAAGACAGGAGAAAAGGGAGAAAGCAAAAAGTTGGAAAGAAGCAGAACTAAGATAAATAGCTAGACGACCTTGGCGCCACCACCTGACCCTGGTGGTGAAAATAATAATAATAATAATAATATTAACCCCTGACCAAAACTACTGGTGTTATCTGTAAATTTCAGACATTGTATGAGAAAGTACTGTAAAACTTTCTGTTCTGTTAGCTGATGTATGTAGCCTCCAGTCACATTCCTCACACTTACTTGATTATGACCTTTTCACGTAGACCCCTTAGAGCTGTAAGCCCTTAAAAGGGCTAGGAATTTCTTTTTTGGGGAGCTTGGCTCTTAAGACGCGAGTCTGCTGACACTCCCAGCTGAATAAAAAACCTCTTCCTTCTTTAATCTGGTGTCTGAGGAGTTTTGTCTGTGACTCATCCTGCTACATTAGAAATATGTATCTTTCACAAATGGAATCTAACCACCCAAAGTTGAAGAGCATCTCCCTATGTTGAATAAATATGAAGGAGTTCAAATTTTGGAACTGATATTGTGCTTTCCACTACACCTCATTTTTTTCTTATTCTATTTTGATTTCTTCTGTGTTCATGAGCTTGTGAACCAAAAGTATCTACTAGGTCTCAATCAATTTAGAAATCTATTTTGCCAAGGTTAAAAATGCCCCCGTGACACAGCCTCAGGAGGTCCTGACAACGTGTGCCCAAGGTGTTCAGGCTGCAGTTTGGTTTTACACATTTTAGGGAGACATAATACATCAATCAAAACATGTAAGTTATACATTGGTTTGGTCTGGAAAGGTGGAATAACTGCAATTGGGGGGCTTCTGGGTCACACGTAGATAACAAATGATCACATTGAGTCTTTCATCAGCCTTTCACTGAATACACAATTTTTTTTTTTTTTTCCGTGACAGAGTCTCGCTCTGTCACCCAGGCTGGAGTGCAGTGGCCCGATCTCCACTCACTGCAAGCTCTGCCTCCTGGGTTCACGCCATTCTCCTGCCTCAGCCTCCCGAGTAGCTGGACTACAGGCTTCCACCACCACACCTGGCTAATTTTTTGTATTTTCAGTAGAGACAGGGTTTTACCGTGTTCATGTTTGCCAGGATGGTCTCGATCTCCTGACCTCAGGATCCACCCACCTCGGCCTCCCAAAGTGCTGGGATTACAGGCGTGAGCCACCACCATGCCTGGCCCTGAATACACAATTTACATGTGAGAGGGGGTGGAGGAATAGTCACTTATGCCTTAGACTGCCTCAGTGACTCTACATTTTTACATAAATAGGACAGGGGAAGCAATCAGATAGGCATTCATCTCAGGTGTGCAGAGGGATGGGTTCTGTCCCACACCTGTGAAGATAAGCTATTAGTTTACATTGGCAGTGGGAAATTCAAAAGAACTATTTTAGGGTGGAGATCTCGAGGTCCCCAGTTTGTGAGGGGAGTCTATAGCTTTGTTTTGTTTTGACATGGAATTTCACTCTTGTTGCCCAGGCTGGAGTGCAATAGCGCAATCTCGGCTCACCACAACCTCTGCCTCCTGGGTTCAAGCGATTCTCCTGCCTCAGCCTCCTGAGTAGCTGGGATTACAGGCATGCGCCACCATGCCCGGCTAATTTTGCAGTTTTAGTAGAGACAGGGTTTCTCCATATTAGTCAGGCTGGTCTGGAACTCCTGACGTACTGTGGTTTGCCCACCTCGGCCTCCCAAAGTGCTAGGATTAGAGGCATGAGCCACTGCGCCCAGTCTGTATGTAGCTTTCTTTTAGTCTTTGTAGCTATCTCGTTTAGAAACAAAATGGGAGGTAGGTTTATCTGATACAGTTCCCAGCTTGACTTTTCTCTCTGGCTTAGTCATTTTTATTTTCCTTTCATGAGCTTGTGACAGACATAATGCTTTGACACACTGATATTGTTTTCTATAGACTTTTCCATAACAGAAAGGACAAAGGTCTGTCATTAACTGGGTTAGGGGAGACGAGAAGATTCCCAGGAGACTCCTGGTCTCAACCAATCCTCCCACCTAAGCCTCCCAAAGTGGCAGGACCACAGGTGTGATCCACTGAACCCAGTGGAGTCTCGATCTCAAAACAAAACAAAACAAAACAAAAAACAGAAATTAAGGTACTCTATGGAATTACATCATTTGACTTTTGTTTTGAAATGAAAAGTCTCACGTTTATTACTGAACACAGCCAACCAATGCGTTTATAACAAATTTACAGAGAAAAAACATATTCCCAATAAAACATGTCCAACTGTCCAGATAGTGGTGACATTTTCAGCTTGATATGGTAACGTGATTGTGATGCTCAGACAGCATAAATATGTGTGCCATCTCACATGCAATTCCTTATAGACCCAGCTTGGTTCTTCTCCAATGTCTCCTTTTGGAGTCGTACCTGATTTTATTACCAGTTTTGATCTGAATCCACAGGGGAGTGGGATGGTTTTGCTTTTGTTTCTTGGCCAGGAATCGCTTAATCCTGAAAGTCTTCTGAGAAGATGTGGCAAGAAGCAGAGTCAAGCACACACCACGATGGCAAAGAATGGAAGAGAAGGAACTTGACAATTTTTTTTTTTTTGAGATGGAGTTTTGCTCTTGTTGCTCAGGCTAGAGTGTAATGTTGCCATCTCAGTTCACTGCATCCTCCACCTCCTGGGTTCAAGAGATTCCCCTGCCTCAGCCTCCTGAGTAGCTGGGATTACAGGCGCATGCCACCATGCTGAGCTAATTTTTGTATTTTTACTAGAGATGGTGTTTCACCATGTTAACCAGGCTGTTCTCTAAATTCTGACTATGTTTCTGCTGTTTGCTGTCAGTCCTCTTCATTGCAGCATGAACAAGATTAATTTTTTTTTCTGTAAAAATGATGTGGAAGGTCTGCCTGCTGCTTCATGCATCACTGTCAACATTGTCTTGCCCTAACTCAAAATAAGTTATCCGTTTACAAACTGTTTATTTCTTTTGGGCATTGTCCCCATAACCTTTTTATAAAGCATCAATGATTTCATTATTCCTCTACCCAAACGTTACCACAAGTATTCTTTTTTTAAGACAGTATCTCTCTCCATCACCCATGCTGGAGTGCAGTGGCATGATCATAGCTCACTGCAATCTTGACCTCCCAGGTTCATGCCATCCTCCCTGCACAGACTTCACAATAACTGAGACGGCAGGCATGTGCCACCATGCCCAGCTAATTTTTGTATTTTTTGTAGAAAAGGGGATTTCCCCACGTTTCCCAGGCTGGTCTTGAATACCTGGGCTCATGTGGCCCACCTGTCTCAGCCTCTGAAAATGCTGGGATTACAGGCCTGAGCCACTGCATCTGGTCTCATCATAAATTTAATGTTTCTTCTTGTTTAAATTTCATCAGAATTTATATTGCTTTGATGGAGTCTCTTTTTATACTCATGTCTTATCCTTTTGAGGGCATCAAACTAGAGCCTGTTCAGACATGTTATAACAGACTAGCACTAGTTTATTTTGGTGCAAAAATTGTGAAATTCATGCACAATTTTCTCATAATATGTATTTTTCCAGAACTTCTTGAAGATCCCTTGTCCTAGAAAACTGTATTCAAGAGGATATTAAAAAAATGTAGATATTCAAGTGCCAGTTATTTCTGGGATGCAAGGATGGTTCAACATATTCAAGCAAATCAATGTTATATACCACTAGAACAGAATGAAAGATTAAAACCACATCACCTTAGTAGATGGAGAAAAAGCGTTCCACAAAATTCAAAATCCAGTCATCATAGAAATCCTAAACAAAATAGAAAAGGAAATTTACCTCAACAATAGAAAGAACATCCATGAAATGACAAATGAGTAAATAACCAAGCAGGGAAAATGGAATGCTTTCCTGTACGATCTCACATGATGCAAGAATGCTCTCACCCCTTCTATTCAATCAATACTGCCTGTCCTAGCCAGAGCAATTAAATAGCAAAAGAAATCAAACTCATCCAAATCAGAAAGAAAGAAGTAAAATTACATTTGTTTGTAGACGACATGACCTTCTGTGTAGAAAATCACAGACTCAACCAAAATAGTACTGGAACTAACAAACATATTCAGTGGATTTGCACAATACAGTATCAGCACCAAAAATTAGTTGAATTTCCATATTTTAATAATAAACAATTTTAAAAGAAAATTTTAACACACTTCCATTTGCTGGAGAACTTAAAATAAGAAATACTTAGGAATAAACGTAAAAAGGTGAGACGTTTGTACCTTGAAATCAACAAAAATTGATCAAAATGATTAAAAACATATATAGAGACACAACCCATATTGATGGTTTGGAAAAATTAATATGTTAAATGATTATATAACCCAATGTAATCTAGATTCAATACGATACCCATAAAAATCCCTATCAGTTTTTGTTAAAGAAACAAAAAACAGGCTGGGAAAAGTGGCTCAGGTCTGTTGTCCAGGCTGATCTCAAACTCCTGACCTCAAGTGATTTACCCACCTTGGCCTACCAAAGTGCTGGGATTACAGGCGTGAGCCATGCCACACAGCCCAGTCCTCTTAACATAAACACTTTAATGTCAATTAAGGCTTGAACTCAATGTTAAGTCAACTCAAACTCAAGTCAATGCTGAACTGACTCTAATGTCAATCAATGCTTGATGGTTTGCTATATTCATTGCATTGGGAACAATTACCTGAAAAATGAATTTTCTGATATTCTGCAAGGAGTGAAGTCGGACTGAAGACCTTGCCACACTGATGACATTTGTAAGATTTCTGTCCAGTATGGATTCTCTGATGTCTAATGAGGTGAGAATGTGAAGTAAAGGCTTTGCCACGATCATCACACTTGTGAGGTTTCTCTCCTGTATGAATTCTCCTGTTTTGCAAAAGATGAAGCTTGACTGAAGACCTTGCCACAATCATGACATTGTAAGATTTCTCTCCAGCATGAGTTCGCCAATGAACGGCAATGTATGAACGATGTCTGAAAAATTTGCCACAATTATTACATTTGTAAGATCTCTCTTCATTATGGCTTCTCCAGTGATTTACAATGGTTGTAGCATTACTGAAGACGTTGTGAGAATCATTACGTTAGTCAAGTTTCCCTACACTACGGATTGCCTGATGGTGAATAAGTGTTGACTGCCCACTAAAGGCTTTGACACACTCATTACACTTGTAAGGTTTCTCTCCAGTGTGAACTCTGGGATGTTGTGCCAGGTGTGAATCACGTCCGAAAGCCTTGTCAAAAACTCTTACATTTTTATGGTTTCTCTCCAGTATGAATTCTCCTGTCTTTCGAGGTTTGATTTGCGACTGTAAACTTTGTCACATTCTTCACATTTCTAAGGTTTCTCTCCAGTATGAATTCTATGATGACGTGCAACGTGTGCTTGTTGATTGAAAACCTCGCCACATTCATTACGCTTGTTTCTCTCCAGTATGAATTGTTTTATGAATTACAAGGACTGAATTGTGATGGAAGGTTTTGCCACACTCATTACACTTGTAAGGTTTCTCCCCAGTGTGAATTGTCTTATGAATTACAAGGACTGAATTGTGAGAGTAGGTCTTGCCACACTCATTACACTTGTAATGTTTCTCTCCAGTATGAGTTCTATGATGACGTGCAAGGTGTGCTTGTTGATTAAAAACCTCGCCACATTTATTACACTTGCAAGCGTTCTCTCCAGTATGAAGTCTATGATGACATGCAAGCTTTGCTTTGCGATTAAAAACCTTGCCACATTCATTACACTTGTAAGGTTTCTCTCCAGTATGAATTGCCTTATGAATTACAAGGGCCGAATTTTGACTGAACATCTTACCACACTCATTACACTTGTAAGGTTTCTCTCTAGTATGAATTCTCCTATGACTTTCAAGGTTTGATTTGAATCTGAAAGCTTTATCACATTCTTCACATTTGTAAGGTTTCTCTCCAGCATGAGTTCGCCCGTGAACTGCAAGGTATGAACGATGTCTGAAAAATTTGTCACATTTATCACACTTGTAAGGTCTCTCTTTATTATGGATTCTCCAATGATTTGCAATAGTTGTAGCATTACTGAAGACGTGGTGACAATCATTACATTTGTAAAGTTTCCCTCTGCCATGGATTGCTTGATGGTAAATAAGCGCTGACTGCCTATGAAAGGTTTTGCCACACTCATTGCACTTCTAAGGTTTCTCTCCAGTATGACGTCTATGATGGCATGTGTTAACTCCTTACTGAAGGTCTTGCCACACTCATTACACTTATAAGATTTATTTCCAGTATGAAGTCTATGATGGCGTGTAAGGCATGACTTCTGACTGAAGGTCTTGCCACACTCATTACACTTGTACGGTTTCTCTCCATTATGAATTCTCCTATGTCTTTCAAGATTTGATTTGTATCTGAAAGTTTCATCACATTCTTCACATTTGTAAGGTTTCTCTCCAGTATGAAGTCTATGATGGCATGTAAGGGATGATGTATGACTGAAGGTCTTGCCACACCTATTACACCTGTAAGGTTTCTCACCAGTGTGAATTCTCCTATGTCTTTCAAGGTTTGATTTGAAACTGAAAGCTTCATCACATTCTTCACATTTGTAAGGTTTCTCTCCACTATGAAATTTATGATGGTATACAATGGATGACGTATGACTGAAGATCTTGCCACAATCATTACACTTATAACATTTCTCTCCAGTATGAATTTTCTGACGTATTTCAAGATTTTATTTGAAACTGTAAGCCTTGTCACATTCTCCACACTTGCAAGGTTTCTCTCCACTATGAAGTCTACAATGGCAGGTAAGGGATAACTCCTGACTGAAGGTCTTGCCACACTCATTACATTTGTACAGTTTCTCTCCATTATGAATTCTCCTATGTCTTTCAAGACTTGATTTGAAACGGAAAGCTTCATCACATTCTTCACACTTGTAAGGTTTCTCTCCAGTATGAAGTCTACGATGGCATGTAAGGGTTGACATATGACTGAAGGTCTTGCCACAATCATTACACTTGTATGGTTTCTCTCCAGTATGAGTTATCCTATGACTTTCAAGGTTTGATTTGAAACTGAAAGCTTTGTCACATTCTTCACATTCGTAAGGTTTCTTTCCAGTATGAATGCTACGATGGCATGCAAGGTATGACTTCTGACTAAAGGTCTTGCCACACTCATTACACTTATGTGGTTTCTCTCCAGTATGAATTCTCCTATGTCTTTGAAGGGCTGAATTGTGTCTGAAAGCTTTGTCACATTCTTCACATTTGTAAGGTTTCTCTCCAGTATGAAGTCGATGATGATATGTAAGGGATGACATCTGACTGAAGGACTTGCCACACTCATTACACTTGTAAGGTTTCTCACCAGTGTGACATCTACGATGGCGTGCAAGGTATCGCTTCCGAATAAAGACCTTGTCACATACATCACATTTATATTGTTTCTCTCCTAGATGAATAATCTGATGTTTCCTTAAGAGTGAGCTATAATTAAAGGCTTTGCCACTCTCAATACATTGGAAAGATTTTTCTCTCATGCGTACTTCCTGTCTTTGTGTGAGTAATGAATAATTCAGAAAATTATCCCCATAGTTATTAGATATATGGGTTTTGGGCCTACAAGAAATTCTTTGGGCTGTTGAAACCGAGGAAGCATCGTTGATAGACTTCTCCACTTGATTATTAATTTTCCCTTTGGGCTGAAATATGTGGAGTTCAGACAGATGTGAATGAAAGCTTGATCCAAGCTGATATTTAATAGGCTTGTTTCCAGCATGCCTGTGATCATATTGCTCTGTACTACCCATCAATTTTTTGATTTTTGTCATGGGTGCTTCATGGCCATTTCTTTCATCTTCTTGCCACTGAAACTCAAAGTTATGAATATCTTTCTCAATTTCCTGGAAGGAAAAATCTCCAATGTGATGACGTTCATGTCTTTGCAATGTCCCTGTGTGGATCACTTCTGTATTGCCTTGTGCTGTTGATGAGAACTCCTTCATTGTGCATTTGGAAGAGATACCTACAAAATATAAACACTAATAGGTACACAAAAGACAATACTGATTTTAAACTTCCCAAACATGATCTTCAAAGTTTAGGAACACAAAATCGTAAGATTCTTTAATAAATAAAGGGCGATTACATGTGCTTCAAATTATTATTATGAAAGCTTATTTCCAATATCATGACAAAACACTGAAGGGCACAAACATGTGTAAGCCTAAAATAAGGAGTATTTTTCCACTGTGACCCTAAAGTGTCTAACAGTTTGCAAAAGACATATCACTGTCACATCAATGAAAAGTATATATTCTTCATATTTACAGCATACTTACTGTATACAAATAAATACTAAAGGACCACACAATATAATATACTGGTAAATAATCCACAGCAAGCTCATGTAAGGATAACCAAAATCAATGGAAATTCTGTATTGTTAAATAATCATAGCACTGAGAAGATAAGAAAAGTTTACAAAATTTAGCAAGGCATGGTGGTGCACGTCTGTACTCCCAGCTACTCGCAAGGGTGAGGTACAAGAATTGCTTGAACCCAAGAGGCAGAGGTTGCAGTGAGCCGAGATCGCACCACTGTACTTCAGCCTGGATGACAAAGTGAGACTCCATCTCAAAAAAAAAAAAATATTTTTCTGAATAACTGTCATAAAATTACCTATATCCATGCAGAAAAGGCATATTGTAACATTTAAAATTTTTTTTTTATTTTTGTATTTTTGAGACAATGTTTCACTGTGTCACAACAGGCTGGAGGGCAATGGCCTGATCTCAGCTCACTGCAACCTCCACCTTTTGGGTTCAAGCCATTCTCCTGCCTCAGCCTCCTGAGTACATGGGATTACAGGCACATGCCAGCATGCTTGGCTAATTTTTGTATTTTTAGTAGAGATAGGGTTACATCATATTGGCCAGGCTGGCCTTGAACTTTTGACCTCAAGTGATCCACCCGCCTCAGCCTCCCAAAGTCCTGGGATTGCAGGCGTGAGCCACAGCACCCGCTGGCACTTTGTGACATTAACTAGTAAACTGTGTCAGTTATATTGCATACCACATACCGAAAAGCTTTATGTAAAATCATAAAAATGAATTGGTAAAATAACTGTAACGCATAAAACCAGCAAGCAAATCATAAGTACATTTATACAAACTGCAGAATTCTAAACAATTCCCTGTTAAGAAAAAAGCACAACTTCTACTTACCACCAGCACACAATATAAGAACTGAAATACATGTTAAGATCACTACCTTCTGATGTATGAGGTCAAAAAAATATGCAGCATTATAATGAATAAGAATTCACTAACAGCCGGGTGCAGTGGCTCATGCCTGTAATTCCAGCACTTTGGGAGGCCGAGGTGGGAAGACCATGAGGTCAGGAGTTCAAGAATAGCCTGGCCAACGTGGTGAAACCATAACTCTACTAAAAATACAAAAAAATTAGCTGGGTGTGGTGGCGGGTGCCTGTAATCTCAGCTACTCAGAAGGCTGAGGCAAGAGAATCGTTTGAACCCAGGAGGTAGAGTTTGTGGTGAGCCAAGGTCCCACCACTGCACTCCAGCTTGAGTGACAGGGTGAGACTTCGTCTCTAAGAAAAAAAAAAAGAATTGACTAATAGTGCCGGAGGGTGCAATTATGATGTCACAACTACATTTATGAAACAGCCAGGCAATACAGCAATTCTATATATATATATACATTGCCCTATGTATCTAGTTCACTATGCATAAAATATAAAACATAGAATGTGTACTGGGAAAATTTATAAACTGAGATCAGAGAAAACATTGTATGAAACAAATTAAACAATAAAAACATAAATAAGATGATGCAGGCTCCCTGGTCTGAATGTTTGTATTGGCCAAACGCCATGTTCAGAGTTCTTATTCTCCAATAGGATGTTCCTGCAGATGGGGCCTTTGAGACAATTTGGTCACGGGTGTTGACTACTCGTGAATAGGACTTGTGCTTTCATAAAAAGAGACATTAAAGAGCTCGTTGCCTGTTCCTGTTTCCACCATGTCAGGACATGGCAGGAAGATGGCTGGGCTAAACCATGAGGAAGGCTCTCACCAGGAACCAATGTGGCTGGCACCTTGCTCTTGGATTTCCCACTTTCCAAACTCATGAGAAATAAATTTCTGTGTCTTAAGCCTCCCAGTTTAAGCTATTTCTTTTTTTGTTTGTTTTTGAGACCGAGTCACGCTCTATCACCCAGGCTGGAGTGTAGTGGCACGATTCTCCTGCCTCAAGAGATTCTCCCGCCTCAGCCTGTAGTCTCACTTTGGTGCCCAGACTGGAGTGCAGTGGTGTAACCTTGGCTCACTACAACCTCCACCTCCCGGGTTCAAGATTCTCCTTCCTCAGCCTCTCGAGTACTTGGGATAACAGCCATGTGCCACCACGCCCAGCTAATTCTTGTATTTTTAGTAGAGACAGGGTTTCACCATGTTGGTCAGGCTGGTCTCAAATTCCTTAACTCAGGTGATCCGCCCCTCTCGGCCTCCCAAAGTGCTGGGATTACAGGCTTGAGCCACTACACCTAGCCAATTTCTTGTATTTAGTAGATTCGAGGTTTCACCATGTTGGCCAGACTGGTCTCAAACTCCTGACTTCAAGCTATCTGCCCACCTCAGCATCCCAAACTGCTGGGATTAAGGCATGACCCACCTCAGCTGGCCAGTCTAAGCTATTTCTGACAGGACAGTGAAATGACTGAGACAGGAAAAGAAGCATCTCATGATTCACATCACTGAAGGCTGACAAATCTAATTAAACAAAGGAAGTTTAGGGCCTGTACTATAAATTTTGCAATACTTGAAGCCATCTAATAGCAATAACATGTTTTAAAAACTTTGAGGCCGGCTGAGTGAGGTGGTTCACACCTGTAATCCCAGCACTTTGGGAGGCTGAGGGAGGAGGATCATGAGGTCAGGAGATCGAGACCATTCTTGCTAACACAGTGAAACCCCGTCTCTACAAAAAACAAAAATACAAAAAATTAGCCTGGTGTGGTGGCACATGCCTGTAGTCCCAGCTACTTGGGAAACTGAGGCAGGAGAATCGCTTGAACCTGGGAGGCAGAGGTTGCAGTTAGCCAAGATTGTGCCACTGCACTCCAGCCTGAGTGACAGACCGAGACTCCATCTCAAAAAAAAAAAAAAAAGAAATGAAAGAAGCCTAAGAGTAACTCCAACCCACAAATATATATAAAATTCTCCAGTAAAGGTAAATAAAAAGACAGATAGGCCGGGCGCAGTTTTTCAAACCTGTAATTCCAGCAGATTAGGAGGCCGAGGTTGGCAGATCACCTGAGGGCGGGAGTTCAAGAAAAGCCTGACCAAAAAGGAGAAATCCCATGTCTATTAAAATACAAAATTAGCCAGGCATGGTGGCATATGCCTATAATCCCAGCTACTCGGGAAACTGAGGCAGGAGAATTGCTTGAACCCAGGAGTTGGAGGTTGCAGTGACCCGAGATTGTGCCATTGCACTCTAGCATGGGTGACAAGAACAAAACTTCGTCTCATTAATAAATAAATAAATAGGCAAATAAAAGGACAGATACAGAAACTGGTATATGTGTCCCTTCATAATTCAACTTTTTTTCCTATTATTTAGAAGAAAAAAGCATGAAAAAACACTGTACATATATGTTAATGAAAATGCAGCATACACAGAAATAATTCCGACATAAATAAAGTTCTGGTGGAGAAAGAGAAGCTTTTGCAGGTTGTGGAATCTTTTTTTCTTTGAGACAGAGTCTCACTGTGTTGCCCAGGCGGGAGTGCATGGCACAATCTCAGGTCACCACAACCTCCACCTCCAGGGTTCAAGTGACTCTCCTGCATTAGCCTCTTGAGTAGCAGGGATTACAGGCACCCACGACCGTGTCTGGCTAATTTTGTATTTTTAGTAGAGACGGAGTTTCACCACGTTAGACAGGCTGGTTTTGAACTCCTGACCTCAGGTGATTTGCCCACCCCCGGCCTTCCAAAGTGCTGGGATTACAGGCATGAGCCACTGGGGCACAAGAATTGTTTGAGCCCGAGATGTGGAGCCGGCTGCGGTGAGCCAAGATCGCCCCACTGCGCTGCAGCCTTGGCCACAGAGGGAGACTCCATCATAAACAAACAAACAAACAAAAGTAAAGAAGAAAGGAGTCAAAGCGTGTCTACACAGAAAAGCAATTAAACACAATAAGCAGGAAATGGAGAATGAAGAACAAAAAACAAACCTGAAAAAACAAAATAAGAACAAAATAACAACAAAAAAAATCAAGAAATACAGATAATATGTAACAAAAAGGCAATGGTAAGGTCTTCTGCATCAGTAATATTTCAAATGCAAATATTTAACTCTGCACTCAGAAGGCAAAGACTGACTCAATCAACAGGAACCAACTACTTGTTGTCCACAGAAGACTCATATTAGCCCTAAGGACACACATATGCAAAAAGTTTAAAAACAAAAGCCAATAGTTAGGTACGGGGGTTGGCGCCTGTAATCCCAGCTTCTTGGGAGGCCGAGGAGGATGTCTTGAGCCCAGGAGATCAAGACCAACTTCAACCGCACAGCAAGAACCTGTCTCTAAAAAAAGAAACTAAAAAAGTATCCTGGCATGGTGGCATGCACCTGTACCACTACGAGGGGAGGCTGAGGTGGGACAATCACTTGAGCCCAGGAATTCAAGATTGCAGTGAGCCATGATCACACCATTGCACCCCACCCTTGGGGACAGAGAGAGAGATACTCTATCTAAAAAAAGAGAAAATACAAAGATACGAAAGGACACATCCCCACTTCTGGAGGGAAGTTATCCTCACCCAGGGAGACCAGGTTCCTATAATTCTCCAGCATCACGTCCCTGTATAGAGTCCTCTGAGCAGGGTCCAGGCATTTCCACTCCTCCTGAGAGAATTCTATGGCCACATCCCTGAATGTCAATAGACCCTGAAATGAAAACACATTTTAACCAAATGGTTATGGGAGGAGTTCTTATCTTTACAGAAAATGAGAAGAGGAGAGAGGGGAAAGCATGGATTTAATTGCAGTGAATGTTCTGACAAATCCGAGTAAGGGGTTTTTCACTGCATTTTGTCTTCCCAGTTGTGTTTTGTTATACTTTTATTTTTTTTGAGACAGAGTCTCACTCTGTCACTCAGGCTGGAGTGCAATGGCATAGTCTCCGCTCACTGCAACCTCCACCTCCCAGGATCAAGCGATTCTCCTGCCTTAGCCTCCTGAGTAGTTGAAATTACAGGTGCATGCCACCACGCCAATTTAATTTTTGTATTTTTAGTAGAAACGGAGTTTCACCATACTGGCCAGGTTTGTCTCAGACTCCTGACCTCGTGATCTGCCTGATACAGTCTCTCAAAGTGCTGGAATTGCAGGCCCAATTCTGGGCCCTGCCTGGCGCAGAAACTTTTGTTGACACACTAAGTGACATTCAGTATCTAGATGAGACAGAGTATGAGTGATGTCTTCAGAGATTACAACGTCCACAGTGAAAGATCAGAAACTAAAATCCAGCCAGGCACGGTGGCACATGCCTGTTATCCCAGCTACCCAGGAGGGTGATGCAGAACTGCTTGATCCCAGTAGGCAGAAGTTGCAATGATCCAAAATTGCACCAATCCAGCCAGGGCAACAGAGACTCCATCTCAAAAAAAAAAAAATTAGCTGGGCATGGTGGCAGGCACCTGTGGTTCCAGCTACTTGGGAGCCTGACGGAGGAGGATGGCTTGAGCCTGAGGGTGGAGGTTACAGTGAGCTAAGATCACACCACTGTGCTCCAGCCTGGGCAACACAGTGAGACCCAGTCTCAAAATAAAAGAAAATACATGAAAACTAGATTACTCAAAGTAGGAAAATCCATTATATAGATATATTTGTCAACAAAATAATGAGACCTACACAGACTCACAAAAAAACTAGATGTTAATACAAAGGGTTGTCATTTTCCCCAGATTTTCAAAATGTAAAAGTTGTTCAAAATATATACATTTGTGTGTGTCTATACGTATGTATATGTATATGTGTGTGTGTATGTATATATAAATACAGGTTGTAAAAATATAAAATAGCAAGTTTTGTATAACTGAAGAGGAATCTCATCTTGCTGGAAAAGGACACTTTGGCGGTTGGGGGCAGGGAGGAATCTTGTCAGATCTAAGAAAACAGGAAATGCCCCATCCTAGAAGAAGCAATCACCCTTTCAACTGCCTGACCTGGAGGAAATTTCAGATATCTGTAGGAATGCAGGCACGTGCAGAGGCAGCCACTATGGCACTCTTTATACAGGGAAAAATCACAAAGGACCCACATGTTGTCATTCAGCTAATTTCCAACGCAGATGTCAAAGAGCAAGCTAGCCATGTTCACTAACATGACAACATGTAAATTCACAACTAGCAGGATGAAATATCAAGGTAAAATATTTCCTGGAACACAAAGAAGAAAACAAAACACACTGAGGTCTGCTTGAGAGTGGGGAGAGTGGGAGGAAGGAGAGGAGCAGAAAAAATAACTATTGGGGGCTGGGCAAGGAGGCTCACACCTGTAATCCCAGCTGTTTGGGAGGCCGAGGTGTGTGGATCATCTTAGGTCAGAAGTTCAAGATCAGCCTGGCTAACATGGTGAAACCCTATCTCTACTAAAAATACAAAAATTAGCCAGGTGTGGTAGCAGGCCCCAGTAATTTCAGCTACCCAGGAGGCTGAGGCAGGAGAATCGCTTGAGCTCGGGATGCAGAGGTTGCAGTTGGGCTTAATACCAGAGTGATGAAATAATTTGTACAACAAACCCTGATGACCCTAGTTTACCTATGTAACAAACCTGCACATGCAGCCCCAAACCTAAAGTAAAAACATAAATATAAAAACTATTTTTTTTTTTTTGAGACGAAGTCTTGCTCTGTGCCCAGGCTGGAGTGCAGTGGCACAATCTCATCTCACTGCAACCTCCGCTTCCCAGGTTCAAGTCATTCTCTTGCCTCAGCCTCCTGAGTAGCTGGGATTACAGGCATGCGCCACCATGCCTGGTTAATTTTTGTAAAAAAAAAATTTTGTAATTTACTGCAGAATTTTTCCGGAGTCTCATAACGATACAGAAATACATGAGTACCACACCTGACACCTGACACCGAACTGACAGTAGCGGCTCCCCAGTGAGGCTGGAAGGAGGGTGGAGGACACGACAGAGAAAAGAAGATGCTTTATGGCAAAGGGTATAAGCTGCAGCTTTGCTTGGAGTTTTACCACAAAACAAATATATTCATCATGTGATGTTTAAATATAAACATATATATTTAATAATAATTGATGGGGCTGGGCATGGTGGCTCATGCCTGTAATCTCAGCACTCCTGGAGGCTGAGGCAGGCAGATCACCTGAGGTTAAGAGTTTGAGACTAGCCTGGCCAACATGGTGATACTTGTCACTAATAAAAATACAACAAAATTAGCTTGGCATGGTGGTGCATGCCTATAATCTCAGCTACTGGGGAGGCTGAAGCAGGAGAATCGCTTGAACCTGGGAGGTGGAGGTTGCCATGAGCCAAGATCATGCCACTGCACTTCAGCCTGGGTGACAGAGAAAGACTTCTTATATTTAAAATATAATAATATTATCAGAATATCATAATAATAATAATTGTAACAGGTGGAATGAGAATATGGCTCCATCCTCTAGGATAAAAATGAAGTACTGCTCTCATATGTGAGAAAAGTTATAACCATTTTTACTGAAAACACCTGTTTCACAAGCCTCTCCACAGTAACACCACGGTCTCCATGAGCTTAATATGCTGCAAATGGATTAATGAATCTCCTGCTATTATTTAGGTTGATTTCATATTCTTAAAATAAAGATGGAATCAAACATCTTGTATCATTCATGTCTGTGTATGAACTTTCCATTCTAATTACTAAGATTTTGGAGTCAGAAACACAGCAACCCATTCAATTACCTAAAAATATAGTATAAAATCAGGCAGAAAGGATTTCCCAATATTGGTCTCCTTTTCTGGAATTTACCACGTACTTTGTGCACATTAGTGCGTGACTTCCAGTGGCAGCTGCTCTAATCCTGGTCCACAGAGAGCTGACAGTGCATCCAGATGTGGCCCCTGAACAATCCCTGCTGCCCAACAGCACTGACACCACGGGACCCTCACCCCGTCTCCATCCATGTCTGGTTGTGAGCCCTTCCCAAGACCATGCCCAGTGCAGCCTCTTCCCAAGTTCATGTCACTGAGCCACAAGAGATAAAATCTAAGTGAGATGAGAGGGACTGAGGGAAGGCATGGGTGAATGTGAGCAAACCTGTCAGGCAGGAAGCTTCAGACTTAGAAGATTCCCAACTCCAAGGTCAGCATTTCTGAAAGGAAGGAGACAGAACAATCCACTGAGAATATCGTCTCACCTGAGGAAGAGCCATCCCTGACTCCTCTGCTTTCCTTTTCCGGGTTTCTTCCTCATGTACCAAGAGTCTTTAGATGTCAATCCTGAGTGATAAAAATATGTTGTTTATTGCTCAGAATCAACACACACCCTCCCTGTAACACAATGACACATACAAAGGAGACCTCACCCTGATGAAATACAGTCCCCTCTACTGCCCTCCACACCAGGTACCAGGTACAATAAACTCCTACAGGAAAACTCCCACTCCCCTCCTGGGGAAGCCTACACACACGCTGCAGCAGTGGGGAGCTGGGCTGGAATGAGCTCTTCAGGGCACCGACCCAGACCTGACCAAACTTCATACAGAGGCTGGGTGCAGTGGCTCACAGCTGTCATCCCAGCACTGTGGGAGGCTGAGAGGGGTAGATCGCTTGAGCTCAGGAGTTTGAGACCAGCCTAGGCAACATGGTGAAACCCCATCTCTACCAAAAATATAAAAACTTAGCCAGGCATAGCGGTGCATGTCTGTGTGTCTGTGCTCCCAGCTACTTAGGAGGTTGAGGTGGGAGAATCACTTGAGCTCAGGAGTTCGAGACCAGCCTGGCCAACATAGTGAAACCCTGCCTTTACTAAAAATACAAAAATTGAGCCAGTCACAGTGGCTCACGCCTGTAATACTAGCACTCTGGAAGGCCAAGGTGGGTGGATTACTTGAGGTCAGAAGTCTGAGACCAGCATGGTCAACATGGTGAAACCTTGTCTCTATTAAAAATACAAAAAGTAACTGGGCTTGGTAGGTGTCTGTAATCCCAGTTACTCGGGAGACTGAGGCAGGAGAATCGCTTGAACCCTGGAGGTGGTGGTTGCAGTGAGCCGAGATCATGTCACTGCACTCCAGCCTGGGTGACAGAATGAGACTCAAAACTAAACTAAAAATAAAAATACAATAATTAGCTGAGTGTGGTGGCACACACCTGTAATCTCAGCTAATTGGGAGGCTGAGACACAAGAATCGCTTGAGCCCAGGAGACGTAGGTTGCAGTGAGCCAAGATCATGAGACTGCACTCACAGCCTGTGCGACAGAGTGAGACTCTGTCTAAAAAAAAAAAAAAAAAAGCGTTTCTGATGTGATTGATGCAGAGATAATAAAACCTGAGTCATGTGATAGAGACTGATGGGCAGAGGGAACTTCAGATGGGGTGGAGGGCATGGGAGACAGCTCTGAGCCTAGACCTGAACGCAGAGGAAAGGGACAGGGCTGTCATCATTTAGGGACATAGGTTAAGAGCAGGGACAACGACCTGAGACAGGAAAGGTTCTGATGTTTGGGAAAAGCGAAAAGCAAATGTGACTGGGGCAAAGGGAGTCATGAGATGAGGGCAAGCTCCCAGGAGGAGGCTGGACACTGGCAGGGGCCCTGGACACAGGGCTGTGGAGCCACAGTGAGGAGTTGGGCTTTTGTCCTGGGGAACACGGGAAGCCGGTGGAGGGTTCCCTGCCAGGGACTGACGTGACCTGCTTTAGATTTGGCTGTGATGTCCTCATACAGAGAAAGGCCCCGAAGATAGTCTCTGTGTCTGAGTCTGCAACTCTGTTTCTTCCATTCTTCTGCATTTTATTATTTTTTTTTCATTTTTGGGGTACTGCATCCCATTTAAAATTCTAATTACAACTGGGCACTCCCCTCTCCCAGAAGAAAAGCCACACCCAGACATGCATTCTATTTTGCCAACCATTTAAGGGGCCAGGGTCACTCGGGTTGAGCTTTTCTGGTCTAGCCCCTCATCTCCAAGTTGCAGGGAGGCTCACTGGGCTCAGAGCAGGGAAATTTTCACCAAGTTACCCTGAGAAGGTCTGAGATGAGTGAGAAGGTGTGCCTGTTCTTTTTTTTTTTTTTTTTTGACATGGAGTCTCGCTCTGTCTCCCAGGCTGGAGAGCAGTGGCAGGATCTCGGTGCAAACTCCGCTTCCCACGTTCACACCATTCTCCTGCCTCAGCCTTTCGAGTAGCTGGGACTACAGGCATCCACCCAACATCTGGCTAATTTTTTGTATTTTTAGTAGAGAAGGGGTTTCACCAAGTTAGCCAGGATAATCTCGATCTCCTGACCTCCTGATCTGCCCGCCTCAGCCTCCCAAAGTGCTAGGATTACAGGCGTGGGCCACCGCACCCAGCTACCTGAATTATTACATGGGGGCCTGGAAGAGCTAATGGAAGTGTTGGTCTTTATCACCCCTATCCTTGAAAATTAGAGAGGTATCTTTCACATATCTGGGCTAAAGAAACTTCTTGGCCGGGCGCGGTGGCTCACGCCTGTAATCCCAGCACTTTGGGAGGCCGAGGCGGGCGGATCACGAGGTCAGGAGATCGAGACCATCCTGGCTAACACGGTGAAACCCCACCTCTACTAAAAATACAAAAAATTAGCTGGGCGTGGTGGCGGGCGCCTGTAGTCCCAGCTACTGGGGAGGCTGAGGCAGGAGAATGGCGTGAACCCGGGAGGTGGAGCTTGCAGTGAGCCCAGATCGCGCCACTGCACTCCAGCCTGGGTGACAGCGAGACTCCGTCTCAAAAAAAAAAAAAAAAAAAAAAAAAAAAAGAAACTTCTTTTGCAAGGTTCTGTTGCCTTTGGTTCCCGACGTTTAATTCTTCCTTACAAGAAAATCACAGTAACATTTATAAAATGCAGAAGTGCGAACCCACAGCTATTGACCTTAAAAACAGTGAAAAGAAGGTCAGCTGTAGAACTAAGACATAAGCAAATTGTTTCCATCAAGAATACATGGGTGGCCGGGAACAATGGATCATGCTTGTAATCCCAGTACTTTAGGAGGTTAAGGCAGGTGGATCACCTGAGTTCAGGAGTTTGAGACCAACCTGGCCAACATGGTGAAACCCGTCTCTACTAAAAATACAAAAAATTAGCTGGGCATGGTGGTGGGTGCCTGAGAGGCTGAGGCAGGAGGATCACTTGAACCTGGGAGGTGGAGGTTGCAGTGGGCCAAGATTGTGCCATTGCACTCCAGCCTGGGCAACAAGAGCAAAACTCCAGCTCAAAAAAAAAAAGAACTTGTACATAGACAATCTACTCAATTTGTGACCAAGAAAATAACCAACCTTATGTATCTTATAACTCCAAGTTTTCACCTGGTGAATAGTTTAAAATTCATGCAAGGTCAAAAAAAAGTTCCCTTTTAAACCAAACCAAGGTCCTTCCCTTTTACCGAGGGCCTATTTCTCTGTATTTTGATGCTTGTCATCAGCAGACCTAGACTCATCTGTCTATGGTAACCTACCTATAAAAAGATACTATAGAAATGACTACAGATACGTATGCATGCCACCTTGTCCTTCTGAGACCCCAGAAAAAGATTCTCAGTATTGCATATCGTGGCACCCCAGCACACAACAAAGGACAATCATGCTTACCAAAATGCCGGTAAAACCAGATTGTGAAACAAAAATCTGTCATCCCGTAAATTTCACCATTCTAAAGCCAGACTTACCCGTGTGGACCGCAGGTTACCCCATTCATGTCTCCACACACACCTACCCAGCAACCTACCTATATGTTATCAAAAAAGGAACCCCGACCCTTCTGGCCCAGCAACAATTCCAAATCTTTAAATTATTCTACAAGCAGGTAGACCAGAAGTTACCAGAGCCTCCTCCTTTAGCTAAAAGCCTGTTTGCTTGGCTAGCTGAAAACATTGCTAGCAGCCTAAGCATTTCCTCATGTTATGTTTGTAGAAGGACTAACATAGGAGACCACTGGCCTTAAGAAGCAAAAGCGTTAATGCCACAAGATAATTTAACTCTAACTGACTCTTCCCCCAAAGCAATGCCCACAGTTTCAAGCCCCTAGCTCTTAAAAACTTCTATTATCAGGAGATACTGTGTTGCTCACTAAGGAAAAGCTTTTACAGAGTCACTAGAAGAATTAACTTGTTTAAGACAGCAATATTATAATAAAACACTAAAGAAAACTTTGTGGCAAGGCAAAGATGACTCCAGATCACCTCATCCAAACTCATTCTCCCGTTTCTCTTCTCTAAACCACACATAGTATCAGCTTGAAGCTCCAAATACCTGGCAAGCACCCTCTGGTCTCTATTAGAACTGTGTGCCACAGGCCTACTGACAGTTGCCAGCCAAATGGACAAGGGCTTGTGTACTTGAAACAATCAGACCATCTTTCTTCTAACTCCCATTGCAACAAGGAGAAATTTTAAGGTATCCTGTCTACAACAAAATTAAAGAAAAAAAACAAAAGAGATATAGACATAAGAAAAGACATAAAAATAGAAGATTAGAAAGATACAGACTGGCCCCCTGAAAGACTAATTCTGTACTCTAGGCCAGCTACCTGGGCACGAGATAAGTCATAAAGGTATCGCACCCCGATTTACACGCTTAACCACATCATAAATTTGCAAGCAGTACTTGAAATCATCACTAATGAAACTGGCCCAGTAAGCCATGAAAATGAGAAATGCCATCTACCAAAATAGATTAGCTTTAGACTACCTCCTAGCCTAGGAAGGAGGAGTATGTAGAAAGTTTAATCTAACTAATTGCTGCCTAGAAATCAATGACAACAGGAAGGCTGTTATAGAAATAACTGCAAGTATGAAAAAATTATCCCATGTTCCAGTCCAGACTTAGACAAAGTAGACTCCCGAGTCCCTCTTTAGAGGCTGGTTTTCCTCCTTCAGTCGATTCAAAACCTTAATAGGAGTAGTTCTAGAAATACTAAGAATTGGTTTAATACTCCCTTACCTCTTACCTCTCCTTGTTAAGAACATTTAATCAACTATAGAAGCAATTGTAACCAGGCAGACTACCACTCAGCTAATAGCTCTGTATAAATATCAGCCTGTGCCTAAAGAAGAAAACCTGCTCTTTCATGAAGAATCCAGTAATAGTGATGCTTTCTATTAAAATCTTGATAATAAAAAGCATCTAAGGGAAGAAACTGAAGCAGAAATTTAAAAAAAAAAATGTATTCATTCACTCCAAGAATAGTAACAGGCAAGGCAAGGGTTAAAAAGAAAAGAAGTTTTCCTCTGCCTAGCAAGCTCACTTCAAGAACAGTTATGAGACGCTGTTTGAGAAGTTGAAGCCAAAGGAATGAGCTCCTGACACCCCCACCTCCAGAACAAGGGTGAAGGAAAAAAAAAGGACAAACGTGTGTATTTAGCTGTTCTTGTTTTTCTTTCAATGCAGCTACAAGGCCACCAGCTATGGAAGGACACAAGTTATGCTATGCTATAGATTACGTGACCTATTATATGATTAACTGCTTCTACTCTGCTTCTGAAAGCAAAAAAAACCCACTCTGTGTTTGTTGAAATGCTCAGCTTTTTAGATGTAAATCTGCTGAGCCGCTGTGTACCTTAAATAAACATCCTCCTGTCTCCCCCATATCAGTCTCTCTAGTCCTCAGTTTCCCGCAACACCATCTCTGCGCCTCCTCTGCTCTCCCCGTTAAATTCTCTCTTCTCTGTTATACCCCCTGTCCCCACTCTCTGGCACCCCAGATCCCCAGGTGTCCTCCCTGCTGTGGTTCTCCCTCTGTTCTCTTTGCCACCAGCACCACTCTGCTCTGTCTGCCCTGGCTCCAAATCCCTCCTCCTCTCCCTCACCCTGATGAGCCTCCCTCTTTGCTGTCCCTCTCCCTACCTTGCTGTCCTTCATCTCTCTGTACATCTAGCTTTTCTCTACATTTCTCTAGTTGCTTTTCTCCTCCTGCTTATCTTTTTTTTTTTTTTTTTCACTTTTGCTGTCTCTTGGCAAATCCCTCACCCATCCTCTACTTTGCCATCTGTTATGGGCCTTTCTCATTCTTCTTTTCTCTGTCTCAGGTTTTCTACTGCTGTCTGTCTCCCGATCCCTTTGGCCCACACAATCACAGGAGGGTTTGGAGTAAGACGCCTGCATCCCGGAGGAGCTTATTTTCCAGGGGCTGGAACTGGGCAGGCAAGAACACCCCGTGTCACAGGACAGAACCCGGGCACCTCCCCTAACGCAGGCTCAGGGCAAGCTGTGACTGCGGATGGGAGACCTGGGGAGCAGCAGGGCCCGGCATGAGGAGGGACGTGGGGGGCGACGGCGCCTTAAGACAAGGGTGGGGTTTGTAGGATCCCAGGACAGGCAGAGAACTCGGCCTCCCCGGGACCGGAGCTGCGACGCTGCGCTCTAGGGGCCGACGAGGGCGAGGCTGGGAGGCGCCCAGGGCGGGAATTCACCTCTCGGGTGAGGACTTTAAAAAGCGCGGGGCGGGAGGAGTCAGAAAAAGGTTTAGAGCAGGAAAACTACGCGATAGAAAGTGTATATATTGCCCTATAGCAGAAAGATCCGGAACGGGACCAGCCTCAGGGAGACTTTAAACCCAAAAGGAAGTGACCCCCGGGCTCTCACGGGGACGTCTCAATTTGCTCTGGGCGAAGGAAGACGGGTGAGAATTTCCAGGTCTGTAGGGACCCCACGTCCCAGGGACAGAAGCGCCGGGGACCTGGGAAGAGCAGACTTCATACAAGATGGAGCGAAACTCACGCGCCGCTGAGGGACCTTCACTCCACGCGATCTGCTTCCGGGTTTGCGCGCGTCTGAGCGGGGAAGGACAGAAGCCAGGCCTGGGCGGGGCCTGCGAGGAGGTGGGCGGGGCCTGGGCCAGGTAGGGGTAGAGGCGGAGAGACCTTGCCCTTTAGTACCGGCAGAGGGCGGGGCGGGGCTGGGCTGGGGCGGGATCTGTGCGTCTCTCAGCCTCCCTCCCACCGCCTCTGTTTTTGGGTTTTGGAGGCGAGATGGCCAGGAAGGCCGATCCATGATTCAAAAGCCCTGGAATTGTCTGAAACGCGGATGCAAAGTAGAATGTGAAATGCAAAGCCCTGCTTGGGCAGAACTTACAATGTCATGCTGACGGCCCAGAGAATAGAATAGAAATCCTCTCCCTTTCTATTCTCCATTCACTCCGGAGGGAGAGTCCACCCTGTGCTCAGCTGCAGAGACTTCCCTAAAGCCACCGCCTGGGATGCTGGACGGAGTGCTCAGGCCAGCGAGGAGTGAGGTCACCACCTGCCGGATAAACACAGCAAGGATGCGGACGCGGGCGCGGGAGCCTGAGGTCCCATCTACTCAGGAAGCAGGGCGGGAGGATCGCTGAACCTGGGGGTCCAGGCCAGCCTGGGCGACAAAGTAACACCCCCTCCCGCAGGGCTCCCTTCCTCGTTTCTCTCTTTCTCTCTTTATTTTTCGTTGTTTTTTTTTTACGTTTTAAAATAAGAGGTTGATTGTATGAGATAGGGATCCAACATTGTTCTTTTCCATGTGGATATCCAGTTAGTTGTCCATTCCACATTTGTGGAAGAGATCTGTTACTTTCTTTTATGTATTTACTTATTTCTTTTCTTTTGTTTTGAGACAGAGTATTTCTCTGTCATCCAGGCTGCAGTGCAGTGGTGGGATCTCGACTCACTGCAAGCCTCTGCTTCCTGGGTTCAAGTGATTCCCCTGCCTCAGCCTGAAGGGGGCCTGCCCCTCCACACCTGCGGGTGTTTCTCATCAGGTGGAGATGAGAAACTGAGAAAAGAAATAAGACACAGAGACAAAGTATAGAGAAACAGCAGTGGGCCCAGACAACCGGAGCTCAGTGTGCGAGTACCCGCACCGGCGCTGGTCTCTGAGTTCCCTCAGTATTTATTGATCACTATTTTTACTATCTTTGTGAGGGGAGTGTGGCAGGGCAACAGGGTGATGGTGGCGAGAAGGTCAGCAGGGAAACGTGAGCAAAGGAATCTGTGTCATGAATAAGTTCAAGGAAAGGTACTGTGCCTGGATGTGCACGTAGGCTAGATTTATGTTTCTCTTCACACAAACATCTCAGTGTAGCAAAGAGTCACAGAGCAGTATTGCTGCCAGCATGTCTCACCTCCAACCACAGGGCGGTTTTCTCCTACCTCAGAATAGAATGAATGGTCGGCTTTACACCGAGGCATTCCATTCCCAGAAATGAGCAGGAGACAGAAGCCTTCCTCTTATCTTGACTGCAAAGAGGCCTCCCTCTTTCACTACTCCTCCTCAGCACAGACCCTTCACGGGTGTCGGGTTGGGGGATATAAGGTCTTTCTTTTCCCATGAGGCCATATCTCAGGCTGTCTCAGTGGGGGGAAACTTGGACAATACCCAGGCTTTCTAGGGCAGAGGTCCCTGCGGCTTTCCGCAGTGCATTGTGTCCCTGGTTAACAGAGAATGGAGAATGGCGATAACTTTTACCGGGCATACTGCCTGCAAACATATTGTTAACAAGGCACACCCTGCACAGCCCTAAATCCATTAAACCTTGATTCAATACAGCACATGTTTCTGTGAGCACAGGGTTGGGGCTAAAGTTACAGATTAACAGCATCGCAAAGCAGAACAATTTTTCTTAATACAGATCAAAATGGAGTTTCTTATGTCTTCCTTTTCTACATAGACACAGTAACAGTCTGATCTCTCTTTCTTTTCCCCACATTTCCCCCTTTTCTTTTTGACAAAACCACCATCGTCGTCATCACCCATTCTCAATGGTCGCTGTCTCTTCGGAGCTGCTGGGTACACCTGCAGACTAACAACAGACAGAACAGGAACACAAGGATTAATATGAAATTTACAATAGTGGAACTTGCGATGGTTTTAACCCAAGTGACCGGGTTAAGATTTGCGAGGCCATCAGCAGCTTTCGCGATTGCCTCAGTTCCTGGCACCAAATTTAAATGGGTTTTTGATGCCTCAAAAATTTTTCTTTTAATTTTGAAATGTCTAAAGTAAGATCATCTTCTCTTCCTTGTAGATGGCATCTAACCATGTCCCAATGATGCTCAGACTCATTATAGGCTTAGGATGTAATACAAAAATGTGACATATTCCAGTCACAGTGTAACCAGAAATGATGTTTCAAGCTCGTGAGCCTATCTCCCATCCAAACAACATTGTGTCTAAGGTCATTAATTTGATTTGCCAATTTTTGATCAATACCAGATTATGAATTCCACAATCTTGTAGAATTCTTTTGCCAATAATTAAAAAAGTTTACTGTCTGAGCAGAAGAGTACAATGAAACTCCTGCCACAGAGGCCGTAGCTGTGACTGCAATTAGTCCCATAATCACTGCAATTAAAGAATATTTTGGATCTATTTAAAATGGCTTTGAATACTTCAGTCAAAATATGGACGGATGGCGAGGCCTCCCACGGTCAGTCCATGGACACAGGGACCCACACGCCTTCTCTTGCTCTCACTAGCAGAATATGGTGCTGCCAATTAAAAGTCGAATCAATGCAAGTAAACAATCTGCAGTTTTCACAGGTTATAGTTTGGGAGTCTGGTTTAATAACTATATTTCCTACAACTAGCATATAAGGGGGCTTTATACAACTTTGCAAAGGAACTGTTAGACTGGAATTTAGGTCGATAGTATAAAATGGCTTGCGATCTCTTCTTTATATAGCTTGATTTCCAGATCAAATTCTAATGCAATATGAGGCCACAGTAAGCATCCATAATTGTGGATGTTCAGGACCAGAAACAAGACTTATTATTTTTAGTCTTGGAGTAGAGATTCCTTTTTCTCCCCATTCCAAAGGGTAGAAAGACTGTAATTTTTTGTGCTTATGTTTGTCTAAACTTTCTGTTAAGTCACTGTTAACAGCTGGACTCACTTGTGCACTGGGACATGACTGAGTTTGTCCTGTGCAATTGTGGTAGAATTGACCTCGACATGTCCAATCTATAATAGTTCCGAATTCATTGTTTTGTAATATCTCCGCACTATCGGCCACACATTCTTCCCAAACTAAAACTTCTGTGCCTTTTGATTCTTTGGGAATTACCTTGGGGCAAGGCTTTTGTTTAGGCCTAAATTGTAATGATCATTGATAAGAAAAGTCCTGTAAATAATTTACCTGTGGCCTGAGAGACATTCCACTTACCGTGTGATAAGTGAATCTACTGGTGGTACCGACAGTAGGTACTTCTACCAACCAATTTTGGATTGCAGGCATTAAACATGCTGGTGCTCTCCCTAGGCAAATAGGAGGATAACGATACCCAGTGGAAATATTTATCATCATTCCTTCTTCCTCAGGTTTGGCAGGGCAACGATCATCTGTGGGGCCAGGTACCCATGCACTATTATTAACATATACTTCAATAGGATTATCCATCCATGTGACTGCCCGAATTAAGGGCGGGAAAGGCACATAGGCCCAGTAGGTATAATTAGCTGCAGCTGCCCCTGCAGGCAAGGGGAGACTTACCACCGTTGATACAATCATCAAAGCTGCAAGCAGCGTGTTCTCTGGAGTTTGTGTCACCTTTGTGTTCTCTAGGCTTTTTTTTGGTAACTGTGTCAGCTTCTTTAATTGTGCCCAAGTCGGCGGCTCTGCTTTCTTGGTGGATGGCAACTTCATCTGTTCTTCTGACATCACCATTTTGTTCACCTTGTGAATCGATGGTGTTTGATTGTGGTGTTTCCATCTCCGTGGAGGTGCTTTTCTTTGCATCTCTGATGGGTTCATTGTAGAACTTTAAATGTCTAGTGGGTATCTAAACAGGAAGCTGATTTTCTCCTGGTGAAACACAAGCAAAACCTCTCCCCCAAGTTACCACCTTCCCTATTTCTCATGTCTTATTGTTGTTGTCTTTTTATCAAATCAGTTTTCCTTCATGTGGGCTGTTCTTTTGACCAGTAAGATGTTCTGCAGAGGTAGTAGTCTGATTTCTATACATGTTTAAAACATTTAAAGTATAGAATGCTAGATTAAGTTGCATCTGAGGAGTGGTACACTCCTTACTGTCTCCCCCTTCTCTTTAACTAATTGAGTTTTGAGTGTTCTATTAGTTTTTTTTAACTATGGCCTGTCCTTGAGAATTATAGGGAATTCCTGTTGTGTGTGTAATTTTCCACTGATTTAAGAATTTTTGGAAAGCTTTACTACAATATCCTGGTCCATTGTCAGTTTTGATTTTTTCTGGAACTCCCATGACAGCAAAACAAGACAATAAATGTTTTTTCACATGGGAAGTACTTTCTCCTGTCTGGCAAGTTGCCCACATGAAATGTGAATAAGTATCAACTGTTACACGGACACATCATAATCTTCCAAATGAAGGTACATGTGTGACATCCATTTGCCATAATGCATTAGGACACAGACCTCTGGGATTAACTCCTGCCTCTTGAGTGGGCAGGTGTAGGACTTGACACTGGGTACCATGTTGTAGAATATTTTTTGCCTGTTTCCATGTGACATCTGTGGGCGGCAAGCCACCCAGGCGCTGAGGCAAGAGAGCAAGGACACGAGCTGTTCCAGTATAATAAAATATAAAACAAGAATAGTTATACCAGATCTAGATCATAGACATGATTATATATGAATATCATTAATCATTAGTTTGTAGCAATTACTCTTTATTCCAATATTATAATAATCCTCGCTCTATAATCATAACCTAGGAAAAGCCAGGCCATACAGAGATAGGAGCTGAGGGGACACAGTGAGAAGTGACCAGAAGACAAGAGTGCGAGCCTTCTGTTATGCCCGGACAGGGCCACCAGAGGGCTCCTTGGTCTAGTGGTGACGCCAGCGTCTGGGAAGACGCCCGTTGCCAGGCGGACCGTGGTCTAGCGGTAGCATAAGTGTCAAGGGAAAACACCCGCTACTTAGCAGACTGGGGAAGGGAGTCTCCCTTTCCCCGGGGGAGTTTAGAGAAGACTCTGCTCCTCCACCTCTTGTGGAGGGCCTGACATCAGTCAGGCTCGCCCGCAGTTATCCGGAGGCCTAACCGTCTCCCTGTGATGCTGTGCTTCGGTGGTCATGCTCCTAGTCCGCCTTCATGTTCCATCCTGTACACCTGGCTCTGCCTTCTAGAAAGCAGTAGTAAATTAGTGAAAGTACTAAAAGTCTCTGATATGCAAAAATAATGGTGTAAGCTGTCTTTCTCTTTGTCTCCTCTCTCTCTCTGCCTCGGCTGCCAGGCAGGGAAGGGCCCCCTGTCCAGTGGACACGTGACCCACGTGACCTTACCTATCACTGGAGATGACTTACACGCTTTACCCTGCCCCTTTTGCTTTGTATCCAATAAATAACAGCGCAGCCCGACATTTGGGGCCACTACCGGTCTCCGTGCATTGGTGGTAGTGGTCCCCCGGGCCCAGCTGCCTTTTCTTTTATCTCTTTGTCTTGTGTCTTTATTTCTACACTCTCTCATCTCTGCACATGGGGAGAGACCCACCGACCCTATGGGGCTGGACCCTACAACATGAAATTTGTTTTTTAATCCTGCTGCATTTACATGAGTGAAAGCATGAAGTTCTTGTGCTTTTATGAATGCAGATGGTACCAGTAAGTCAGCTTGTTCATTTGCTTTAGTTAAAGGCCCTGGTAAATTAGTGTGTCCTCGAATATGAGTAACATAAAATGGGAAATTTCTTTTTTTTTTACAGTTTGTTGTAATAAATTGAACTGCTGGTTTAACTGATCATCTATGCTATATTTAATTAGAGCTGTCTCAACATCCTTTGTAGCCTGCACTACATATGCAGAATCTGATACAATATTAATAGGTTGATCAAAGTCTTGTAACACTGTAATGACTGCAACCAACTCTGCTCTTTGAGCCAATTGATATTGAGTTTTGATGACTCGCTCTTTTGGCCCTGTGTAAGCTGCTTTTCTATTGCTGGAACCATCAGTAAACACTGTCAGAGCATTTTCTAAAGGTTTATGTCTGGTAATTTTAGGTAGAATCCAAGTAGTCAATTTTAAAAACTGGAAGATTTTTGTTTTCGGGTAATGATTATCAATAATTCCCACAAAATTAGTAAGACCAATCTGCCATGCACCAGAATTGATAAAGGCTTGTCTAACCTGTTCCTTGTTTAAAGGAACAACTATTTTGTCTGGGTCATTTCCACACAATTTTACTATTCATAACCTTTTCTGACCAATTAATGTAGCTATTTGATCCACGTACAATGTAAAAGTCTTAATTGTACTGTGAGGAAGGAATGACCACTCCACAAGATCAGTATTTTGAACAATGATGCCTGTTGGAGAATGTGCAGTAGCAAAAATCAAAAGTTGGAGTGAGACTAAGGGATCTATTTATTTGTGCTGACTGAATTTTTTCTTCCACTAATTTAATTTCTTTTGTTGCCTCTGGGGTTAATATCCTTTTACTCAGTGGGGAGCTTCTAAGACTCATTGTCCAGGAGAAGGAATGTCACAAGGTAATGTCATCAGTTAAGGCAGGAACCGGTTATTTTCACTTTTTTGTGGATCTTCAGTTGCTTCAGGCCATCTGGATGTACACGTGCAGGTCACAGGGGATACGATGGCTTAGCTTGGGCTCAGAGGCCTGACAAGGAGTTCAAGACCAGCCTGGCCAAGATGGTGAAACCCTGTCTATACCAAAAACTACAAAAATTATCCAGGCACGGTGGCAGGTGCCTGTAGTCCTGGCTACTCAGGAGGCTGAGGCAGGAGAATTGCTTGAACCTGGGCTGCAGAGGTCATGGTGAGCCAAGATTGCGCCACCGCACTCTAGCCTGGGCGACAGAGTGAGACTCTGTCTCTGCAAAAAAAACCCCAAAAGGAAGCGACCTGCAGACCCTCACAGGGAAGTCTCAATATGCTCTATTTGGAGAAAAGGGGGTGGGAATTTCCAGGTCTCTGGGGACCCCACGTCCCAAGTATAGCAGAGCCAGGGGCCTGCGAAGGGCCGACTTAACTAGAGACAGAGCCAAACTCAGGCGCTGCAGTGTGACCTTCACTGAGGTGATCCGCTGCCGTGTCTGTGCGAATCTGCGCAGGACAGGAGCCAGGCCTGGGAGGAACCCTGATAAGGTGGGCGGGGCCCGGGCGAGGAAGGGCGGGGCGCGAAGGGCAAGGGGCGTGGCACGGAAGTGGATAAGTGGCCCGCGGGGTAGGGATCCCCGGGGCGGGGCGGGGCTGGGCTGGGCAGGGCGGGGCCTACAATTTGCTCCGCCTCGCTCTGCAGCCTGTGTTTTCCAGGTTTTGGAGGCGAGACCCGCCCGGGATGCTGAAGCATAATTCAAAAGCCCTGGAATTGCCTGAAACGGGGATGCAAACTAGAATGTAAAATGCAAATCTCTGCCTGGGTGGAAAGAGCAATTTTATGCTGAAGGCCCACAGAACAGAGTAGAAATCCTCTCCCTATTCCTCATTCACTCGGGAGGGAGAGTCCACCCTGTGCTCAGCTCCGGAGACTTCCCTAGGGCCACCGCCTGGGATGCGGGACAGAGTACGCAGGCCAGGGATGAGTGAGGTTCTTAATGATCTACTAAACAAGGGGTGAATTATTCATGCTTCCCCTCTTCAGACCTTATAGCGTAGCTTTCTGACGTTGCCATGGCATTTTTAAACTGTCATGGAGCTGGTGGGGGTGTAGCAGTGAGGACGACCACAGGTCACTCTCCTAGCCATTTTGATTTTGGTAGGTTTAGGCTGAGGTAGGATAATTGCTTGAACCTGGGAAGCAGAAATTGCAGTGAGCTGAGATAGCATCATTTCACTTCAGCCTGGGCAACAAGAGAAACTCCATCTCAAAAAAAAAAAAAAGAAGAGGCTGGAGGCAGTGGCTCATGCCTGTAATCCCAGCACTTTGGGAGGTCAAGGTAGACGGATCACTTTCTTCAGGTCTGGAGTTGGAGACCAAGCTGACCAACATGGCAAAATCCCATCTCTTCTAGAGATACAGAAATTAGTTGGGCGTGGTGGCACATGCCTGTAATACCAGCTACTCCGGAGGCTGAGGCAGGAGATTCACTTGAACCCGGGAGGTGGAGGTTGCAGTGAGCTGACATTAGGCCACCACACTCCAGCCTGTGATGCAGAGGGGTACCCCATCTCAAAAAAAAAAAAAAAGTAGGATTATTTAAAGGTCCAACAGCTTTAAATTGGAATTACTTGATTTTTTTTTCTTTTTTTTTGAGAAGTAGTTTCACTCTTGTTGCCCAGGCTGGAGTGCAGTGGTGCAACCTCCACTCACTGCAACCTCCTTTGTATCTCAGAGATGGGGTTTTACCACGTTGGTCATGCTGGTCTCGAACTCCTGACCTCAGGTGATCCACCTGCCTCACTGTCCCAAAGTGCGTGAGGCACCGCACCCAGCTTCATTTTGAATTACTTAATTTACTACTGAGATAGATGTACTATCTTTTTTGTTGTTGGCATTTCAAAGACAGAACTCCCAAGTCCTTTAGAAAAACACCCCTGGATCACCACTAAGATGAAAACAAGTTTTATTGTTTCTAAAAAATACCACTTCTGAAGACAGAGAAAATACATTTACAAATTTTCTTTTTTTTTTTTTTTTTTTTTTGAGACAGAGTCTCGCTGTCACCCAGGCTGGAGTGCAGTGGTGCGATCTCGGCTCACTGCAGGTTCCGCCCCCCTGGGTTCACGCCATTCTCCTGCCTCAACCTCCCGAGTAGCTGGGACTACAGGTGCCTGCCACCTCGCCCAGCTAATTTTTTGTATTTTTAGTAGAGACGGGGTTTCACCGTGTTAGCCAGGATGGTCTCGATCTCCTGACCTCGTGATCCGCCCACCTTAGCCTCCCAAAGTGCTGGGATTACAGGCGTGAGCCACCACGCCCGGCCTCATTTACAAATTT
This sequence comes from Homo sapiens, assembly GCF_000001405.40. NCBI lineage: Eukaryota > Metazoa > Chordata > Mammalia > Primates > Hominidae > Homo > Homo sapiens. The sequence continues at coordinate 53,356,633 of NC_000019.10, read as the reverse complement.
TCTAAATAAACGTCCTGAGAAAAGAGACAAAAGGAAGGGAAATCTTTTCCTTTATTCTCAAAGGAGGAATTATGCCTCTCATTTATTTGCTTGTTTGAGACAGGGTCTAGCTCTGTCACCCAGGCTGGAGTGCAGTGGTGAGATCAGGGCTCACTTCAGCCTCAAAATCCCTGCTTCAACTGATCCTCCCACTTCAGTGCCCAGAGTAGCTGGGACCACAGCAGTGCACCACCACACCTGGCTGACTTTTTTTACTTTTAGCAGAGAAGAGGTCCCCTATGTCGCCCAGGCTGGTCTTGAATCCCTAGGCTCACGTCACCCACCTGCCTGGGCCTCTAAAACCGCTGGGATTACAGGCCTGAGCCACTGCGTCTGGTCTCATCGTAAATTTGATGTTTCTTCTTGTTTTAACAGAATTTGTATTGCTGTGATAGAGGTTCTTTTCAAACTGATGTCTTATCCTTCTGAGTGCCTCAAACTAGAGCCTGTTCAGACGTTATAACAAGTTTATACTGGTTTATTTTGGTACAAAAAGTGTGAAATTTATGCACAAATTTTTCATAATATGTATTTTTCCATGAACTTCTTGAAGACCCTTATACTAGCAAACTGTATTCAAGAGGATATAAAAAGGGATTGTAAACATCCAAGTGCTACCTATTCATGGGATGCAAGGATGGTTCAACATACTCAAATCAATGGGATACACACTTGCACAGAATGACAGATAAAAAACACATTATCTCAATAGATAGAGAAAAAGCATTTCACAGAACTCAATATTCATTCTTCGTAAAAATCCTAAACAATATAGGTAGAGTTTTACCTCAAAAATATAAAAATCATCCATGAAATGACCACAGCTGAAATAACCAATGAAGGAAAATGGAATGGTTTTCCTGTAGGATATCACATGATGCAAGAATGCTCTCACCCCTGATATTCAATAAATACTGGCTGTCCTAGGCAGAGCAATTAAATAGCAAAAGAAATAAAACTCATCCAAATCAGAAAGACAGAAGTAAAATTACATTTGTTGGGGCCGGGCTCATGGCTCACACCCATAATCCCAGCAATTTGCAAGTCCGAAGTGGGCGGATAATGAGGTTAGGCGATCTAACATATTCTTTCAAGTTCTCTTCAAGGTACTCACCATGTTGGCCCACCATCTGGGCCAACATGGTGAAACCCCGTCTTTACTAAAATAAAAAAAATAAATAAATTAGCTAGGTGTGGTGACATGCGCCTGTAGTCCCAGCTACTCAGGAGGCTGAGACAGAATTGCTTGGACGTGGGAGACAGAGGTTGCAGTGAGCAAAGATCATTCCACGGCACTCTAGCCTGGCGACAGAGAGAGACATTGTCTCAAAAAAAAAAATTATTTCCTTGTAGATGATACGACATTCTATATAGAAAATCACTGGCTGGGTGCGGTGGCTCACACCTGTAATCCCAGAACTTTGGGATGCTGATGGGGGCGGATCACCTGAAGTCAGGAGTTCAAGAAAAACCTGGTCAACATGGTGAAACCCCGTCTCTACTAAAAATACAAAAAAATTATACGGACATGGTGGCAGGCACCTGTAATCTCAGTTAGTAGGCAGGAGAATCACTTAAACCCGAAAGGCAGAGGCTGCAGTGAGCCAAGATCGTGCCATTGTACTCCAGTCCAAGTGACAAGAGTGAGACTCCTTCTCAAAAAAAAAGAAAAGAGCCTGGGTAACAGAGTGAGACTGTCTCAAAAAAAAAAGAAAGAAAATCACAAAGAATCAACCAAGATTTTACTGATACTAATAAACCCACTCAATGTATTTGCAGAATACAAAATCAGCACCCAAAATTAGTTGAATTTCCTTACATTAACAATAAATAATGTTTAAAGAAACTTATGAACACACTTCAATTTGCTATGAAACTTAATACTTACAAATAAACTGAATTAAGGAGGTGAGAAGCTTGTACCTTGAAATCTACATTGATCAAAAAAACTAAATAGACATACAACCCATATTGATGGATTGGAAGTCTTAATATTGTTGAATGATTATACAAACAAATGTGATTTAGATTCAACAGATACCCATAAAAACCCGTAACAGTTTTTATTAAAGAAACAAAATACAGGGTGGGAAAAGTGACTCATGTCTGTTGGCCAGTCTGGTCTCAAACTCCTGACCTCAAGTGATCTATTGGTCTTGGCCTCCCAAAGTGCTGGGATTACAGGCGTGAGCCACCCCGCCTGGCCCAATCTTCTTAACATAAACACTTTAATGTCAATTAATGCTTGAACTCAATGTTAAGTCAATTCAAACTCAAGTCAATGCTGAATTGACTCTAATGCCAATTAATGCTTGATGGTTTGCTATACTCATTGCATTTGGAACAATCATCTCAAAAATGAATTTTCTGATGTTCCTTAAGGGGTGATCTCAGACTGAAGACCTTGCCACACTGATGACATTTGTAAGATTTCTGTCCAGTATGGATTCTCTGATGTCTAATTAGGTGTGAACGTGAAGTAAAGGCTTTGCTGCAATCATCATACTTGTGAAGTTTGTCTCCTGTATGAAGTCTCCTGTTTTGCATAAGATGAAGCTAGACTGAAGACCTTGCCACAATCATGACATTTGTAAGGTTTCTCTCCAGCATGAGTTCACCGATGAACTGCAAGGTATGAACAATGTCTGAAAAATTTGCCACATTTATTACACTTTCAAAATCTCTCATTATGGATTCTCCAATGATTTGAAACGGTTGTAGTGTTACTGAAGACTTTGTGATAATCATTACATTAGTAAAGTTTCCCTATACCATGGATTGCCTGATGGTGAATAAGTGTTGACTGCCCACTAAAGGCTTTGCCACACTCAGTACACTTGTAAGGTTTCTCTCCAGTGTGACTTCTAGTTTGTTGGGCCAGGTGTGAATCACGCCCAAGATTCTTGTCACAAACTCTTACATTTGTAAGCTTTCTCTCCAGTATGAATTCTCCTGTCTTTCAAGACTTGATTTACAACTGTAAACTTTGTCACATTCTTCATATTTCTAATGTTTCTTTCCAGTATGAATTCTATGATGACGTGCAAGTTTTGCTTTTCGATTAAAAACCTTGCCACATTCATTACACTTGTAAGGTTTCTCTCCAGTATGAATTGTCTTATGAATTACAAGGACTGAATTGTGACGGAAGGTTTTGCCACACTCATTACACTTGTAAGGTTTCTCTCCAGTATGAATTCTATGATGACATGCAAGGTGTGCTTGTTGATTAAAAACCTTACCACATTTATTACACTTGTAAGGTTTCTCTCCAGTATGAAGTCTATGATGACGTGAAAGGTTTGCTTTTCTATTAAAAACCTTGCCACATTCACTACACTTGTAAGGTTTTTCTCCAGTATGAATTGCCTTATGAATTTCAAGGGCTGAATTGTGACGGAAGGTCTTGCCACACTCATTACACTTGTAAGGTTTCTCTCCACTATGAATTGCCTTATGAATTACAAGGGCTGAATTGTGACGGAAGTTCTTGCCACATTCATTACACTTGTAAGGTTTCTCTCCAGTGTGAATTCTAGTATGTTGTGCCAGGTGTGAATCACGCCCAAAAGCTTTGTCACAAACCTTACATTTGTATGGTTTCTCTCCAGTATGAATTCTCCTGTGTTTTTCAAGGCTTGATTTGCGACTGAAAACTTTGTCACATTCTTCACATTTGTAAGGTTTCTCTCCAGTATGAAGTCTAAGATGGCATGTAAGGGATGACTTCTGACTGAAGGCCTTGCCACACTCATTACACTTGTAAGGTTTCTCTCCAGTATGAATTGCCTTGTGAATTATAAGGGCTGAATTTCGACCGAAGGTCTTGCCACACTCATTACACTTGTAAGGTTTCTCTCCAGTATGAAGTCTACGATGGCATGTAAGGTATGACTTCCGACTAAAGGTCTTGCCACATTCATTACACCTGTAAGGTTTCTCTCCAGTATGAATTCTCCTATGTCTTTGAAGGTTTGATTTGAAACTGAAAGCTTCATCACATTCTTCACATTTGTAAGGTTTCTCTCCACTATGAGTTCGCCAATGAACTGCAAGGTATGAACGATGTCTGAAAAATTTGCCACATCTATTACACTTGTACGATCTCTCTTCATTATGGATTCTCCAATGATTTGCAATGGTTGTAGCATTACTAAAGACTTGGTGACAATCATTACATTTGTAAAGTTTCCCTATACCATGGATTGCTTGATGGTAAATAAGTGCTGACTGCCCACGAAAGGCTTTGCCACACTCATTACACTGGTAAGGTTTCTCTCCAGTATGAAGTCTACAATGGCGTGTAAGGGATGACTTCCGACTAAAGGTCTTGCCACATTCATTACACTTGTAAAGTTTCTCTCCAGTATGAATTATCCTATGTCTTTCAAGGTTTGATTTGAAACTGAAAGCTTCATCACATTCTTCACATTTGTAAGGTTTCTCTCCAGTATGAAGTCTACGATGGTATACAAGGGATGATGTCTGACTGAAGGTCTTGCCACAATCATTACACTTGTAAGGTTTCTCTCCAGTATGAATTCTCCTATGTCTTTCAAGGTTCGATTTGAAACTGAAAGCTTCATCACATTCTTCACATTTGTAAGGTTTCTCTCCAGTATGAAGTCTACGATGGTATACAAGGGATGACATCTGACTGAAGGTCTTGCCACAATCATTACACTTATAAGGTTTCTCTCCAGTATGAAGTCTACGATGGCGTGTAAGGGATGACTTCCGACTAAAGGTCCTGCTGCATTCATTACACTTGTAAGGTTTCTCTCCAGTATGAATTTTCCTATGTCTTTCAAGGTTTGATTTGAAACTGAAAGCTTTGTCACATTCTTCACATTTGTAAGGTTTCTCTCCAGTATGAAGTCTACGATGGTACACAAGGTATGACGTTTGACTGAAGGTCTTGCCACATTCATTACACTTGTAAGATTTCTCTCCAGTATGAATTGCCTTATGAATTACAAGGGCTGAATTTCGACTGAAGGTCTTGCCACACTCACTGCACTTGTAATGTTTCTCTCCAGTATGAAGTCTATGATGGCATGTAAGGGTTAACTCCTGACTGAAGGTCTTGCCACAATCATTACACTTGTAAGGTTTCTTGCCAGTGTGACATCTACGATGACATGCAAGATATCGCTTTTGATTAAAGACCTTGCCACACACATCACATTTATATTGTTTCGCTCCTAAATGGATTATCTGATGTTTCCTTAAGACTGAGCTATAATTAAAGGCTTTGCCACTCTCATTACATTGGAAAGATTTTTCTCTCATGTGTACTTCCTGCTTTTGTGTGAGTAATGAAGAATTCAGGAAATTATTCCCATAGTTCTTAGAAATGTGGGTTTTAGGCCTACAAGAAATTCTTTGGGATGTTGAAACCAACGAAGCACTGTTGATAGACTTCTCAACTTGATTACCAATTTTCCCTTCGGTCTGAAACATGTGGAGTTCAGGCAGATGCGAATGAAAGCTTGATCCAAGCTGATCTTTAATAGGCTTGTTTCCAGCATGCCTTTGATCATGTCGGTTTGTACTACCCGTCAACTGTTTGATTTCTGTCATGGGTGCTTCATGGCTATTTCTTTCATCTTCTTTCCACTGAAACTCAAAATCATGAATATCTTTCTCCATTTCCTGGAAGCAAAAATCTCCAATGTGATGACGTTCATGTCTTTGCAATGTCCCTGTGTGGATCACTTCTGTATTGCCTTGTGCTGTTGATGAGAACTCCTTCATCATGCATTTGGAAGAGATATCTAGAAAATATAAACACCAATAGGTTTCCACTTAAGTATAGATGGTAAATAATACTGAAATGTGTAAATGTGACACTAAAAACAATACTTATTTTAAACTTCCCAAACATTATCTTGAAAGTTTAGGAACGCAAAAGGGTAAGATTCATCAATAAATAAAGGGCGATTACATGTACTTGAAATCATTTCTATGGAAGCCTATTTCCAATATCATGTCAAAACACTGACAGCACACAAATGTATATAAGCCTAAAGTAAGGAGTATTTTTCCACTGTGACCCTAAAGTGTATAAGACTTTGCAAAAAACATATCACTGTCACATCAATGAGGAGAAAAGCATATATTCTTCATATTTACAGCATATTTACTATATACAAATAAATGCTAAAAGACCACACAATATACTATATTGGTAAATAATCCACAACAAGCTCATGTAAGGATAACCAAAATCAATGGAAATTCTGTATTGTCAAACAATCATAGCACTGAGAAGATAAGAAAACATTACAAAATTAAGCAAGGCGTGGTGGCCCATGCCTGTAGTCCCAGCTACTCAGGAGGCTGAGGCACAAGAATTGCTTGAGCCCAAGAGGCAGAGGTTGCAGTGAGCTGAGATTGCACCACTGTACTTCAGCCTGGGTGACAAGAGTCCATCTCGAAAAAAAAATTAAAAAGTTAATACAATATTTTTCTGAATAACTGTTATAAAATTACTTATATTCATGCAGAAAAGGCAAGTTGTGACATTTTAAGAAATTGTTTGTATTTTTATATTTTTGAGATGAAGTCTCACTCCATCACAACAGGCTGGAGTGCAATGGCCCAGTCTTGTCTCACTGTAACCTCCGCCTGCTGGGTTCAAGCCATTCTCCTGCCTCAGCCTCCTGAGTAGCTGGGATTAAAGGCATGCATCACCATGCTTGGCCAATTTTTGTGTTTTTAGTAAAGATGGGGTTTCACCATGTTGGACAGGCTGGCCTCGAACTTTAGACTCAAGCAATTTAGGCGCCTGAGCCTCCCAAACTCCTGGGATTATAAGTGTGAGCCATAGTGCCAGGCAGCACTTTGTGACATTAACGAGTGGACTGTGTCAGTTATATTGCATACCACATACCGAAAAGCCTTATGTAAAATCATAAAAATTAATTAGTAAAATAACGTAACCCATAAAATCAGCAAGCAAATAATAAGTACATTTATACAGCCTGCAGAATTCTAAACAATTTCCTATTAAGAAAAAAGCCACAGCCGGGCACAGTGGTTCACGCCTGTAATCCCAACACTTTGGGAGGCTGAGGCGGGCAGATCATGAGGTCAGGAGATCGAGACCATCCTAGCTAACAAGGTGAAACCCCATCTCTACTAAAAATAAAAAAAAAAAATTAGCCGGGTGTGATGGCGGGTGGCAGTAGTCTCAGCTACTCAGGAGGCTGAGGCAGGAGAATGGCATCAACCCAGGAGGTGGAGCTTGCAGTGAGCCGAGATCGCGCCACTCTGTCTCAAAACAAAAACAAAAACAAAAAACAGAAAAAAAGCCACAATTTCTACTTACCAGCAGCATACAATATAAGAACTGAAATACATGTTAAGATCATTACCTTCTGATGTACGAGGTCAAAAAAACACACAGCATTATAAGGAATAAGAAGTGACTAACGGCTGGGCGCTGTGGTTCATGCCTGTAATCCCAGCACTTTGGGAGTCCAAGGCAGGTGGATACAAGGTCAGGAGTTCAAGAGCAGCCTGGCCAATATGGTGAAACCCTAACTCTACTAAAAATGCAAAAAAAATTAGCTGGGCATGGTGGCGGGAGCCTGTAATCCCAACTACTCGGGAGGCTGAGGCAGGAGAATCGTTTGAACCCAGGCGGTGGAGGTTGCAGTGAGACGAGATCGCATCACTGCACTCCAGCCTGGGTGACAGGGTGAGACTCTGTCTCACAAAAAAAAAAAAAAAAAAAAAAAAATTGACTAACAATGTCAGAAGGTGCAACTACGATGTCACAACTACATTTATGAAACAGCCAGGCAATACAGCAATTCCATATATAAGCATTGGCCTTAGTTATCTAGTTCACTATGCACTAATATAAAACATAGAATGTGTACTGGGAAAATTTATAAACTGAGATCAGAGAAAACATTGTATATAACAAATTGCACAATAAAAACATTAACAAGATGATGCAGGCTCCCTGGTCTGAATGTTCTTATTGGCCAAAAGCCAGGTTCAAAGTTCTTATTCTCCAATAGGATGTTCCTGCAGATGGGGCCTTTGAGAGAATTTGGTCATGGGTGTTGACTACTCATGAATAGGACTAGTGCTTTTATAAAAAGAGATATTAAAGAGCTCGTTTCCTGTTCCTCTTTCCACCATGTCAGGACACAGCAGGAAGATGGCTGGGCTAAACCATGAAGAATGCTCTCACCAGGAACCAATGTGGCTGGCACCTTGCTCTTGGATTTCCCACTTTCCAAATTCATGAGAAATAAATATCTGTGCCGTAAGCCTCCCAGTTTAAGCTACTACCTTTTTTGTTTGTTTTTGAGATTGAGTCACGCTCTATCACCCAGGCTGTAGTGTAGTGGCATGATTCTCCTGCCTGAAGAGATTCTCCCACCTCAGCCTGGAGTCTCACTCTGTCACCCGGGATGGAGTGAAGTGGCACAATGTCGGCTCACTGCAACCTCCACCTCCTGGGTTCAAGTGATTCTCCTGCCTCAGCCTCCCGAGTTACTTGGGATAACAGGTGCCCGCCACCATGCCCAGCTAATTTTTGTATTTTTAGTGGAGACGGGATTTCACCGCGTTGGCCAGGGTGGCCTCAAACTCCTTAACTCAGGTGATCCGCCCGTCTCAGCATCCCAAAGAACTGGGATTACAGGCGTGAGTCTGTGGGGTCACTTGGCCAATTTTTTGTATTTAGTAGATTTCATGTTTCACCATGTTGGCCAGACTGGTTTCAAACTCCTGACTTCAAGTGATCCACTCACCTCTGCCTCCCAAACTGCTGGGATTAGAGGTGTGAGCCACCTTGGCTGGCCAGTCTAAGCTATTTCTGAGAGGACAGTGAAATGACTGAGACAGGAACAGGAACATCTCATCATCAACATCACCGAAGGCTGACAAATCTTATTAAACAAAGGAAGTTTAGAGACTGTACTATTGCAATACTTGAAGCCAATCTAATAACAATAACATGTTTTAAAAACTGTGAGGCTGGCTGGGCACGGTGGTTCATGCCTGTAATCTCAGCACTTTGGGAGGCTGAGGCAGGAGGATCACAAGATCAGGAGATCAGCACCATCCTTTCAGCACCTTTCTGGCTAACACGGTGAAACCCCATCTCTACAGAAAAAAAAAAAAAAAAACAGCCAGGTGTGGTGGCATGTGCCTGTAGTCCCAGCTGCTTGGGAGACTGAGGCAGGAGAATCACTTGAACCTGGGAGGCAAAGGTTGGAGTTAGCCAAGACTGCGCCACTGCACTCCAGCCTGGGCAACAGACAGACTCCTTCTCAAGAAAGAAAAAAAAAAAAAAGAAAGAAAGAAATGAAAGAAGTCTAAAGAGTAACTCCAACCCACAAATATACAAAAAGTTCTCCAGTAAAGGTAAATAAAAAGACAGATAAGCTGGGCGCGGTGGTTCACACCTGTAATCCCAGCACTTTAAGAGGCCAAGGCAGGCGGATCACCACCTGAGGGCAGAAGTTCGAGACCAGTCTGACCAACAAGGAGAAACCCTGTCTCTACTAAAAATACAAAATTAGCCAGGCATGGTGGCACAGGCCTGTAATCCCAGCTACTCGGAAAACTGAGGCAGGAGAATCACTTAAACCCAGAAGTCGGAGGTTGCAGTGACCTGAGATTGTGCCATTGCACTCCAGCCTAGGCAACAGAACAAAACTTCGTCAAATAAATAAATAAATAAGCAAATAAAAGGATAGACACAGAAACTTGTATAAGTGTACCTTTTCTTCATAACACAACTTTCCTATTATTTAGAGGAAAACAGCATGAGAAAACACTGTACGTGATATTGAAAATGCAACACACACAGAAATAATTCTAACATAAAGAACAAAGAGTTCTAGTGGAGAAAGAATAGTTTTCACAGGTGATGAAAATATTTTTTTGAGACAGAGTGTCGCTCTGTCTCTCAGACTCTAGTGCAGTGGCATGATCTTGGTTCACTGCAACCTCCGCCTCCCGGGTTCAAGCAACTCTCCTGTGTCAGCCTCCTGAGTAACTGAGATTACAGGCACCCACCATCGTGTCTGGCTAATTTTTGTATTTTTAGTAGAGACAGAATTTCGCCACGCTAGCCAGGCTGGTTTTGAGCTCCTGACCTCAGGTGATTTGCCTGCCTCGGCCTCCCAAAGTGCCGGGATTACAGGCATGAGCCACTGGGGCACGAGAATTTTTTGAGCACGAGAGCGAAGCCGGCTGCGGTGAGCCAAGATCACATACGGCACTGCTGCCTTGGCGACAGAGTGAGACTCCATCATAAACAAAAGTCAATAAGAAGGGAGTCAAAGCATGTCTACACAAAAAAGCAATTAAACGCAAAAAGTAATAAATGAGAAATGAATAACCAAAAAAACCTACAAGAGATACAGATAACATGAAACAGAAACACAACGGTAAGGTCTTCTCCATCAGTAATACTTCAAATGTAAATATTTAACTCTGCACTCAGAAGGCAAAGACTGGCTCAATCAACAGGAACCAACTACATGTTGTCCAAAGAAAACTCATATAAACCCTAAGGACACACATATGCTACAATTTAAAAAATAAAAACCAATAATTAGGTATGGGGGTTGGCACCTGTAATCCCAGCTACTCAGGAGGCCAAGGAGGATCTCTTGAGCCCAGGAGACCAAGACCAGCTTCAACAACACAGGAAGACCTTGTTTGTAAACAAAAACAAAAACAACAACTACAAAAAAAAAAAAAAACTAAAAAAGTAGCCCGGCATAGTGGCATGCACCTGTACCAGCTACTGGGGGAGGCTGAGGTGGGACAATCACATGAGCCCAGGAATTCAAGATTGCAGTAAGACATGATCACACCATTTCACTCCACCCTGGGTGACAGAGCAAGACATTGTATCTAAAAAAAAGAGAAAATACAAAGATACACAAGGGCACATCCCCACTTCTGGAGGGAAGTTATCCTCACCCAGGGAGACCAGGTTCCTATAATTCTCCAGCATCACGTCCCTGTATAGAGTCCTCTGAGCAGGGTCCAGGCACTTCCACTCTTCCTGAGAGAATTCTATGGCCACATCCCTGAATGTCAATAGACCCTGAAATGAAAACACATTTTAAGGAAATGGTTATGGGAGGAGTTCTTATCTTTACACGAAATGAGAAGAGGAGAGAGGAAAGCATGGATTTAATTGTAGTGAATGTTCTGACAAATCCGAGTAAGGGATTCTTCACCACATTTTGTCTTCTGAGTTGTGTTTTATTACACTTCTTTTTTTTTTTCTTTTTGAGACGGAGTCTCGCTCTGTCACCCAGGCCGGAGTGCAGTGGCACGATATCGGCTCACAGCAACCTCTGCCTCCCAGGTTCAAGGAATTCTCTTGCCTCAGCCTCATGAGTAGCTGGAATTACAGGCTGGTGCCACCGCGCCTGGCTAATTTTTGTATTTTTAGTAGAGACGGAGTTTCACCATATTGGTCAGGCTGATCTCGAACTCCTGACCTCGTGATCCACCTGCCTCGGCCTCGCAAAGTGCTGAGATTACAGGCATGAGCCACCACACCGGCCTTCTTATACCTTTTGAAGAGGTCACAATACCCTCTCAGTATGAATTTCTGATGTTTGTGGATAATACTAAAAATACACACAAAAGAAATCAATGCAGGAGCCGGGCACAGTGCCTCATGCTTATAATTTCAGCATTTTGGGAGGCTGAGGCAGGCAGATCACCTGAAGTCGGGAGTTCAAGACTTGCCTGACCAACATGGAGAAATCCCGTTTCTACTAAAAAAGAAAAAATACAAAAATCATCCAGGCGTTGTGGCACATGCCTGTAATCCCAGCTACCTGGGAGGCTGTGGAAGGAGAATTGCTTGAAGCAGGGAGGCGGAGGTTGTGGTGAGCTGAGATTGTGCCATTACACTCCAGCATGGGCAACAAGAGTGAAACTCCATCCCAAAATAAAATAAAATAAAATAAAATAAAATAAAATAAAATAAATAAAATAAAATAAAAATCAATGTAGGGTTCTCGTTACAGAAATGTTAGAAACTTTTTTTTTCTTTTTGAGACAGAGTCTCGCTCTGTCACCCAGGCTGGAATGCAAAGGTGCCATCTCAGTTCACTGCAACCTCCACCTCCCAGGATCAAGTGATTCTCCTGCCTCAGTCTCCTGAGGAGCTGGGATTCCTGGCATGCACCACTATTCTTAGCTAATTTTTGTATTTTTAGTAGAAACGGGGTTTCACCATATTGGCCAGGTTGGTCTCAAAACTCCTGACTTCATGATCTGCCTGCCTCAGCCTCTCAAAGTGCTAGGATTACAGGCGTGATCCACCGTGCCTGGCCCAGAAACTTTTACTGACAATGCAAGTGACATTCAGTATCTAGATGAGACAGGGTATGAGTGATGTCTTCAGAGATGACAACGTCCGCAGTGAAAGATCAGGATCAGAAACTAAAATCCAGCCTGGCACAGTGGCACATGCCTGTTATCCCAGTTACTCAGGAGGCTGACGCAGAATTGCTTGATCCCAGGAGGCAGAGGTTGCAGTGATCCTAAATCTCACCATTGCACTCCAGCCTGGGTAACAGAGACTCCATCTCAAAAAAAAAAAATCAGCCGGGCATGGTGGCAGGCACCTGTGGTTCCAGCTACTTGGGAGCCTGAGGTAGAAGGATGGTTTGAGCCTGAGGGTGGAGGTTGCAGTGAGCTAAGATCGCGCCACTGTGCTCCAGCCTCGGCAGCACAGTGACACCCAGTCTCAAAATAAAAGAAAATACATGAAAACTAGATGACTCAAAGTATGAAAATCCATTTTATATATACATATGTCCACAAAATAATAAAACCTACACAGACTCACAAAAAACTAGATGTTAATACAAAGGATTGTCATTTCCCCCAGATATTCAAAAAATAAAAGATGTTCAAAATATATACGTGTGTGTATATATGTATGTATATGCATGTGTGTGTGTATACTTGTGTAGGTGGGTGTGCATATATAGAAAGGTTTTAAAAATATAAAAAGTGGCAAGTTTTGTTTAACTTAAGAAGAATCACATCTTGGTAGAAGAGGATACATTGGCAGGTGGGGGCAGGGGGGAATCTTGTCAGATCTAAGAAAACAGGGAATGCCCCATCCTAGAAGAAGCAATCACCCTTTCAACCGCCTGACCTGGAGGAATCTTCAGGTATCTGTAGTAACGCAGGTGTGCACAGAGGCAGCCACTATGGCACTCTTTATACAGGGAAAAATTGCAAAGAACACACAGGTCATCCAGTCAATTTCTAATGCAGATGTCAAAGGGCAAGCTAGCCATGTTAACTAACATGACAACATGTAAATTTTCACAACCAGTAGGATCAAATATCAAAGTAAAATATTTACTGGAACACAAAGAAGAAAACAACAGACATTGGGGTCTACTTGAGGGTGGAGGCGGGGAGGAAGGAGAGGACTAGAAGAAAATAACTATTGGGGGCTGGGCGCGGTGGATCACGCTTGCAATCCCAGCACTTTGGGAGGCCAAGGTGGGTGGATAACCTGAGGTCAGGAGTTCAAGACCAGCCTGGCCAACATGGTGAAACCCTGTCTCTAGTAAGAATACAAAAACTAGCCAGGAGTGGTGGCAGGCACCTGTAATGTCACCTACTCGGGACGCTGAGGCAGGAGAATCGCCTGAACCTGGGAGGCAGTGGTTGCAGTGAGCCGAGATCATGCCATTATACTCCAGCGTGGGCAACAAGAGCAAAACTCAGTCTCAAAAAATAAATAAATAAATAAATAACTATTGGATACGGGGATTAATAGCAGAGTGATGAAATAATCTGTACAACAAACCCTGATGACCCTACTTTACCTATGTAACAAACCTGAACATGGCGCCCCAAACCTAAAGTAAAACCATAAATATATATTTTTTAAATTTACCGCAGAATTTTTTCTAAAGTCTCGTAACGATGCAGAAATACAGACGCGCGAGATTTGCTCTGACCCATGGCACAGAACTGACAGTAGCGGCTCCACAATGAGGCTGGAAGGAGGGTGGAGGACGTGACAGGGAAAAGAGATGCTTTATGGCAATGGGTCTAAGCTGCAGCTTTCCTTCGAGTTTTACCAGAAAACAAATAAATATATCATGTGATGTTTACATATAAAAATATATATTTAATAATAATTGGTGGGGCTGGGCACGGCTCATGCCTGTAATCCCAGCACTCTGGGAGGCTGAGGCAGGCAGATCACCTTAGGTCAGAAGTTTGAGACCAGCCTGGCCAACATGGTGATAGCCCGTCACTAATAAAAATGCAACTAAATTATCCGGGTGTGGTGGTGCGTGCCTATAATCCCAGATACTTGGGAGGCTGAGGCAGGAGAATCTCTTGAACCCGGGAGGTGGAGGTTGCCGTGAGCCAAGATCATGCCACTGCACTTCAGCCTGGGCGACAAAGCAAGACTTTGTATATTTAAAATATAATAATATTATAATAATATAAAAATAATAATAGGTGGAATGAGAATATGGCACCATCCTCTAGGATAAAAATGAAGTACTGCTCCCATATTTGAGAAAAATTATAACCATTTTTCCTGAAAACACCTGTTTCACAAGCCTCTCCGCAGTAACCCCACAGTCTCCATGAGCTTTAATGTGCTAAGAATGGTTGAATGAATCTCCTGCTATGATTCAGGTTGATTTCCTATTCTTAAAGAAATGATGGAATAAAACATCTTCTATCATTCATGTCTGTGTATGAACTTTCCATTCTAATTACTAAGATTTTTGGAGTCAGAAACACAGTAACTCACTCAAAAAACTAAAAATGTAGTATAAAATCAGGCAGAAAACGTTTCCCCTTATTGGTCACCTTTTCTAGAATTTACCACCTACTTTGTGCACATGAATACATGACTTCCATTGGCAGCTGCTCTAATCCTGGTTCACAGAGAGCTGACAGTGCATCCAGATGTGGCCCCTGAACAATCCCTGCTGCCCAACAGCACTGACACCATGGGGCCCTCATCCCATCTCCATCCATGTCTCGGTGTGAGCCCTTCCCAGGACCATGCCCAGTGCGGCCTCTTCCCAAGTTGATGTCACTGTGTCACAAGAGATGGAATCTAAGCGAGATGAGAGGGACTGAGGGAAGGCATGGGTGAGTGCGAGCAAACCTGTCAGGCAGGATGCTTCAGACTCAGAGAAGATTCCCAACTCCAAGGCCCAGGATTTCTGAGAGGAAGGAGACAGAACAATCCACCCAACATATCATCTCACCTGAGAAAGAGCCATCCCTGACTCCTTTGCTTTCCTCTTCCTCTTCCGGGTTTCTTCCTCACGTACCAAGAGTCTTTAGAAGTCAATCCTGAATGTTAAAAATATGTTGTTTATTGCTCAGAATCAACACACCCCCTCCGTTAACACAATGAAACATACAAAGGAGACCTCACCCTGAGGAAATATGGTCCCCTCTGCTGCCCACTGTACCAGGGACGATAAACTCCTACAGGCAGTGGAAGGTGAAAAAACAGAAAGAAGCATGCAGAGCAGCCAATATGGACCAGAGGAGGGGGTGAGGGTGTAGCTGGAGTGTGAAATGGGAGGTGGGTCACAGAAGTCCCCACTGAGAAGGTGATATCAGAACAGAGACCTGGGGAAGGAGGGGTGTTTGCACCTGCAGCTGAGGGGCCAGCGAGTTCCAGCAGAGGGACAGCCCACATGAACGCCTTGAGGCAGGAGCAACCTCGGCCCAGGAACAGGAAAGACGCCTGCATGGCTGGAGCAGAGGGAGGGAGGAGGACACGGGAAACAGATGAGGTCAGAGAGGACCTGGGAGGGCAGATCAGGCAGGGATGAGGTCTTCTAACATTTTTCTCCCACACCTCCAAAGAATTTTTAAAATGATGAATTTCTTCACCCATTGTGAGTAAACATGTAATTTTTTCTTTATATTACAAATTAAAACCCTTATAAACAATGTAATTATCCTTTACATTTTAAAAGCATGCTGAGATTTTAGTGATATCCTAGGAAGCACAAGGTCACCCTCATCTGAGAAGGGCAGGAGCATGGGGGAATGCGTTTACGGAAGTTCGGGAAGTCACCTTTGGACACATGAAGGTGGAGATGCCTGTTCATCCTCCCAGCAGAGAGTTAAGGAGTCAACTGGACACAGGACTGTAGCGTTCAGGGGAGAGGTCTGCAGGGGCCATGGGGCCATGGGGGTAAAGTTTAAAGCCACGAGATGAGGCTGGGCACAGTGGCTCACACCTGCAATCCCAGCACGTTGGGAGGCCAAAGCGGACAGATCACTTGACGTCAGAAGTTCGAAACCAGCCTGGCCAACATGGTGAAACCCTGTCTCTACCAAAAATACAAAAATTAGCTGGGCATGGTAGCACACGCCTGTAATCGCCACTGCTCAGGAGGCTGAGGCATGAGAATCGCTTAAACTCCAGAGGCAGAGGTTGCAGTGAGCCAAGATCACGGCACTGCACTCCAGCCTGGGACACAAGAGCAAAACTCTGTCTCAAAATAAATAAACAAATAATTAGCCAGGCATGGTGGCGTGTGCCTGTAGTCCCAGCTACTTGGGAGGCTGACGCACGAGAATCGCTTGAACCCAGAGGTTGGAGGTTGCAGTGAGCCAAGATCGCACCACTGCACTTCAGCCTGGGTGACAGAGTGAGACTCCACCTCAAATAAATAAAAATGAAAAATAACCTGGATAAAGCAGGGAAGGATAGTCTGTTGGTTTAACATTTTGATCCCTGGCACAGACAGCACCTCTATTTGTGTCCCCTGGCATATACTATAGCTTCATAGCTACTGAGTGAGTGAATGAATGAGAATGACTGAGTGATACTAGTATGTCCCCTCTGGGGTCTCACATGTGCCAGGGTCCTGGTTGACCTCAACTCTGCAGAAAGAGGAGAGGCTTCCTGGCTGCCCAGACTCTCAATGAAGAAAAATTCCTGGGGTCTAAGACTTCTGACTTGGCAATGACATTGGCTTAAATATTCCCAGACTCAAATCCTTGGGTCTTAGTTGGGTCTTGGGATGGTGCAAACCGATAGAATTGCAGGCAATGAGTGTCAGAACAGAACAGCGGACACGAAGGTGGAAGACTTGAGGGAGGGGATCAAGGACAGGCAGGGAAACCACTCCCCTCCCTCAGACGCCCACCTGGGGAAGCATCAACTTTGTCATTCTAGAGAAGACAACGGGAAAGGGAGGACTGTGCATAGGGTGGGTGACGGTGTGTGCTGGGTGGAGAGAAAAACCCCTTTTTCTAAATGTCACTCCATTAGATCAGCCCATCTGTTCACAGGAGCATCCTGTGAGGATAAATACAGCTTTTCCTTCCTCCAGTTCCTAAGTCTTCTGGCCATGACCAGGGCTATAACCCTCAAACTCCCTTCCCAGGAACCAGTGGCCCCTCTTTGTGGAAAAAATATTTGTGCTCCACATTTACATTATAGCACATTTATTTATTTATTTAGAGATGGAGTCTTGCTCTGTCACCATGCTGTAGTGCAATGGCGCGATCTCGGCTCACTGCAACCTCTGCCTCCCAGGTTCGAGCCATTCTCCTGCTTCAGTTTCCCGAGTAGCTGGGATTACAGATGTGCACCACCATGCCTGGCTCATTTTTTTTTCTTTCTTTCTTTCTTTTTTTTTTTTAGTAGAGATGGGATTTCACTATGTTGGCCAGGCTGGTCTCGAACTCCTGACTTCATCATCTGCCTGCCTTAGCCTCCCAAAGCTGTAGGACTACAGGCGTGAGCCACCACACACGGCCACACATTTACATTATAGCATCTTGACCTTCGACTCCCCAGCTGCCTTGTGACTGTGTGTGTGGGAGTGTGTGTGTGCGTGTGTGTGTGTGTGTGTGTGTGTGTGCTCACGTGTTGTGACAGGCAAGGAAAAGCCAGTAGAGCGTCATCACCACTGGCCTGGCAGGAGGAGGTGGCCCTCGGGCTGCAGTTCACGGTGCTGTTTGCACTCTTGATTCTTGGAAGAATCTTTCCTAAAGTCACGGAGCCTCCAGCTGCTCCGGAACAGAACTAGTTGTGTAGGAGTGTGTCCTTCATGCCCCTCAGGTCCCTGACCTTCTCCCCACCCTTCCTGAAGGGAATCCAGGACCCTTGACGCTGAGCGCATCACCTACTGGTGGCAAAGCCCCTGCCCATAATGGCCAAACTGGGTCCTGGTGATGTACAGAGCACGGAGACCCGGGAGCTGGAGTGAGGCAGTGACACAGATGACAAAAATGGAGATGCCTCGGCACTGCCTGAGGACACAGGGTCTGGTCTGTAGGGCTTTCTGACCTTAGTGAGGCCTTCTCCTTTTATTTTGACTGAAATAAATAGCCACAGGAAGTTCAGATCAATTAGAATTGAAATTTCCAGAAGAAATGTGGGACCATCCTTGCACTTGCCCCAGGCCCTGAGTCTTCCCTGAAGACGCCTCAGCATCTGAACCACAACCCCAGAGTAGGTGCTGCAGTTGTCCTGTGGCCAAGATGGGAACTGTGCATCCTCCAAAGAAGGGAGACACAAAACACTCAAAATAATCCATGCAGAAAGGCATCTCTGGGCGGGCACTGTGGCTCTTGCCTGTAATCCCAGCACACGGGTAGGCCTAGGCAGACGGATCACCTGAGGTCATGAGTTTGAGATAAGCCTGGCCAACAAGGTGAAACCCTGTCTCTACTAAAAATACAAAAATTGGGGCGGGCGCGGTGGCTCATACCTGTACCCTAGCACTCTGGGAGGCCAAGGCAGGTGGATTACTTAAGGTCTGGAGTTCGAGACCAGCCTGACCAAGATGGTGAAACTCCATCTCTACTAAAAATACAAAAAGTAGCTGGGCTTGGTGCGACTCTGTAATCCCAGCTACTCAGGAGGCTGAGGCAGGAGAATCACTTTAACCCGGGAGGAGGAGGTTGCAGTGAACCATGATTACGCCACTGCACTCCAGCCTGGGAGACAGATTGAAACTCAAAAGTAAAATTAAATTAAATTAAATTAAAATTAAAATACAAAAATTAGCTGGCTGTGGTGGCACACACATTTAATTTCAGCTGCTTGCAAGGGTGAGGCAGAAGAATTGCTTGAACCTAGAAGACAGAGGTTGCAGGGAGAGAAGGTCACCAGACTACACTCACAGCCTGGACGGTAGAGTGAGACTCTGTCTAAAAAAAAGAAAATAAAATAAAAAGAGTGTTTCTGATGTGACTGATGCAGAGATAATAAAATCTGAGTAACGTGATAGAGACTGACGGGCAGAGGGAACTTCAGATGGGGGTGGGAGGGCATGGGAGACATCTCTGAGCCTAGACCTGAAGGAGAAGAAAGGCACAGGGCCGTGATCATTTAGGAACACAGGGTAAGAGCAGGGACAGCAACCTGAGACAGGAAGGGTTTTAGTGTTTGGGAAAAGAGAAAAGCAAATATGACTGGGGCAGAGACAGTCATGCGATGAGGGCAAGCTCCCAGGAGGAGGCTGGACACTGGCAGGGGCCCTGGACACAGGGCTATGGAGCCACAGTGAGGAGTTGGGCTTTCAACATTTGTCCACATGGACCAGAGGTGCCTTGAGGGAAACATGCACTTAATAGCTCACAGCTCAAGATTTTAACAAATGACAACAAAACTGAAAAACAGGCTAACTCGTTAAACTACATTTTGATGTTAAAGGTTTCCAATAAATAATAAAGACTAGAAAGCATGCAGACCTCGATCTGAACTGGACGCAACTAATTTCAAACAGAAACTATTTGGAAATTGTTTTTTAAAAAATCGAACAAATTCAGATGTCAATGGGAAAATAACTGAACAATGTGAGCTGGTTATAGGATGCTGCAAATGCATCTTTCAGAAGTGATTATGTATTAAAAAAGAAATATTTAAAACTAAGATTTATCTCAAAGTAAAACTGCAAAAAAAAAAAAAAAAAAAAGAAAGAAAGAAAGGAAGGAAGAGGAACCAGAAAGAAAAAAAAGAAAATATGTTACACAACGAGAACAAAAGCACTTTTGATGTGCCTTTTGCTTTCATTTTTTGGTGGTGGTGTTTGTTTTTTTGAGATGAAGCCTCGCTCTGCCCCCCAGGCTGCAGTGCAGTGGTACCATTTCGGTTCACTGCAACCTCTACCTCCCAAGTTCATGTGATTCTCATGCCTCAGGCTCCCGAGCAGCTGGAACTACAGATGCATGCCACCATGCCCAGCTTACTTTTTTAGTATTTTTACTAGACACAGGGTTTCACCATGTTGGCCAGAATGATCTCAAACTACTGACCTTAGGTGATTGGCTCCCAAAGTGCTGGGATTACAGGCATGAGCCACCACGCCCAGCTTTGATGTTCCTTTTTTTTTTTTTTTTGAGATGGAGTCTCGCTCTCGCCCAGGATGGAATGCAGTGGCGCAATCTTGGCTCACTGCAACCTCCGCCTCCTGGGTTCAAGTGATTCTCCTGCCTCAGCCTCCTAAGTAGCTGGAATTAGAGGTGCATGCCACCATGCCCAACTAATTTTTGAATTTTTAGGAGCAATGGGATTTCACCATGTTGGTCACGCTGGTCTTGAATTCCTGACCTTGTGATCCTTGTGATCCACCTGCCTCCGCCTCCCAAAGTGCTGGGATTACAGGCATGAGCCACTACGCCCTGATGTCCCTTTTAAAAAGTACTATGGGCCAGGCGTGGTGGCTCATGCCTGTAATCCCAGCATTTGGGGGGCCAAGGCGGGTGGATCATCTGAGGTTGGGAGTTTGAGACCAGCCTGACCAACATGGAGAAACCCCGTCTCTACTAAAAACACAAAATTAGCTGGATGCAGTGGCTCATGCCTGTAATCCCAGCTACTTGGGAGGCTGAGGCAGTAGAATCAGTCTGAACCTGGGAAGCGGAAATTGCAGCGAGCCGAGATTGTGCCATTGCACTCCATCCTGGACAAGAGTGAGATTCCATCTCAAAAAAACAAAAACAAAAACAAAAACAAAAAACAAAAAACGACTATGTAGGCCAGGCACGGTGGCTCCTCTCTGTAATTCCACCTGTAATCCCAGTAATTTGGGAGGCCAAGGCAGGACGATCCTTTGAGGCCAGAATTGAGACCAGCCTGGGAAACAGTGAAACCCCATTTCTACAAAAAAAAAATACAAAACCTAGCCGGACTTGGTGGCTCACGCCTGTGGTCCCAGCTACTCAGGAGGCTGAGGTAAGAGGATCGCTTGAGCCTAGGAGGTCGAGGCTGCAGTTAGAGGAGATCACACCACTGCACCCCAGCCTGGGCGACAGAGCCAGACCCTGTCTCAAACTATAAATTAATTAATTAAATTAAAATTATTACATAATAACAGAAAGTGATTTTTTTCTCCCACTTCACTGCCCCATTTCCTACCTCACCATGGGAAGAGGGAAGAGAGGCTCTCACAATTGAATTAAGTCACTACCCTCTGGCTGAATAGGGATTCCAAGTGGAAGCTGACCTCTAATGCCAAGATTTACAGAATGTATGTGTCTTATAGATAGGAATTTTAAAATTCTCAATATCATCTGTATAATTTAAACAAGTTCTAAGTTATTAGATTATATAAACAGAAGTCAACATATCACAACTAATCATATCCAATGAACTCACCCACTCATCTGAACCCAAAGTCCCCCACCCCTTTTAATCTTTTGAGACAGGCTCTGCTCTGTTGACCAGGCTGGAGTGCAGTGGCATGATCTCTGCTCACTGCAGCCTGGACCTCCTGGGCTCAAGTGATCCTCCTGCCTCAGCCTCCAGAGCAGCTGGGATTACAGGTGTGCACCATCACGCCCAGTTAAATTTTTTTTTTTTTTGACAGAGATGGGGGGGGGGGTCTCACTATTTTGCCCAGGCCGGTCTTGAACTCCTGGACTCAAGCAATCCCTCTGCCCCAGTCTCCTAAAGTGCTAGGATTACAGGCGTGAGCCACTGCGCCCAGCCCCCCTTTCTTCATTACTGTGCTTCCCTCCCTAATTCTGTACATATCTCTCATTCTCCCCTTCTCTCTCTAGCTCTTGTTTTCTTTTTCCCTGGGATCTGCTCCTCCTGCTGTTTTTTGTTTTGTTTTGTTTTTTTCATTTTTGCTCTCTCTTGGCAAATCCCTCACTCATCCTCTACTTTGCCATCTGTTATGGTCTTTCTCATTCTTCTTTTCTCTGTCTCAGGTTTTCTACTGCTCTCTCTCTCAGTCTCCTGATCCCTTTGGCCAACACAATCACAGGAGGGCTTTGGAGTAAGACGCCTGCATCCCGGAGGAGCGCATTTTCCAGGGGCTGGTGCAGGGCAGGCAAGAACACCCGGTGTCATAGGACAGCCCCGGGCACCTCCCCAACGCGGGCTCAGGGTAAGCGGTGACTGCGGTGGGGAGACCTGGGGAGCATAAGGGCCTGGAACGAGGAGGGAGGTGGGGGGCGACGGCGCCTTAAGACAAGACTGGGAGGCGCCAAGGGCGGGAATCCGCCTCGCGGTAAGGACTTTAAAAAGTGCGGGTCGGGAGGAGTCAGAAAAAGGTTTTGAGCAGGGAAACTACGCGATGGGAAGTGTATACATTGCCCTATAGCAGAAAGATTCGGGAAGGGACCATCCTCAGGGCGACTTTAAACCCAAAAGGAAGCGACCCCTGGACTCTGACGAGGACGTCTAAATTTGCTCTAGGTGAAGGAACACGGGTGAGAATTTCCAGGTCTATGGGGACCCCACGTCCCAGGTACAGAAGCGCCGGGGACTTGGGAAGCGCAGACTTAACACAACACAGAGCAAAACTCACCGCTGCGGTGGGACCATCACTCCATGCGATCCGCTTCCGGGTTTGCGCGAATCTGCGCGCGCAGGACAGAAGCCAGGCCTGGGCGGGACCCGCGGGGAGGTAGGCGGGGCCTGAGCGAGGTAGGGGCGGGGCGCGAAGCGGAGAGACCTTCCCCTTTAGAATTGGCAGAAGGCGGGGCCGGGGTGGGACCCGTGCGTCTCTCAACCTCGCTCCCAGCGCCTCTTGTTTTCGAGCTTTGGAGGCGAGACCGGACAGGAAGGCTGAGGCATGATTCAAAAGCCCTGGAATTGTCTGAAACGGGGATGCAAACTAGAATGTGAAATGCAAAGCCCTGCCTGGGTGGAACATACGATTTCATGCTGACGGCCCACAGAACAGAATAGAAATCCTCTCCCTTTCTATTCTCCATTCACTGGGAAAGGAGAGTCCACCCTGTCCTCAGCTTCAGAGATTTCCCTAGGGCCTCCCCCTGGGATGCGGGACGGAGTGCTCAGGCCAGGGAGGAGTGAGGTCACCACCTACTGCTTAAACACAGCAGAGATGCGGGCGCGGGGCGAAAGCCTGAGGTCCCAGCTACTCAGGAAGCAGTGGCAGGAGGATCGCTGAGCCGG
Source organism: Homo sapiens (assembly GCF_000001405.40). NCBI lineage: Eukaryota > Metazoa > Chordata > Mammalia > Primates > Hominidae > Homo > Homo sapiens. Next base: position 53,333,181 of record NC_000019.10, on the reverse strand, counting down.
GGGGGGGGTCCAAGTTAGCCTGGGCGACAAAGTAACACCTCCTCCGGCAGCGCTCCCTTCCTCGTCTCTCTCTCTCTCCTTTTTTAAAATTTCTTTAAATAAAATTTTTGATTTTGTGAGTTAGGGATCCAACATTATTCATTTTCACGTGGATATCCAGTTAGTTGTCCCAGCACATTTGTGGAAGAGATCTATTACTTTCATTTTTATATTTAGATTTTTCTTTTCTTTTCTTTTCTTTTTTGAGACAGAGTATTTCTCTGTCACCCAGGCTGGAGTGCAGTGGCGAGATCTCGGCTCACTGCAACCTTCACCTCCCGGGTTAAAGTAGTTCTCTTGCCTCAGCCTGCCAACTAGCTGGGATTACAGACGCGCGCCACCAAGCCTGGCTAATAGTTTTGTATTTTTAGTAGAGACTGGGTTTCACAACGTTGGCCAGGCTGGATTCGAACTCCTGACGTCAAGTGATCCACCTGCTTCGGACTCCCAAAGTGTTGGGATTACAGGCGTTAGCCACCGCGTCTGGCCAGGAAAACTCTTAGAAGTTGCGCCTGCATACCACTGGACTCAGCTTGCATGACCACATTCCTTTCAAGGCTCAGAATTATTTAAAGATCCATACATTTACATTGGAATTATTTGATGTTTGAAATATTTAATTTCCTACCGAGATACGGGTACTGTCTCCCTTGTTCTTTGCCTTTCAAAGAGAGACCCCAAGTCCTTCAGAAATACATCCATGGGGGTTATTAAGCTGAAAAAAGGATTACGTGGTTTCTAAAAAATACCACTTCAGGCCAGCGCGGTGGCTCACGCCTGTAATCCCACCACTTTGGAAGGCCGAGGCGGGCGGATCACTGGAGGTCAGGAGTTCAACCCCAGCCTGCTATCTTAAAAGAATACGCTGTCATGGGATATTGGGTCATCTGGACATTGTGTTTCTGTAGGAGTTTGTCCTTGCAGGTATCAATAAGCTGCTTTCCTTAACCGTAAACATCTTATAACCGTGACTCGTGAGTGAGCAGTAAGGAATACATCTTGCTATTTGTTTTTTTTGTTTGTTTGTTTTTTTGAGACAGAGTCTTGCTCTGTCGCCCAGGCTGGAGTGCAGTGGCGCGATCTCGGCTCACTGCAACCTCCGCCTCCCGGGTTCAAGCAATTCTCCTGCCTCAACCTCCTGAGTAGCTGGGACTACAGGCGCCCGCCACCACGCCCAGCTATTTTTTTTGTATTTTTAGTAGAGACGGGGTTTCACCATATTGATCAGGCTGGTCTCGAACCCCTGACCTCGTGATCCACCTGCCTCAGCCTCCCAAAGTGCTGGGATTATAGGCGTGAGCCACCGCGCCCGGCCTACGTCTTGCTAGTTTTAATGGACTTGAACTTTGACACCCTAGCTCTCCTAGGTTCCTGCTTAACAGTTTGTCCACTCATGCAACACAGAGTCCTAAGCACAATTATGGAGACACCACTGTCTTGTAATGTATCTGACAGGCTGAGCTTCTGCCCCAAGAACATAGAAATAGCAACACTAAGTGAAATATTAGGAAGTTTTATGTATGTATATAATTGATCATTATTTGCAGGGTTAAATTGGCTAAAATCACATAGAATGGGTTTTTATTTTAATCAAATGTTCGTAATCTATCTTTCACACAAAGTTGAAGAGCATTTCCTTATGTTGAGTACATATGAAAGAGTTCAGATTTTGGACCTGATTTTGTGCTTTCCATTACATCTAGTTTTTTTCCTATTCTCTCTAGATTTTTTTCTCTTGATTTTTTCTGTGTTCATGAGCTCGTGAACCAAAAGTATCTACTGGGTCTCACTCAATTTAGAAATCTATTTTGCCAAGGTTAAAAATGCCCCCGTGACACAGCCTCAGGAGGTCCTGATGACATGTGCCCAAAGTGTTTAGGCTGCAGTTTGGTTTTACACATTTCAGGGAGACATAATACATCAATCAAAACATGTAAGATATATATTGGTTTGGTCTGGAAAGGTGCAATAACTGGAATTGGGGGGCTTCCGGGTCACAGGTGGATAACAAAGTAAAGTCCAAGGGTCTGTCATAAACTGGGTTAGAAGAGACGAGAAGATTACCAGGAGTCTCGGTCTCAAGCAATCCTCCCACCTCAGCCTCCCAAGGTGCGTGGACCACAGGTGTGATCCACTGAACATAGTGGAGTCTCCAGCTCAAAAAAACAAAACAAAGATCAAGGTACTCTATCGAATTACTTCATTTGACATTTTTTTTGAAATGAAATGTTTACATATTTATTATTGAACCCAGCCAACCAATGCATTCATAACAGATTCAGAGATTAAAAAATATATTCCCAATAAAACATGTCCAACTCTCCAGGTAGTGGTGACACTTTCAGCTTGATATGGTAACATGATTGTGACCTTATTGCCAGTTTTCATGCAAGTCCACTGGGAAATGGGACAATTTTGCTTTTCTTGGCCAGGACTCGCTTAATCCTGAAAGTCTTGTGAGAAGACATGGCAAGAAGCGGAGTCAAGCACACACCACGATGACGGAAAGAGGAGGAGAAGAGGCATGACTTTTTTTTTTAGACTAAGTTTCTTTTCTTTTCTTTTCTTTTTTTTTTTTTTTTGCCCAGGCTGGAGTGCAATGGTGCAATCTCAGCTCACTGCAACCTCCACCTTCTGGGTTCCAGTGATTCTCCTGCCTCGGCCTCCCAAGTAGCTGAGTTTCATCAAAATATGAACTACAAATGCAGGAATGTGGCCAAAGGTGGGTAGCTTGAATGTTATTACATATTCCTGCTTGACCTGGACTGCCAACACCAACACAAATGGCCAGAAATCTCTTATGTGAAAATCTTCATGATCTCGTGGGAAAACCCTGATATTTGTAAATGCTGCAAAACAGGCTCAAAAAAAAAAAAAAAAAAGTCAGTCGCAGTGGCTCATGCCTGTAATCCTTCCACTTTGGGAGGCTGAGGTGGGTGGATCAGCTGGGGTCAGGAGTTCTAGACCAGCCTGACCAAAATGGAGAAACCCCCTCTCTACTAAAAATACAAAAATTAGCCAGGCATGGTGGCAGGCACCTGTAATCCCAGCTTACTCAGGAGGCTGAGGCAGGACAATTGCTTGAACCTGGGAAGCAAAGGTTGCAGTGACATCACACCACTGTACTCCAGCCTGGGTGACAAGAGCGAGACTCCATCTGAAGACAAAAATAAAATAAAATACAAAATAAAAATAAATAAAAATACAAAAATTAGCGTGATGTGTTGGCGCACACCACTAATCCCAGCTACTCCGGAGACTGAGGCAGGAGAATTGCCTGAATGCAGGAGGCGGAGGTTCCAATGAGCTGAGATTGTGCCACTGCACTCCAGCCTGGGCGACAGAGCAAGACTCCGTCTCAAAAAAAAAAAAGAATTTTCTGATGTTCTGCATGGAGTGCCCACAGACTGAAGACCTTGCCACCTTTATGACATTTGTAAGATTTCTGTCCAGTATGGATTCTCTGATGTCTAATGAGGTATGAACGTGAAGTAAACGCTTTGCCACAATCATCACGCTTGTGAGATTTCTCTCCTGTATGAATTCTCCTATGTTTTGCATAGGATGAAGCTTGACTGAAGACCTTGCCACAGTCATGACATTTGTAAGGTTTCTCTCCAGTTTGAGTTCACTGATGAACTGCAATGTATGAACGATGTCTGAAAAATTTGCCACATTTATTACACTTGTAAGATTGTGGTGGAAAGAGAGATCAGACTGTTACCGTGTCTATGTAGAAAAAGGAAGACATCACAGAGATTCAAATGGCTGCAAATGAGGACCATCATGTAGTTGGGCAGAAAAATAACCCACAGACCGGGAAACTTCCTGGGGCGGGGCGAAACTAGGAAGGCCAGGCTCCGCCCCTTTCCCAGACCCGCCCCTATCTCGGCTCCCACCTCGGATCCAGCCCTCTCCATTGCGAGACCAGCCAGGGTCTAGGCGCTGGTCCAGGACGCTGCGACCCCGCCCTGCCATGAGAGGGATTGCCCGCAGACCCGGAAGCGGATGGAGAGGTCACGCGTCAGTGAGAAGGGTTTCCGTCTTCCTCTTTCAAACTTGCACTCCTATTCTACAGTGTTCCGCACCGATGTCCGGGATCCTCTAGACTTTAAAATCTGCACACCCATTCCTCTCTTGAGAGTCCCGGCGTCATTATGAGACGCTGGGAATCCAGTTGCTCCCCTGCGCATCTGTATCCCCTTAAAGTCGTCCTCAGGCTAGGTCCTTGAAACGACGTTTGTGCCTCGAAGCTCTGTAGACACTGCCTGCTGTTGGAGAGACACAATTAAAAACAAAATCTTTTCCCAGTGTAGAAAACCTCTCTGCAAAGATGGTAGAGAAAGAAAATAGTTTGAAAAAGCATTAAACCCAAATGTGATGTGCGTCACAGGCAAGCCACTAAGCCATTGCAAAGACGCAAAGAAATCTCGCACTTTTATGTAGCCAAGTAGAACATACTTGTCTTCAAGGCAAATAATAGCTAGTTCTCAAGTAAGAGGACTTGACTGCCCCATTGGTCACACATAGATCATCCTAGATTCACCTGGTAGTTGGGGTGACCATCTGTTATAGGTAATTGGCTTTATCCAGAGGAAACACAAACTTCATACACTTTATGACAAGAAGTCGTTTTGCAGCTTGGATTAAGGCTCCAAGAGCCTGATGCGAGGCTCCTACACTCCCACAGAAACTAGGGGATGGGGTGCTATTTTCCTTAATGTTTACATTTCAAAGAGAAGTTTCCCAGGTTCTTTAGAAAGACATCACTGGGTCATAAAGCTGGCAAAAGAACGACCCAGTTTTCGGAGGCATTCAAATGCATGTCTAAGAGAGAAGTGCTTACAAGTTTTCTAAAGTAAATGTTCTAAGAAAAAGGACGGTAGGGCATCTCGTTTTCAACAGGGAGAATTAAGCCTCTTCACACTGCTGAGTCATTTTCCTACTTCAGTCCCTTCACTGTCTTCCCTCCCCTGCCTTATTCCCTATAAATCCCTGACTCAGGAGATAGAGTCAAGCTCTTGAGCTCTGCCTCCCTCACCGTTTTAGGCCTCTCAAGTGCAGCCCTGAATGCTGCATCTTCTTCCTGGGCCTAGGATTCTGCAGGCCTTACTGCTTCCCTGAAAGTCCCTATCCTGAAGTCCTCCCTGGGTCAGCATCTGCCTCTCCCTAGAACTCCCCTTCACACGAGGTCGTTGTCTTCAGGAGTCCCCTGGGTCTCGGGAGATGACAGACTCCTGTCCTGTGACACTATGAGTTTCTTCTGTCCCGAATCACATATGTTAGCTGTGAGGCAGGCAAATAGGATCTGGAGGCATGAAACATAAGGCCACTTCACACTTCAGCTATGACAGGAAATAGCCCCTCCATAGGGCGTACACCGAGTAAATGACTTTGTAACTTTACTTCATCCTTTTTATTTACATAGGGCATGCACCAAGTAACCACTGGAATCCTCTAGATGGTATTTAACTCCTGAAAATTCTGTAACGGGGCCCTTGAGACCCTATGCTTGGGCCAGCTCCCACACTGTGGAGTGTACTTTCATTTTCAATAAATCCATTTATTCCTTCCTTAATTTATGCATTTTGTCCAATTCTTTGTTCAAGACACGAAGAACCTGGACACCCTCCACTGGTAACAACTGTGGTGTGTTGCGGTCTCAATTCCCCACCAGAAATTGCTATTCCCCAGCAGCCTATATTCCATTCCTATATTCACAAATTTAACTTGGATCCTGAATTCATTCGATTTTTCTTTATAATTTCTAAATTACTTTCAAATTACTTTACCATCATAGAAATATCTCTTTGATTAGGATATTACAGAGGTGTATGACTTTGGGAGAGGGTGTTGTAAGTGGAAATATGGGCTCCTGGATCATTGGGTCCATGGGTCAATTTATGTATGTCATTACAACATGAATAGATATGTTATTAGGGCTTGCAATGTGCTGTGGGATTTCATAGCAGAATGGGGGAATCATTATGGGCTCTCAAGAGTGAATTGGACCCCATGGAGCTTCCAGGATTGTGTGACTCCAGAAAGAAGGTAAAGAGTGAGGGGCTAAGACTCAGGAAACTGGTAGTTTTCACTGGAGGAGGGTTTCCTAGGGATGGGTCTCTGGGCACAACTAAAGAGGGGTATTGGGGTCCCTGGCTTAAGAGCACACATTATCCCAATAAAGAATGTGCAGACACCACCCACAGCAACTATGCAGTTCAAAGGCTTATCTTTGGGGGAATATTCTTGAGGAAATGTCAGTGCTGGTTACATGGTTACACAATATTGGCCTCTCTCTGTCACCTCCCCATTTGTCCCAACACAACACACAGAATCACAAGGTAACTGAGGGAGGTCAAGGCAATGTTTTGTAGTTTTCTATGTATAAGTCTTGCAATTTTCTTGGTTAAGTTTATTATTATGTACTTTATAATTTTTATGCTATTATAAAGTTGTTTTCTTAATTTCCTCTTTAGATTGTTCATTGCTAGCACAGAAATACAACTGATTTTTGTGTGCCCATCTTGTATCAGCAACTTTGCTGAATTTATTCTTTAGCTTTAATAGTTTGTTGTGTGTGGATTCTTTAGGATTTTCTATATCCATCTGCTAATAAAGATAGATTTCATCTTTTTTCAAATTTGAAATTTTTTTCTTGTCTAATTTCTTTGGCTAGAATTTCTAATACAGTGTTGAATAGAACTGTCAAAACTGGGCTTGTCTTGTGATCTTAGGGGGTAAGTTTTCAGTCTTTCACCCTTGAGTATAATGCTAGGTGTGGGTTTTTCATAAGTGCTCTTTATCATGTTGAAGAAGTCTCTTATATTCCCAGTTTGTTGAGTGTTTTTTTAATCATGAAAGGCTGTAAAATATTGTAAAATGCTTTTTCTGCATCAACTGAAATGACCATGTGGTTTGCTTCATCTTATTAATGTGGTGCATTATAATTCATTTTCATATGTTGAAGCATTCCTGTTTTCCTGGGATAAATCTCACTTGTTCATGGTGTATAATCCTTTTGGTAAGCCACTGCATAGGATTTGCTTGTATGCTGCTGAGGATTTTTGCACCTGTATGCGTGAGGGCTATTGGCCCGTGGTTTGCCTTTCTTGTTATTTCATTGTCTGGCTTTGATAAAAAAGGTAATGCTGGCTTCATAGGATAAATTAAGAAATGTTTCCCCCTTCTACTTTTTGGGAGAGTTGGGGAAAGATTGGTGTTAACTCTTCTTTAAATGTTTGATAGACATCATCAAGGAAGATATCTGATCCTGCCCTTTTCTTTGTGAGTAGTTTTAAAATTATTCCCTCTCTTTTCTTGTTATAGATTGTGATATAAAATAAAAAATATATGTTTGATCTAGGTCCCAGGTTCCTGGCAGAGAGACTGTAAAACCGTTGAAACTTCTTGAGTGATAGGAGTAAGTCTTTTGTTATTATATTAAGCCTCAACCATATCTGAGTTTTTGTTGAGATGACTCTTGGTGGGCCCCTTGCCAGAGGAACCAACCATGTGATTAAAGGGTTGGAACTTTCAGCTGTACACCCCTTTTTCCTCTCCAGGGAAGGAAGAAGGGCCAAAAAAGTTTGAGTTAATCACCAATGGCCAGTGACTTAGTCAGTCATGCCTACATAAGGGAACCTTCATGGAAACCTGAAACAAGGTCCAGGGAGCCTCTGGGTTGATGAATGCACCTATTTGCAAGGAGGGTGGTGCAATCCAACTCCATGGAACAGAAGGTCCTGCACTTCTGACCCTTTTGGACCCCACCCTACGTACTTCTTCATCTGGCTATAAATTTGTATGCTTTATAAAAGTGGTCCCCAGTCATTCTGGCTCCAGGGACTGGTTTCATGGAAGACAGTTTTTCCATGGATGGCAGAAGGGGGATGGTTTCAGGATGAAACTGTTCTACCTCAGATCATCAGGCATTAGATTCTCCTAAGGAATGGGCACCCTAGATCCCCCGCATGTGCAGTTCACAATAGGGTTAATGCTTCTATGAGAATCTCATGTTGCCACTCATCTGAAGGCAGTGCTCAGGCAGTAATGCTCACTCCCCCGATGCTCACCTCCTGTTGTGCAGCCCAGTTCCTAACAGGCCATAGACTGGTACTGGTCCACAGCCTGGGGGCTGGGGACCCCTGCTTTATAATATCCTTCAACATAAGCTGGTAATAAGTATACTGTATTCCCTGAGATGTGTGAGCCATTCTAGCAAATTATTGAACCCAAGGAGGGAGTTGTGAGAATGCTCATGTTGTAAAAATTCTTTCTAATTTGGTCTTCAGATCTCTCTCTGAAAAGTGGCTTAAATTCTAGGCCTGCCCTGATGGGGCTCTAGGGAAGATGATTGTGGATGTTTACAGTGTGCCTTTCATGGGATACTGCTTTATCCTGGCAGACTGCCTAATGCCTAAGTGTGTGACCTGTGGCCAGGTGTTCCGCTCACAGGAAACTTGTTTATACTGGCAGATGCCCTTGTGGCTCTTGTCTGATTGGTGTCAGACAAGATAACTCTTGATAACCACTCTCTAGGAAAGCTCTAACCATGAAAAAAGCGAGGCTCGAGTGTGTTGGCCAGGTAAGACACAGAGAAGGCAGCACAATCATACGTATGAAACATCAGAAGCCATCTATTACTTACAGATCCGAGAGAAGACAGCAGCACACATTGCAGGGCCAGTGGGAAGTGGGAAGCCATTCAAGACAGGCATGTGCAACCAGTGGGTGGGGAGTGACAGAGAGGGAGGATATGTGGCCCTAAAGCCTTAACTAGGGACTGGGAAATTACCCAAGCAGATTTTGGAGGGGAATTCTAATTGGTGGATTTATTATTTATTTATTTGAGACGAAGTTTTTTTCTCGTCGCCCAGGCTGGAGTGCAATGGCACGATCTCGGCTCACTGCAACCTCCGCCTCCCAGGTTCAAGCGATTCTCCTGCCTCAGCCTCCTGAGTAGCTGGGAATACAAGTGCGTGCCACCACGCCCGGCTAATTTTTGTCTTTTTAGTAGAGACGGGGTTTCACCATGTTGGCCAGGCTGGTCTCAAACTCCTGACCTCAGGTGATCCACCCACCTCAGCCTTCCAAAGTGCTGGGATTACAGGCATGAGCCACGGCGCCTAGGCCAACTGGTGGATTTAAAGCAAGGCGGCATGAGTTCCATGGGGTCATGCGGTGACCAAGAGGTGGTCACTGTGGCATACCTGCGCAGTCCATGCCCAGTGCAGAAGTTGTTGGGGGAGGGGTCAGTGGGTGAGGCAAGTAGGTTGTATGTAGCTCCTCTATAGAGGGGTGGTGACCAGCAGGCAATTATATAAAGCAAATGTCTGGATTGACCACACTGAGGACCTGTGAGGAGGCAGAGAACTGGAAACTGGGTCAAGGGTGACTAAGCCCTACTACTGGTGTGGGAAAATCTAGCTTATATTTAGAATGGATGCTAAGGCAACATAAAATTATAGGATTTCACGGCACCTTGATTTATAGCCAGTTAATCAGAAGTATGGGTGGCCTAGACTTGTGATTGGTGTCTGATGTGCAGGGCAGTCTTGTGGAACTGAATCCTTAACCTACGGAGCTGCCCTAATTGCAGGTCATGTCAAATTGAACTGAATAATTGGACAAGCAGTTGGTGTCTGGAGAGTTGGAGAGTTTGTTGTTGGTGGGAAAAACCCCTACATACTTGGTATCAGGAGTGCTGTGAGTAGAAACAGATCATAGTAGAATAGGTCTATTCAGAATTAGTATTTCTTCTGAGTCACGTTTGCTAGTTGTGTTTCTAGAAATTTATTCATTTAATCCAGGTTATCTAACTTGTTGTACAATTGTTCATAACAGTCTTTTATGATCTTTTTAACCACTTTCTACTTCAATTGCTAAATTTATCTTTATTCTTAATAATCTTTAAAAGTAAGTAGAATGTTCCCATTTTCATTTCTGATTTGGGTTATCTGCATGTTTCTCTTATTTTTTATTTTTTAGTCAGTCTAGCTAGAGATTTATTAATGTTTAGCTGATCTTTTAAAGAATGACATTTTTATTTCATTGTTTTCCTCTACTGTTTTTCTGTTGTCTATTTATCTCTCTTCTAATATTTATTTCCACCCTTCTGCTAGCTATGAGATTAGTTTGGTCTTCTTTTCCCAGTTCCATAAGGTGCAATCTTAGGTTACTGATTTTACAGCTGCCTGGAAGCTCAAAGTTCTACTTACCCATCTGGCTTACCACTGCCACTGCCGGCATCTGAGCAAGCTGCCTGAAGGCCTGAGAATTGGTCCACCTGGACTCACTAACATTGGTGCCTGCATATGCCTCTTAAGGGCCCAAGGAAAGCATGCATGGCTCGCTGCTGCTACCACAGAGGCCTAAGGCTGGCCCAGCTGCCGTTCTTATTCCTAGGAAAGCCTCACCATGGTCTGTGCAAAGCTAAAGTATCCTTCCCAGTTATCATCATAGAAACATCTTCAGGAAAAAGTCTTCCTCTACGAAAGTCAATGAAAAATTGAAAGGAGTGATTGTTACACCAGCTGCATGGATATCTACATAAAGACACCAGAAACGTGAACAACCAAGGCAATTTGACAAAGGATCAGAATAATTCTCCAACAGCAAATTCCAATAAAAATAAATTCATGAAATGCCAGAAAAAGATTTCAAAATTATCATATTAAGAAATTTCAGTGAGGTAAAAGAGAATGCAGATAAACAACAAAAAAAAATCAGAAAAACAGTTCAAACTGTGAATGAGAAATTCATCAAAGAGATAGATTTTATAAAAAAGAACTAAAGCAAAGTTCTGGAACTGAAGAATTCAATACACAAAATAAAAAATACACTTGAGAGGCACAGCAATAGACTAGACCAAGCAGAAGTCTTTTGAAATAACCCAGATAAGAGAGAGAGAGAGAAAAAAAAAATAAGAATGAACAAAACCTATGTGACATATAGGACACCATAAAGAGACTAAGTATTTCAAATTTTGAGTATTCTAGAAAATGAGAAGGTCAAAGGCATAAAAACACTAACAAAATAATAGCTGAAAACTTTCCAAGTCTAGCAAGAGAATTAGACATTGAAATACAGGAGGCTTAGAGATTTCCATATAGGTATAAGCCACAAAGATCATCTATATAGCATATGATAGTCAAACTGTCATATGCTATATATGACATATGACGTATTACAAAGAAACTTTGTCTCTTTGAGACAAAGAGAGAATGGAACTGGAGGTCATTCTGTTAATTGAAATAAGCCAGACAGAAAGACAAATATCCCATGTTCTCACTCATATGTGGGAGCTAAAAAAGTTGTTCACAAGGAGGTAGAGAGTGAAATGATAGACATGAGACTGGAAAGGGTGTGTGTCGGCGTGGGGGATGAAGAGAGGTTGGTTAATGGGAACAACCACACCGTTAGACAGAAGGAATAAGTTCTAAGGTTTCATAGCAGAGTATAGTGGCTATCGTTAACAACACTCTTGTATATTTCAAAATAGCTAGAGAAGACTTGAAATGTTCCCAGCCCATAGAAATGATAAATACTCAGGTGATGGATACTCTGAATATTCCGATTTGATCATTACACAATCTATGCATGTAACAGCATTTCACACATATCCCATAAATATGTACAAATATAATGTAAGAACAAAATAAATTTTTAAAAACTATAAAGTCTTTGTTTTTGTTTGTCTTTATGTTTATACTTTTTCCTGTCTATATGTTATTCATATATTTTTTTCTGCCAAAATAGATGAACGAGCACTATTGGGTTAAAGAGGGAGAGAAGCACTAAGATCAAGTAATTTGTCAGGAAAAATAGGTCAATCAATTACATGTCAGTTCCACATTAAAAATTGTTTCCTACAATATTTTCCAGCTATTATGAAATACATTCATAAAATGTTAATATTTAACAGCTCAAAATTACTAAGTTTTTATTAAAATTTAGTGTTCCTAAGAATTAAAAGTTCTAATTAGTACATGTAATTATGAATACAAAATGTATACTAAAAGTATTTTTGTCTGAGAAAGTATCCTGTGTGGTCTCAATTATAACAGAAAATAGAAAGTCAATTTTTGTACCAGAATAGAATGATTGGTTGTTCCAATATAAAAAAGGAGAAAGGTAGGAAAAAGTCTGGGGTTTTTAAAAATAATGGAAAGCCTGAGCAAGACATGGAGGGTTTCTTTCTTTCTTTCTTTCTTTCTTTCTTTCTTTCTTTCTTTCTTTTTTTCTTTCTTTCTTTCTTCTTTCTTCTTCTTTTTTTTTTTTTTTTTGAGATGGAATATCGCTCTGTCACCCAGGTTGGAGTGCAGTGGCGCGATCTTGGCTCACTGCAGCCTCCGCCTCCTAGATTCAAGCAATTCTTGTGCCTCAGCCTCCCAAGTAGCTGGGATTACAGGCATGTGCCACCACGCCTGGCTAATTTTTGAGGTTTTGGTAAGAGACAGGGTTTCACCATGTTGGCCAGTCTGGTCTCAAAACTTCTGACCTCAAGTGATCCACACACCTCAGCCTCCCAAAGTCTTGGGATTACAGGTGTGAGCCACTGCGCCCAGCAACGTGGAGGGTTTCTGAAGGATGGGTCTTGGGAAAGAATTTTTGTGTGATGGGGTTGGCTGGCATTGAGAGGAAATTGTTTATAAGTTTTCCTAAGAATTGAGCATTGATGTCAGGGGTGCACTGATGTAATTCAGAATCTGGTCTATTATGTGTGGAGCAACGGGGTTTTCTTGAAATGTTGACCTGCTCTTAATAAAAATTACAATAGGATTTGATTTTTAGTTCTGAAATCTGTTTCTATCCATTTTCAACCATCGTCTGCATTGCAAGGTTTTTTCCTGTTTTACAGTTTACATTTAATCTACTTAATTCCAGATTTAAAATGTGATCTTCTCCATTTAAATAGTAATTTCATTTCTCAAAATAGAGGGATTTTGAAGCTTTTCAGATTCATATTTCAGAAGTACAACTTTTGCTACATCTCATGCATCATTGCCTTCAGCTCTTCCTCCTTTTCTTCTTGAGGGGGTACAACTTTTTGCTTGGCTGAAATAAATAACTCTCTCTCTCAACTTTTCATCTGCTTCTACAGCATTTTTTTTTTTTTCAGTTCTGACTCTGCTATTGACCTGACACTGAAAATATTTATCTTCCTCCAGTGTAACTTGATTCTATGTTCTTGGTTTTTCTTGATGTGTCTGAGTTTTTTCCATGTAACCAGAAAATTTCACATAATTTTACTTTTTCTAAAAGCCACATGCTCCCCTGCCCAAGGTACTAGTTGTTTTGTTTACTTATTCTGTAATAGGGTGTATGCTTATAACTTTGGACACACACTCTTCCAGTATCTAATTGAATTTAAGTACCTTTTCTTCAGGTTCAAATTCCAGGTTATCTGAACAGGCTTCCCATAGGGAGAAGCAATCACATTGCAGGAAGTTTTTCTTTACCTTTTGGTAACTGGCCTAGAGAACAAACATGTTATGTTTCATCAAGATGATTTCCTGTGCACTTCCTGTTATCGTCATTATGCTTTAATTACTCAGCAATGTTGAGCTTTAAATAAAGTTAAGGGTATTTTTAAAAATTTAACATCCATGTAATTTTCTGTATTTATTTTTTAAATATTTTAATTGTCACTCTGGTCAAGTGAATAATTTATTATTGATGTGAGTGTTCCAAAATTTATGTAAAATTTATAGAAGTCTAATGGTCTTGGCGTCAACTTATAATTCATGATTCTAGTGAATCCATGATGCATGAAATAGAGATAACTAAATTTCCTCATCGATGGCTAAATATCATCAGATTCTTTTTTTTTTTTTTTTTTTTTTTTTTGAGACAGAGTTTCGCTTGTGTTGCCCAGGCTGGAGTGCAATGGCGCTATCTCGGCTCACGGCAACCTCTGCCTCCCGTGTTCACGTGATTCTGCCTCAGCCTCCCGAGTAGCTGGGATTACAGGCATGTGCCAGCACACTCGGCTAATTTTGTATTTTTAGTAGAGAGGGGGTTTCTCCATGTTGGTCAGGCTGGTGTCCCACTCCCGACCTCAGGTGATCCGCCCGCCTCGGCCTCCCAGAGTTCTGGGATTACAGGCATGAGCCACCGTGCCCAGCCTAGATTCTTAATTGTAGCTAGTCTAAGTCTTTGCCATCCACTGTTGTAATTCTTCTCTAATGGCATTTGCAATCGGATTCATGGAGAAGACTCTGACAAATACTCCTGAAGACAGGTTTCTGATAACCTTAAAAACAATAGACTAAGTAAAAATTTTCGGAACTCTAATAAGGGAACTAATGGCTTCATGAAACTGCTAATTGAGATCAAATACAACAAAAAATAATTACGGGAGACTTAATAACTTATGAAGATCATATTTTAATGACTTTTTGGATACAGTTTTGGTTATTTAACCTAAAAGATTTGTTTTCCAGATTTCAGAAAACGTTCTCTATTAAGCTACCTAAAGTTTACAGCAATTTGGTAATATATACTTTTATGAACAGAGGTGGAAATGTGATCCCTATTTGATCTGCCTAAAATTTGAAGCTCTTCATGTGTATTTTTATTTTATGGCAATAGAGTTGTTTGCATAAGTTCAATAAGAATCTGCTTTCTTTGTAACAGGATAGAATTTAAAACATTGATTGTATTACCAAGGTTTTGACCGTGATATTATATTTAAATTGTTTTTGGGTACTGCAGACAAAGTCTGAAATCTGCCTTGATTTGGTTTCCTAGATTCAAGAGGTTTTTAAATCTAAGATTTCTGCAGACCAGTCACTATTCTTATTTATGTAAGAAGTATCCTGCAAGAGAAAAGAGGCAAATAACACTCAAGGGCGCTCCAAATTATCTCACAACAGACTTTTCAACAAAAACTGTACAGACCAAGAGGAAGTGGGGCAACATTTTCAAAGTGCTGAAAGAAAAAAAAAAGCTGCCATCCAAAAATATTATACAGCAAAGCTACCCTTCAAATAGGAAGAGGAAACTGTCTTTCCCGGACAAACAAAAGTTGACAGCATTCATCACCATCAGATCCAGCGGACAAGAAATGCTACAAGGAGTTATTCAACATGAACTAAACACCAATTGGCACACACACAAAAATTGAAGGCACAACACCCACTGGTAAAATGAAGTATAAAAGGAAGCCCAGAATACTCTAATACTGTAATTGTGCCTTGCAGTCCACTCATAACTCTAGCATGAAACCCAAGGGCCAAGTCTATCAAAAACAGTAATACCTACAGCAAGCTGTTAAGAGTGAGGCAAGGCCGGGCGCGGTGGCTCACGCCTGTAATCCCAGCACTTTGGGAGGCCGAGGCGGGCGGATCACGAGGTCAGGAGATCGAGACCATCCCGGCTAAAACGGTGAAACCCCGTCTCTACTAAAAATACAAAAAATTAGCCGGGCATAGTGGCGGGCGCCTGTAGTCCCAGCTACTTGGGAGGCTGAGGCAGGAGAATGGCGTGAACCCGGGAGGCGGAGCTTGCAGTGAGCCGAGGTCCCGCCACTGCACTCCAGCCTGGGCGACAGAGCGAGACTCCGTCTCAAAAAAAAAAAAAAAAAAAAAAAGAGTGAGGCAATACAGAAATATATAGATGGAGAGCACATAAGTCAAAAGTGGCTGGTATGAAATTCAAGTGTAAAGATGTTTTTCAGTTTTTCTTTGTTTCTATTCTTTTTTGTGATCTAAGATAAGTTGTCATCTATTTAAAATAAATGCTTGTATTTATAAGATATTTCATTGTTAATTCTTTTGTTTGTTTAGTTCTCTGTTATTTCAAGTAAATTTTAATAAAATGAGTGGTTGTGCTTGCTTGCTCGCCTTAGGGATATGAGAACACCCACCCCAAAATCTCTTTCTTTCTAACATGATCAATTGGCATCGTCACATGATAAAGAAAAAAAAATTACCCTCTACTGATTTAGATCCTGAACATCTGCTTTTTTTTTCTTTTTTTTGTGAGACAGGGTATCACTCCCTTAGCCCAGGCTGGAGTGCAGTGGTGTGATCACAGCTCACTGCAGCCTCTACTTCCTGGGCTCAAGTGATCTTCTCATCTCAGCCTCACAAGTGCCTGGGACTACAGGCATGTGCTAACACGCCTGGCTAATTTTTTTTTTTTTTTTTGTATTTTCAGTAGAGACGAGGTTCCTACATATTGCCCAGGCTAGTCTCAAACTCCTGAGCTCGAGCCATCCTTCTGCCTTGGCCTCCCACAGTCCTGGGACTACAGGCATGAGCCACTGCACCCAGCCAGCATTGGTTTTTTAATAGACAGCACTCACCTGATGTTTTTATTTTGGCATAAATATATTTTTTGTACTCTCCTTTGTCTTACTGTCGATCAGTCTAACTGTTTATATATGTAAGTGATTTAAATATGCTATACTAATTTCCTTCCATATAATCATATTTTAAATGACTACTATCTGTCTGATTTTATAACTTGGTCCCCAGTTCTGGTATTGACCAAAACCTTATCTCCATGCTACGTCATCACTACCGGAGAACATTTCCTTCTTCAGTTTCTTGAATGATCACCTCACACATTGCTACTTCCCCATGTAACTTTCTTCAGCAATCTCATGCTTACTTAATTTCTGCATAGATTTATTATATCAGACTGAAGGTTGCACACTCAAAAAGATCCCCATAATTTCCAGTTTGATTCAGGACCTAATTTTTTTTAATTGCATAGATGTCTAACGACTCCACTGCAGACATTAATAAAACTGTAATAATGAGTATTTACATAATAATTTCATCATGATTCATGACCTAATTTAAATTGCATGGACCTCTAATGACTCTACTGCAGGTATTAATAAAGCTTTAATAATATGAGTATTTACATAATAATTTCATCGTTTCATTTATAATTGTTCTTACTAGATATTGTTTACCATTGGGATGGAAGTTCACCCTGTCTTGTTCATCACCTTCTCATGATTGTGACAGGTTCATAATCATGTGTACATTACTGCAGGGAAGAGGGAATCATCAATTAAACAATGAGCAAATATATACAACTTACATGTTTTCACATGTTTATGATCAGTTTAGGGGATCTTGTCATCTTTTCCAAGCAAAGCAAAGCCTGTATACACTGGGGTCACAGCTCATGAGAACAAAGGGACTGAGAGTTGGGAAACATACACTCATTAAGGCTGAAGTGTTCACCAGTAAACTATTGGGATTATCCAAAAGAGCCATCAAACTTGGAAAAGGCAGGAGAGAGTGTAAGAAGACACAAAGGTGCTCACCAGGATGAGGATGCTCTGCGTAGCTCTGTTCTCTGGGGAGGCTCTGGGGGAGAGATCGCTCCTATCAATGTGCTGGACCCGCTGCTTGTGCCTGTGCAGGATGCAAACCATGGAGCTGCTGACCCAGAGCATGAGCCCCAGACACAACACATCAGGGAATGATAACAACATTGCACGCAGTGTCTGTGCGATTTTGTTGTTGCCTCCCCCAGAACAGTATCCCAAATCCTCGTTCACTGTGATGTTTGTGTAGTTCCATTTGCCAGTCACATACATGGGAAAGATGATGTTTACCAACATGCACACGATCCAGCACAGGAGAACAGAAAAGCCAACATGCTTGGGGGCTTTCTCTTTAAGTTTTCCCACCTGGATTTCCTGGAGCTGACCGTGATCACCTGGAAGACACTCAAGAGGCAGGTGGTGCCAATGGACACTCCCCTGCCCACTCTATGGAGATAGAAAACAAGTTTGCACCCAAGAGCATTAAGAAAATATCTAACCCCAAAAGCTGCCATTGTCTGGGGGACTCCTTTACAGCGGAGAGCTAAGAAGTTGGCTACAATCAGGTGCTTAACAATCAAATCTGTGGACCTTAACCTGTACCCAGTGCAGTAAAGGGAGAGATAATGGAGAAGAAGAGAGAAGCTCCCCAGGACTCCCACCACGGTCTGTGATAAGAAGATCATTCCCACTGCCACATACCGGGAGGCCATTCTGCCACTGATGTCTGTCACTGATGTTTGTCTTCAGGGCTGGGAGGTCCTGCATGGAAATAGGAGGCATGAGCTACGTTTATAGTGTCACCTGCAACCCAGCATTCTCCACCTCCCATTGCTCTGCCCTTAGAAATACTTAAAGTCACTCTTCTCTTAAGAGGCTTTTGAGAGTTGAATGCGTAACCTTTAAAGAGCACTTCCCATGTGGGAATCACTGCTGTGCAGATCATACGTGCGGCAACTTCTTTTTTCACAAACCTATGAGGCAGGCATTACTATTACTTTCATTGTAAATATGAGAAGGACATAGACACAGAGAGGTGAAGTGGCTAGTGACATTTCCACCCTACTTACAGGCAAGCACGAACTTGAACCTGCCTTGTTTTTTTGCACAGAGAGTGCATTTAGCCATTATAGTTTACTAACAAAGCTAGATAGCTGTGTTCTTTGAATAAGACACACACATACAGAGACCTTTGTTTTTATTCCTTGTCATTATATTTTAGTCTTGTAGTAGGTTACTGTATATTGTAATGATTTTATATCATGTGCAAAAATTTATTCTATTTGTCAATATCTGAATAAATAAAGGTTTAGAGATCTTAAAAAATGTAGATGAATGAATTACAGTTTAACACTATAGAAACCTGTGCCATAACAAATTGGATTTAATGACTGCAAGCACGGATCAATATTAGAATGGAAAGAGAGTAAAAAACATTGTGAGCATTTGCTTTTGTGCCAAGGACAAAGGCATAAAGGCACCTACCACAATCATGTCTTACCCAAAACAATAGGACATGAAACACCAATATGGGATAAAATAGTGTACGGTAATAACCAAATTCTTACAAATCTTAGATGACATATCTAGAGCCATTAGTAACTGAGTTAAAGAAATTATTATCCTTAGGACAATATTTGCATAATTAAATTAAAGTGTGACAAACATGAAAATTGGAAACTCTAATGGATGTGTGTTATATAGTTGATAAACAGAAATTAGAGAGTTTGGGTGATGTTAGAATCTATTTGAAGCAGAGAACACATTAGAGGACACATTTGAGTCTGACAGCTGCTCTCTTTAGCTCGTTATTATAAAGTTACCTTTTCCTTAAATTCTGCCTCCTTAACATCAAGAGGAAAGACAGTCTCACCATAATCAACAGACTATGGTGGTTTTCAGTGGAGACACAATTAATGCTCCCATTAAGCCCTGCACACTCTCAGAATTAGAGAAAACATTTTCGTTCCAGCAACTACCATTTAGATACACTGTTTGTGTAAGGAATTACATGACTCCTGTAGAGTCAGTCTACTCATTACAAGCATGGTGATATTATAGTCACGTCCTCAGCAATCCTGAAATTTTAGTCTATGATTCCTGTTGGGTAGGCGGAACAGCAGATTGATTTTAGTACCACAGTCCTTAAGAATGCAACCAGCTTTCATTATTACGACAGATTGATTTAAGAATGTTAATCCTTAAGAACGTAGTCAAGTTTCACTATGATTGGGTGAAACACCAACAATGCGGGTCAGTGTGGATTCTCCTAAATCACGTCAGGACCCCCCAGGGATTGGTGTGGGGCTAGGACCCCATTTCGGTTTGCTAGCTCAGCTCATGGCTCCGAACTATTCCTCTTTTTTCTGTGACTTGGGAACTAGACCAGTTTTCAATCTAGAACAATTTCTTATTATAATAGGATAACTTACCCTGGCTCCTGGGAAGCACCCTTCCCTACAGACCGAAAGAGACTTTCTCCCCAGCTCCATCTTGCTGCTAAGACGGTGGGCTCAGTGCGAAGGTTGCCACAGCCAGGATCGTGTGGGAGGGAAGCAGCCAGACCTTGAGATATGGTTTTGTGGTTCTGTGACCTCACCTCCCCTCAGAACTGCAATTATCTTTTCACCTGCAGTGGCAACGACAGTGCAGCCTTGGGGAGCTGAGAACGTTTCAGAACAACTTTTCTTCCCAATTGCTAATCACCAAAAGCAATGACAAGTTTCTGGCCAGCATCTCTTCAGAGACTATGAGGAGTGTTTGGGAGAGGCTCTTTCGTCTCCATTCCCTGGAGAGACACAGTCTTACATGGAGGGAGCAGGAAACGCTGAGTTCTGACCTGTGACACACTCACAGTGAGGGACGAGTGTCCCCGGATACTCTGCTTTGCTGGGAGGTTCTGCCCCAAAGCGAGCTCTTTCCTAATCTTCACGCCACTCAGCTGCAGCATCATTAGGTTATGTGCAGAGAAATGAACCCAGACAGAGGGCCTGAGAAGGATTTTCAAAGGGATACAAGTAAAAGGACAAACAGGATGCCAACGGCTCAATGCCAATTAATTTGGAATCTAGATGATGTGGATCAGGTGGCTAAAAAGTCACTTCTTGATCAATCCAGGGAAGCAAATGCTGCTTACTCGATTCAAGAGCATTGGATGGTTGCCACAGTCCTCTGCACTTGTTTTTTGCTAAGTTTTCAGCAATGATCACTGGTTGTTTTTGTAATAAAATAAGAAATATGAAATATGAGCTCAAATTAATGCTTTCTTTTTTCCTACAAAGAAGAGTCCATTTTATTCTTGTCTGGCATTCAATGCTTCTCAATTTCCACATCAGGGATTAGAGCCATAAGATGAACAACCTCTATAATACACACACACACATATATTCACATACAGATGTACACACACAGATGCAAACACATACGTACATGCACAGCAGCACAAATCAAAGGAACATCACGTACATACACAGCTAGACACTCGCCCTCACATACACATTCCACCACAGGCTCACACCCATCCACACACCCACCACAAACCCACAGTCATATTCAAACACACTCACTATGCCCTGCACTCACACAGACTCACACAGTCCCACTCACCTTTAAACACCACACTCGCAGCGTCAGCACACGTATTTGTATCTTGACACCAGGTTCCTATCTGGAGAATAGCGGCGGTCATGGCTCTATTGTGATTCAGCCTGTATACTTCTTTCCACTTTGCACCACTCATGATGATGACGTCACCATGTGCAACGTATAAAATGATGTGCACGTTGCTAATTTGGCCCAAGGCATTAAGTAGAAAAGCTGGAGAATTGGGGTCGACATTGCCTGGGTGTGTGACAGAGGGTCTGACATTGCATGAGTGTGTGACAGAGAGTGTGACATTGCACGGGTTTGTGACATAGGGTAAATCTGCGGGCTCATGGAAAGGATGCCGTTGAGACAGAGTGCCTGTAAATGCAGGGAACTGATACTGAACAGGAGACAGAGCACAGAGGCTTAAAGGCACAAGGAGGTTAATTTTCAGACAGTAGAGTACGCTGCAGGTTTTAAGAGTGCACAGGGGAAAAGCGTGCAAGGAGCTAAGCATATGGGGGATACTAGATGCTGTGGGGACAAGAGGTGCCAGGGTCATGGAATGAAAGGAGTTTATTTTGTGTCCCAAGTTCGAAAGGATGAGCTCCTTTTACTTACTGTGGTATTTCCAAAACATAGCACATGCTTTATGAAGAAAATAAAACACAGAATTCAACATTCTAGTATTCTTTCCCCTTGCTTTTCTCTCACCAGAAACCATCACAAGAGATAAAGAGTGGTAATCATTTTGCTGATACTTTGAGAATATTTTTTTCAATAATATTTTACCATAAAAAAATGCATTGGTTGGTTCTCCAATCCCTGATGTTATCGTGTGGTTATGTTAAGTTCCACGTAGGCAAAAGAGACTTTGTGGATGTAATTAACAATCAGCTGAAATGAACTCGGGAGATTATCCTGGATGATCCAGGAGTCTAACGTAATCAAGTGAGCTCTTAAAGCAGACAAAGAAGTTAGAGACACCGCAGAAGAGGAAGTCACGGCTTAGAGGGAAGAGGGGGATTTCACAGGCTGCTGCTGGCTCTGAAGAGGATAGGCAGGTAGAAATCATGAGAAGAAAAGGAGATTTGTCAGCCGCCTAAATGATCGTGGAAGCAGATTCTCCCCCGAGCTTGGAGAGAAAAGCCCAGGCAGCTGACCCCGGGATTCGGTCCTTGTGAGACCCTGAGTGGAGGACACAGCCAAGCACTGTGGGCTTCTGACCTATGGGGAGAAAATAAATGGGTGCTGTTGTAAGGCGCTGACGTTGTGTAATGGTGGAGTCATGGGAAACGGATATGTACAGGATCCAATTTAATGATAAAATGTTTAAACAGTTAAATAAAGTGAGCTATAAATACCCCAGCAAAGATACAAGGCTGATCCCAGGCATAACGATTGTTACCAGTTTGAGGTGTATCCTCCTTTATATATTGATATCTCTGTATAAATAAATACATCTCTCTATATAGATACATGTACAAAGATCTTATATATAGACAGATATAGATCTATATCTTCATATCTATATCTAAATGTAGAGATACAGAGACATAGATCTATAGAGATAGACACAGATACAAATATAGACAAATCTCTACGTAGACACACGTATATGTTTGCATAGATGGACATATACATAGGTCTATTTGTATATACACATACACATATACATGATTAAGGCATTTTGTCTTCCTTCAAAATTCATATAAATGTGTTCATGTTGGAGTCATTGTTCGTGTTGCTTCACCCAGTCAGTGATGAGTGTGGAAGATGTTTCTATACCTCCTTCTCGGAAACACTGCATCCTATTTCCTGGTGCGTATGAATGAAGCATGTTACTGAATCGCTCCTGTTTACCCCTGTACAGAGTCGCATGTGCTTGTCTGTCTCCTGCTGTGAAACGCTGCCGGGAGTGTAGGTGGCTGAACACACTGATGTGCGAACATGCAGATTATTGGGTGGTTCTGACACGTGTACTGCGGCTCCACCGTGATTGCATGTTGTTTCTTTCTTTCTTTTCTTTCTTTTTTTTTTTTTAGACGGAGTCTTGCTCTGTCGCTCAGGCTGGAGTGCAGTGGCACAATCTCGGCTCACTGCAACCTCCGCCTCTAGGGTTCAAGTGATTCATCAGCCTCAGCCTCCTGAGTAGCAGGGACTACAGGCGCCCACCACCATGCCCAGCTAATTTTTGTGTGTATGTTTTTTTGTTTGTTTTTGTTTTTGGGACAGAGTCTCGCTCTGTCGCCCAGGCTGGAGTACAATGGGGCGACCTCTGCTCACTGCAACTTCCGCCTCCTGGGTTCAAGCGATTCTTCTGCCTCAGCCTCCTGAGTAGCTGGGATTACAGGTGCGCACCACCACGCCTGGCTAATTTTTGTATTTTTTAGTAGAGGCGGGGTTTCACCATGTTGGTCATGCTGGTCTTGAATTCCTGACCTCCTGATCCGCCTGCCTTGGCCTCCCAAAGTGTTGGGATTACGGGCGAGAGCCACCGCAGCCGGTCATTTTTGTGTTTTTAGTAGACATGGGGTTTCACCATGTTGGCCAGGCTGGCCTCGAACTCCTGACCTCGTGATCCGCCCACTCCGGCCTCCCGAACTGCTGGGATTACAGGCGTGAGCCATCGTGCCCGGCCGAATGCACGTTACTTCTATGGTTGGATAATTGCTAAATTGCCTTCGCCAACGGCTGTAAAACCTAAATATCCCAACCAATGTGTGGCGCGGTTCTCCCACCTTTCTTTTTTTGATCTCTTTGCTCTTTCAGCGCATCAACTCGGACATTGCGGGACGTAAGGAATCTGGGAAACTCAGGTTGCAGGGGCGGGGATGAGAGGGACAGCTAACAGGATGAGCTCTGTCTTTAACGGCGCTTCTCGCGCACACCCGCACGTGGGTGCCAGACACAGGCCCAGACCTGCAGCCCTGGAGACCAGCCGTTAGGGCAACGCTTCCCACAGCGCCTGCACCGCACGAGGTCCCGCCCCAAACCCGCCCTGTGTATCTGTGTCCTACATGCATATGCAAAAATAAATGCTGTTCTAGAAATGCGGATATCGCTGAAAGCACACTCACTCATTTTCCAGTGTGCTTCTCCAGCCCCAGGAGCTGAAGTGCTGAGGAAATATTCAATGCATGACTTTGGAGTCAAGAAATTAAAAAAAATAATGACGGTTTCAAACTGGAGTGAAAGAGACAAAAATTTTTAACATTTATTGCATACTGGATATCATTCTAAATGCGTTTCACATATGAATGCATAAAATCACAAAAGATTATCTACATCTATCTTTGCTTTTCAAGTGAGCCCGCCACCTGGAATAAAACTTGTAAGTATTTTTTAAACTCTCAGGTATGAACATCAGAGGTAAAGAAAGGGTTTTCCATTTCTAAGAATGTGCTGGTGTTGAGTTCGCAGCCGTGGCTGCACTGCCTCCAGCTCTGGGAGTTCCAGCCCAAGGAGAAGAGGGGTAAACAGGGCGTCCAACCAGGGTCATGCACCGCCCACCCGCAGGAAATCGACCGGGTGCAAATCCACGCTGGGAAGCAGCCAGGAAGCCGCCGCTACAAACGCCGGGCAGGAGCGCCCTCTCCCGGAGCGAGAAGGAACCTCCTGGTCCCCGCGGGACTCCGCTCTCGGTGAAATGGGACTTGGTTAGAAATCCACCGAACTCCTCATTGGCGGCGCCTGGTGCAAGAAGTTGCTTAGGACATCTAAGCAGACCCGCGCTTCCAGAGCAGGGCTGTCGGTGCTCTGCAGGGGGTAAGTGCAGAGGATCTAAGTGGGGCTTTTGAAGTCACCGACCCCGTGCAGTCCACGCCACGTGGCTCAGTACTGCCGGGAGACGCCTCCAGAGGGCCCAGGCTGGGGAGCGCGCCTAGGAACCCACCGTGTTGTGCCCCATGGCACTGCAGGATGGCTATCGTTACCAATAACGCAGGGTTTCCAGTAGCTAGAGGGAGGAGAGGGAAAGTCCCCAACACAGAGACATGACGCAGGCTTGAGATGATGGACATGTTAATCACCCTAACCTAATCACCACGCATTAAACCTATCCTAAGGACGCCACGGACCCGTGAGTATGCATAAGAACTATTTGTCAATTAAAAGTAAATTAAATATACTTAATAAGAGACGCCTTAAAATCCTTTTTGAATCTATGAAATATTTGCAATAAAAAACAATCCACTGTAATTGGAAACATCTTTGTTTAAAAAAATACTCTTTTTCCCGTAATTGATAGTGCTAGACATGAGATTTTATTTTTGCGTAGGGTCACACAGTATGTAGTGTATGATTGGGGGTGAAAGAATTGGGTGCAGAAATCAGCTACTGGCCATTTTTCCATTTTCATTTGTGTGTGAATTTAAAAAACAAATTTAATTGATAAATAATAATTGTATATATTTATGGGGTGTATTGCACTAATTTGATAGATGTATATGCTGTGGAAATTTTAAGTCAATCAAATTAATATCTCAATTCCTGACATACTTTTTTGGTGAGGACAATTGAAATTCACTCTCTTTCTAATTTTGCATGTTAATAATATACCTTATTGTTAACCATAGTCACAATGCTATACCGTATCTCAAATAATTATTCCTCCCGTCTAACTGAATCATTGTATGTGGATTTTTAGTATAAATGTGGGGGAGGTAAATTATTAATGCAAATAAAAATGTGTCAGGAAACAAGTTTCAGCAGTTCTGCTTCATGTGGGTGAGAAACCCACCCGAATGGGATAGAGGGACCCCACATCCTGATATCGCTGTGAGAATTCTTGGGACCACTCCTGTATCAGCCTGTTCTTGCACTGCTATAAAGAAATACCGGAGGCTGGGTCATTTATAAAGAAAAGAGGATTAACTGGCTCACAGTTCGGCAGGCTGCACAGGAAGCATGGCAGCTTTTGCTTCTGAGAGGCCTCAGGAAGCTTTTACTCATGGTGGAAGGCAAAGAGGGATTAGACATTTCACATGGCAAAAGCAGGGACAAGAGAGTGAGGAGGCAGCTGCTGGACACCGTTAAATGACCAGATCTCAGGAGAACTCACTCACTCTGGAAAGGACACAACCACAGGGGAGGAGGCTAAACCATTCATGAGAAAACCGCCGCCACGATCCAATCATCTCCCACCAGGCCCCAGGTCTAACACTGGGGATGACAGTTCAACAGGAGATTAGGGGACACACATCCAAACTATATCAACTCCCACGTCCTGACTCAGCCCCCTCATCTAGCAGAGAGGTGAGTCTACACTCCACCCTCAATAACCAGGTGCTATCTAGACCTCAGGATCTCTTAATCCCACTCAGTTGCTGAGCTCCTGTCCACACCCTGGAGGCCTCCTTGCCTTCCTGTTCCCGTCAGGGATAAAAAGCAAGAGCCACTGACTTTCCAGGAGCTGTCGCTGAAACTGAGCTGTTGGCTTGTTACAGTTCTCCCCGTCTGAGACTTTGGGTGACCCATCCCCTACGGCCATACAGCACAACCTCATCTATTCCCCCGACACATAGTGAACCAGGCTGTTCTTAGACCACTTATCTTTGGCCCCACAAAGGCCAGAATCTCCAGTACACATTGCCACTGAGCTTCCTGCCATGGGGAGACCGAGCTGCCCACCTCGGTGCAAAACGCAGAATGAGGCAGCCAGGCTGTTGATGTATGCCTCAATATTTGAAACATGCAGAAAGTAGTTTGTGTTGTTCAAACCATATGCTTCTATGTTAAACTTTAAAATTTTATGAGATGAGCATACAGCAAATTATTTGTTTTAGATGTATACATCTGTGATAAAACAAAAGTGCTAGGAACAGGATCACCAAATAAATCAAGAGAGGGAGAGGTAATTAGATCATATCGCGATTAGGTTAGCCAGGGGGAGTGGCTGCGGGGCTCTGGAGCAGTATAAATGCCAGCAGAAGGGACCTTCCCCTCAGTGAGCTTTGTTTCCTTCACTGTGGAAGCCCCAGCGTAAGGAGTGAAGTTTGCCCTGGGTCCACTTACCTGAGTTGCTGCTGGTAGGCAAGAAGAACAGGTTAGTCCATTACTATTTCGGGCGTTCATTTATCCCAATGGGAGAAATAGAATAGTGGGAAAACTCTTTAGCGTGCGGTTTTAGATGTTGAGGTAAAGAATACTTAATTGTTTAACAGTATTTCTTTTTTCCTTTTGAGACAGAGTCTCGCTCTGTCACCCAGGCTGGAGTGCAGTGGCACAATCTCGGCTCACTGCAACCTCTGCCTTCCCGGTTCAAGTGATTCTCACGCCTCAGCCTCCGGAGTGGCTGGGATTACAGGCGTGAGCCACTGCGCCCAGCCATTTAACAGTATTTCTTAGGACATAGCCAGATTCAAAAAATATTTCAGAAATCCTAATGATTACATAAAGGTCAACATTTGCTAAGAATGATCACCCAGCACCCTGAATTGTGTGGGTGCTGGATGATCAGTTATGGAGACCTGGTGCCTTTGACGAAGAAGCTATTAGATAAGAGATTTCTTCACTTATCTTTTATTCCAGTATACTCATTGACCTTTGCTAGGAGCTAGTATAAATTCAGGGCCCTGAGCCTCTACCCAAAGATTAAGGCAAGCAAGACTTAAGCTGTGAGTGCCTAGTCTATAATGATGGTGTAAAGAATGATCCTACTTAAATATGTAGTTAAAAATGCTTCTTCACTTCTCAATTTTGATTTTGAAAAGGAACGCGCACTTTATTCTAGATTTCTCAAGTGCGTTTGCTCCAGATAGCATTCCTTGATCATTTTTTTTCTATTTTCATGGCATTATTGCCTTTTCTTTTCCCTGATATGATCTATTAAGATAAATTTTATTATCTTTCTGTGGTAACCCATGGTAATGTATCCTACTACTGCTCTCAAAGAAAGAGTACGTTTTCCTGCTGTATTCTATTTATTTTTTCATTAGCTCCAATTTATTGTTTGATTTACCATTTCCATCTTTTTATTTCTTTTGCAATCTTTCGTTGTTCTGTCTGTAAGCTGTCTCCATAGGCCTGAGTGCTTCCCCCAGATTTTATCTTTTTTCAATCATGTTGTTGTGGAAAAAAAAGAGGCCCGATCCAGACCCTGAGGGAGGGTTCTTGGATCTCATGCAGGAAGGAATTCCAGGCAAATTGCAGAGAGCAGTGTGAAGAGAGTTTATTGACAGCTACTATATTACAGAGTACGGTGACCTCAGAACGCAACCAGAAGAATGCACTGTCTTTAAGTTTTTCTGATATAGGGGTTTTGTCCACGTGAAGATTCAACTAAGCTGTGTCTACATGTGGTGGACTGACAGCATGACAATGTTTAGTATTCTGTTGATTTAAAGAAAACTCTCCTTGACATTCTAGTGTGTAGCTCAGGAAGCATAGCTATCATTATCTTGAAGGTATCTATTGCTTTGGATATGGGGCATCTGGACATTTTGCTTTCATAGGAGTCTGTCCATCCAGGCATTGCTAAGCTGCTTCCTCAGCCACAAACGTCTTAGGACCAGGGTGGTGACTGGCCAGGACTGTGCCTCACTAGTTTTCAGATGGAGTTGATTTCTAAATGGTGTCGCCCTCACTCTCCTATGCTCCTGTTTCCCTAGCACTGTGGTCATTTAGCCAAAGACATTTCCCCTGAACCCACATTTTGCACTGCTCATCAGTTTGGACATAAAAGTGCTTTATTTTGTATTTTCTTAGCACTTGATGGTTTCCCTTGAATATCTTGTTTGATCTCAAGGAGTCTGATTTCAGAAAGTTCAAGGAATGTGCTTCATAGTTTAAAACGTCCTTAATATTAGAAAGAACTTATAAAATGTAGGTATATCTAGTTTTGACAAGGAGGGTGTACAGATGATTAAAATATTCAGTTTTCTAATATATTGAATTTTCTTTGAGGCCAATTCCACGATCAATTTTTCCGGATGTTTGATGGTATACTATGAGAGTCTCCAGAGGAGGGACCTGCATTGCATACATATCAAACACGCTAAGTCCAGTGAACAATTCTTTTAATGGATCACCTGCTTTTCTCATTCACATTGGTGTCATGTCACTGGCAGAGGAAGGATGTGTCCCTGTAGTTTGAATGACAGGATGTGTGAGTTTACTCCTAGGGACACGGTGGGCACAGCAGAGAGATGGGGCTGACTGCATCCTGTGCCTGGGAGAGTCCAGGGATAGGAAGGAATCAGCGTCTCATTTTCTACCCTCCACAGGGAAAGAGAATCCCTCAGGCAGGACCAGCAGTGATGGACCCCAACACTCTCTCCATGGAACAGGGGAAGCAGTTCTTAAAGCAGTGCGGGATCCCACAAAGAGATGTGAGTACGGGAGCTGCGGGGTCACCTGGGAGGCAGGTGGAATGGGTGGAGTCCAAGCCTGGGGGAAGGCTGAAGCAGGCTCCCCGTCCATGACCGGCTCATATTCAGAGTTTCACACCCTCCATACACGGGCACTGACCCATTAAAATCGATACGTAATTCCTCAAAGGGACATGGGAAAATGCCACTGCCATGGCCCCTTAGTTCCCACCTGGGAACAGCAGCACTTCCCAATACCCTGGGCTGTCACTCTTGGTGCCATTTGAAGGTCATCAGCCAACTCCTCACCAGCTCTGGAGTAAAGAACTGTGAGATTGCCTTTGCATCCTCATAGCTTAGCTCCCGCACATGAGTGAGAACATAAGGTGTTTGGTTTTGCATTCGTGACTTATTCACAGAGAATAATAGTCCCCAATCCCATCCAGGTTGCTGCGAAGGCCATTAATTTCTTCCTTTTATGGCTGAGTAGTATTCCATCAGATAGATAGATAGATAGATAGATAGATAGATAGATAGATAGATAGATAGATAGATAGATAGATACACACACACCATAGTCCCTTTATCCACTCATTGATTAATGGGCATTTGGGCTGGTTCCATATTTTTGCAATTGCGAATTGTGCTGCTGTAAACATATGTGTGCAAGTATCTTTTTCACATAACGACTTCTTTAAAAAAAAAGAAAAAAAAAACAATGAAATGTGAGCCTGCCCAGCATTCCCTTTAAAATCTCAGGAAGATGGGAGTTCCTCCTCTCCTCTGCCAAGGCTTCCTCCTGCCTGCAGAACTCAGGTTGCCTCTCCATTCTCCTTTCTCTGCATTAGATTGACTTGATGACAGAGAAATGGGTTGTTCTCGCCTCTGTGGAGGTTCTTCTGCGATTTCCTCTGAAGCCAGGAGAGGATCCGACCGCCCGCTGTGTCTCGAATAAAAAATGCCAGGCTTCAGTGGACCAGCCACCCACAATTTCACAGAGACCTTGATACCAAGAGGAGAGGTAAGATAAGTATTAGGGAGTAAGGTAGGGACGGCATGGGAGACTCTGAAGCACAGTGTGGGCTCGAGGTTTCTGCTGAACACGCCTGGAGGCTTCCGTCTTGCGTGTCCCCCCATGACACGGCCAGTGATGTGTGCGAAGCCTGGCGTGAACACGCACATATGTGTCAGCGTCGCAGGATCCTCAGAGGGCTGGTCCTCACTTGGCTTTGTGCCTGCCTCTGTGTGAAGAGTGGCGTGTGGTCACAGGGGTCTCACGTGAAACGTCACGAGTGTCCATAGGTTGAATATGAAAACTTTGCAAAGCTTTGAGCTTCTGGTTGGTTTTCTGAGTGAGAAGCTATTCTATGAAAATAGTTGGTTTTCTGGAACTTGCTGGAAAAAAATCAGTAGTTGTTGGCTGTTCATGTCTTGGCTTTGATAAATATTGTCAGAGGGTTTCAGCTCTGAGGCACTGACTGCACACAAACCGAGAGCCC
This sequence comes from Homo sapiens, assembly GCF_000001405.40. Lineage (NCBI taxonomy): Eukaryota > Metazoa > Chordata > Mammalia > Primates > Hominidae > Homo > Homo sapiens. The sequence continues at coordinate 53,302,456 of NC_000019.10, read as the reverse complement.
AGAAAACTTTTATGCAAGGCTGCAAATCTCACTTCGCCCTCTAGAAATCAAGCAGCCTTTGGTTTATAAAATCTGTGTCCTGTTCTGGGAGTAGGTCAGGATGGGAGAGAGTCACAAAATAGCACAACTGGGACCTGGGTTCAGAGAGGACCAAGTTACAGTGGGCGTGACTCAGTGGCCAGTGCATCCCTCCATCCCTACTTGGGTAGACAGGGGTAGGAGGGACTTTCGTCTGGTGTCTGTGTAATGTTTTCTCTTTTTCTTATGACTAGGAAATCCAACAACCACTTAATGAAGAAGAATGATCAGAAGTTCAAGGACCTGCCACAGATGGCCGGTCATCCCATCCATCATCAGGCTCAGGGGCCCCCCGGAGCCAAGAACCCACAGGAGCAGCAGAGGAGACCCATGGGGCAGACGACTCTCCCAGCAGAGCAGGAGGAATCCAGGGTCAGTGGGGGCTTGAAAATGTTGGTAACCTATGGACACCAGAGAGTGGGCTTGAACATGGGACTCGTGATTATGACTTAAGAGTTCCCACTGGTCTCAGTCTGACCACATCGGTCAGCCTCCTGTCTTGGCAGATTGGCCCATTCGGAGTCTCTGAGGAGCAGCCTCATTCTCTGTCCAGTGTCATGTCCAGCCTGGTGTTTGCCGAGTCCTCAACACCGGTTCATTATCTTCACTCTCAGACACAAGCGTCCTTCCTCCTGGGATCCCTGTTAAACGGGCTCTGGGGAGGACGATAATATCTTGAATTTCCTGGCAACCAACAGCCCATGGGCGTATGTCCCCCTCCTAAAATAATCCATCTCCAAAACCCAGGCCTTGTGTGAACCTTGCAGGTGCCTGTGATTGCTGTTGACTCACTGCTCTGTGTCCTCCTCCACCTGCAGGTGAAATGCAAGAACTGCGGGGCCTTTGGGCACTCAGCCAGGAACAAGACCTGCCCCATTAAGAGGTGGAGTGGGGCCCTTCCTCTGCAGGTCCTGGGCTCACACAAGGAGAAGGAGAACCTGAAACCAGCAAAGGCCCAGCTACCCTTTACGACTCCAGGGCCCTTTACGACGAATGACAGAGAAAAGGAGCGAAGTCCAAGGTAAGGATTTTGCAGGGTCAAGGAAGATCCGTGAGGTCGGCGCCTCAGGAGCTGGTGTCTCCCCTAGTCTTTCTGTGCAGCCTTCTCTAAGCACACAAGGAAAGCTCCAAATGGAGGTGGACGGAGGCCCCTGCCTTCCAGGGTCCGCACTCCGAGCTTATTCCAGCGCTGAGAGTCTCTAGAGGGCAGGGGCTGTGGGAGACCTGGGGATGTTACCCGAGGCAGGCAGAGCAGTTCCAGGGCCTGAATGAACTTAGAGAACCTGGGGCCATGGTGGGGGTGGGGGGCGGAGCTTCCTGGAAGTGGGGCTGCTTCTGAGATGAGAGAAGGGGCTGTCTTGGCAGAGTTCACAGAGGCCTGAACGCCTCCCTCACCCAAAGCAAGGGCTAGGGCTGGGTTCCGGGAGGGTGCTTGGTTCCCAGTCACTGGTGTGGACAAGGAGGGTCAGGCAGGTCCAGACAGTGAACGTGATTTCTTCTGCAGTCCCCAGCAGCAGCAGAACAGAGCTCCGAAGCAGACATTTCCCAGAACTCCCCAAGAGAAAACGCAGGAAGCCTGGAAGGAGCCAGCGGAAGCCTGTTCATTCCTGAGGGTGAGTCTCCCCCTGCCCCTGCTCTGTTTCTCCTCTAGGTCCCCTGATTCCTTCACTTCTGTGCCCTTCATGGGTGGGGGTCATGTTAAGACCTAGGCTGCCCTGCAGGAGAACTACGCTACCTGAGGACTTTGCATACTCCAGTTTCCAGCTTCTTTGTTAAAACATTGGTTTCTGTACCTTTATTTGCAAGTTGGCCAGCAAATGCTGCTGGGCGCATTTCAGTGCCCGTGGGGAGTGACTGATCAGATGCCTTCGGGATACTGGCTGCAGATAAGGCGTCTCCTTCATTTTTATGCATGATCTTACAACTGCTTTCAAAAGGAGCTGTGACATTTCCAGTCTCCACGTTGTTTGGGGAATTGATATTCCCTTGATATTAACAATAGAGAACATAAAGACGGTTTTAATTTTCATATGTGATAGTCGCAGCAAACAGAATGGTTGGCTATCTTTCCCCAACACTATTCCTGAAGTGACAATTCTGCATATATTCAGTGACCATGTGTACATCCTTTTCTGTGACGTTTAATTTCCTACGTCCTGTCTCTTTTGGAGGGTCTTCCCTATATTTGATCCTGATTTAGACGCAGTCCCAGTGCCTGTTATTCTCTGTTTCTCATGTCAGCCTGTCCATTTTCCTCTGTCCTAGCTTGCTTCTCATCTTCACACAGTGTCTGTTGTGATGTGGTTTTGCATGTGAGTTCCCTGCTTCAGAGTTTGGAAATTCTACTGCTGAGCTGTCTCATGTGGGATGTTTTCTCCCGTAGCATCCTACCATGCCACTGCCTGTCCACACCACCAAGAAGAGATCTGTCCTGGGCCCTGTGTCCACAGGTCCACCGCCTGTCAACAAACCCGAGATGAGATTACTCTGCCCTTCGGGTCACAACGATTGACCTCAACTGAGCACCTGTGGACCCACCAAGGGACATGGCGGGGACGTTACTGCCTCCCTGCTCCCTGTTCTGAAGAGCTCCCACCAGACCCCCACTCTCAGTGCCAGGCTGCCAGCCAACAGGCCTGACATGTCCTCCCATGGTGCTCTCCAGCCTGCCATGCAGGCGCTTGCCCTGGGTCCTGGCCTTAAATCCCAGGCAGAAATCAAACATCCCGTTGCAGATGCAAAGCCCAGACCACAGCAAGTCAGAAAACAGTGTGGCCAGGACTCCAGAACCCAGGCACCAGACAAGGAGCCTGGCCCCGTCCCCACCCAGACTTTCCAGAACCCCGCAAAGAAAGCAAGATTCAGCTCCTTCCAGACCCCTGCACTGAGAACTCAGCTCCCGGATGTGGGCGCTGTGCAGACACTCCAGCCTCCCCGCACTGCAACTGGACTTGGATCCAAACAGGCACCCGAGGCGACTGCACAGACAGCAGCCACCAAGACAGCAACCCTGCAGCCCAGAGTCAACCTCCAGCCCGCACCCAGCTCACCTTTCCTGGGCCCAGCCCAGGGCTGCCCCGTCCTCCAGCCTGGACCACCCATTCATGTTCCAGGGAGGCCCGGCAGTGTCACCTTCATGAGAGGGGACAAGGGACAGAAGAGCCCCAGGTTCAGAACGCCTCCCACATCCCGTCCTCCTGAAAACTCTGCTTCTGCTCAGAGCCCTCGCTTCTCAAGGCAGCCTGAGGGGCGGGGTCCCCAGGTCTCAACGAGTGTCCTCTATGAGGACCTTCTTGTCACTTCCTCCTCTGAGGACAGTGACAGTGACTGAGGCCCCCAAGGCAAGAAGACCCAGCTTCAAGCCCATGCGACTTGGAAGTGGCTGAAAGGCTGAGAAGGGGAGAGGCAGGAAGCAGCCCTGTGCGGGGTCAGCCCCTCCCTGGCAGCGGTGTCTGTTCAAACGTGGACCCCAGATACTATCGGGGATCAACGAACCTGCCTATTTACATTGTGTAAATTTAACCTGTATTAAAATGGGGCTGTTGAAAGTGTCCTATAGATTTCTTTTTCAATTACATACAATTATATGAGAAACTGAGTCAACATAAGCAAACAATGCTCCACTAGTAAAAGCTCTGAAACTCATCTAGGGAGGGAGCAAACCACTGAAATTTGAGTAATTCTGGGCAAAGGGCCCTTTGATGGTAGTGGAAAACGTCAGTGTCTCCTGACTCAAGAATATTTGACTGTGAAGGAGAGTTGTAGTGAGAAACGCTTAGCCTTGGAAAATGGGAAATTTTTTTTTCTTGGAAGAATGTGTTTTTTTTAAATCATTGAATTCAAACATTTAAGAAACTGTTCTTTTTTATATGGTATACATTTTTCCAGGACATCAAACAAGGGAAATACTCCATTTATTTTATGAAGCTACCTAGACTCTGATTTCCACTGTGGTAGAGAGGGCATCTCAGCTAGCGCATGTGTAAAGTTGAGGTACCAATATTCTCAGTGTTGGAGTTATTCAGTGGATTCAATAAGTTATGCAAAGCACGTCATGAATGGCACATGGTAAAATATATCTTACTATTATTATTATCATACCACAAGTAAACAATAGAGTAAATTCAAGTTTGTGAATGAATTTCATTTGTAATGATGTACTCTATTAGCCTTGGAACTTTTGTTATTAAAAGTCATTGTAAAATTCTGCTTGGTTAATTTCTTTCCATATGAATAAAATTCTCTGAACTATGACACGTTTTACAGGTGTTTTGAGTTTTCCTTTTCACCTCAGGCCAATTTCTTTACATTTCAATCATCGTGTTTCATTTACTTGAGCAAAGAGGACTGGGTGCCCAGAGTGTCACCTGCAGACCCGTAGCTTCTGAGAAACACAGACCCTCAGGCACAGCCCCACCCCCACCTGCTCAATCAGTAGCTGCAGCTTATATAGCAACCCCAGGTGTTTCACATGTGGGTTAAAGTGGGAGAAGCACAAACATAGACTGACTCTCAACTTGGTTGCACGTTGGAATCTCCTGGTGAGCTTCCCCCGCTGGCTGGGTCCCACCCTTGGAGAGAGTCATGTTCTAAGTCCCGTGTGAGGCTGGATATAGGGATGGGTGGACCCTTTGAGGTTAAGTCAAACATGGGTCAAGGTTAGGAAACACTGGAGGGAGAGGGCGAAGACAATGCTTCCCTAACCTGCCTCCTCCCGTTTTCACCTTGGGAGGAAACTCTCCTGAATCCAGAAAGATCAGAAGGCTCTGAGGGTGGGATTTCAGTCTCAGGAGATCGTCCCTGTCTCTCTAGGACCTGGTCCCTAAAAAGCAGTGGATGGAAGTCTCCAGGCTGCCTCTTGGATGGGGGCGGAAGCCATGAAATATAAAGAGTGATCTGGAAGCTCAGGTTGAACTCCTCCAGCGTGCTTTAGTAAGGTAATTTTTAAATATACGTTACGTGAGAGCCATCTCTTCAACTCCGGCCACCCAATTTGCTGTACAAACAGTTTCCCTGATAGAGAAATTACACTCTAGCAGGCTGCACCACAGGATCCCAGGCAGCCTGTGGGAAATGCGCGGGTGTAGATGGGGTGAGCATGGGGCCTGCCAGGGTAGAGGGAGGTTTCATCTTTTGTTTCTTCACCCTAAGTTCTGCGAAGCTTCCTTCTTCTGCTTGTACGTTCAGCAACCAGGGAGGGCCAGATACGGAGCCTTTCTTTTTCTGCCCACGCGTGCACCCATGACCCATGCTTATCCCCGGGGACTTTCAGCCTCCCCCGCACCTAGCCCACCCTCCCTGCAATGCACCACAGAGGCCAGAATGGAAACAGGGGCATGCATATCCAGCAGAGCTGTAGAAGTTTGAGTTCCCCACTTACAACAAATTCCAAGAATATTTAGTTTCTTCTTTAATGTTGACGAAGTCAGGATAGGGACAGAGGAAGAAACTGGGGTGCAGAGCAGGAGAGTGTCTGCGCTGGTAAGGAAGGCAGCAGCAAAGCTCGACCCTCCCAGTGCCACCTGCCTGCTGGCTGCTTAAGGCTCAAATACGGAAGCTAGAATGCTTTCAAGTCACCCTTGAATCTTCACTGTTCTGCCAGGAAAAGAATGAATAGTAAGCAAAGCACATTCAGTTGCTTGTTTAAATCCTTCTTCCCTTACATGAGCTTCACTAGCATGGAAGAGCAGGGAGGCTTCCTACTCCTCCTTGTTTCCAGCTTGATGAACACATGTACTCCATGACCACGTGCCTTCTCTTATCCCTCAACCCGTCCTTTCCTTTTCCAGAAAATCATTTTTCTCTCAGCATCCCACCATCATCAAGACTGTCATGAAATATGTAGGGCCTTCAAGCAGGAGGCAGAATCTTTGTTACATGGTCATGTCTGTCTTTTACCCCCAATGATGACAGTGTCAACATCTCTTAGAATGATTTCTTATACAACAATCCTTGAAAGGGTGCTTTGGAACAGGAGTGGACAAATGATGTCAAAAACATGAGGGCTACTCAAGGAAAATGACTCAAAAAGGTACACTCGGGCCGGGCGCGGTGGCTCACGCCTGTAATCCCAGCACTTTGGGAGGCCAAGGCAGGCAGATCACAGAACAGGCAGGACTATTACTTTCACTGGAAAGCTAAGGAACACGTAGATGGATAAAGCTACTGATTTGTCAAAATCCAAAATTTTAGAGCAAAGAGGGGGCTTGACCTTGGCAGGGTTGGTAAAGAGTGGTGGAGTTAAACTCTATGCAAGGGAGAATTTAACTGTCTTCTTCAAGTAATGCAGATGTATATAGAGTCATTTTAAGTCCTGTCCTCTTATTGTAGATTGGTGTTATTTTATTTTGTAACTTTGTAACAAGTTTACATTCATGGATAAAGATTTATAGAATATGCCAATACAAACTTCAAATAAAATTGAGATATCTTAACATAACATAGACGCAGAATGACCTTATAATTCTCTAGGAACTGCTCCATGACAAATCATATTTAAAGAATGCACAATTGCCTCTATCTTGAGATGGCAGCAGACATAAGATTTTGCTTTTATGCCAGAAATAAATTGGAACCTATCACAGAAATCACTGAACACTATGTCTTGCTCCAAACTATGGGAAATGAAACACCAATATGTGATAAAATCATACAAGGTAGAAACCTAATGTTAGTAATTTCAAATTATATACTTATCTCTATATTCATAATTGATACAAGTAAAAGTAATAGCAATAAAGCATGATTTCTGAAACATGTTAAGTGGAAGCCCCTTGTACAAATGGAATCTTTAACGTGTTAAATTTTGTGTATTTTACAAATCAAAATTGTACTGTGGAAATTAAAAGTTCCTCTTCAAAACTTCCCTTTTTGTTAATAATATTAAGTTCTAAGAATGATAGTCCCACTTAAAAGCTTCTTTCAAGTTTCCTTCATGTTTCATACTATTAACAAATCTTTTACCCTACTAATAACTCTTTGTTGTGCCCCGGGCAGTTGGTAAACACAGTAAAGAAATAAGTAATCCTATATCCCTGTACTGTAAACCAAGAGGCCTAACCCATATGTTTCCTGGCCTGTCCGGACAGGCCTAGACATGCCCAGGCATGTCCCAGCTTGCAGCCCAGGCTTCTTTCCTTATTTGGAAATGTTATTGTTTTCCTAGTTTCCTACAACCAACCCCATCCCTTTCTTTGTTCCCCATTGTGCCTTTACCTATTTAGTAAAGTTTTAAGTTTTTAGCCAATCGGTATCAGTCTAGATTGTGCAGTCCAGCTCCAGCCAACGGAGATAGGACGCAGCAGTAGGGGCCCAATGCGTTAGGAATAAGAATCCCTGCTTTCCTTTGTTTGGGGTGCTCTCATGGCAATCAGGCTTATAGGCAGCACCCTTCTGCAGAAGTAAAATTGCCTTGCTGAGAAATCTTTTGTTCAAGTACTCATTTTCTTTGCGACTCCCAGCTTTCATTTCCAGCAGTACACTGTGGGATTCATATGAGACTATGCTTAAACCAGAGAATACATCATTAGAAACTTTTGTGCCCAAGGGCTGCTCTCTGAAACCCAGTTTGTATGTTACCACTTCCTTAAATGCTGATTCTTTAACTAGAAGATGGAAAACAATCTGTCAGTATGAAGAGACTATGGATGTTTTCAGGAGGAGACAATCAGTTTCCACTAAGCATTCATGCACTAAGGATGAGAGAAAACATTCGTATTCCAGCAACTGCCATTTGGAGACACCCTTTCTGCACAGGATTAGGTGATTCCTCTTGACCTCTCCTATCTCTTTGAGAAGCATGGTGGTCTTGTAGTGCACTCTTAATAATTCTGAAAATTGAGTCTATAATTCTCCTAGGGTGGACTGAACAGTAGATTAATTTTGGAGCTAAAGTCCTTAAGCACATTACAAGTCAGTTTTCATTATCACTTGGATTAAACACCAACAATCAATGTCACTGCGGATTACACTAAATTGCATTATGTGACATCAGGGATTGGTGTAGGGTGTCCAAGGGAGAGAATAGAGTCCTGGGTTCTTAGTTTGTTTCTGGTTGGGCCAGTAAAGTCCCTTCCTCAACCCTCTTTTCTGCTTATCACTAGAGATGGGGTTTCACTGAATTAGCCAGGGTGGTCTTGATCTCCTGACCTTGTGATCTGCCCGCCTCGGCCTCCCAAAGTGCTGGGATTACAGGCACGAGCCACCATGCCCGGTCCATTATTTTATTTTATTTATTTTTTGCGACAGAGTCTCGCTCTATCGCCCAGGCTGGAGTACAGTGGTGCCACCTCAATTCACTACAGCCTTCGCCTCCCAGGCTCAACGGATTCTCCTGCCTCAGCCTCCCAAGTAATTGCGATTCCAGGTCAGTGCCCTCACACCCAGCTAATTTTGTATTTTTGGTAGAGATAGGATTTCACCATATTGGCCAGGCTGGTCTCAAACGCCTGGCCTCAAGTCATCCACACACCTCAGCCTTCCAAAGTGCTGGGATTATAGCCGTGAGCCACCGCACCCTGCCCCCACTATTTTAAAGTGGATCGCAAGAAAATCTTCCTAACTTTTGCCTCAGTGGAAGGCATTATCTTTGTTATATTGTTCAAATAATTTATCTATCTTGTAACGCCTATGAAGACAGTACCACCATCTTTCAAGGCTGTTTTTTACACAAAATCTTTAGAGAGTCTGGAGCAGAAGCTGATAAAAGACGTAGGAAACATAAGGAATGCATGGGGAAAATATCTCTAAACACAGTGGACTTCTCCCTTTAGAATATGAAAATAGGCCGGATGCAGTGGCTCATGCCTGTAATCCCAGGACTTTGGGAAGCCAAGGCAGGTGGATCACCTGAGGTCAAGAGTTCGAGACCAGCCTGACCAACATGGAAAAACCCCATCTCAACTGAAAATACAAAATTAGCCAGGCATGGTGGCGCATGCCTGTAATCCCAGCTATTCAGGAGAGTAGGTGGGATTATTTTGTTTTATTTTATTTTATTTGTAAAATGAATAAGCAGAAGAATCACTTGAACCTCGGGGGCGGTGTGGGGGAGGTTGTGGTGAGCCGAGACCACACCATTGCACTCCAGTCTGGGCAACAAGAGCAAAACTTTGTCTATATATATATATATATATATATATATATATATATATATATATATGAAAATAATTGATACTTTGAGAAAAAAGGCCCATTAAAGATTCTGGACACAAAGCTTTGTTTTGTAGTGCTGTGGGATTGCTAACATGTCCAGTAGGCAGGAAGAAGGGAGAGAATGACCACAAGGCTTCACAGAAATGTGAGCTCCAGTGGTGATGAGAGAAAGAGTAGAAACCGTAATGAAACATGATGGTTTCCATCCAGTAAAAGTCATGAGGCTTAACTGAACATAGTATCAATTGTTAGTGCAATGCAACAACTTAATTCTGAATGGATATCTGATTTAAATTGTAAAGATGACTAATGAAATTTTTAGAATAGATCAAAGGAGAACAAAATGATTTCTCACACAGCCCGAAAAGCATTAATGTGAAGTATAAAAGGAGAAATGACAATTCAGTTTATAAAAAATTTAAGAGCTGATATTAATAAAAAGATAAGAAAGATAGAACAAAAACCAAGGAATTACTTGTTTCCAGCATATATAGTGTACTCAAATCAATAAGAAAAAGAAAGGCAATACAACTGAAAAAAATATTATCTATCTATATGTATGCACACACATATATGCACACACACACACACACATATATCCAAAATATATAAGGAACTCATACAACTTGATACCAAAAACATGAATAACTCGTCCTAAAATGGGCAAAGGACCTAAATAGACACATCTCACAAGAAGAAATCCAAATAGTCAACAGACATGAAAAAGAGACAGCATCTCTAATCATCAGGAAAATGTAAAATAAAACTGTAATGAGCTACCACTTCACACTTGATAGGATGGCTATTATCAAAAAGACAAAGATAAGTGTCAGTGAGGATGTGGGAAATCCTTACACATTGTTGATGGGAATGTAAACTGGTATAGCCATTGTGGAAACTACTATGGAGGTATCTCAAAAAACATAAAAATAGAACTGCCATTTCATCCAACAATCACATGTCTGGGTAAATATCCAAAGGAGGCAGGGGGCGGTGGTTCACACCTGTAATCCCAGCACTTTGGGAGGCCGAGGCGGGCAGATCACTTGAGGTCAGGAGTTCGAGACCAGCCTGGCCAGCGTGGAGAAACCCCATCCCTACCCAAAATACAAAAATTAGCTGGGAGTGGTGCAGGCACCTGTAATCGCAGCTACTGGTGAGGCTGAGGCAGGAGAATTCCTTGAACCCGGGAGGTGGAGGTTGCAGTGAGCTGAGATCGTGCCACTGCACTCCAGCCTGGGTGACAGAGCAAGACTCTGCCCCCCCAAAAATATATGTATGTATAATATATATTTATTTAATATATATTTATAAAAATATATTTTATAACATTTGGTATAATTTATATAATTTTATAATTTATATAATTATATTTATATGAAAAAATATATATTTATACACACACATATATATAAAATCTCCAAAGGAATTTAAAACACAATCCCCAAAATATATCTTGAATTCCCATGTTTTTTGGAGCATTATACAGAATAACCAAGATACGGAAATAACCTCAATGTGCCCGAACAGATAAATGGATAAAGACTTTGTGAGATACACATACAACACACACACACTATATATACATATAGTGCCATGCAACCTACACACGTGTGTGTGCGCGTGTGTATAAAACACAGTGCACTAATACTCAGCCTTTAAAAAAAATGCCACTTGCAACAACGTAGATGGAGCTGGACGATATCATGCTAAAATTATGCAAAGTGAAACAAGCACAAAAAAGAACGAGACACGGGCGTGGGGCACGAGGTGCTCACTGCGCAAGCGCCCACTCCACCGCGTGGTTTCCAGCTGGAGGCTGGGAGCGTTCGTGGCTTCCTCTTTTCTTGCTGACCCTTCGGAGCTCTGGGAAGTGGCTGCACCTTGGCGGCTCCCCAGAGCGCGCGGTGCTAATCGTGGGTCGTCAGCCTGGGTGGCTGGGCCCGGCTTAGGGCAGGGTTTGGCATTTCCAATGGTAGGGGGCTCGGACCGTCCCTCCGCGGGACCCTCCCGTTGGGACAAGGCCGATCGCCTGGGCGGTTGGAGCCGCTATCCTGGCGCGAGACGGTGGACAAGTCCTATATTCAAGAGAAGATAACTTTGAACAGTTTCGAAGGATCTAAAACGTATGTGTCTGCAGACATCAATGAGGATGAAGAATTAGTAGAAGAGATTAATAGATCAAAAACGTTTGCTGGCTTTGCAGGTGGTGGGCCTGCCTGGGCATCGGCGCGTTGGAGGAGACGCCCTGGGGGGCCTTAGCTGCCCTGAAGCGGTAGACAGGTGGCAACGTGGGGGCTCAGGAGTTGACAAACACAAGAAAGCAGCGCCGAATTGCAGGTTTATCCGCAGCTTTTATTTTGAAGACAGTGCCACGAAACCTGCAAATCCTGGTGTCCCAAATAGTCAATACCAAGTTGAAAACCATCTGGGAGAGGAAAAGCGTTGTGCTTTAGACAGGCCGTCTGAGACTCGTGCAGACCGGCTTTTGAGAGCTGGACAGGTGGTGGATAGATCAGACTCCATACACCCGAGGAGCCCCGCCATGCATAGTGAAGAAGCTAGATAACAGTCGTTTCACAACTGGCCAGCCTCTGCCCACTTGACCCCGAGAGAGCTGGCCAGTGCTGGGCTGTACTACACAGGCACTGATGACCAAGTGCAGTGCTTCTGTTGTGGCGGAAAACTGAAAAACTGGGAACCTGGTGATCGTGCCTGGTCAGAACACAGGAGACATTTTCCTAATTGCTTCTTTATTTTGGGCCACAACGTTAATATTCGAGGTGAATCTGATGTTGCGAGTTCTGATAGGAATTTCTCAAATTCAACAAGTTCTCCAAGGAATCCATCCATGACGGGTTATGAAGCCCGGCTCATTACTTTTGGGACATGGATGTACTCCGTTAACAAAGAGCAGCTTGCAAGAGCTGGATTTTATGCTATAGGTCAAGAGGATAAAGTACAGTGCTTTCACTGTGGAGGAGGGCTAGCCAACTGGAAGCCCAAGGAAGATCCTTGGGAACAGCATGCTAAATGGTATCCAGGTTGCAAATATCTGCTAGAAGAGAAGGGACATGAATATATAAACAACATTCATTTAACCCGTTCACTTGAGGGAGCTCTGGTACAAACTACCAAGAAAACACCATCACTAACTAAAAGAATCAGTGATACCATCTTCCCTAATCCTATGCTACAAGAAGCTATACGAATGGGATTTGATTTCAAGGACGTTAAGAAAATAATGGAGGAAAGAATTCAAACATCTGGGAGCAACTATAAAACGCTTGAGGTTCTTGTTGCAGATCTAGTGAGCGCTCAGAAAGACACTACAGAAAATGAATTGAATCAGACTTCATTGCAGAGAGAAATCAGCCCTGAAGAGCCGCTAAGGCGTCTGCAAGAGGAGAAGCTTTGTAAAATCTGCATGGACAGACATATCGCTGTTGTTTTTATTCCTTGTGGACATCTGGTCACTTGTAAACAATGTGCTGAAGCAGTTGACAGATGTCCCATGTGCAGCGCGGTTATTGATTTCAAGCAAAGAGTTTTTATGTCTTAATGTAACTCTACAGTGGGTGTGCTATGTTCTTATTACCCTGATTAAATGTGTGATGTGACTCAACTTTAAGTAGTCAGCACTGAATTCCATCAGCATTTGCTGCCAAGTAGAAAAAAAAAATGCAAGCCAGGCGTGGTGGCTCACACTTGTAATCCCAGCACTTTGGGAGGCCGAGGTGGGATCATCCTGGCCAACATGGTGAAACCCCATCTCTACTAAAAATACAAAAATTAGCTGGGAGTGGTGGCACGTGCCTGTAGTCCCAGCTACTTGGGAGGCTGTAGCAGGAGAATCACTTGAACCCCGGAGGTGGAGGTTGCAGTGAGCCGAGTTTGCACCACTGCACTTGACAAGAGTGAGACTCCGTCTCAAAGCAAGTGTTTTAGTTGGCAAGCTAAAGTTTGAATTTTTGCATTTTTTCAGGGTATTAGCTGTAGTATTTATTCATTTTTTTCTGTTGTTTAATTGAAACCCTAGGCCAAGAAATATTGTATTATAACTGATCACAATATATATTTGTGGTATACTGACTTAGTTTCTAAGTGTAAGTGAATTAATCATCTGAATTTTTTATTCTTTTCAGAGAGGTTTAACAAATGGAGCATTCTGTATAAACATGGAGATTGGAGTTAATGCACCAATCATATAACTGATTTTGTGTGAAAAAGGAATGAACTGTTCCATACTGGTGGAAAGATACATGTTAAATTTAGATGTTTGTGTTTTAGGATTCTGTCCATTTTCTTTTAAAATTATAAACATGTACTTGCGTGAATGAATTTTTAAACGCGAAGAATAATTGTTTAGGCCAGGCTTGGTGGCTCACACCTATAATCCCAGCACTTTGAGAGGCTGAGTTGGGCAGATCACTTGAGCTCAGGAGTTCAAGACCAACCTGAGTAACATAGTGAAACACCTGTCTCTACTAAAAATACAAAACAAAACAAAAAAATTAGCCAGGTGTGGTAGCGCATGTCGGTGGTCCCAGCAACTGGAGAGGCTGAGATGGGAGGATCCCATGAGCCGGGGAGGTGAAGGCTGCAGTGAGCTGAGATTACAACACTGCACTCCAGCCTGGGTAACAGAGTGAGACCTTGCCTAAAAAAAATAAATAAATAAAATAAAAAAGAAGAGTTGTTTAAATACAATTAAAAAGAGTCAAAAATGGGTAAAACTGGAAGTTTAAAAATGCTTCATAGAACCCTCAGGGTTCACATTTCAAGATTCTCAAAACAGATGTATTGCAGATGTGAGTCACTACAGAGAACAGTTTGAAAGTCAAACTGCTAAAAATTATATTTTTGTTGTATTTTCTAACAGAAAGAGTATTTTTATGGTCTCCTAAACTCTGTTGATTACTAAGTAGTAACCAACAAAGTTGATGTAAATGAATAAGTAATACTCGTTTAAAGCACTGCAAATTTAAATGAGAGTTTTAAAAATTAAATTATAACTGCCTTGTTCCTATTTTACTATGCAAATCCTCAGCTCTTCACCTTAGCACTGTCTGCCACTTCAGTGTGGTTATATAAAATTGCATTTGACCTGTAATATTCAACATTTTAAAATCTTAATTTAAAGCACCCTACAAGGGAAGAAAAGAGTGACAATTTTTAAAATATGTTTTCCAGGGCACTTCAGCTCCAAGTCAGATCAGTAGTTCAATCTAGCTGTTAGCCAAGGAATGAATAATTGAATTGTTTTAACGTAAGTGTTTTCCTCTTTGGGGAACCTCCATTCGGTAAAATTTATTTTTTAAAAAGAGAAATACTGAATGATCTTACTTATGTATAGAATGCAAAATAGTCGCACTCATAGAATCAGAGAGTGGGATGGTGGTTGCCAGGAGCAGTAGGGGGGAGAAATGGGAGAAAGTTGGTCAAAGGATACAAAGAGTAATGTATGCAAGATTAATAATTGCTGGGCCGGGCGCGGTGGCTCACGCCTGTAATCCCAGCACTTTGGGAGGCCGAGGCGGGCGGATCACGAGGTCAGGAGATCGAGACCATCCCGGCTAAAACGGTGAAACCCCGTCTCTACTAAAAATACAAAAAATTAGCCGGGCGTGGTGGCGCGCGCCTGTAGTCCCAGCTACTCGGGAGGCTGAGGCAGGAGAATGGCGTGAACCCGGGAGGCGGAGCTTGCAGTGAGCCGAGATCACGCCGCTGCACTCCACCCTGGGCGACAGAGCGAGACTCCGTCTCAAAAAAAAAAAAAAAAAAAAAAAAAAAAAAAAAAGATTAATAATTGCTGGAGATCTAATGTACAGTTTAGGAATGACTGTTTAAAAATACTATATTGTTATGTGTGAAATTTTCCAAGAGGATAGATCTTAAATTTCATCTCCTCACCCCCCACACAAAGATGGTAATTATGTTGAGGTGATAGGTATGTTAATGAACTGGAATATAGTAATCATTCCACAATATACCCTATGAAAACATCAAGTTCTTCTTCTTCCGTATAGGCAGTTTTGTTCATCAATGATGTCTCAATAAAACTGTTCTAAAAAAATCATCTCCCAAATTGCAGGAAGTCATTTGTTTGAAGAACATCTAAAAAAAAATATTGTGGCTGGGTGTGGTGGCTCACGCGTGTAATCCCAGCACTCTGGGAGGCCAAGGCGGGCGGATTACTTAAGGTCAGGAGTTCGTGACCAGCCTGGCCAATATGGTGAAACCCCATCTCTACTAAAAATACAAAAAAAAAAAAAAAAAAAAAAAATTGAGCCAAGCATGGTGGCGTACGCCTGTAGTCCCAACTACTTGGGAGGCTGAGGCAAGAGAATTGCTTGAACTCAGGAAGCAGAGGTTGCACTGAGATGAGATCACGCCATTGCACTCCAGCCTGGGCGACAGAGCGAGACTCCTCAAAAACAAAGAAACAAACAAAAAAAAAACAGTGCAGTTTCTTCAGTTCAGATCAGCACGGAGCTCATAGACAAACCAGAGTGTACTAAACACAACGTGCTGGAGTGTAACTTCTGTATCTGGGAAACCCTTTGTACAGCAAATTGGTTGCCCAGTGTTGAAGAAATGACTCTGGTATAACACATTTTAAAAAATCACCCCCACTAAAGCACGCCGGAGGAGTTCAACCTGAGTTTCCAGATCACTCTTTATATTTCATGGCTTCCAGCCCCATCCACGAGGCAGCCTGGACAATTCCATCCACTGCTTTTTAGGGACCAGGTCCTAGGGAGACAGGGATGCTCTCCTGAGACTGAAATCCCACCCTCAGAGCCTTCTGATCTTTCTGAATTCAGGAGAGTTTCCTCAGGAGGCGGGTTAGGGAAGCATTGTCTTCGCCCTCTCCCTCCAGTGTTTCCTAACCTTGACCCATGTTTGACTTAACCTCAAAGGGTCCACCCATCCCTATATCCAGCCTCACACGGGACTTAGAACATGACTCTCTCCAAGGGTGGGACCCAGCCAGCGGGGGAAGCTCACCAGGAGATTCCAACGTGCAACCAAGTTGAGAGTCAGTCTATGTTCGTGCTTCTCCCACTTTAACCCACATGTGAAACACCTGGGGTTGTTATTCAACTGCAGCTACTGATTGAGCAGGTGGGGGTGGGGCTGTGCCTGAGGGTCTGTGTTTCTCAGAAGCTATGGGTCTGCGGGTGACACTCTGGGCACCCAGTCCTCTTTGCTCAAGTAAATGAAACACGATGATTGAAATGTAAAGAAATTGGCCTGAGGTGAAAAGGAAAACTCAAAACACCAGTAAGACGTGTCATAGTTCAGAGAATTTTATTCATATGGAAAGAAATTAACCAAACAGAATTTTACAATGACATTTAATAACAAAAGTTCCAAGGCTAGTAGAATACATCCTTATAAGTGAAATTCGTTTAAAAACTTCAAGTTACTCTATTGTTTACTTGTGGTATGATAATAATAATAGTAAAATATATTTTACCATGTGCCATTCATGACGTGCTTTGCATAACTTATTGAATCCACTGAATAACTCCAACATTGAGAATATTGGTACCTCAACTTTACACATGCGCTAGCTGAGATGCCCTCTCTACCACAGTGGAAATCAGAGTCTAGGTAGCTTCATAAAATAAATGGAGTATTTCCCTTGTTTTATATCCTGGAAAAATGTAGAGGGTATGAAGAACAGTTTATTACATATTTGAATGGACTGATAAAAAAAACTATAGGGTATGAAAAACAGTTTCTTAAATATTTGAATTCACTGATTTTTAAAAAAATTCTTGCAAGGCAAAAAAATATTTCCCATTTTCCAAGGCTAATCGTTTCTCACTACAACTCTCCTTCACAGTCAAATATTCTTGACTCAGGAGACACTGACGTTTTCCACTACCATTGAAGGGCCCTTTGCCCAGAATTACTCAAATTTCAGTGGTTTGCTCCCTCCCTCAGATGAGTTTCAGAGCTTTCTATTGACACTAGTGGAGCATTGTTTGCTTATGTTGACTCAGTTTCTCATATAATTATATGTAATTGAAAAAGAAATCTATAGGATACTTTCAACAGCCCCATTTTAATACAGGTTAAATTTATACAATGTAAATAGGCAGGTTCGTTGATCCCCGATAGTATCTGGGGTCCACGTTTGAACAGACACCGCTGCCAGGGAAGGGCTGACCCCGTACAGGGCTGCTTCCTGCCTCTCCCCTTCTCAGCCTTTCAGCCACTTCCAAGTCGCATGGGCTTGAAGCTGGGTCTTCTTGCCTTGGGGGCCTCAGTCACTGTCACTGTCCTCAGAGGAGGAAGTGACCAGAAGGTCCTCATAGAGGACACTCGTTGAGACCTGGGGACCCTGCCCCTCAGGCTGCCTTGAGAAGCGAGGGCTCTGAGCAGAAGCAGAGTTTTCAGGAGGACGGGATGTGGGAGGCATTCTGAACCTGGGGCTCTTCTGTCCCTTGTCCCCTCTCATGAAGGTGACACTGCCGGGCCTCCCTGGAACATGAATGGGTGGTCCAGGCTGGAGGACGGGGCAGCCCTGGGCTGGGCCCAGGAAAGGTGAGCTGGGTGCGGGCTGGAGGTTGACTCTGGGCTGCAGGGTTGCTGTCTTGGTGGCTGCTGTCTCTGCGGTCGCCTTGGGTGCCTCTTTGGATCCAAGTCCAGTTGCAGTGCGGGGAGGCTGGAGTGTCTGCACAGCGCCCACATCCGGGAGCTGAGTTCTCAGTGCAGGGGTCTGGAAGGAGCTGAATCTTGCTTTCTTTGCGGGGTTCTGGAAAGTCTGGGTGGGGACGGGGGCAGGCTCCTTGTCTGGTGCCTGGGTTCTGGAGTCCTGGCCACACTGTTTTCTGACTTGCTGTGGTCTGGGCTTTGCATCTGCGTCGGGATGTTTGATTTCTGCCTGGGATTTAAGGCCAGGACCCAGGGCAAGCGCCTGCATGGCAGGCTGGAGAGCACCATGGGAGGACATGTCAGGCCTGTTGGCTGGCAGCCTGGCACTGAGAGTGGGGGTCTGGTGGGAGCTCTTCAGAACAGGGAGCAGGGAGGCAGTAACGTCCCTGCCATGTCCTTTGGTGGGTCCACAGGTGCTCAGTTGAGGTGAATCGTTGTGACCCGAAGGGCAGAGTAATCTCATCTCGGGTTTGTTGACAGGCGGTGGACCTGTGGACACAGGGCCCAGGACAGATCTCTTCTTGGTGGTGTGGACAGGCAGTGGCATGGTAGGATGCTACGGGAGAAAACATCCCACATGAGACAGCTCAGCAGTAGAATTTCCAAACTCTGAAGCAGGGAACTCACATGCAAAACCACATCACAACAGACACTGTGTGAAGATGAGAAGCAAGCTAGGACAGAGGAAAATGGACAGGCTGACATGAGAAACAGAGAATAACAGGCACTGGGACTGCGTCTAAATCAGGATCAAATATAGGGAAGACCCTCCAAAAGAGACAGGACGTAGGAAATTAAACGTCACAGAAAAGGATGTACACATGGTCACTGAATATATGCAGAATTGTCACTTCAGGAATAGTGTTGGGGAAAGATAGCCAACCATTCTGTTTGCTGCGACTATCACATATGAAAATTAAAACTCTTTATGTTCTCTATTGTTAATATCAAGGGAATATCAATTCCCCACACAATGTGGAGACTGGAAATGGCACAGCTCCTTTTGAAAGCAGATGTAAGATCATGTACAAAAATGAAGGAGACGCCTTATCTGCAGCCAGTATCCCGAAGGCATCTGATCAGTCACTCCCCACGGGCACTGAAATGCGCCCAGCAGCATTTGCTGGCCAACTTGCAAATAAAGGTACAGAAACCAACTTTCAAATAAAGAACCTGAGGCCGGGCGCGGTGGCTCACGCCTGTAATCCCAGCACTTTGGAAGGCCGAGGCAGGTGGATCACGAGGTCAGGAGATCGAGACCATCCTGGCTAACACGGTGAAACCCCGTCTCTACCAAAAATACAAAAAATTAGCCGAGCGTGGTGGCGGGCACCTGTAGTCCCAGCTACTCAGGAGGCTGAGGCAGGAGAATGGCATGAACCCGGGAGGCGGAGCTTGCAGTGAGCCGAGATCGCACCACTGCACTCCAGCCTGGGTGACAGAGCGAGACTCCGTCTCAAAAAAAAAAAGAGAAGAAGAAAAAGAAGCTGGAAACTGGAGTATGGGAAGTCCTCGGGTAGCGCAGTTCTCCTGCAGGGCAGCCTAGGTCTTAACATGACCCCCATCCATGAGGGGCACAGAGTGAAGGAATCAGGGGACCTAGAGGAGAAACAGAGCAGGGGCCGGGGGAATACGCACCCTCAGGAACAAACAATCTTCTGCTGGCTCCTTCCAGGCTTCCTGCATTTTCTCTTGGGGAGTTCTGGGAAATGTCTGCGTCGGAGCTTCGCTCTGCTGCTGCTGGGGACTGCAGAAGAAATCACGTTCACTGTCTGGACCCGCCTGATCCTCCAACTCACACCAGTGACTGGGAACCAAGCACCCTCCCGGAACCCAGCCCTAGCCCTTGCTTTGGGTGAGGGAGGCGTTCAGGCCTCTGTGAACTTTGCCAAGACAGCCCCTTCTCTCATCTCAGAAGCAGCCCCACTTCCAGGAAGCTCCGCCCCCCACCCCCACCATGGCCCCAGGTTCTCTAAGTTCATTCAGGCCCTGGAACTGCTCTGCCTGCCTCGGGTAACATCCCCAGGTCTCCCACAGCCCCTGCCCTCTAGAGACTCTCAGCGCTGGAATAAGCTCGGAGTGCGGACCCTGGAAGGCAGGGGCCTCCATCCACCTCCATTTGGAGCTTTCCTTGTGTGCTTAGAGAAGGCTGCACAGAAAGACTAGGGGAGACACCAGCTCCTGAGGCGCCGACCTCACGGATCTTCCTTGACCCTGCAAAATCCTTACCTTGGACTTCGCTCCTTTTCTCTGTCATTCGTCGTAAAGGGCCCTGGAGTCGTAAAGGGTAGCTGGGCCTTTGCTGGTTTCAGGTTCTCCTTCTCCTTGTGTGAGCCCAGGGCCTGCAGAGGAAGGGCCCCACTCCACCTCTTAATGGGGCAGGTCTTGCTCCTGGCTGAGTGCCCAAAGGCCCCGCAGTTCTTGCATTTCACCTGCAGGTGGAGGAGGACACAGAGCAGTGAGTCAACAGCAATCACAGGCACCTGCAAGGTTCACACAAGGCCTGGGTTTTGGAGATGGATTATTTTAGGAGGGGGACATACGCCCATGGGCTGTTGGTTGCCAGGAAATTCAAGATATTATCGTCCTCCCCAGAGCCCGTTTAACAGGGATCCCAGGAGGAAGGACGCTTGTGTCTGAGAGTGAAGATAATGAACCGGTGTTGAGGACTCGGCAAACACCAGGCTGGACATGACACTGGACAGAGAATGAGGCTGCTCCTCAGAGACTCCGAATGGGCCAATCTGCCAAGACAGGAGGCTGACCGATGTGGTCAGACTGAGACCAGTGGGAACTCTTAAGTCATAATCACGAGTCCCATGTTCAAGCCCACTCTCTGGTGTCCATAGGTTACCAACATTTTCAAGCCCCCACTGACCCTGGATTCCTCCTGCTCTGCTGGGAGAGTCGTCTGCCCCATGGGTCTCCTCTGCTGCTCCTGTGGGTTTTTGGCTCTGGGGGGCCTCTGAGCCTGATGATGGACGGAATGACGGGCCATCTGTGGCAGGTCCTTGAACTTCCGATCATTCTTCTTCATTAAATGATGGTTGGATTTCCTAGTCATAAGAAAAAGAGAAAACATTACACAGACACCAGACGGAAGTCCCTCCTACCCCTATTTACCCAAGTAGGGATGGAGGGATGCACTGGCCACTGAGTCACGCCCACTGTAACTTGGTCCTCTCTGAACCCAGGTCCCAGTTGTGCTATTTTGTGACTCTCTCCCAGCCTGACCTACTCCCAGAACAGGACACAGATTTTATAAACCAAAGGCTGCTTGATTTCTAGAGGGCGAAGTGAGATTTGCAGCCTTGCATAAAAGTTTTCTGGGCTCTCGGTTTGTGTGCAGTCAGTGCCTCAGAGCTGAAACCCTCTGACAATACTTGTCAAAGCCAAGAGATGAACAGCCAACAACTATTGATATTTTTCCAGCTAGTTCCAGAAAACCCACTATTTTCATAGAATAGCTTCTCACTCAGAAAACCAACCAGAAGCTCAAAGCTTTGCAAAGTTTTCATATTCAACCTATGGACACTCGTGACGTTTCACGTGAGACCCCTGTGACCACACGCCACTCTTCACACAGAGGCAGGCACAAAGCCAAGCGAGGACCAGCCCTCTGAGGATCCTGCGATGCTGACACATATGTGCGTGTTCACGCCAGGCTTCGCACACATCACTGGCCGTGTCATGGGGGGACACGCAAGACGGAAGCCTCCAGGCGTGTTCAGCAGAAACCTTGAGCCCACAACAGGAATACAACAGGAAAACAGTGCTTGGGGAGTCCCCCAGGCTGTCCCTAGCTTATTCCCTAATACTTGTCTTACCACTTCTCTTGGTATCCACGTCTCTGTGAAATTGTGGTGGGCCAGTCCACTGAAGGTTGGCATTTTTTATTTGAGACATAGCGGGCGGTCGGATCCTCTCCTGGCTTCAGAGGAAATCGCAGAAGAACCTCCACAGAGGCGAGAACAACCCATTTCTCTGTCATCAAGTCAATCTAATGCAGAGAAAGGAGAATGGAGACGCAACCTGAGTTCTGCAGGCAGGAGGAAGCCTTGGCAGAGGAGAGGAGGAACTCCCATCTTCCTGAGATTTTAAAGGGAATGCTGGGCAGGCTCACATTTTGGTGTTTTGGTTTTTTTTTTCTTTTCTTTTTTTTAAAGAAGTCATTATGTGAAAAAGATACTTGTACACGCGTGTTTACAGCAGCACAATTCGCAATTGCAAAAATATGGAACCAGCCCAAATGCCCATCAATCAACCGGTGGATAAAGGAACTGTTATATATATACACACACACGATGGAATACTACTCAGCCATAAAAAGGAAGAAATTAATGGCCTTCACAGCAACCTGGATGGGATTGGAGACTATTATTCTCTGTGAATAAGTCACGAATGCAAAACCAAACACCTTATGTTCTCACTCATGTGTGGGAGCTAAGCTATGAGGATGCAAAGGCAATCTCACAGTTCTTTACTCCAGAGCTGGTGAGGAGTTGGCTGATGACCTTCAAATGGCGCCAAGAGTGAAAGCCCAGGGTATTGGGAAGTGCTGCTGTTCCCAGGTGGGAACTAAGGGGCAGTGGTGGTGTCATTTTCCCATGTCCCTTTGAGGAATTACATATCGATTTTAATGGGTCAGTGCCCGTGTATGGAGGGTGTGAAACTCTGAATATGAGCCGGTCATGGACGGGGAGCCTGCTTCAGCCTTCCCCCTCGACTTGGACTCCACCCATTCCACCTGCCTCCCAGGTGACCCCGCAGCTCCTGTACTCACATCTCTTTGTGGGATCCCGCACTGCTTTAAGAACTGCTTCCCCTGTTCCATGGAGAGAGTGTTGGGGTCCATCACTGCTGGTCCTGCCCGAGGGATTCTCTTTCCCTGTGGAGGGTAGAAAATGAGACGCTGATTCCTTCCTATCCCTGGACTCTCCCAGGCACAGGATGCAGTCAGCCCCATCTCTCTGCTGTGCCCACCGTGTCCCTAGGAGTAAACTCACACATCCTGTCATTCAAACTACACGGACGCATCCTTCCTCTGCCAGTGACATGACACCAATGTGAATGAGAAAAGCAGGTGATCCATTAAAAGAATTGTTCACTGGACTTAGCGTGTTTGATATGTATGCAATGCAGGTCCCTCCTCTAGAGACCCTCATAGTATACCATCAAACATCTGGAAAAATTGATCGTGGAATTGGCCTCAAAGAAAATTTAATATATTAGAAAACTGGATATCTTATCAATCTGTAGTCCCTGTTTGTCAAAATTAGATATACCTACATTTTATAAATTGTAAGAATGTTTTAAACTATGAAGCACAGTCTCTGAAATTTCTGCAATCAAAGTCCTTAAGTTCAAACAAGATATTCAAGTGGAAATCAGAAAGTGCAAAGAAAATACAGGTAAAGCCCTTTCATGTCCAAACTGATGAGCAAAGCAAAACCTGGGTTCAGGGGAAATGTCTTTGTCTAAATGACCACAGTGCTAGGGAAACAGGAACATAGGAGAGTGAGGGCAACACCATTTAGAAATCAACTCCTTCTTGAAACTAGCAAGGCACAGTCCTGGCCAGTCACCACCCTGGTTCTAAGATGTCTGTGGCTGAGGAAGCAGCTTAGCAATGCTTGCAAGACAGACTCCTATGAAAGCAAAATGTCCAGATGCCCAATATCCAAAGCAATAGATGCCTTCAACATAATGATAGCTATGCTTTCCTAAGCTACACACTGGAATGTCAAGGAGAGTTTTCTTTAAATCAACAGGATACTAAACATTGTCATGCTATCAGCCCACCGCATGTAGACACAGCTTAGTTAAATCTTCACATGGAAAAGACTCTATATCAGAACAACTTAAAAGGAAAAAAAAAGACGGTGCATTTTCCGGTCACATTCTGAGGTCGCCCTACTGTGTAATGCAGTAGCTTTCAGTAAACTCTCTCTTCTCACTGTTCTCTGCAACTCGCCTGGAATTCCTTCCTGTGTGAGAACAAAGAACCCTCTCCTGGGGTCTCAGTCGGGCATCTTTTTTTTGCCACAACATGATTGAAAAAAGATAAAATTTAGGGGAAGTGCTCAGGTCCATGGAGACAGCTTAGAGACAGAAAAACATGAGATTGCAAAAATGAAAAGATGGAAATGGCAAATCAAACAATAAGTTGGAGCAGATGAAAAAATAAATAGAATACAACAGGAAAACGTGTTCTTTATTTGAAAGCAGTAGTAGGATACATTACCATGGGTGCCCATAGAAAGATAATAAAATTTATCTGCATAGATCATATTAGGAAAAAGAGAAGACAATACCGCCATGAAAATAAAAAAAAAAAAAGATCAGGGAATGCTACATTGGGGACAAACACATTCGAAAATCTAGAATAAAGTGTGCTTTCCTCTTCAAAATCCAAATCGCCAAAATTGAGAGGTAAAGAAACATTTTTAACTACGTATTTAAGTAGAACCATTCTTTATACCACCATTATAGATTGGGTGCTCACAGCCTAAGTCTTGCTTGGCTTAATCTAGGTATAGAGGCTCAGGGCCCTGAATTTTTACCAGCTCCTAGCAAACGTCAATGAGTATACCGATACAAAAGATAAGTGAAGAAATCTCTTATTTAAAAGCCCTCCGTCAAAGGCACCAGGTCTCCATAACTGCTCATCCAGCACCCACACAATTCAGGGTGCTGGGTGAGCATTCCTTGCAAACGTTGATCTTTATATGATCATTAAAATTTTGTTTTTAATTTTTTTCGTTTTGTTTTTTGTTTTTCTTCTTTTTGTTTTTCTTAATATATATTTTTTCGATCATTACAATTTCTGAAACGTTTTTTGAGTCAGGCTCTGTCTTAAGAAACACTATTAAGCAATTAAGTAATCTTTACCTCGACATCTAAAACCACCCACTACAGAGTTTTCTCACTCTTCTATTTCTCCTGTGGGAATAAACCAAGTCCCAAAATTGTAATGTACCAACCTGTTGTCTTCCTTCCCTCTAGCAGTCGCTCAGGTAAGTGGACCCTCTGCAGACTCTACTCCTCACAGTGGGGCTTCTGCGATGAAGACAGCAAAGAACACTGAGGGGAAGATCCATTCTCCTGCTGGCATTTATACTGCCCCAGAGCCCCACAGTCACTCCCCCTGGCTAACCTAATCATGATGCAATCACATCTGATCTAATCACCTCTCCCTCTTTCTCCATTTCTTAGTTATTCTGTTGCTAGCACTTTCATTTTATCACACATGTGTACATCTGAAACAAATAATATAATTTGCTGTTTGCCCGTCCCATAATTTGTTTAACTTAACCTAGAACTATATATTTTGAACAACATACACTATTTTCTGCATGTTTAAAATGTTCATACATAAGCCCAGGCTGTTTCATTCTGTATCTCGAAAGGGGATGAGCAGCTCAGTCTCCCATGGCAGGGAGCTCAGTGGAAACCAGGACTGGAGATTCTGGCCCTTGTGGGACCAAGGATGAGTGAGGTCTAAGAACAGTCTGGCTCACTGTGAGTCCAGGAATGGACTAGAGTATGCAGTGTGGCTATGGGGGATGGGTCACCCAAACTCTCCATGTATCCATGGAATTTTTAAAAGCCCATGTCAGATGGGGAGAACTGCAAGAAGCCAACTCTCAGTTCCAGGGACAGCTCCTGGAAAGAGTCAGTGGCTCTGATGGGAACAGGAAGGCAGGCACAGCTCCAGGGTGTGGACAGGAGCTCAGCAACTCACCAGGATTTAAAGATCCTGAGGTCTGGGCAGCATTTGGGAATTAGGGCTGGAGTGAAGACTTGCCTCTCTGCAGAGACGAGATGGGAGTTGATATAGTTTGGATGTGTGTCCCCGCCCAAATCTCCTATTGAAATGTCATCCCCAGTGTTTGACCTGGGGCCTGGTGGGAGATGATTGGATTGTGGGGGCGGTTTTCTCATGAATGGTTTAGCCTCCTCCCCTGTGGTTGTGTCCTTTCCAGAGTAAGTGAGTTCTCATGAGATCTGGTCATTTAACAGTGTCCAGCACCTGCCTCCACACTCTCTTGTCCCTGCTTTTGCCATGTGAAATGCCTAATCCCTCTTTGCCTTCCACCATGAGTAAAAGCTTCCTGAGGCCTCCCTAGAGAAAGATGCTGCAATATTTCCCGTACAGCCTGCAGAACCATGAGCATGTTCATTCTCTTTTCTTTAATATGACCGAGCCTCATGTATTTCTTTACAGCAATGCAAGGAAGGACCTGATAAAGGAGTGTTCCCAAGAATTCTCACAGAGATATCAGGGTGTGGGGTCTGTCTGGCCTATTCAGGTGGGTTTGTCACCCACAGGCTTCCTGAACCTCTCCTGTGACAAAGGACAGAGGCAGAGGTTGCCCTTTCTCCATTTCAAGTTCCTTCTGCCCGTGGGTGCAGTGGTGGTGTGGGGAAGAGAAAACGAAGTTAAAAAGGCATATTTTCAAAATTCACGTGGGATTTCCCAAGATAATCTCATCTGAGGAAGAAGCTCTGGGAATAAGGAAGAGCAAGAGAAGGATTAGGAGATAGGAAAGGCATGTTCTCAGGTAAATGTCCTGTCCTGGGTCAATTGCTGTGTTCTCTCTCTGAAAACATCATGGTTTTGTTTTGTTTTGCCATCAATAAGAAATTCACTTGCTTTCAAAAAATCCAAATGCTCATATTGTCCAGAAAACTGAAACAGGTTAAATTACCATTTTTATGAAGCAGAACTGCTAAAACTTCTTCCCTGAAACATCTTTGCTTGCATTAATCCTTTGACCTCCACTGCATTTATCTTAAAAATTCATGCACAGTGAGAAAGGAGGAATAATTTTTTAAGATCTATGGCACCGGATGATGACTGTAGTTCATAATAATGCATACTGTAAATATACACAATTACTAAGAGAGTGAATTTCAAATGTTCTTGCCAAAAAAGTGATAGCTATGTCAATAATGGGTATAAAACTGATTGACTTCATCATTCCACAACATATACATATATCAAAGCATCACAATGTACTCCGTAAATATGTACAGTTGTTATTTGTCAATTAAGTTTATGTTTTAAAAAGTCGCATACCCTTTTAAAACAAAAAACTACCTGTAGCTGACTTCTGTACCCAATTCTTCCACCCTCAAGCATGTACTATGTACCTTTCGACCCCACGCAAAAATAAAATCTTAGGTTGAGTACTTTCGATGATGGAAAAAATAGTTTTTTTCTTAGAAAACGATGTTTCTAATCATACTGCATTCTTTTTATTGCATATGTGTAATAGATTCAAAAAGTTTTGGGGTGCCTACTGTTTATATTTAATTAATTTATTTTTAAATTGACAAACAGTAATAGTGCATATTCACGCATTCTTTTCAATGATAAAATATTATTGATTTCTTTACCCACTTCTTCCTCCCACAATCATATACTACAGACTGTCTGACCCCATGCAAAAATAAAATCTCACGTTCAGCATTATCAATTACAGGATAAAAGTATTGTTTTTTCAGCCACCTACACTCCCTGCAGCATTTCACAGCAGGAGACAGACAAGCACATGCGACTCTGTACAGGGGTAAACAGGAGCGATTCAGTGACATGCTTCATGCATACGTGCCAGGAAATAGGATGCGGTGTTTCCGAGAAGGAGGTATAGAAACATCTTCCACACTCATCACTGACTGGGTGAAGCAACACGAACAGTGACTCCAACATGAACATATATTTATATGAATTTTGAAGGAAGACAAAATGCCTTATAATGTATATGTGTATGTATATATACAAATAGACCTATCTATGTATATGTCCATCTATGCAAACATATATGTGTGTCTACATATTTATCTATATTTGTATCTATGTCTATCTCTATAGATCTATGTCTCTGTAACTCTACATTTAGATATAGATATGAAGATATAGATCTATATCTGTCTATATATAAGATCTTCATACATGTATCTCTCTCTCTATATATAGAGAGAGATGTATTTATAGAGCTATCAATATATAAAGGAGGATACATCTCAAACTGGTAACAATTGTTATGCCTGGGATCAGCCTTGTATCTTTGCTGCGGTATTTATAGCTCATTTTATTTAACTGTTTAAACATTTTGTCATTAAATTGGATCCTGTACTTATCAGTTTCCCATGACTCCACCATTACACAAATTCAGCGCCTTACAACAGCACCCATTTATTTTTTCCCCGTAGGTCAGAAGCCCACAGTGCTTGGCTGTGTCCTCCGCTCAGGGTCTCACAAGGTCTGAATCCCGGGGTCAGCTGCCTGGGCTTTTCTCTGCAAGCTTGGGAGAGAATCTGCTTCCACAGGGGAGAATCTCTGCTTCTACGATCATTTAGGTGGCTGACAAATCCCCTTTTCTTCTCATGATTTCCACCTGCCTATCGTCTTCAGAGCCAGCAACAGCCTGTGAAATCCCCCTCTTCCCTCCAAGCCATGACTTCCTCTTTGGCGGTGTCTCTAACTTCTTTGTCTGCTTTAAGAGCTCAGCTGATTACATTAGACTCGCCTAGATCATCCAGGATAATCTCCCGGGTTCATTTCAGCTGATTGTTAATTATACCACAAAGTCTCTTTTGCCTACGTGGAACTTAACATAACCACACGATAACACCAGGGGTTGGAGAACCAGCCAATGCATTTTTTGATGATAAAATATTATTGAAAAAATATTCTCAATGTATCAACAAAATGATTACCACTCTTCACCTCTTGTGATGGTTTCCAGTGACAGAAAAGCAAAAGGAAAGAGTGCTCAAATGTTGAATTCTGTATTTTATTTTCTTAATATGCTATATTTTAATGGCATATTACTATATGCTATTAATATGCATGTGCCATATTTTGGAAATACCACAATAAATAAAAGAAGCTCATACTTTTGAATTTGGGACACAAAATAAACTCAAGACATCCACAGAAGCAGGAAGGGGCCTTCTGACACCTCCTTCTATCACTGAGCACCAGGTGCCAGGAAACAGCCTCTCCTGCCGGACCCACTGCAGTCACATTCTGTACCTGGTGTCCTGAAGGAGAAGAGAAAATGCTGTGGCATGTTGCACATCCCAGATGCTCCCTGTGGCCCTCTACTGCATGTTAACTTTTAAGCATTCTTGGGGGTGTTTTACAGAATCATAATTTGCTCTTCACGAACTGGAACTAGAGTCTATCCATGACTCAGTTGTGAGTCCACTGTAAATGAGAGAGATGATGAATGGAGAATGAATTAGTGACCTCCAATCTTCCCCAGTGCCTTCCACGACCCCAACCTCCATGTAGTTCCTCCCTCCTCCTTCATCTCCCCTGTGGCCTCCCTCTCACCACCATTATGACCCTTAGTCACCACCCGGGCCTCCACATCAATCCACTCCCCCATCCTCCTGACAGCTTTAGACTTCTACGTTGGACCCCACCGCTATCTCATGCCCTTCTTGGCCTCCATGCCTCCAGCACCTCTGTATCATCCATTGTGGGGAAGTCAGGCAAGCCCTCCCCACCTCCCACTGCCCCCACACTCTCCACCTTCCATGTCCTCCTTCTCCTAAGCCCTAAATCAATCCACATTCCAATGATCTCAGCCCATATTCCATAATCTCCATGCCCTTCTCCTTCAAATGTCCCAGCAATCAACCTCCCGATGTCCTCAGCTTCCCCAGCCCTCCAACCCTTCTCCCAGAACTCTCTAGTCCCTGCCCTCTTCCCCCAAACCCATTGGCTGCTCATTCCCATGACCCTTCCAGTTCCTCTCATCACCCTGCTCTCATTTTCCTCCCAGGCCTACGACATATACGTAGTTCCTTCCACCATTCCCATCCCCGTCTCCACTTTGGGTCACTGACCACTCCCAGGACCTGTGCACCCCACCTGTTACTTCCCTTCCCCTCATTTTCTTTAACCTTCCATTGACATCAAGTCGCCGGTGTCTTGAACCCTGTCCTGCTGTTTACCCACTTTCCCTCATTATCTCTACCTCCCCATCGTCTCCTTTCATTCCATGACTCTGGCACCCCTTGTCCTCACAGCACCTAGTATCCCCCATATGCTTAGCTCCTTGCACGCTTTTCCCCTGTGCACCCTTAAAACCTACGGCATCTTCCACTGTCTGGAAATTAACCTCCTTGTCCCTTTTAAGCCTCTGTGCTCTGTCTCCTGTTCACCGTCAATCTACATTTACAGGTGCTCTGCCTCAATAGCGTCCTTTCCATGAGCCCCCAGATTTACCCTATGTCACAAACCTGTGCAATGTCACACTCTGTCACACACCCACGCAATATCAGACCCTCTGTCACACACCCATGCAATATCGACCCCAGTACTCCAACTTTTCTACTTAATGCCTTGGACCAAATTAGCAACGTGCACATCATTTTATACATTGCACATGGTGACGTCATCATCATGAGTGGTGCAAAGTGAGAAGAAGTATAAAGGCTGAATCACAATAGAGGCATGACCGCCGCTATTCTCCAGATAGGAACCTGGTATCAAGATACAAATGCGTGTGCTGACTCTGCGAGTGTGGTGTTTAAAGGTCAGTGGGACTGTGTGAGTCTGTGTGAGTGCTGGGCATAGTGAGTGTATTTGAATATGAGTGTGGGTTTGTGATAGGTGTGTGGGTGGGTGTGAGCCTGTGGTGGAATATGTATGTGAGGGCGAGTGTCTAGCTGTGTATATGTATGTGATGTTCCTTTGATTTGTGCTGCTGTGCACGTATGCATGTGTTTGCACCTGTGTGTGTACATCTATGTGTGAATATACGTCTTTGTGTACGGTAGGGGTTGTTCACCTTATGGCTCTAATCCCTGACATGGAAACTGAGATGCATTGAATGGAGGGCCTGAATAACATTTGTTTGTAGGAAAACCCAAAAGATTAACTTGAATTCACATTTTATATTTCTTAATTTATTACAAGAGCAATCAGTGATCATTACTGAACATTCAGAAACACACACACACATACAAATGTAGAGGACTGTGGCAACCATCCAATGCTCTTGAATCTAGTAAGCAGTATTTGCTTCCCAGGATTGATCAAAGCGTGACTTTTTAGCCACCTGATCCACATCATCTAGATTCCAAATTAATTGGCATTGAGCCGTTGGCATCCTGTTTGTCCTTTTACTTGTATCCCTTTGAAAATCCTTCTCAGGCACTCTGTCTGGGTTCACTTCTCTGCACATAATCTAATGATGCTGCAGCTGAGTGGCATGAAGATTAGGAAAGAGCTCGCTTTGGGGCAGAACCTCCCAGCAAAGCAGAGTATCCGGGGACACTCGTCCCTCACTGTGAGTGTGCCACAGGTCAGAACTCAGCGTTTCCTGCTCCCTCCATGTAAGACTGTGTCTCTCCAGGGAATGGAGACGAAAGAGCCTCTCCCAAACACTCCTCATAGTCTCTGAAGAGATGCTGGCCAGAAACTTGTCATTGCTTTTGGTGATTAGCAATTGGGAAGAAAAGTTGTTCTGAAACGTTCTCAGCTCCCCAAGGCTGCACTGTCGTTGCCACTGCAGGTGAAAAGATAATTGCAGTTCTGAGGGGAGGTGAGGTCACAGAACCACAAACCCATATCTCAGGGTCTGGCTGCTTCCCTCCCACATGATCCTGGCTGTGGCAACCTTCGCACTGAGCCCACCGTCCTAGCAGCAAGATGGAGCTGGGGAGAAAGTTTCTGTTTCAGTCTGTAGGGAAGGGTGCCTCCCAGGAGCCAGGGTAAGTTATCCTATTATAATAAGAAATTGTTCTAGATTGAAAACTAGTCCCTCTCCCTCTCCCTCTCCCTCTCCCTCTCCCTCTCCCTCTCCCTCTCCCTCTCCCTCTCCCTCTCCCCATGGTCTCCCTCTCCCCACGGTCTCCCTCTCCCTCTCTTTCCACGGTCTCCCTCTGATGCCGAGCCGAAGCTGGACTGTACTGCTGCCATCTCGGCTCACTGCAACCTCCCTGCCTGATTCTCCTGCCTCAGCCTGCCGAGTGCCTGCAATTGCAGGTGCGCGCCGCCACGCCTGACTGGTTTTCATATTTTTTTGGTGGAGACGGGGTTTCGCTGTGATGGCCAGGCTGGTCTCCAGCTCCTAGCCGCGAGTGATCCGCCAGCCTCGGCCTCCCGAGGTGCCGGGATTGCAGACGGAGTCGCGTTCACTCAGTGCTCAATGGTGCCCAGGCTGGAGTGCAGTGGCGTGATCTCGGCTCGCTACAACCTCCACCTCCCAGCCGCCTGCCTTGGCCTCCCAAAGAGCCGAGATTGCAGCCTCTGCCCGGCCGCCACCCCGTCTGGGAAGTGAGGAGCGTCTCTGCCTGGCCGCCCATCGTCTGGGATGTGAGGAGCCCCTCTGCCTGGCTGCCCAGTCTGGGAAGTGAGGAGCGTGTCTTCCCGGCCGCCATCACATCTAGGAAGTGAGGAGCGTCTCTGCCCGGCCGCCCATCGTCTGGGATGTGGGGAGCGTCTCTGCCCCGCCGCCCCATCTGGGAAGTGAGGAGCGCCTCTGCCCGGCCGCCCCGTCTGAGAAGAGAGGAGCCCCTCCGCCCGGCAGCCACCCCGTCCAGAAGGTGAGGGGCGCCTCTGCCCGGCCGCCCCTACTGGGAAGTGAGGAGCCCCTCTGCCCGGCCACCACCCCGTCTGGGAGGTGTGCCCAACAGCTCATTGAGAACGGGCCAGGATGACAATGGCGGTTTTGTGGAATAGAAAGGGGGGAAGCGTGGGGGAAAAGATTGAGAAATCGGATGGTTGCCGTGTCTGTGTAGAAAGAGGTAGACATGGGAGACTTTTCATTTTGTTCTGTACTAAGAAAAATTCTTCTGCCTTGGGATCCTGTTGATCTGTGACCTTACCCCCAACCCTGTGCTCTCTGAAACATGTGCTGTGTCCACTCAGGGTTAAATGGATTAAGGGCGGTGCAAGGTGTGCTTTGTTAAACAGATGCTTGAAGGCAGCATGCTCCTTAAGAGTCATCACCACTCCCTAATCTCAAGTACCCAGGGACACAAACACTGCGGAAGGCCGCAGGGTCCTCTGCCTAGGAAAACCAGAGACCTTTGTTCACTTGTTTATCTGCTGACCTTCCCTCCACCATTGTCCTATGACCCTGCCAAATCCCCCTCTGCGAGAAACACCCAAGAATGATCAATAAAAAAAAAAAAAAAAGAAAACTAGTCTAACCCCCAAGTCACCAAGAAAAGAGGAATGGTTGTGAGCCATGAGCTGAGCTACTAAAGAGAAATGGGGTCCTAGCCCCACACCAATCCTTGGGCGGTCCTGATGTGATTTAGGAGAATCCACACTGACCCGCACTGTTGGTTTTTCACCAAATAACAGTGAAACCTGACTATGTTCTTAAGGACTAACATTCTTAAATCAATCTGTCGTAATAATGAAAGCTGGTTGCATTCTTAAGGACTGTGGTACTAAAATCAATCTGCTGTTCCGCCTACCCAACAGGAATTATACACTAAAATTTCAGGATTGCTGAGGAAATGACTATAATATCACCATACTTGTAATGAATAGATTGACTCTACAGGAGTCATGTAATTCCTTACACAAACAGTGTATCTAATTAGTAGTTGCTGGAACGAAAATGTTTTCTCTAATTCTGAGAGTGTGCAGGGCTTAATGGGAGCATTAATTGTGTCTCTACTGAAAACTGCCATAGTCTGTTGATTATGGTGAGACTGTCTTTCCTCTTGATGTTAAGGAGGCAGCATTTAAGGAAAAGGTAACTTTATAATAATGAGCTAAAGAGAGCAGCTATCAGACTCAAATGTGTCCTCTGATGTGTTCTCTGCTTCAGATAGATTCTAACATCACCCAAACTCTCTAATTTCCGTTTACAAAGTATATATAATATACACCCACTAGAGTTTCCAATTTTCACGTTTGTCACATTTTAATTTAGTTATGCAAATATTGTCCTAAGGATAATAATTTATTTAACTCAGTTATTAATAGATCTAGATATGTCATCTAACATTTGTAAGAATTTGGTTATTACCTTACACTATTTTATCCCATATTGTTGTTTCATGTCCTATTGTTTTGGGTAAGACATGATTGTGGTAGGTGCCTTTATGCCTTTGTCCGTGGCACAAAAGCAAATGCTCACAATGTTTTTTACTCTCTTTCCATTCTAATATTGATCCATGCTTGCAGTCATTAAATCCAACTTGTCATGGTGCAGGTTTCTATAGTATCAAACTGTAATCCCTGCATCTACATTTTTTAAGATCTCTAAACCTTTATTTATTTGGATATTGACAAATAGAATACATTTTTACACATAATGTAAAATCATTACAACATACAGTAACCTACTACAAGACTGAAATATAATGACAAGGAATAAAAACAAAGGGGTGTGTGTGTGTATGTGTGTGTGTGTGTGTGTGTGTGTGTGTGTGTGTGTGTGTGTCTTATTCAAAGAACACAGCTATCTAGCTTTGTTAGTCAACTATAACGGCTAAATGCACTGTCTTTGCAATAAAACCAGGCAGGTTCAAGTTCGCATTTTGCCTGTAAGTAGGGTGGAAATGTTGCCAGCCACTTCACCTCTCTGTGTGTATGTCCTTCTCATATTTACAATGAAAGTAATAGTAATGCCTGCCTCATAGGTTTGTGAATAAAGAAGTTGCCGCACGTATGATCTGCACAGCAGTGATTCCCACATGGGAAGTGCTCTTTAAAGGTTACGCATTCAACTCTCAAAAGCCTCTTAAGAGAAGAGTGACTTTAAGTATTTCTAAGGGCAGAGCAATGGGAGGTGGAGAATGCTGGGTTGCAGGTGACACTATAAACGTAGCTCATGCCTCCTATTTCCATGCAGGACCTCCCAGCCCTGAAGACAAACATCAGTGACAGACATCAGTGGCAGAATGGCCTCCCGGTATGTGGCAGTGGGAATGATCTTATCACAGACCGTGGTGGGAGTCCTGGGGAGCTTCTCTGTTCTTCTCCATTATCTCTCCTTTTACTGCACTGGGTGCAGGTTAAGGTCCACAGATTTGATTGTTAAGCACCTGATTGTAGCCAACTTCTTAGCTCTCCGCTGTAAAGGAGTCCCCCAGACAATGGCAGCTTTTGGGGTTAGATATTTTCTCAATGCTCTTGGGTGCAAACTTGTTTTCTATCTCCATAGAGTGGGCAGGGGAGTGTCCATTGGCACCACCTGCCTCTTGAGTGTCTTCCAGGTGATCACGGTCAGCTCCAGGAAATCCAGGTGGGCAAAACTTAAAGAGAAAGCCCCCAAGCATGTTGGCTTTTCTGTTCTCCTGTGCTGGATCGTGTGCATGTTGGTAAACATCATCTTTCCCATGTATGTGACTGGCAAATGGAACTACACAAACATCACAGTGAACGAGGATTTGGGATACTGTTCTGGGGGAGGCAACAACAAAATCGCACAGACACTGCGTGCAATGTTGTTATCATTCCCTGATGTGTTGTGTCTGGGGCTCATGCTCTGGGTCAGCAGCTCCATGGTTTGCATACTGCACAGGCACAAGCAGCGGGTCCAGCACATTGATAGGAGCAATCTCTCCCCCAGAGCCTCCCCAGAGAACAGAGCTACGCAGAGCATCCTCATCCTGGTGAGCACCTTTGTGTCTTCTTACACTCTCTCCTGCCTTTTCCAAGTTTGTATGGCTCTTTTGGATAATCCCAATAGTTTACTGGTGAACACTTCAGCCTTAATGAGTGTATGTTTCCCAACTCTCAGCCCCTTTGTTCTCATGAGCTGTGACCCCAGTGTATACAGGTTTTGTTTTGCCTGGAAAAGATGACAAGATCTCCTAACCTCATCATAAACATGTACATTGTATATATTTGCTCATGGTTCAATTGATGACTTACTCTTCTGTGCCGCAATGTAATCTTAATTATGAACCTCTCCCAATTATGAGAAGGTGATGAACAAGACAGGGTGAACTTCCACCCCAATGATAAACAATAACTAGTAAGAACAATTGTAAATGAAATATGATGCAATTATTATGTAAATATTCATATTATCAAAGTTTTATTAAGGCCTGCAGTAGAGTCATTAAAGGTCTACGCAATTAAAAAAATTAGGTCCTGAATCAATCTGGCAATGATGGGGATCTCTTTGAGTGTGCAACCTTCGATCTGATATAATAAATCTATGCAGAAATTAAGTAAGCGTGAGATTGTTGAAAAAGTTACATGACAAGTAGCAGTGTGTGATATGACCATTCAGGAAAGTGAAGAAAAAAATGTTCTCCTGAAGTAATGAGGTTGCTTGGAGGCGAGGTTTTGGTTAATTCCAGATTTGGGTCCCAAGTTATAAAATCTGTACGTTACATCCTCAGACAGATAATAGTAATTTAAAATATAACTATATGGAGGGAAATCAGTATATTTAAATCATTTTCATGTAGAAATGGTTACACTGATCAAGAATGAGACAAAAAAATATATTTATGCCAAAATTAAAAACATCCTGTGAATGCTGACTATTAAAAAGCAGATGCTGACTGGGCGTGCTGGCTCATGCCTGTAGTCCCAGCATTCTGGGAGGCCAAGGCGGGAGGATGGCTTGAGCCCAGCAGTTCGAGACCATCCTGGGCAACGTGTCGGAACCTCATCTCTACTAAAAATATGAAAAAAATTACCTAGGCATGGTAGCACATGCCTGTAGACCCAGGTACTTGGGAGGCTGAGATGGAAGAATCACTTGAAGCCCAGGAAGTAGAGCTTGCAGTGAGCCGAGATCGCGCCACTGCACTCCAGCCTGGGCTAAGGGAGTGAGACCCGGCCTCAAAGCAAACAAACAAACAACAACAATAACAACAACAGAAAACCACACACACTCTGTGAGACTGCATAGATTTGAGGATCTAGACGAGTAGATGGTAGACTCTTTTTCTTTATCATGTGAAGATGCCAGTTGGCCATGTTGGAAAGAAAGAGATTTGGGGGTTGCGTTTTCCTACCTCTAAGGTGAGCAAGTGAGCACAGACATTCATTTCCTTCAAATTTACTTGAAATAGCAGAGAAATGGCTATATTGAGGGAGAAAGTATGAATCCACTGTGTTCGTGTGGAGATTATGACAGGTAGACTTCCAAAGGAGCAAAATGCTTATGCCCCAATTATAAGAAACAATCTAACATACTGAGTCTTTATTTTCATTATGAAGCTGATGCAAAGTATTAAAGATTCAATAGTTCATCGAACAAAAGAATTCGTTTGACTTAACGTATTGAACTTCATGAACGAAAATAAGGAAACATTTTTAACTTGTATGAGGCACTTAGGATTATGTACTGCACATTAGATCACAAAGCAAGATGGAACATACCTGTGTGTATGTTTATAGTAAGTGGCATTATGTTTGCTATCTACCAAGGAATATTAGAAATGTTTACATTAAGAAATGTAGAAAAATATTAATTATAATAGTGACAAGTTAAACCAACTATGAAGTCTATTTCATGTGTTATTTACATAGCCATGCTAGTTGTTTAATTGGTTAAAATTACATAGAATGTATTTTTCGTTATTGTATATTTTTCGTAATGTTTTATGTATCTGTCTAAAATATTCAATTAATTATAGTCAAACAATGTTACTATAACAAAAATTATTTGTCTGTTTCAGTTTAATGTAATAATGGATATATTCAGGATTATGTTTACCAATTTATTCTGTGTTCTTTACACTTTCCCTATTTTCTTATTCTTTCTATTTTAACTTCTGTGTTTTTAAAACATTTTTAAAGCAATTCTACATTTTGCACTTTTGTTTAGAAGGTTTTGTACTCACTATCTTCGTTTTACATTTTGAAATTACTTCTATAAAATAATCATAAAGTTATGTAAGACCTTTAACTTTCACCTTGGCAATATTGGCACATTAAAACCCTAACCTATTTACCATCTCCCAGTTCTCTAAATTGTAACCTATGTACCATCTCCCAGCTGTGTAAATGTGCACAGCTCTATGAAATTTTAAAACCTGAACGCATCTCCTATGCATCTTCTAGATGAAAAAACAGGCTATTCCTGGAACCCAAGGTGTCCCCATGCACTCCTTCCTGTCATGACTCCCAAGGATTCAGCACTATTCAGACATCTCATAGCATCGATCACTTTGATGTGTTTTGCACTTCCTGTAAGTGGAATCATACAAAATAACCTATTCTGTATCTGGCATCTTGTATTGTATATGTTGTTTGTGAATATGTCTGTATTTTTGCAGGTGGTTGTGGATCATTCACTAGCATTGCTGCATAGAATTCCATTGTGTAAATATCTATTAACTTAATCATTCCATTCTCGATGTACATGTGAGTAGTTTTCAGTTTGGGGCTATTATGAATAATGCTGGTATATACATTCTAGAACTTGTGTTTTGGTGACACATGTATGAATTTATTTGAGATATATATATATATATATCTCTCTTGTGGTTTGGTGACACACGTATGAGTTTATTTGAGAGAGATATGTATATATACAGTAGTAGAATTGTTAAGTTCTACTTAACATAATTTTGTGTCTGTTAAGCTGTTTCAGACACTGACAAATAGTTTTCCAACAGGTTTACACCAATTTTCACAACCCTCAGCAGTGTGAGATCATTAGTTTATTCACGTCATGGTCAACCCTTGGTATATTCTGTCATTTTCATTTTAGCCTTCTGGTTAGTGTATTTGAGTACTAGTTAGCGGTTTTATGTTTATTTCCCTGAATACTAAGGCAATTGAGCATATTTTCTTTGTTTATTAGACATTTGGTAACCCCTTTTTTCACTAATTTTTAATTTGTAATTGACACATAATAATAGTACATATTTATGGGGTATTATGTGATGTTTCAATACATGTATACATTGTATAATAATCATATGCTGGTAATTACCATGTTAATTGCTTTAAACATTTATCATTTCTTTGTAGTGTTAGGAATGCAAATTAGTGAAGCCATTATGGAAAGCAGTTTGGAGATTCTTCAAAAAATTAAAAATAGAACTACCATGTAATCCAGCAATCTTCTTACTGGATATACGTGCAAAGGAAATGAAATCAGTATGTCAAAGAGATATCTACAGTCCCATGTTTATTGCAGCACTATTCACAATAGTCCAGATATGAAATCAACCTAAATGCTCATACAAAGATGAACAAATAAAGAAATGTGGTATATATACACAATGAAATACTATTCAGCCATAAAACAAAATAAAATCCTGTCATTTGTGGCAACATGCATGAACTTGGAGGACATTATGTTACTGAAATAAGCCAGACATAGAAAGACAAATACTGCATGATCTCACTCATGTGAAATCTAAAAAAGTTGATTTCATAGAAGTAGAGGGTAGAATAGTGGTTACCAGAGGCCCAGGAGGGAAGGGGTGGGGGACTGCTGCTGGGAGATGTTCATCAATTGGTACAAAGTTAATTAGCCAAGAAGAATAGTTTCTACTACACAGTGAGATGACTATAGCAAATCACAATGTCATGTATATTTCAAGATAGCTAGAAGAGAAGACTTTGAGTGATAACCTCTTTTTTGAAGACTTTATTAGTTTACTTTGCAATTTTATTTTCTATTATGTGGTTTGTCCCATGCCAGAAAGCTCCCCCAAGCTTTCATGTCTGAATTTTTTATCAGAGTTTAATTACCTAGGCATGGTTGATTAATTCAACGGCCATGAGCTTGAACTCAATCTCTAGCCTCTTCCCTTTCCAGTGGTCTGGTGGCTGAAAGTTCTTCTAATTACATAATTGGTCTTTCTGGTGACCAGTCCTCATTGTAAAGCTATGTAGGGACCCGTGCCACGAGTCATCTCGTGAATATGACAAAGGCATTCATCATTCAGGAAATTCAAAAAGATTATGAAGCTCTAGGCCAGTCGCGGTGGCTCACACCTGTAATCCCAGCACTTCGGGAGGCCATGGCAGGTGGATCGCCGGAGGTCCAGAGTTTAAGACCAGGCTGGCCAACATGGCAAAACCCCGTCTCTACTAAAAATACAAAAATTAGCCAGGCGTGGTGCTGTGCACCTGTAATCCCAGCTACTTGGGAGGCTGAGGCAGGGGAATTGCTTGAACCCGGAAGGTGGAGGTTGCAGTGAGCCGAGATCACGCCACGGCACTCCAGCCTGGGCAACAGAGCAAAACTTCACCTCAAAAAAAAAAAAAAAGATTTTGAAGCTCTGTAACAGGAACCAGGATGAAGACCAGATATATATTTTTTATTATTCCACAACTTCCAGTGACCAAAGCTGCAAAAACTTAAGTAACAAAATTAATTCCTTAGCATTGAATTATATAACAAAATATAAATATCAATGAGTTCATGTTGATATGAATAAATAATTGAACAAACAAATAAATGAAGGAGAAAAGACATATCTTCCTTACAGAAGGATGGCAAATAATCTATGTGGATACCTCCCAGCAGGTGAAGGTTAATTCAATGCCCCTTTCACACAAACACACATACTCACTTTAAGTGTGTGTGATGGGCTTAGAAACTCCCTTCCAAAGATTAGAGTGTGGAAAGGAAAACACAGTAACCATATAGTGAAGAAACTTGACAAACACTATCTTAACTAACTGATCAAGATTAACATCACCAGAGATAACTCATCCAAATTTCCTTAGACTTCTGACAGTATATGATGTGACAAGTGTGGTTTTCTTCCCCAAAACCCATAAAACTAGTCTATCCATGAGATAAACAACAGACAAATTCAATTTTAGCGACATTCTAAAAGTAAAACAATGCTCTTCAAAGTTGTCAAGATCATGAAAAACAAAAACACAGAGCAAAACGGGCTGGGGAGGCAAGATGACTAAACGTAATGTGATGTCCTGGACTGGACCCTGAAAGAGAAGAAAGACTGTGTTAAAACCGGTGAAATATAAATAAAGTCAGTTAAGAGGAATGAACCAACGTTCATTTCCTAGTCTTGACAAATGTTTCATGGCAACATGTTTACATGAGGGACACTGGGTGACGGATATTTCAGAACTCTCTGTGTTATACTTGCAAATTTTCTTCAGATCTACAATTATTCTACAATAAAATGTTTAATTTAAAAAATTATAACCGTTTATAATTTACAGAGGATCATATTAAAATATTTCCTATGTTTGAATTAATATCCTTTTTATTATTTTTTGAGAGGGAGTCTCGCTGTGTTGCCCAGGCTGGAGTGCAGTGGCGCGATCTCCACTCACTGCAAGCTCCGCCTCCCGGGTTCACGCCATTCTCCTGTCTCAGCCTCCCCACTAGCTGGGACTACAGGCGCCTGCCACCATGCCTGGCTAATTTTTTGTATTTTTAGTAGAGAGTGGGTTTCACCGTGTTAGCCAGGATGGTCTCAATCTCCTGACCTTGTGCTCCACCCGCTTGGCCTCCCAAAGTGCTGGGATTACAGGTGTGAGCCACCGCGCCCGGCCTTATCCTTTTTATTTCTTTTGAAGGTGTTCATTTTGCTTTCTTGGTGACTTCAAAATCAATATAAAACTCTGCATTAGGCCAGACACAGTGGCTCACACCTGTAATCCCAGCACTTTGGGAGGCCTTGGCGGGCGGATCACTTGAGGTCAGGGGTTTGAGAGCAGCCTGGCCAACATGGTGAAACCCTGTCTCTACTAAAAATACAAAAATTAGCCAGGCATGGTGGTGCGCACCTATAATCCCAGCTATTCGGGAGGCTGAGGCAAGAGAATCACTTGAACCCAGGAAGCAAAGGTTGCCTGCCTCAGCGAGCTGAGATCGTGCCACTACACTCCAGCCTGGGTAACAGGGAGACTCTGTCTCAAAAAAAAAAAAAAAAAAAAAAAAAGTTCTGCATTAAACAAAACAAATTCATGTATTTTGGCTCCAAATTGTATTCATCTGCTGCTCCAAGGCTGAGGAAGTTTATTCCAAAAACTTGTCTCAAGTTGGAAATGAAAAAGTCCATCCTGAAACCTACTTCTTGCCACTATAGCCAGCTCTATCAAGGCTTACCCAGAACAATCTACCTTTTGAATATCTCAAAAATCCATTCAATTTCTTTCCCACCTGCCAAATCTCTATTTACTTGTTGTCTCCTATGTGCACCCTTTGTTTGTTTTTGAGACAGTCTCACTCTGTCACCCAGGCTGGGGTGCAGTGGTACGATCTTGGCTCACTGCAACCTCCACCTCCTGGGTTCAAGTGATTCTCCTGCCTTAGCCTTGCGAATAGCTGGGTTTACAGGTGCCCGCCATCATGCCAGGCTAAATTTTGTATTTTAGTACAGACAGGGTTTTGCCATGTTGGCCAGGCTGGTCTTGAACTCCTGACTTCAGGTGATCCGCCCACCTGAGCCTCCCAAAGTGCTGGGATTACAGGTGTGAGCCACCATGCCTGGCCCCATCTGCACCCTTTGTAAAAGTGAGCTGACACAGCTCCCTATATTCCTTTTTGTCTCTTATGGATCATTCTTCAAATGTTTACCTGGAAATATTTTAATATACTAATCTTTCTCAATAAACATTATCATATTTCAAATGTCCACAGTTTTTTTATGGGATGTAAGGCACAATTTCAAAATGAGATTTCAAGAGGTCAAATATCCAAACCATAACAACCACCCACATGCTATGCCCATTTAGGCAACTGCTATGCCCATTTATACAATTCCAAGCTCTAGTACGTCTTAGGAAAATTTAATATCTCAGATTGGACATCACACATTTAAAGATGCTTTCAGTATCTATACATTATTTCAGGACTATTTTATGGAATCTGAAGTTCTTCACTGCAATCATTAATAAAAAATACAACTATATAAGTACTCACATGTTAATTACATAAGATTTCATTTACTATGGCTATTATTATTTAGTATTTCACATTGGATAAGTCTCTGTCTTATTCACCCCTCTCTCTGCAGTGAAATTGGCTGATAATCATTCTTAAGATCCCTTGAGGTCTGAGTGCATCAGTGGCCGAACATAAACCAAGACAGCCAATTCACATTTTCCTGAAATCATGAAAGAATCGTCTATTTCTTCTGCAGCAGATACTGCAGAGCCTGGATCTGCTGGGGTCACGGCACATGAGAACAAAAGGGCTAATAGTTGGAAAACAGGCAATGATTAGTGCAGCAGTGTTCACTAGCCACCAACTGGAATTATCGAAGAGAGCTAAATAAACGTAGGTGATGAAGGAAAGGGCGTAACATAATGCAAAGGTGCTCACCAATGCAAGGATGCTTTGGATGGCTCTGTTCCCAGGAGAAGAGTTGGGGTAGAGATTGTTCCTACAGATGTGTTGTACCTGCTGTTTGTGCCTGTACAAGACCAAAACGATGGAGCTGCTGGCCCAGAGCATGAGCCCCAGACACAAAACATCATGGAAGGATGTCAATGCTGCATATACTGACTTTGTGACTTCATCACTAAGTGGGGCAGAACAATATCCCAAATCTCCTTTCTTTGTGATGTTGTTGTTGCTCCATTTGCCAGTTGTATAAATAGGAAAAATGGCATTTACCAGCATGTGGAAGGCCCAGCACAGGATATTGGAGAGACCAATGTATGTCGGGGCTTTTACTTTCATCTCTGCCCACCTGGAGTTCCTAGGGTTGATGGTGATCACCTGGAAGACACTCAAGAGGCAGGTGCTTCCAATGGACACACCCCTGCCTACCCTGTGTGCATACAAAAGAAATTTGCATCCAAAATAATTGTCAAAATGTTTCAACCCAAAAGTTGCCATGGTCTCTGGGATTCTTTTAGATAGGATAACCAAGGAGTCAGCTACAGTCAGGTGCCTGAGAATCAAATCTGTGGATCTTGGCTTGTATCCCCTAAAGTAAAGGAACATATAATAATATAAGAGTGAAAAATTCCCCAGGATTCCAACAACTACCTGGAATAGTGTAGGGTCCAGCCCCACAGGTTTGGTGGGTTTCTCTCCGTGTGCAGAGACAAGAGAGTGTAGAAATAAAGACACAAGACAAAGAGATGAAAGAAAAGACAGCTGTGTCTGGGGGACCACTACCACCAAGACGCGGAGACCGGTAGTGGCCCCGAATGCCAGGCTGCACTGATATTTATTGGATACAAAGCAGGAGACTGGTAGTGGCCCCAAATGCCAGGCTGCGCTGATATTTATTGGATACAAAGCAAAAGGGGTAGGGTAAAGAGTGTGAGTCATCTCCAATGATAGGTAAGGTCACGTGGGTCACGTGTCCACTGGACAGGGGGCCCTTCCCTGCCTGGCAGCCAAGGCAGAGAGAGAGAGAGGGAGAGAGAGAGACAGCTTATGCCATTATTTTTGCATATCAGAGACTTTTAGTACTTTCACTAATTTTACTACTGCTATCTAGAAGGCAGAGCCAGGTGTACAAGATGGAACATGAAGGCAGACCAGGAGCGTGACCACTGAAGCACAGCATCACAGGGAGACAGGCCTCTGGATAACTGCAGGTGGTACTGAGTCAGGCCCTCCACAAGAGGTGGAGGAGTAGAGTCTTCTCTAAACTCCCCCAGGGAAAGGGAGACTCCCTTTCCCGGTCTGCTAAATAGCGGGTGTTTTTCCCTGACACTAACGCTACCGCTAGACCACGGTCCACTTGGCAACGGGCGTCTTCCCACACGCTGGCGTTACCCCTAGACCAAGGAGCCCTCTGGTGGCCCTGTCTGGGCGTAACAGAAGGCTCGCGCTCTTGTCTTCTGGTCACTTTTCACTATGTCTCCTCAGCTCCTATCTCTGTATGGCCTGGCTTTTCCTAGGTTATGATTATAGAGCGAGGATTATTATAATATTGGAATAAGAGTAATTGCTACCAACTAATGATTAATGATATTCATATATAATCATGTCTATGATCTAGATCTAATATAACTCTTGTTGTTTTATATATTTTATTATGCTGGAACAGCTCGTGCCCTCGGTCTCTTGCCTCGGCAGCTGGGTGGCTTGCTGCCCACAAATAGGAAGATCATTCCAATTTTCAGGTCCACAGAGGCCATTCTGTCATTTTCCAGCACTCAATATTGAGTAAGCAGAAGGTTCTGCATGGCAACAC
The DNA here is from genome assembly GCF_000001405.40 of Homo sapiens. Taxonomy (NCBI): domain Eukaryota; kingdom Metazoa; phylum Chordata; class Mammalia; order Primates; family Hominidae; genus Homo; species Homo sapiens. The sequence continues at coordinate 53,257,501 of NC_000019.10, read as the reverse complement.
GAGTTGTGGGCCACATTTTCATGGAAAATAACCTTTCACTTATGACGATTTCTTCCCCCTGAATATTAAAAGTGAAATATATAGAGAGATATATTGTTAACAAATTTCCCATTTCGTGTATTTCTTTTTACAGCACCTACAATGTATGAGTGACTTTTATAAATGCTGTACCTATTCTGACATTTAATATTCACAACTCCATGAGGTAGGAATTCATATTATTCTCCTTTCACCAACTCTAAAAGAGTTTAAGCACAAGGAGATTAGGTGACTCATTTAAATACCAGAAGAGTGAAGATTTGAACGTGAGTAGCCTGGTTGCAGTAACATTGGTGTTCACTACTACGCTATAATAGTTGCCTAGTTGTGTCCTTTATATATCTATACACACATATATATACATATACACACACACATACATACACGCACACCTACATATGTATAAATATTTGTCATGTTCACTTTATAAATTTGGTTTGATAATTTCCTATTTTTGTCAAAGTATTTATTCTACATATCAATATAACTTATGAGTGAATATTCATAGGTCTTGATAAGTTATAATAGGCACTAAATAATTTCATATGACCCAATGTATTTAATGTGAGTAGATGTTAAGATACCAGCAGAAACACTCATTTCACTGTCTGCAAAGACTAAAAATACTACGGCACCCATCACGGAAATTAATGTACAACATTAGGTAGAGTGTGCACTAAAATATGAGACATGAAACATAAAAGGTGATAAAGCATTTTAGGCTAGAAAACGAATCATTTTAAAGATTATGTAACTATATATTTATTATTTTAAAACAACTAACTGAAACTTGAATTAATATTTGATTTGGGAAACCTATGAAAATATAATAATTCTGCAAAATGGAATTTGAAAGTATGGAATCTTGTGCATTTAATACATTGAAAAGAGAAAGAGGCTGGGCGCTGTGGCTCACACCTGTAATCCCAGCACTTTGGGAGGCCAAGATGGGTGGGTCACAAGGTCAAAAGATCGAGACATCGTAGCTAATACGGTGAAACCCCGTCTGTACGGGTGAGACTCCGTCTCAAAAAAAAAAAATTTAAATACATATATGTATTTTTATATGTAAAATAAATAGAATTTTTATATGTGTATGTTTATATGTAAATAACATATATGTATTTTTATGCTAAAATGCACTCTCATTTTTTTTTCACCCTTCACCTGTTATCAGATGTAATTCCCAGTTACGAAAACAGAGACCCAAAGAGACAGTGGATAGACCTTGGTTTACTCAGATACCCCCATATGGGCTCATCTTCTCTTGGGGAGCCTCCAGTCAATAAGTTTCCTCTCTGGGCCCAAGAGAAATCAATTCAGTTGGCCAGGAGAATTGCCAAGCACATATTATGTTAAAAATACTCTTCCAAATAACTGAGAATAAAGACTTTACAGACTAAAGGCCAGGAGCGGTGGCTCACGCCTATAACCCCAGCACTTCATGAGGCCCAGGTGGGCGGATCACATGAGCTCAGGGGTCCCAGACCAACCTGGCTAACGTGGTGAAACCCCGTCTCTACTAAAAATGCAAAAATTAGCCAGGCATGGTGGCACACGCCTGTAGTCCCAGGTACTCGGGAGGCTGAGGCAGGAAAATCGCTTGACCCAGGAGGCGTAGGTTGCCGTGAGCCGAGATCGCGCCATTACAATCCAGCCTGGGAAACAGAGACTCCATCTCAAAATAATAATAAAAATAATAATAACGATAGTATATTAGTAATTAATAACTTAGACAAAACACAACATACCAACTCCAATAAATCCAGCACTTGGATTTGTAATTTATCTCAAGAAATGTGCATTAGGATAATAAAGGAAAATAAATTTAGATCGATACAAGCAGAACTTTGCGTTCTTTTAAAGCCAAGCCTCAGCCTTCCACCCCCCACCGCCCAGGGTCTGACCCCATAAATTCTCTGGAACTCAGCCCATGGTGCATCTCTGCCTCCTGGGTGACTGGGGAGCGGAAATAAAAATTACGTTCCAGTGAAAGTCAATATAAAATTGTACACTCCGCACAGGCACAAAAATGCATCTCATTCCAGTTTCCATCACCTACGCAGACAACTCCAGCTTTCGCTTAATTAAATACAAATTTTAATCGTCCGGATTTCAGAAGTTCCTGGATCCAAGAGCTTCCTTATACCGTCGCCCTCTCCCATCCACCAGGTCCCAGCGCTCCTCCCGCCTCGTCGCAGGACGCGCCTCCATCGCTCGCAGAAACGTTTTCAAGCAAACCTTTCCCATCTTAAGCTCCGATTCCAATATAAGGGGCCCACAGGTCTCTAATTTTTTACTTAGCTAGGCTCCAAAGGACACCATAGAGATTCAAGGGAATCCAAAAGTGAAGAATCGAGTACTGCTGGGCGACAAACAGGCCTAAAAAAGTCGCTGGGACGCGCCGAGGAGAGGTCCGGCAGTCCGACCCCTAGGCCCCGCCCATCCCGCCATTGTCCCCGCCCATCCCGCCATTGTCCCCGCCCATCCCCGCCATTTGCCCGCCCATCCCCACAGTTGTCCGCGCCCTGCCCCTGCCCTTGCCCCTTGCGCCGCCCCAGTGCACTCGCGTACGCGCAGGTTCCTGCCGACCCGGAAGCGGATCTCGCGGGGCTACTGGCGCTCTCGGGTGAGTCTCCGTCTTTCGGGTTCAAGCCTGCGCCTCGCGGGCCACAGGTTCCCACGCTCCGCTGTCGGGTTTTGGGGTCGCCCTGTAGGTTAAAACCCCGAACCTGCTCATTCCTCTCGCGGCGTGGCCCTAAGACGTTCCCAGTCCCGTCGCTCCGAGAGGGTCTAGAGATCTGCGTCCATTTCGGATTAAAATCGTTCTGAAGTGGGTACTGGCCCCGACCTTTTTGCTTTAGGTCAGTGTGGACACCGACCGCCCACCGCGTCGTTTCTCTGCTTAAAACTCTTCTCTGACTCCCTCTTCCCTCCCCCTGGTAAAGCCCTCACTCGGGGTGGATACACACCCTTCGCCCTTCTCCAGGGAGAACAGAGGGGAAGCAGAAATGGAGGATAAAGAGGGAGAAATGCGCGAAATTAGAGAGCCATCAGAAACAATAGCAGGGACTGAAAAAAAGGATGCTACCAGGATGGGGCCAAACACTCTGTCAGAGAAGGAGAGGAAGGGAAGCCAAATGAGCAGAAAGGGACAGGAAAACGCCGAAATGGGAAAAAGAAAAGGAAAGAAACAGAAGGTGGAAGAGAAACATTTATAGAGAGGGGGAAAAAAATCACATAATGGTGGAGAAAGGGGGGGGCACCCAAATCCATGTGAGTGTGGATTGATTTAATATGGAACATTAAGTTGTGAAGTACTGATGTATGGCTCTATAATTAATTTAAAATTTGCTTCATTGTTTGTGCAGAAGAGCATGAAAATTGCAAAACTACGGTGTGAGGCTTCTGCGTTTTCTAATTATTACATCAGAAGCAACCCTTATTCAGCCAGAGGGTTAACTGACTTAGCTCAGTTAATTCCAGCTCACCCTCTTCCCTTTCTCTGATCTTGAGGAGAGTCAAGAAATGGGAAGAAACTGTGACACCGTATGCTGCTTTTGCAAACAGACATTAACAATATTATTCCCTCCTTTTTTGTGTGTGGCTTGTGTCATTTTCTAAATTTGACGTGTATTCAACTTGTCTTAAATGTAATTCCATAATTTATTGGATTTAAAAAAAATTTTCAAAGTATTTTCTCTTAAATGTATTGTTCAGCTTATGAGGTTTAAATGCTTTCTTTTGCTTTCTTTTATTTATTTATTTATTTTTTTGAGACGGAGTCTCACTCTGTCACCCAGGCTGGAGTGCAGTGGCTTGATCTCGGCTCACTGCAACCTCCGCCTCCAGGGTTCAAGCGATTCTCCTGCCTTAGCCTCCCGAGTGGCTGGGATTAAAGGCATGCGCCACCATGCCCGGTGAATTTGTATTTTTAGCAGAGACGGGATTTTCACCTTGTTAGCCAGGCTGGTCTCGAACTCCTGACCTCAGGTGATCTGTCTCCGCCTCTCAAAGCACTGGGATTACAGGCGTGAGCCACCGCGCCTGGCCTAAATGCTTTCTACTTTTTATCATATATTGGAACTATTCTTTTATGTCTGGTACTTGATTTCACAGTGTTTCACTCTAAGGTGTTGATAATCTTTTACCACTTAAAATCTGGTTTAACCAGTTAGTTTAATACAGTTGACCTTGAACAACACCAGTTTGAGCTAAGCAGGTACAACTATACAGGGGATTTTCTTCTACCCCTGCCACTCCTGACACAGCAAAATGAACCTCTTCTCTTCCTTTTCCACTGCAGCCCACACAATATGACCTCGGGGAGGATGCGAGGAAGATGAACTGTGATGATCCACTTCTTCTTAATGAATGGTAAATATATTTTCCCTTCTTTATGATTTTCTTAATCACATTATCTTTTCTCTAGCTTACTTTTTTATAAGAATACAGTATATAATACATGTAACATACAAAATATGTGTTAATCAACTGTTTATGTTTTCAGTAGACTTCTGGTCAACAATGGGTTATCAGTAGTTAAGTTTTTGGGAAATCAAAAGTTATACCTGGATTTTTGACTGGAGGTGGGGTGCGATTAGCACCCCATCACTACTGGTGTTGCTCAAGGCTCAGCTGTATTCAGTTTCTTTACTCCCTTATGTCATCTAAAAGCCTCCCACTAAGTAGATGTTCCTCCAGGTCCCCTTTGTCCTTTCTCTGCAAGATGTTGAAGAATGGCCTGGATTGGTGTGGAATTTTGTTCCAACAGAGCCCGTCTGTTCATAATGAAGAGATTACTCAGCACTAATCTCCACAGCTGACCCCCTTTCATGCTTTCCAAGAGTAATAGCTATTTGTAATTTCATATTTTTGAATATTTTTCTGGAAAAGAGTTAAATCCTTGGGATCAATTAAACCCATGAAATAGAAGTTTCTACTCAGGAATGTGAATGGTGATCTGGAAATAAGGACAAACCTTTGCTACTGCCCTATCCAGGCCACCATTTCAACATTCATTTACAACTGAGTTCTGCTCACTCAACTCAGACCTTTTCCAGGTAACTTGGTGAAATATCTCCTCTCTCTGAGGCTCAGTGTGCCCACCTGTAACGTGGAGATGATGGGTATACCAGAAATTCTGAATCTGAGCCGATGGGATCCCTGAAATGATTTTCAGGATTGAGCATGTGTCTGCATGTGGCAATTTTTTGAGAGAGGGTGCCCAGTTACAGTTAGTCTTAAATGACTCTGAGACCTCCAAAAATGATGGAAACTACTAGGAAAGGGGTCGGGGCATAGGGTTAGAGATAGGAGAGCTGCTTCTCTCTCAGCTTTTTATTCTTTCTCCCTATCTCTACATCAGAAGTAAGTCTTAAGTTTTATTATGTCATCTCCTGGCGTTATATCTTTTTATGCTTTCCCCCTGCCTGTGGGACAAAAGTCTAAACTACTTAGTATGGCTACAGCAGGGATTCGTGGAGCTATGGTGGCTCTTCACCTGTTCCAATTTTAGGCTTTTATATCCTGCATTGACTGACAGTCATTGGATACTGGCCATGAACTTGGACACAACAGTTTTTCTTGGCTGAGTGTCAGGTGGACAAAGGACAATGCAATTGATGCAGAATGTGTGGGTTTCAGCAAGAAGGGAGAACTTTTTGAAGACATAGGTGGAATAACTCCTTAGTCTCTGTTTAGGAGTTAATTTTTTTCATGAGTTTATTTTCACTCTTGTTGCAATTGGAAGCTAAGGACCATCTTTTTTCTATATCAAGCCTCTTCCTGTGTGTGTGTGGTAGAGGCAGGGGGTGTGTTGATTTTAAGCATTAAACAACATATTTTTGACATACAGACTGACTTACCTGAGAAAGAAACTCAGAGGAAGAGGAAAGAAAGAAGAGGAGGGAATGGCTCTTTCTCAGGTAAAAGTTATATTCTTGGTTCACTGTTTTGTCCTCTCCTTCCTGAAATGCCATATTTTGGACTTGCTAATTTTATCTGACTCTGAAGTGTCCTGACTAATATGTATATTCACACCCAGGGCTTTCCCTCAATTCCATCTCCACATAGATTCCATCTCACTGTGACCCGGTAACACGGAACTTTGGAAAAGGCTCCGTTTAGATGATTGTTCTGGAAAGGGTTTTATGCCTAGGCATGGATTGGGTATGGGGGGCAGGCTCCATGGTGTCAGTGAGGTTGGGTGGTAGTGACTGTTTAGAGACTTCATTTGGATACCCTTTCATCTCTTTATAAACCAGGATTAAAGAAGCTGCATATGGAAGTGATATATTAATGTGCACAAATACCTGGAAAACTTTGAAAAAGAAGACTGTTGGGGGAAACTTGCTTAGCTTGAGTTTATAATACATTTGTAGCTAAACAATTGAATCAGTGTGTTTCTGGCTCTAAAATATTAATTTGAAATAGAATGGGAAGTTCAGAAGTAGACATTGGGGATGGAGAAGGTAGTCTTTTTTCATAATTGGTTTTAAAATATTAAATCAACATAGTTGTCTTAACAGCAGGAGGTTCTTTAAATTCTTCACAGTGCATCCATCTCATGAAGACTCTCCTGTTCATTTGGGAATTCTCATGCAGTGGGTGTTTAGATAAAAATGTCTGTAATTTATTATTTTTCTTAATTTTAGTCCAGGGGTAGGTTTGTTATATAGCTAAACTTGTGTCATGGGAGTTTGTTGGACAGATTATTTCATCATCCAGATATTAAACCTCGTACCCATTAGTTATTTTTCCTGATCCTCTCCCTCCTCCCACCCTCCATCCCTGATAGGCTCCAGTGTGTGTTGTTTCCCTCTATGTGTCCATGTGTTCTCATAATTTAGCTCCCACTTGTGAGAACATGCAGCATTTAGTTTTCTGTTCCTGTGTTAGTTTGCTAAAGATAGTGGGCTCAAGCTCTGTCCATGTCCCTGCAGAGGACATGATCTCTTTTTTTATGGCTACATAGTATTCCGTGGTGTATGTGTACCACATTTTCTTTATTCAGTCCACCATTGGTGGGCATTTAGGTTGATTCCATGTCTTCGCTATTGTGACTAGTGCTGCAGTGAACATATGCACGTATGTGTATGTTCATGCACGCATGATGGGATTGCTGGGTTGAATGGTAATTCTGTTTTTCGATCTTTGAGGAATCACCACACTGTCTTCCAGGATGGTTGAACTAATTTACACTTCCACCAATGGTGTGTAAGTGTTCCTTTTTCTCCACAACCTCACCAGCATCTGTTATTTTTTTGACTTTTTAATAATAGCTAAAAGGGGCTGGGTGCAGTGGCTCACACCTGTAATCCCAGCACTTTGGGAGGCTGAGACGGGTGGATCACCTGAGGTCAGGAGTTCGAGACCAGCCTGACCAACATGGTGAAATCCCGTCTCTACTAAAAATACAAAATTAGCTGGGCATGGTGGCACGTGCCTGTAATCCCAGCTACTCGAGAGGCTGAGGCAGGAGAATCGCTTGAACCCGGGAGGCAGAGGTTGCAGTGAACTAAGATTGTGCCGTTGCACTCCAGCCTGAGCAACAAGAGCAAAACTCCATCTCAAAAAAATAATAATAATAATTAAAAAATAATAGCCAAAAGATGGCTATAATATAGCTAAGACCTGTGAGCAGAACTTTCTGTCATCAGAGAGGCAGGAGCCAAATTCTGATTACACTACTTGTTAAATACTACATTTCTTTTGTAGTAAACATCACATGATATATATATTTTTTATGATAAAATGTCATGCAGTGATGCTTAGGGACTAAAAAGTAAAACATTATGTTGTCCAGTCCACCATCACCCACTATCTCCATCAGGAACTACTGATCATTCTTTTCAATGGAAGAGAAGTCGTAAAAATCATAATTTAATTTTAGAAAATGTTTAGTGAATATTTTGTTGTGATATTCTGTTTTGCAAAATTGTATATTTGTATACTGTATGTCTTTGTTTTGGTTTTTTGCTGGTAAACAGAGACAGCTTGAGTTTTTACTTTCTCATTGGAGCATTCTCTTACTGAAGACACATTGGTTGTTTACAGTTTTTCTCCATTACAAAGAATCCGCATTGGCTGCCTCTGAGCAGGCCAACTGTACTACAGCTGTGTGAGGATTCCTCCAGGTTGGGCAATTTGAAGCATGATTACTGGCTTAATGATGCTTCTGAGGAAGCTCAGACATTACACTTACTAAAAAATACTTTAAATCAACTATCTTAACCATGCTTAGAGAGCTGAAGTAAACGGTGGACAAAGAACTAAAGGAAAGTAGGACAACAGTGTTTCAACGAATATCAGTAAAAACATAGAAATTATTAAAAAGAAGTGAAATAGAAGTTTTGGAGCTGAAAAGTATAACGTGAAAATTTCAACTATAAAGTTTCAAGAGTAGAGTGACAGAATACAGAATCAGCTAACCTAAACTTTAGGTTAATTGAAATTATTTAATCTGAGCAGAAGAAAGGGAAGAAAAATACAATATAAGAAAGCTTTGGGACACCATGAAGCATATGTATGTATGCTTAATAAGAATTTTCCAAGAAAAGGAGAAAGCAAAAGGCAGAAAGAATATTTGAAGAAATAAGAACTGAAACCTCCCAAATATATAAAGAACATGAATCTGTATACCTAGGAAACTCAGTGAACTTTAATTGTGATAAACTTATAGAGATCCACAGCAAGACACATAATCAAACTGTGGAAGGAAAAGAGAATCATGATAGTAGCAACATAGAAATAATTTGTCATGTACAGTGACCCTCAAAAAGATTAAGAGCCAAATTCTCATCAGAAACTATGGAGGCTAGACATTAGTGGAATGACATATTCAAAGTTTGAAACGAAAGAACTATCCAGCAGGAATTCAGTATCAGGCAAATTATCCTTCAGAATTGACAGTGAAATTGAGATCCCCAGATAAACAAGAGCTGAGGGAGTTTGCATTAGTGGACTTACCCTGCATGAAATGTTAAGCAAAGTCTTTTAGGCTGAAGTAAAAGGACACCAGCAGTACCTTAAAGCCATAAAAACAAATTAATACAGGTAAAACACCTACGTAGGTACAAATACAAAAGCCAATATTACTGGTTTTTTAAAAACTTTTTTTCTATATGATTTAAAAATGTATAAAACAGTAATTGTAAATCTGTTACTGGCTATAAAATGCATAGAGAAGTAATTTTTGACATTATAAAGAGAACCAGCCAGAGCTATATAGAAACAGAAGTTGTTATGCAATTGAAGCCAACTTAGCATCGATTGAAACTTAATTATTATCAGCTTCTGATGGAAATTTTAATTCCCAGGGCAACCGTTAAGAAAATAACAAAAATGTAAAGAAGGGAACCGAAATGATATACACACACAAACTTATACACACAAAGAAGCAAGTAAGGGAATAATTACAAAACAAAAAAGATAGGCATGTGAAAAACAAGTAGCAAAATGGTAAAAGTGGTTCTTTTATCAGTAGTTACTTTAAATATAAGTGGATTAAATTCTCCTTTAAAAGGCACTTATTGGAGGAATAATTTTTTAAAACTATGATTTCACTATATAATGTTTATAAAAGACTTCCTTTAGAGCTAAACACAAATAGCCTGGAAAGTATAATAAAAGGATGTAAAAAGGTATTTCATGCAAATATTAAACCTAGCTGGATAGCTACATAGATAGCAGACCAAATAAACTTTAAGTCAAAAATTGATACCAGAGATGTTGAAGGACAGTAAATATTGGGGTTAATCCATCAAGAACATGTAACTGCTATAAAAAATATGGATCAAATATCAACACCCCAAATATTTTGGAACAAAAATTACAAGGAGATACAGTCCTGCTATAATAGTTGGAGAATTCTATGCTCTCTGTTTAATAATGGATAGAACAGCCAGACAGAAGATTAGTAAGGAAATAAAGGGCTTGAGCAACACTTTAAACCAAGATTATCTAACCCACGGACCACAGACTGCATGTGGCTCAGGATGGCTTTGAATGTGACACAACACAAATTTTTAAACTTTCTTAAAACATGAGATTTTTTTGTGATTTTTTTTTTTTTAAGGTCATCAGCTGTCATTAGTGTTAGTGTATTTTATGTGTGGCCCAAAACAATTCTTCCTCTTCCAGTGTGGCCCAGGGAAGCCAAAAGGTTGGACACTGCTGCTGTAAACTACACCAAACAAGCACGGAAAGAAAACTGCACCCAGCAAAAACGGAATCTGCACTCTTGTCTAGTGCACATAGCATATTCTCCAGGATGGACCACATGTCAGGCCACAGAACAAGTCTCAATACATTTTAAAAAGCTACAACTTATAAAACTATTCTCACACCACAATCGAGTGAAACTGGAAATCAATAAAAGGAAAACTGAAAAATTCAGTTTTAAATGAATTTTAACTTCCTTATTGAGGTATGATTGACATAAAAACCTATACATATGTAATGTATACAATTTGATGAGTTTGGAGATCAGTATATACCTCTGACACCACCACTACAATCTGTCATAAACATATCCATTGCCTCAGAAAGTTTTTTTCTTGCTGTCTTTATTATTTCATATTTTTATAAGAATACAACCTAAGAACTACTGTCTTAACAAATTTTTAAGTATACAATACAGGATTAACTATAAGCACTGTGTTATTCAGGAGATCTCTAAGACTTTTTCATCTTGTGTAACTGAAACTGATTACTACCTCACCATTTCCCCACTCAGCACCTAGCAACCACCATTCTATTCTCTGTTTCTATGAGTTTTACTGTTTTCAGTTCCTCATATAAGTGGAGTCATGTATTTGTTCTCTGTGTGGCCTATTTCACTTACATAACATACTCCATTTTCATTCAGGTAGTCTATAGCAAATAGGATTTCCTTCTTTTTAAAGGCTGAATAATATTCGTGTGTGTGAGTGTGTGTGTGTGTGTGTGTGTGTGTGTGTGTGTGTGTGTGTGTACATTTTCTTTATTCAGTCATTCCTTGATGGATATTTAGCCATGACTTGGCTATTAAGAATAAAGCTGCAATAGATATGGAAGTACCTATCTCTCTTCAAGATCCTGATTTTAATTCTTTTGGATATATACCCAGAAGTGGAATTACTAGATCATGGTCGCTTTTTTTTTGGGACGGAGTCTCGCTCTGTCACCCAGGCTGGAGTGCAGTGGCGCGATCTTGGCTCACTGCAAGCTCCGCCTCCTGGGTTCCCGCCATTCTCCTGCCTCAGCCTCCCAAGTAGCTAGGACTACAGGCGCCCGCCACCATGCCTGGCTAATTTTTTGTGTTTTTAGTAGAGACGGGGTTTCACCATGTTAGCCAGGATGGTCTCAATCTCCTGACCGTGTGATCCATCCGCCTTGGCCTTCTGAAGTGCTGGGATTACAGGCGTGAGCCACTGCACCCAGCCGGTCATTTTATTTTTATTTTTTCCTGAGATGGAGTCTTCCTCTGTTGCCCAGGCTGGAATGCAGTGGCACAATCTTGGCTCACTGCAACTGCTGCCTCCCCGGTTCAAACAATTCCCCTGTCTCAGCCTCCTGAGTAGCTGGGATTACAGGCGCCCACCACCACGTCTGGCTAATTTTTATGTTTTTAATAGAGATGAGGTTTCACCATGTTGGCCAGGCTGGTCTTGAACTTCTGATCTCATGATCTGCCCACCTCGGCCTCCCAAAGTGCTGGGATTACAGGTGTGAGCCACTGCGCCCGGCCTATTTTTAATTTTTGAGGAACCTCCGTACTGTTTCCATAGTGGCTGCACTAATTCATATTCTGACCAACATTGTACAACAGTTCCCTTTTCTCCACATCCTAGACATTGCTTGTCCTTTTTTTTCTTTAGTGGTCATCCTAATAGATGTGAGATCATATTATGTTGTTGATTTGCGTTTTCCTGGTGATTAGTGATATTGAGCACCTTTTCATGTACCTAATGGCCATTTTTATATTCTCTTTGGAAAAAATGTCTGTTCAGCTCTTTTGCCCATTTTTTATTGGGTAATTAGTTTTTTTGGCTCTTGAGTTGTAGGAGTTACTTATATTTTTTGGATATTAACCCCTTTTCAGATATATAGTTTGCAAATATTTTCCCATTCCATAAGTTGCCTTTTTGTTCTGTTGGTTGTTTCTTTTGGTATGCACAAGTGTTTTGGTTTGATGTAGTCCCACTGGTCTATTTTTCCTTTTCTTGCCTGTGCTTTTGGTGTTATATCCAAGAAATCATTGCCAAGATAATGTCAAGAACATTTTCCCTATGTTTTCTTCTAGGAGTTTTACAATTTCAGGTAAAACTAAAGACGCAAGGTAAATTGAGTAAATTTACCTTGAGTCTTTAGTCAGTTTTGAGTTTATTTTTATTTGTGGCATAAGATAAGCATCCAGTTTCATTCTTTTGCATTTGGGTGTACAGATTTCCCAGCACTATTTACTGAAGACAGCATCTTTTCTCCATTATGTATTCTTGACACACTTGTCAAATATCAGTTGATTGTATATGTGTGAGTTTATTTCTGGGCTTTGTATTCTAGTACTTTTGTTTTGTGTGTCTATTTTATGCCAGTACCATACTGTTTTGATTACCATACCTTTGTAATATACTTTGAAATCAGGAAGTGTGATACTCCAGCTTTGATATTCTTGCTCAAAATTGCTGTGGCTCTTTTGGGTCTTTATAGTTCTATATGAATTTTAGGATTATTTCTTATATTTTTGTAAAAAGTGTCACTGTGATTTTGATAGGGATTGCATTGACTGTAGATTGCTTTGGATAATATGGACATTTTCATAGTATTAATTTTCTAAGTTCTTGAACATAGGATATCTTTCCATTTATTTGTTTTGTCTGCTTTAATTTCCTTCATTAGTATTTCATAGTTTGCAGCATGCAAGTCACTTACCTATTTGGGTAAGCTTATTTCATGTTAAAGTCACATGGGGAGTGACTGCTTAATGGGTACGGCATTTCTTTTGGAGTTGATAAAAATGTTTTTGAACTAGACAGAGGTGGTGGTGTATAACTTTGTGAATGTACTAAATGCCACTGAATTGTACTTTAAAATGGCTAATTTATTTGTTTTATTTTGAGGTGAAGTCTTGCTCTGTCTCCCTGACTGGGGTGCAGTGACATGATCACTGCCCACTGCAGTCTCCACCTCCCAGGTGCAAGTGATCCTCCCACCTCAGCCTTCTGAGTAGCTGGGACTACAGGCCCATTCCAGTGTGCCCAGCTAATTTTTTAAATTTTTTAGTAGAGGTGGAGTCTCACTTCGTTGTCCAGACTGTTTCAAACTCCTGAGCTCAAGCAGTCCTCCCACCTCAGCCTCTCAAGGTGCTGAAATTACAGGTGTGAGCCACTGCACCCAGCCTCAAATAGCTAATTTTATGTTATGTAATTTCATCTCAGTTTAAAAAAAATAAAATTAGGGATATATAAGTTGCTTGCATTAACTCACATAAATCAGTGAATATGTACACCTCTTTTCTGCCATTTTGTGTGAAAATAAGAAATTTTCCTGTGTCCACTTGGTGAAGTGTGTTTTTATTTCAGGGACTGTTTACATTCAAGGATGTGGCCATAGAATTCTCTCAAGAGGAGTGGGAGTGCCTGGACCCTGCCCAGAGGGCCTTGTACAGGGACGTGATGTTGGAGAACTACAGGAACCTGCTTTCTCTCGATGAGGATAACATCCCTCCAGAAGATGGTAACCACCCTTGTACATCTTTACATTTTTCCTTGTGAGTCTCTTGGGAGGCCCTGATGTGCTTGTCTGAATCCGATCCCTGTTCTAAAAGGGGAGATTGAAACTTTTTGATTGAGAGTGGAAAGGCTTCATAATGTAGCATATAGACTTTAAACTTCCCCTTTCTTCAGAAGTTCTGCGCATAATCAGGTTTGACGAGTGGTGGTTCCAGAATATCAGTACTTACAAAACCTTATGGAAAACGTTTTAAAGTGTCTGGTATCATGGTTTTATCCCTGTGCCTTTGATTCAGTAGTTTTTTCAGAGTCTGCATATTTAAAATAATCCCTAAGCATTCAGAAGAAGGCAGTCCGTTGACTAATTTATGAAATTGTTTTGGGAAATAGTTTTGCAGACCCATGTGTAATGTCCTCTCTTCGTAGCTGAACAAAGGGCTGGGAATGTATCCAGGAAAAGCACAGCATACCATGTTCCTTTTTTTCTTTATAAGTTGAAATCTTTCCTGAGCTGAATATTGTGTTCATTTTGGAGCACAGGAAAGAGTCCTAGACTATGGAAAGTGAAGTGAAAATAGGGAAAAAATCAGGTAGGTCGGAATGTGAGCACAAATAAGCGCTCAGATGGCCACAGAGTAAGCTACTCCATTGAGTATTGTTTGGGAAACTCTGCAAATGGGAAAGATCAGTGGGAAAACAAAAGTTTATTTCTTATGAGCTCTCAAAGCAAGGTCCACACCCGCTCCTACTGTCCCCCAACATACTGTTATTCAAATGTGTAAAAGGTTGAACTCCCACTCTCCCGTGATGCCCCAACTCATACAGACACAAAAGCAAAGGTGCTATCATGACCTACAATACTGTTTGGCCCCTCTGACCATTTTGGTCTCTTGGTTTTGAGAGGGACCGAAATGGCTGTTTTTAAGGACTCTCTTTTAGTGTATATAATTTCATCTGATGTGTGGTTTTCAGTCTATACAGATCAGAGCTGGGGCCTTTGTAGCCCTGGCTCCAGAACCTATTCAATTTCTATTCCTATTTCTTATACCTGCAAGAACTTTTCAGGAAAATGGGAAAACAGTGGCTCCCCCAAAATGTATCTGGGGTTCCCTGAAATTTGAAAGACTGTCGGTCTCTCTACTTGTTCAAGCCCCTTGGCCATTCCTTCAGTTCTGCTTTTGCCACATGTGTCTAAAGGGGAATGGGCAGGCTTTTGAGATTGTTACTCAGCATTAATGTAAAGACTTGACAGAGAGATCCTCTTTTTGATTGCCATTCCAAAATGGGAATATATCTCATTCTTTTAGGTTCTCACCTTGCAGCCTGTGGACAGAGCACACTGCCTCTTCCTTAGAATCCTACAAAATCCGACCCTTTTATTTTACTCCCGTACCTTTTATTTCTCTCCCTTTTCTAGCTTTCTACTCTATCCGGGAACTTAGGGAGACCTTAGTCTTCCTGATTCCATATTCTTCTAAGATTTGCCTCTGAAAGTTGCTTTTGAAATACACATTCCGGATGGGCGTGGTGCCTCACGCCTATAATCCCAGCACTTTGGGAGGCCGAGGTGGGCAGATCACCTGAGGTCGGGAGTTCGAGACCAGCCTGACTAACATGGAAAAACCCCGTCTCTACTAAAAATACAAAAATTAGCCGGGTGTGTTGGCGCATGCCTGTAATACCAGCTGCTCGGGAGGCTGAGGCAGGAGAGTTGCTTGAACCCGAGAGGCAGAGGTTGTGGTGAGCCGAGATCACGCCATTGCACTCCAGCCTGGGCAACAAGAGCAAAACTCCATCTCGAAAAAAAAAAAAAGAAAAAGAAAAGTACACATTCCTAGAGTCTGAAATTTCCTCTCTTTCTGCTGTGATAACCCACCAATAGGCGATGGACAACTTTTGGTGGACTCTCCCATGGAAGAGGTTTCCTTGGTGACAGAACATTCTTGAAAGAGAACATTAATTAATCTGTCACAGTATCATTCTGCTACATAGAGGTGCCTCTTGAAGCCACTGAGTAGAGTAGCCTGCATGTCCCAGTATGCTGAGAGAGAATCAGGACAGCCGGAGGGATAAGTGCTTCTGACCTTCTGGTTTCTGTGGAGTTTCCAGTGTCTCCCAAGGGCAGTGTGACAACGCTGGTTAGATATATGCTGATCATCCTCTTGGAGCCAGCAGTACAAGGTGTAGGAGTTTCTCCTGGGAAGAGCATTCTCCAAGTTCTCAACCTCATATCTGCGAACATGTTGACCAAACTGTTGCTCATACCACATTATTCATCCCATACGTGCAGTTGTACATTTTTCTTCAGTATGATTTTTATGCCTTTATTGAGGGAGCTTACAAAGTTGAATTAGGCATACATTTTTAAAGTTCAGTATAATTTGGTTAAGCCACTGACACTTTCATTTTGCCAATGTCATTGGTATAAATGAACTTGTATGTATTTAATCAGCAGTTACATGTTTTCATGATACTCTTAGTGTTTTTTGTTTTATATCTACAGTGTGTGGGGCCATGAGATGAATGAATATTGTTTTATTATATATATTTTTTTCTGCTTCATATACTTTCATGATGTTTTATATGTTTTACCAGAAGATTTCTTCCTTGAGTATTTATGTCTGAGTATTAGTTTCCTCAAAACATATATAACCTCCAAAACTTTGTTAAAGGATAGTATTAGTTATTCCTTTTACTTCTGTTTCCTGTAACTTTATATCAACTCTTAGCTTATACTTTTTAAAAATAGACTTTCTATTTTTTAGCAATTTTATGTTCACAGCAAACTAGATTTCCTGTATACTCTGTTCCCCCACACGTGCACAGCGTCTTCCCCCATTATCACCATCCCCCATCACAGTGGTACATTTGTTAAAATTGATAAACCTACATTGACACATCATTATCACCCAAAGTCCATAGTCGATGTTGGGGTTCACTCTATGTATATGCTTTGGGTTTGGGCAAATATATAATAGACATATATCCTCCATAATAGTATCTTACAGAATAATTACACTGCCCTAAAAAATCTGTGCTCTGTCTGTTCATCTCTCCCTCCCCCCAGCACCTGGCAACCACTGATCTCTTTACTGTCTCCATAGATTTGCCTTTTTCAGAATGTCATATAGTTGGAACCATATAGTATATGGCCTTTTCAGATTGGCTTCTTTCACTTAATAATATGCATTTCAATTTCTAGGGCTGGGCGTGGTGGCTCACGCCTGTAATCCCAGCACTTTGGGAGGCCGAGGCCGGCGGATCACGAGGTCAGGAGATCAAGACGATCCTGGCTAACATGGTGAAACCCCGTCTCTACTAAAAATACAGAAAATAAGCCGGGCGTGGTGGCGGGCACCTGTAGTTCCAGCTACTCAGGAGGCTGAGGCAGGAGAATGGCGTGAACCTGGGAGGCAGAGGTTGTGATGAGCCGAGACCATGCCACTGCACTCCAGCCTGGGCAACAGAGCGAGACTCCATCTCAAAAAATAGATAAATAAAATAAATTTCTTCCATGTCTTTTTATAGCTTGACAGCTCATTTCTTTTTAGCACAGAATAACATCCCTTCATTGCACACACTGTGTAAAGAATGACTCCTGCTTATACACAGGACAGCTTACTCAGGACAGCAACATGATCTGGTCACTGTCTAAACAACTTGTGCAAGATAAGGTGACTTAAATGCTATCTGAGAGCAGTGGTGCTGTCACACTATAGGTGACACAGCTCAGGTCCCATAATCTGCCTTGAAACATTTCTTCCTACACTCCTCGTATTTGCTGTGATTTATAATCCGTGCTGCCCTGGGTGGCCAGTGGTGCTTAATGCTGTGAACATGGCATCTTAGCCCGCACACACAGGTTCAGATTCTGGCTTTCAGATGTGCTTTCTCTGTGAGTTAGGGATAGATATGTAAACCTCTTCAGCCCTTTGTTTTGGTATGAAAAGGTGCGATAATTTACCTCAAGAGGATTTACATCAATTAGTGCTGTTAGAGACCTTAGTAACTTGCATAGCATTTAGTATGCTTTGAAAAGTTACCTTTATGAATAAGATATGTCAAGTGTCTGTCATGTTTCTTATGAGATTGACCTTTGCCTTCATTATATCTTACATATTTTCTTTTTTGTAATTTTTTTTTTCATATCAACATTTCTCTGACTCTACATAATAAAATGTTAAAGCACACAGCTTTCATTATATGTATTTTTTGGCCATAGAACTGGAAAACTAGATGACATTTCCTAGTCAGGGAGTTTCTCTATATACTGCTGTCATATAACTGCAGGCATGAAATTATTTCAGACTCCCCTCCTAATTCTTCATCTTTATAGTAATGTGCATTTACCTGAAGCTGATATTTCAAAATTTAGTGATTCTCAACATATTATTTTTCCTATTGTGTGTCCCTTCTGTTTTTTCTGTAGTTCATAAGCAGTAATTCTTTAGAATTTCACTGACAATTTTGTGTAATTGTGGTTGTTCATTAACTTGCCTGTTAGATTTTCACAGGTTACTAAAGTGTTTTATTTATTTTTGTAATGATTTACAGATGATGGTTTTTCAGTATATATTATGCAATAGAACCACCATGCACAAATTGTTAATGCTGCAAAATGCACATTCTACATGGGTGTAAGTAGTTTTATAACAAGTACTCACATTTGCAATTTGTAAATATTCAAAATTTTATTAAATTCTTCCGAATTTTTTCTTTCAGTGTTTTGTTTGCAATTATGAATTGTCATTTTTAAATATTTTTTATTAGATAAGCTTGAGCTGTGCCTTACCTTTTGTGTGTAATAATTATGTACTAAATAATGCATTACTATTTGTTTATCTTCAAATATGAGACTACCATATAGCTATGCCAATTTACGTGTTCCTTGGAGTGGTGGTGGAAAAATACCTCTTCTTTCAGAGTTTATGTGGATTTACATAGTATGAGTGTTTTAGCTATAGGGTGTTTTAAACTGTGCTTAAAATAATTTGTTACATGTTTTGTTACTGTGTTACTTTATTGAGGACAGCTAGTCCCTTTGTGTTGTTAAACGTTTAAAGACAGTTGAGAAGCTTCATAACTCTGTTCATTGTAAATCTTAGCTTTCTTGTAATATGTATTTTAATAAAATATTTACCTTGCAACTCTATTTGATGGAAAGCCTGTGGTTTTTTTAATATCTTTCAGATATTTCTGTTGGATTTACAAGCAAGGGATTATCACCAAAGGAAAATAATAAAGAGGAATTATACCATCTGGTGATATTAGAAAGAAAGGAAAGCCATGGCATCAACAATTTTGACCTCAAGGAAGTCTGGGAAAATATGCCTAAGTTTGACAGCCTGTGGGACTATGATGTAAAAAATTACAAAGGAATGCCTTTGACCTGTAACAAAAATCTCACTCACAGAAAAGATCAACAACATAATAAATCCTCAATACATTTCTCTTTAAAGCAGAGTGTTTCTATAAGAGATAGTGCACACCAGTATTTCATCCATGACAAGCCATTTATAAGGAATTTGTTAAAACTGAAAAATAACATAAGGTATGCCGGAAACAAATACGTGAAGTGTTTTGAAAATAAAATTGGATTAAGCTTACAGGCACAGCTGGCTGAACTACAGAGATTTCAAACTGGGGAGAAAATGTATGAATGTAATCCAGTTGAGAAGTCTATCAATAGTTCCTCAGTTTCACCACTTCCTCCTTGTGTCAAAAACATTTGTAATAAATATAGGAAGATTTTGAAATACCCTTTATTACATACACAGTATGGGAGAACACACATTAGAGAAAAATCATACAAGTGTAATGACTGTGGAAAGGCTTTTAGCAAAAGTTCGAACCTCACTAATCATCAGAGAATTCACTCTGGACAGAGACCTTACAAATGTAACGAGTGTGGCAAAGCCTTTAACCAGTGTTCGAACCTCACTAGGCATCAGAGAGTCCATACAGGAGAGAAACCATATCAATGTAATATATGTGGCAAGGTCTGTAGTCAAAATTCAAATCTTGCAAGTCATCAGAGGATGCATACTGGAGAGAAACCTTACAAATGTAATGAATGTGGTAAGGCATTTATCCAGCGTTCACACCTTTGGGGTCATGAAAGAATTCATACTGGAGAGAAACCTTACAAATGTAATGAATGTGACAAAGCCTTTGCTGAACGTTCAAGCCTTACCCAACATAAGAGAATCCATACTGGAGAGAAGCCTTACATATGTAATGAGTGTGGCAAAGCTTTTAAGCAGTGCTCACATCTCACTAGGCATCAGAATATACATCCTGGAGAGAAACCACACAAATGTAATGTGTGTGGCAGGGCTTTTATCCAAAGTTCAAGTCTTGTGGAACATCAGAGAATTCACACTGGAGAAAAACCTTACAAATGTAATAAATGTGATAAAGCTTTTATCAAACGTTCACACCTTTGGGGTCATCAGAGAACTCATACTGGAGAGAAACCTTACAAATGTACTGAATGTGGCAAAGCCTTTACTGAACGTTCAAATCTTACTCAGCATAAGAAAATCCATACTGGAGAGAAACCTTACAAATGTACTGAATGTGGCAAAGCTTTTACCCAATTTGCAAACCTCACTAGACACCAGAAAATACACATTGAAAAGAAACATTGTAAACATAATATACATGGTAATGCTTTATTCCAAAGTTCAAACCTTGGAGATCATCAAAAAAGTTATAATAGAGAAAAACATATCAAATATAATGAGACAAAAATTAAGTATTCAAGCTGTACCTAGCATCAGGGGCTCCATTGTGAAAAGAAACCATATAAAACGAAAATGTGGTAAAGCCTTTAGCTATGGCTTATGTCTCACTTGATACCAGAATATACATCTTTGAGATAAACCACACAAAGATAACATGTATGGCAAGGCTTATCCAAAGTTCAAGCCTTGTGGAACATCATAGAATTCTTACTGTAGAGAAGCCTTACAAATATAATGAATGTGAACAGCTTTATAAAAATATTTACCCTATTATGGTTATAACAGAAGACATTCAGGATGGAAACCATACAAATGTGGCAAGTCCTTTAAGCAATGTTCTGACTTCAGGATACACCATTCATATTGGAGAGAAGCATTACAAGTGAAGGTGGTAAATTATTTTAAATTTCTCAATGGAAATTCATCCTTATATGCAAGCATTTTGTCATACAAAAATTCAGGCTAGAGGGAACTAAGTCTTTTTTCCTTCTTGAAGATTAAGTGATTGATGTTAAATTCACAGACAATTTTAAAAAGTCACAAACTCATGGTGTGTGTCAGAGGAGCAAGGACATCTGTGGAAAGATGTAACTTCAGTGTTAAAAATTTTTTATTCAGTTATTTCATATTTTTAAAAGTATGAAATCTGTTGCTGTTAAATCTTCATGGCATGCTTTTCATTTATCATGATTGTCTCAAGGAATGGATGTAAGATGGAAGGGACTACTTCCTTAGGTGTGGCTTCTTTATATTACTGAAACCTGGAAAAAGCAAGAACACTAATTTTTTCTTTTTTTGGAGACAGAGTCTTGCTCTGTCACCCAGGCTGGAGTGCAGTGGCACCATCTCAGCTCACTGCAACCTCTGTCTCCCGGGTTCAAGCAATTCTCCTGCCTCAGCCTCACGAGTAGCTGGGATTACAGGCATGCGCCATCATGCCTGGCTAGTTTTTTGTTTTTTTGTTTTTGTATTTTTAGTAGAGACAGAGTTTCGCCATGTTGGCCAGGCTGATCTTGAACTCCTGACCTCAGGTGATCCACCTGCCTTGGCCTCCCAAAGTGCTGGGATTACAGGCATGAGCCACCGTGCCCAGCCAAGAACACTAATATACAATATACTATAAGAGCATGGGGGTTTGTGCCAGAAGAGAGGTAAAACTATTGTCTAACATATATGCTTTATGTGGTCAGGACCCCTTAGAATTGTTGATGTGACTGGGGACCTTTGTCGATTATAGGAGAGATTGGTTACAGTACAAGATGACCATGAAACAAGAAGAGTAGGGTGGGACATTGAGAGATTTTCATGGAAGTGAAATGGTCGGTTACTAGAGACTGCATATGTGGTAGAAAGAAATGGAGGGGGAATGATAGTCACCCTCTCTTGAAAGGTAGTTACTGTTGCATATCACAGATTATTGAACATAGATAGGTCTTATTTTTGGAAACTGAAGAGAGAATGGTTACCATAGAGGACAGTTCCATCAAAAGAACCAGAGTAGTGTTCTTATAGGGGATTCACATTTGGCCCCTGAGATTGCATTTGATACCATTTTATTTAGAATATATTATACTTCTTATGTCTTAATTAGTAAAATATAATCATTTTTAGTAACCCTGAATGAATCGTGTGCCTTCCGTCAACCCAAGCATATCCCACCTCATTGGGACACTTAATATCAAACACTATAATACATCATTAGACTCTCAAGGTTGAATGTCATCTATAACAATTTCTATCCATGTTATGTTCAAACAGTATACAATTTAAGAAGTATATATTCATAATTTGCACTTGAAATATTTTCTCCACACTCTGCCCTAGATGACTTCTATGGCTATAATGAAAATGCCATGCCATAGTGGGACAATATCAGACCCCCTGAAACCTGTCTTCCTGTTCATGAATATGCACTGTGCAGTTATATTTCTACATGCCTTTTTTTCTACATAACTTTATTTCTGCATGCCTTTTACATGAGAGGAAAATAACAAATGTAAGCATATGAAAATTATTAGTAAATGAAATTTCTGAAATAATAACACAACTTCTTTTTTTGTACTTGGAGCACTCCGTGAAATAATTTGAAAAAAATCAGTGTTCATGAGTTTCCCCTTAATAATGAACATAAGCAATGGATTTTTTTTTTAAAGAAACTAGAAACCTCATGTATTTACCCCCAAAACATTTTTTTTTACTGATTTGCACTTGTCGCCACTCCACTGGAACAGGAGGGAACCCCGTGCAAAGTTTGGTTTAGATTTCAGGATTGGTGGTACTCTACATCAAAGTATTATAAGAATGTTTATTACAAAAGGCTTTCTGGAGAGAACAGGGTAGACTTCCCAAGCTGGTTAAAAAATGGCTAGAGAAGGCAGTGAAAGATGATTGACTTGGGGTGTTATGATGTTTATCTGGTGGGGCTGGAGTGAATACTCATCTGTGGTTTAAATTTTCAGCTAGCCGGCTGGGCAGGGAGGCTGACATCTGTAATGTCAGCACTTTGAGAGGCCCAGGCGAGGAGATTGCCTGAGCCCAGGAGTTTGAGACTAGCATAGGCAATATGTCAAGACCCTGTCTGCAAATTTAGAAGTTAGTTGGGCATGGTGGCACATTTCTATAGTGCCAGCTACTCAGGAGGCTGAAGCAGGAGAATTCCTTGAGCTCAGGAGTTGGAGGTTACAGTGAACTAGGATTATGCCACTGCACTCCAGCCTAGGTGACAGAGCAAGGCCCTGTCCAAAAAAAAAATCAATTTCTAGGCCAGGCACAGTGGCTCATGTCTGTAATTCTAACACTTTGGAAGGCCAAGATGGGCGGATCGCTTAAGCCCAGGAATTCGAGACTAGCCTGGGCAAACTGTCACTATAAAAAATACCACCCACCCAAAATTAACATTTGTTAGTACCTCATAACTTTTTTTTTTTTTTTTTTTGAGACAGAGTCTAACTCTGGTGCCTAGTCTGGAGTGCAGTGGCACAATCTCAGCTCACTGCAACCTCCACCTCCCAGGCTCAAGCGGTTCTCCTGCCTCAGCCTCTCGAGTAGCTGGGACTACAGGCATGCACCACCATGCCCAGCTAATTTTTGTATTTTTAATAGACACAAGGTTTCACCATATTGGCCAGGCTGATCTCGAACTCCTGACCTCAAGTGATCTGCCTGCCTAGGCCTCCCAAAGTGCTGGGATTACAGGTGTGAGCCACCATACCCAGCCTAATACCTCATCACTTTTTGTTGCTGAATAATATTCTACAGTTTGTCTGTCCATTCATTATTTGATGGAGATTTGAACTCTTTCTACTGTTTGAAATTAGGCTATTATGGGCCAGGTGCAGTGGCTGATGCCTGTAATCCCAGCACTTTGGGAGACCGAGATGGGCGGATCACGAGGTCAGGAGATCAAGGCCATCCTGGCTAACATGGCAAAACCCCGTCTCTACTAAAAATACAAAAAATTAGCTGGCCTGGTGGCGGGCATCTGTAGTCTCAGCTACTCGGAAGGCTGAGGCAGGAGAATGGCATGAATCCGGGAGGCGGAGCGTGCAGTGAGCCCAGATCACGCCACTGCACTCCAGCCTGGGCGACAGAGCGAGACTCTGTCTCAAAAAAAAAAGAAATTAGGCTATTATGGAAAATGCTGCTATGAACAACTTTTTACAAGATGTTTTTGCACATACATGTTTTCACTTCTCTTGGGTATGTCTGTAAACGTGGAATTTCTGGGTCATATAGTAATTATCAGTGATTATCTTTTTGTGGATTCACCAAACTGTTTTCGAAGGCAGCTGCACCATTTTACTTTTCTACCAGCGATGTTCCAGTGTTCCATTTTCTGCACTTCCTATCGATTATTGATGTTTGTAGTTGTTGGGTTCACAGTAGTAGTAGTATATAGCCTTCTAGTCACTTACAAGTGATATTTCATTGTGGTTGGATTTCCTTAATGATGAATGTTGAGCATCTGTTCCTATGCTTATTAGCCATGTGCATCTTCATTGGAGAAATGTCTACTCAGACATTTCTTTTAATGTTTTAAAAATTAGATTGTGTATTTTTGGTTCAGTTATGAGTTATTTTATATTCTGAATACTACACCCTTATGAGATTTGCCAGTACTTTTTCCACTTCTGTGTACTGTTTTTCCACTTTCTTGATAGCATTCTGGATTTCGGCAAAGTTGGCAATGTTCTATGGCTCATACCTGTAGTCTCAGCACTTTGAGAGGCTCAGGAGAGAGGACCACCTGTGTCCAGGAGTTCGAGGCTAGCCTGGGCAACATAGTGAGACCACATCTCTACAAAAAATAAAAAATTAGCTGGGTGTCATGGCATGCACCTGTAGTCCCAGCTACTCGGGAGGTTGAGGTGAAAGGATTGCTTGAGACAGGGAGGTTGAGGCTGCAGTGAGCCATGACTGACACTGCACTCAGCCTGAGTGACAGAGTGAGACTCAGGACCAATACAGTAATACAGATTGTGATGAATAAACTTTGAAAACATGGAATTAGCTTTATTCTGAATGATTGTATTAGTCTGTGTTTAGGAAAACGTATACAATTACTTCAAGAATAAGAATAGTTATATGTTAAGAATTTTTGCTGGGCGCGGTGGCTCACACCTGTAATCCCAGCACTTTGGGAGGCTGAGGTGGGCGGATCACGAGGTCAGGAGATCGAGACCATCCTGGCTAACACGATGAAACCCCGTCTCTACTAAAAATACAAAAAATTATCGGGGCGTGGTAGTGGGGGGCCTGCAGTCCCAGCTACTCAGGAGGCCGAGGCAGGAGAATGGCGTGAACCCAGGAGGCGGAGCTTGCAGTGAGCTGAGATCGTGCCACTGCACTCCAGCCTGGGCCACAGAGCGAGACTCCGTCTCAAAAAAAAAAAAATAAAATAAAAAGAATTTTGGAGGTGCTTGAGCAGTGAAAGGTGTGGAAGACTCCAGCAGGAATATCAAAGAAAAATAGTCACTGGCAGCTTCAGTGAGAAACCAGAGCTCATGGAGATGTCTTAGAAGTTACTGCTTCTGGCTGCTTGATTGGGATTAGAGATGGTGAGGTCTGTGCAGTATTCATCTGAGATTAATGGCTTAGTGCTTCACTTCTGCCTTTCCTATTCCATTCAGGTTTTCCTTTTTTTTTTTTTTTAACAGCATTTTAAATTTTTTTTTATTTTTAATTTATTATCTATTTATTTTGAGACCGGGTTAAGAGACGGGCTAATTTTTGTATTTTTGGTAGAGACAGGTTTTCGCCATGTTGCCCAGTCTGGTTTTGAACTCCTGACCTCAAGCAGTCCACCCACTTCAGCCTCCCATAGTGCTGGGATTACAGTTGTGAGCCACTGCGCCTGGCCCATTCAGGTTTTTCTCATTGGCAAAGTTTAGCAAGAACCATACAGGAAACGCCTTCTGGAAAACAGTTCTGAGCACCAGATTGCAGTGGTGGTACTGTTAAGTGGACAAAGGACATTGCAGTATAGAAAAGTAGCTGAGACATATTGACCTCAAAACTGGAGATGGTTTTAGAAACTTTGAGAGGGAATGCAAATGGTGCCTAATGTCTTTGTTCAGTTGTTTTGGGTACCTGCAGTATTATTCTTTTAGGAAATGGTGACTGGGTGCCATGTTCAAATGTATTCCCCAAAAGTTCATGTTGGAAATTGAATCCTCAAATCCATATGTTGATGGTATTTAGAGGTGGGAGCCTTTGGGAGGTAATTAGGGATAGATGAAGTTATGGGGGTGGCTCCCTATGTTGGGATTAGTAGCCTTATAAGAAGAGGAAAAGAGAGCTGAGCTGGCATGCTTCCTCCTTCTCACCATGTGATGACTTCTGTTATGATGCAGCAAGAAGGCCCTCACCACATGTAGCCGCTCAGCCTTGGACTTCCCAGCCTCCAGAGCTGGAAGAAATAAATTATATATATACACATACATAAATTATATACATACATATAAATTACCCAGGTCAGGTTTTCTGTTACAGCAACAAAAAATGGACTAAGACACAGGATAGGTTGGGGTTTGGGGGCTGTATTGTGAATATCTAAAAAAATTGGCAGTGGAAACATGACACAGTGATTGATAGCAATTTGATGAGCATCACTGAGAAGCAAATGATGTAGAAAGACAGACTTTATTGTCCTTTCCTTGCCCTTCAGGCCTAGATCTCTAACAGTTTGTCAAGAAAGAGGGTATTGCTAAAGCTGTCTAGGCTTTGCTTTTAAAAGTCTTGTAAGGAATGGCATGTCCTGTGGTGCCCGGAGATACAAAACCTTTTTTGTTAAATCCTGGAAGCTTACTGTATAAAATGAGTCTTTTCTGTCAATTGCACCACTGGGATAGTTGACCCTGTAGGGCAACTGATGCTTATGTGGTAACTCAGAGATGGAGGGGCTTCCATATTATGGTTTCTCTATCTCAAAAATGGGCCTCTGATTATTGCAAAGGAAACAAGCAAGAAGGTCACACTTAGTTTTAAGTGGTTTGGCCTGAAAGTGATACATTACACTTACACCCTGTTTGGCAAAACCGGTCTCATGGTTTTAACTTGAGGCAAGGTGGCTGAGAAATTAGGGGAATGTTGGCTATGTATGTGAAGCTGTTAAAAGAATGAGGAAAGTCAGGGCTGGGCGCGGTGGCTCATGCCTGTAATCCCAGCACTTTGGGAGGCGGAGGTGGGCAGATCACAACAAGGTCAGGAGTTCGAGACCAACCTGACCAACATGGTGAAATCCCGTCTCTACTAAAAATAGAAAAATTAGCTGGGCATGGTGGCGCATGCCTGTAATCCCAGCTACTCTGGTGGCTGAGGCAGGAGAATCGCTTGAACCCGGGAGGCAGAGGTTGCATGAGCCGAGATCGCGCCACTGCACTCCAGCCTGGGCAACGGAGTGAGACTCCATCTCAAAAAAAAAAAAAGAAAAAAAAAGAATGAGGAAAGTCATATTGGAGTGATCACCACCATACCTAAAAAACAAGGTATAGAATATCATATATGGTATTCTCTTTGTGATAAAAAAAATCTGAAATTAATACCTATCAAGAAACCTATTTAAGAAAATAAAAAGTTTGAGAAGGCAAAACAGAATAGGGATTTTCATATATTTGTAATATAATTTTGACTTTAGAGACAAAAATATTTTACATGTGGAAAAGCAACGAATAAAAAGGGAAACTAAACAAATTGAAAACTAAAACAAGATGGGATTATTCATTTTTTGGAACAAATATAGCCTTAAACATTTTAAATGTTCACCCTCAATTGAGTATATTCTATATATGCAAGGAAATCCTGTGAAGGTCTTTAATGCTTCATTGGAAATATAGGCTCCCTCTGAAAATCCCCAAGTTATGATATAACAGATTACCTTTCGGTTATAGTCTAATATGAAAATACATTTGGAAGTGTTTACCTCTCTCACTTTAAGGTAAGAGGGCATGAATTTTTTTTTAAATCTCAAATTCATTTTCCTACCTTGATAGTGGAATTAGAATATATTAAAACTTGGAGAAATATTTTTATTTAGATACAAATAGAGCTCAATAGAAGTAAATCTGTAAGTTAAAAAAAAACAGTAAGGACGTTTAATAATTTTTGTCTTTCTTTTTGAACACCCAAAAGACAGGCGATAGGCTATATATAATATTAGACTCTCAGGATAAAGAACAAAGTCAGTTAATGTAATCTGGCTCTTCCCAAAATTATGGTGACCACGTTGTCATTAATATAATTGGTAACAGGTATTTGGTCTGCAACATGTTTGTGGGTTTTGTTGTTGCTGTTGTTTGAGAAAGGGTGTCCCTCTGTCCAGCCCAGGCTGCAGTGCAGTAGTGTGATCACAGCTTGTTGTAGCCTCAACCTCCTGGGCTCAAATGATCCTCCCACCTCAGCCTCCCGAGTACCTGGGACCACAGGTGTTGCCACTACACCTGGCTAACTTTTTAATTTTTTTGTAGAGATGAGGTCTCACTGTGTTGCTCAGGCTGGTCTTGAACTCCTGTGCTCAAGCTCAAACGATCCTCCAACCTCAGCCTCCCAAAGTGCTGGGATTACAGGCATGAGCCACTGTTCCTGGCTTTCTAACTTAATTGTTTCTTTCTCTTCCTCTGTTTTTGATGTGTGAATATGAAATTTGAAAATCCCCGTTCTTCATTAAAATTACAGTAGCCATTTAACAGAATTAATATTCTTTGGGAAAAAAATATGGAAATATTGTTTTCAGGTAAACAAGACAAAGCCTCAAAATGAAAATGGTTTTGCCCCTTATCCTATACCCTTCTCAGTCATACACCAGCCATCTGCATTCTCCTCAAGGAGAAGGAAGGCTGAGTGCTGATGGAGGTAGAGTAGGCAGAATGGACTTCTCAAGAGGATCTGCCACATCCCAAACTGCAGCCTCCGGACTTGCTATTATGTGAGAAAGATAAACTTCCTACTTGTTTTTTAGTCCCTGTTTTTCAGATTGTCGTTACAAAAATTTTTCTACCTGACAAATAAGATTGTTATTTTTCACTGGGAATAGAATGCAGCATTTGAGAGTGAATCTTCCATTTTCATGGCTTAGAAAAACTTCATGAAAACCTTTTTCCACTGCTGAGGTGGATCTATTTAGTTCATGTTGCCTGAGATACAAAATGTGGGAATAAAAGTAGAATTATGACCTGCTAATCTACGAGCCTATGCATTGCAGTAACTTTCTTCTTTGCATCGAAAAAAATGCATTCGTTCATTCGTTCATTCATTCATTCAATACAAACGCACAGAGTCCCTGCTCTCAGGGATTATTCTAATCATTGATGATCTAGCAAGAAACTGAACCAGTTCCCTGCTCTCAAGTATCTTATGTTCTATACGGGTAAGTCAGCAATAATTATAATAGGAGGATAAGTTCAACAAAGTGTACATGTAGTGACAGAGTGACAGGATGTCCTAATTTAAACTGTTCAGGAAATACCCATAGGATAAGATGATATTTGAGCAAAATCAGTAATTGGACTCTGTCATATAGATACAAATGGGGAAAAATAATTGGGCAGAGGAAATGGAGAAAATTGTCAGGATGGGAACATGTTTATAATGATTGAGGAATATCCACAATCAGCGCGTGGCTTGGTGAGGTGTGTGATCATATCTGTTGGAGACATTTAAAATTTGAGACTTCTTATGGTTCACAATTTTTTTATTTCGGGGGACCTAAAAGTCAAAACACCTATATAAACTGTTTATATTTTTGCACGTTGATTCTTGTAACAATTCTTTTCCTAGAGGGGTTAAGATACAAGTGTGGATCCAGAATCATGATGACCTATTTGTGGAATGCACAGACAAATTTATTTACAGGAGCCTCTCAGCTGCTGGGGAGACGTGGGGGTAGGGTGAGGTAATGAGTTAATGAAAAGATAGTAAATACCATTTGTCAAAACTGTCTGAGAGATTTGATGATACCAGTTCTGCAAAGACTTGTTAGGATACACACCTCTGCCATCTACCCCTGGGGCCACTTAGGGGTATGTTGCTACTTCCTCTTATGAATGCATGTCAAGTAAAATTAGTGGAGTTTTTAAGCCCCAGTTTTTATCTTTACTGTCAATGTCATCAAAAATTATTTTCACATAAAATACCGTAGTTTCTTTCTTTCTTTTTTTTTTTTTTTTTTTTTTTTTTTTTTTTTTTTTTTTTTTTTTTTTTTTGAGATGGAGTTTCGCTCTTGTTGCCCATGCTGGAGTGCAGTGGTGCGATTTTGGCTCACCGCAACCTCCGCCTCCCAGGTTCAAGCAATTCTCTGAGTAGCTGTGGTTACAGGCATGCACCACCACGCCCGGCTAATTTTTTGTATTTTTAGTAGAAATGGGGTTTCCCCATGTTGGTTGGGCTGGTCTCGAACTCCTGACCTCAGGTGATCCACCCGCCTCGGCCTCCCAAAGTGCCAGGATTACAGGCCTGAGCCACTGCGCCCAGCCATTACTGTAGTTTCAAATCAAATAGCAACACAATCACGTATTTCCTATGTTTTCCCTGGTATAAGGGAAAAGACCTACCAGTTATTCTTTTCCAATTAGGAGAAACCTTGTGTTCCCCTTACACTGGATTACAAAACTGACTGTACGCTTTATTGCCCCAACTTTATTGTAATTCAGATATGTGATGAAAATATGACTCTCAGCCAGGCGCGGTGGCTCACGCCTGCAATCCCAGCACTTTGGGAGGCCGAGGCGGGTGGATCACCTGAGGTCAGGAGTTCGAGACTAGCCTGGCCAACATAGTGAAATCCCATGTCTACTAAAAATACAAAAATTAGCCGGGCGTTCTGGTGAGCACCCGTAATCCCAGCTACTCGGGAGGCTGAGGCAGGAGAATCACTTGAACCCAGGAGATGGAGGTTGCAGTGAGCCGAGATCACACCACTGCACTCCAGTCTGGGCGACAAAAGCAAGACTCGGTCTCAAAAGAAAAAAGAGAATATGACTCTACATGAGAAATCGACAAACTTTAAAGGGCCAAGTGGTATTTTATTCTTTGCAGGCTATACGGTTGCAAATACCCTACTCTGCCTTTAATGGATCAATAGTACCTACACGTGGGTTTGGCCATGTTCCAAGTAAACATTATTTAAAAACAGATGGTGATGATGCAGGGCAGGTGAGCCCCCAGACTGGGGATTCGCTCAGGAAATAATTCAAGGGTGAACTGGTAGTGGGTAGCACCTCCCCCCCACCCCCCCCCGAGACGGAGTTTTGCTCTTGTTGCCCAGCCTGGAGTGCAATGGCGCTACCTCAGCTCACTGCAACCTCTGCCTTCCAGGTTCAGGCGACTCTCCTGCTTCAGCCTCTTGAGTAGCTGGGATCACAGGCTTGTGCCACCACGCCCAGCTAATTTTTGCATATTTAGTAGAGATGGGGGCGGGCCTTCACCATGTTGGTCAGGCTGGTCTCAAACTCCTGACCTCAGGTGATCCACCCGCCCCAGCCTCCCAAAGTGGGGTAGCAACTTTTATTGGAGCGGCGGCAACAGCAGCAGCAGATGAACGGCTCCTTGCAGGGCACGGCTACCCCAAAAGGAGTGTGCTCAAAGTAGCAGCTCAGAGGCAGGTCTGCAGTCATATTTATGCCCACTTTTAATTACATGCAAACTAAGGGGCAGGTTATTCAGAAATTTCTAGAACGGGTGTGGTCACTTCCAGGTCATTGCGGTGGAAAGGGGTGGTCACTTCCAGGTGTTGCGATGGCAGTGGTAAACTGACATGGCAATGGGGGGCGTGTCTTATGGAGAGGTGCTTTTGCCTCTTCCCTGTTTCAGCTAGTTTTCAATCTGGTCTGGAGTCCAAGCCCTGCCTCCTCTCTCAGTAATTCATATTTGACTTGTGTTTCGTAACACATGATCTACACAAAAGAATGAGGAGTGCCAGAAATAGTAACCACATGGGTAATTTTTTTGTTTGTTTTGTTTTTGTTTTTGTTTTTCGTTTTTTGTTTTTGAGACGGAGTTTCGCTTTTGCTGCCCAGGCTGGAATGGAACGGTGCGATCTCGGCTCACCACAACCTCCGCCTCCCGGGTTCCAGCGATTCTCCTGCCTCAGCCTCCCGAGTAGCTGGGATTACAGGCCTGCGCCAGCATGCCCGGCTAATTTTGTATTTTTAGTAGAGACAGGGTTTCTCCTTGTTGGTCAGGCTGGTCTCGAACTCCTGACCTCACGTGATCCGCCCGCCTCGGCCTCCCAAAGTGCTGGGATTACAGGCGTGAGCCAACGCACCCGGCCCCACATGGGTAATTTTTAAACGTATTTCTTCCGTTTAAATCTCTTTAAAATGTAACTGTTTAGAAAATAACAATCTGCCTCGGGAGCATGATCCATGAGTTGCTGCCCTGGAGCCACTTGTAGGTTATCTAAAAGTTAGATGTATGATAATGACAGCACACACACCAACAGTTGTGAAATGAAAGTATACATGGGTAAGGATCTGATGCTTTACATGAAGTCGTATGGAATCACTGGAAGGTAGGCTGTGATAAGCTGTATAGTATAACCCCCCTAAAGCAAATGCTAAAAATTTGGTTATCGTTAACACTAAAGCCAAAAAAGGAATTGGAAGAGAGCCACTTAAAAACCCAAAGGCCTTCTCCGCGGCGCTCCGGGCCCGGGCCGCTGGCCTTACCGCCCACTGGGTAAGGAGGCTCAAGCTGAGCCCGGCGCTGCCGCCGCCCTTCTCTTGCTCTCCGTGTCTCCCTTAGTTTTGGGCGCAGGAGAGCCCTGGGCTCTACACGGGCCTGCAGGCGGCGGCAAGGACACTACGGCCTTAGCCCTCTTAGGGAGGCCGCTGCAGCCCCACCGGAAGACATGTGAGGAATTGCATAAGACAGCTATGCAAAATGGAGCTGGAGGAGCTTTATTTGTGCACAGAGATACTCCTGAGAATAACCCTGATACTCCATTTGATTTCACACCAGAAAACTATAAGAGGATAGAGGCAATTGTAAAAAACTATCCAGAAGGCCATAAAGCAGCAGCTGTTCTTCCAGTCCTGGATTTAGCCCAAAGGCAGAATGGGTGGTTGCCCATCTCTGCTATGAACAAGGTTGCAGAAGTTTTACAAGTACCTCCAATAAGAGTATATGAAGTAGCAACTTTTTATACAATGTATAATCGAAAGCCAGTTGAAAAGTATCACATTCAGGTCTGCACTACTACACCCTGCATGCTTCCAAACTCTGACAGCATACTGGAGGCCATTCAGAAAAAGCTTGGAATAAAGCTTGGGGAGACTACACCTGACAAACTTTTCACTCTTGTAGAAGTGGAATGTTT
Source organism: Homo sapiens (assembly GCF_000001405.40). Lineage (NCBI taxonomy): Eukaryota > Metazoa > Chordata > Mammalia > Primates > Hominidae > Homo > Homo sapiens. The sequence goes on along the minus strand of NC_000019.10, from coordinate 53,224,190 downwards.
AGGGGCCTGTGTGAACGCACCAATGGTTCAAATAAATGACAATTACTATGAAGATTTGACAGCTAAGGATATTGAAGAAATTATTGATGAGCTCAAGGCTGGCAAAATCCCAAAACCTGGGCCAAGGAGTGGACGCTTCTCTTGTGAGCCAGCTGGAGGTCTTACCCCTTTGACTGAACCACCCAAGGGACCTGGATTTGGCATACAAGCAGGCCTTTAATTTATATTGAACTGTAAATATGTCACTAGAGAAATAAAATATGGACTTCCAGTCTACATAAACAAAACAAAACAAAACCCAAGGCAACGAAAGAAAAGAGAAGAAAGAACAAAGGCAAAAACAAAACCAATACCAAGATAGTTTAACCATATAATAATCACTTTAAAAGGAAGTGGTCTAAACACCCCAGTTGGAAGACATTTTCTGTTGCCGTATGACACATTGGGAAACAGCACCCTTGGATGAACGTCGGCAATTTTATTGTAACTCGCATTTAACACAAAGCCCCTAAGCCTAGAGGTTTTTTTTTTTATTTTTTTATTTTTATTTTTATTTTTTTTATTGATCATTCTTGGGTGTTCCTCGCAGAGGGGGATTTGTCAGGGTCATAGGACAATAGTGGAGGGAAGGTCAGCAGATAAACAAGTGAACAAAAGTCTCTGGTTTTCCTAGGCAGAGGACCCTGCGGCCTTCCGCAGTGTTTGTGTCCCTGGGTACCTGAGATTAGGGAGTGGTGATGACTCTTAAGGAGCATGCTGCCTTCAAGCATCTGTTCAACAAAGCACATCTTGCACCGCCCTTAATCCATTTAACCCTGAGTGGACACAGCACATGTTTCAGAGAGCACGGGGTTGGGGGTAAGGTTCCAGATCAACAGGATAAGAATTTTTCTCAGTACAGAACAAAATGAAAAGTCTCCCATGTCTACTTCTTTCTACACAGACACGGTAACCATCCGATTTCTCAATCTTTTCCCCACCTTTCCCCGCTTTCTATTCCACAAAACCGCCATTGTCATCATGGCCCGTTCTCAATGAGCTGTTGGGTACACCTCCCAGACGGGGTGGTGGCCGGGCAGAGGGGCTCCTCACTTCCCAGTAGGGGCGGCCGGGCAGAGGCGCCCCTCACCTCCCGGACAGGGCGGCTGGCCAGGCGGGGGGCTGACCCCCCCACCTCCTTCCCGGACGAGGTGGCTGCCAGGCGGAGACGCTCCTCACTTCCCAGACAGGTTGGCTGCCGGGCGGAGGGGCTCCTCACTTCTCAGACGGGGCGGCCGGGCAGAGACGCTCCTCACCTCCCAGACGGGGTCGCGGCCGGTTAGAGGTGCTCCTCACATCCCAGATGGGGCGGCGGGGCAGAGGCGCTCCCCACATCTCAGACGATGGGTGGCTGGGCAGAGACGCTCCTCACTTTCCAGACTGGACAGCCAGGCAGAGGGGCTCGTCATGTCCCAGACGATGGGCGGCCAGGCAGAGACGCTCCTCACTTCCCAGACGGGGTGGTGGCCGGGCAGAGGCTGCAGTCTCGGCACTTTGGGAGGCCAAGGCAGGCGGCTGGGAGGTGGAGGTTGTAGCGAGCCGAGATCACGCCACTGCACTCCAGCCTGGGCACCATTGAGCACTGAGTGAACCAGACTCCGTCTGCAATCCCGGCACCTCGGGAGGCGGAGGCTGGCGGATCACTCGCGGCTAGGAGCTGGAGACCAGCCCGGCCAACGCAGCGAAACCCCGTCTCCACCAAAAAAATACGAAAACCAGTCAGGCGTGGCGGCGCGCGCCTGCAATCGCAGGCACTGGGCAGGCTGAGGCAGGAGAATCAGGCAGGGAGGTTGCAGTGAGCTGAGATGGCAGCAGTACCGTCCAGCTTCAGCTCGGCATCAGAGGGAGACCATGGAAAGAGAGGGAGAGGGAGACCGTGGGGAGAGGGAGAGGGAGAAAGAGGGAGAGGGAGAGGGAGAGGGCTATTTTTTGTATTTTTAGTAGAGCTAGAGGTTTTTTTTAATTTGTTTGTTTGCTTGGGGTTTTCTTTTTGTTTTTGTTTTGTCATCAATGTGAACTTCCTGATTGTAAGGGGACCATAGTCAGTAACTGAGCATGTCTGATTCTGATGATTAGTAAGGTGAAGGAGGCAGGGTGAAAGAGGGCAAGTTTCTTGAAGATATTTACAAATATCTGATGATGATAAACCAATTGGGTAAAGTTATAAGTGAGAGAACAAATAGTTCATTGAGGGTGGTCACATAATAAAAGGTAATATATTTCTAGATGAATTAAAAATAAATGGTTTTTTTTTCTTTTTTTGAGACGGAGTCTCGCACTGTCACCCAGGGTGGAGTGCAATGGTGCCATCTTGGCTCACTGCAACCTCTGCTTCCCGGGTTCAAGTGATTCTTCTGCCCCAGCCTCCGGAGTAGCTGGGATTATAGGCGTGTGCCACCATGCCCAGCTAATTTTTTGTATCTTTAATAGAGACAGGGTTTCACCATGTTAGCCAGGCTGGTCTCAAACTCCTGACCTTGTAATCTGCCCGCCAAAGCACAAATCCAAAGCGCTGGGATTACAGGTGTGAGCCACTGCGCCCAGCCTAAAATAAATGGTTATTCTAATGGAAGTAAAACATATAAAACGGAAAGGAAGAAAGTAATCATATGAAGAAAATTCTCAAATGCAGATTTCAAAGTTCGTACAAGTAGTGGAGATAATGAGCTACTATCTGTAACTGTGGATTTGGAAGGTTAAGGTGAGTAAAGAAAAAACAGGTCATTGAAAGTGTACTTTCAGCTTTCTGGAAGTTGTAATGTGGTAGCAAATATCTTTGAATTCTCAGAGGCTTGCAAGAACAAACGTTTATTTCTTCCTCAGAACTATTATTATTCAGCACTTAGTTCCACAATGCGATGCTGGGATTCAGGGTAAGATTCAGTCTCTATCAGGACATACCATATTAGTAGCAGAGAAAAGAGAGGGTTAGAAGAAGCAAATGAAGCCTCTTCTAGCTTCCATTTAAATTCGAACAGGCAAGTTTCTCTCACCAGGCCTCGGGAGCATGATCCACGAGTTGCTGCCCTGGAGCCGCACAATTTTGTAGCTTTCTTGGCAGAACCAGGTACTCAAAGGGTTGCGCACAGCAGGGAGTAGAGATGACTCTTGAGTTTTCCCTGCCTAAGGATGGATGCATATAGCTGAGGGGTGCCAGCTGTCTGGGTAGAGCCTGCCCCCTGAGCAAGTGGGGCCCCAAGCTGACCTCACCCTCAATATGTGCAGCCTTTTATAGCACAGTCATGGGTCACCTAATGATGAGGATGTGTGCTGAGAAATTTGTTGATTTCATCATTGTGCTAACGTCATAGGGTGTACTTACACAAAGCTACATGGGATCGCCTACTACACACCTAGGCTAAACCATATAGACTTTTTACAATAATTTACAATAGACTCGGCTCACTGCAACCTCCACTTCCATGGTTCGATTCTCCTGCCTCAGCCTCCTGAGCAGCTGGGACTACAGGCACACACCACCATGCCCGACTAATTTTTGTATTTTTAGTAGAGACAGGGTTTCACCATATAGACTGTTGATCCTAGGCTACAAATGGGGACAGCATGTTATCATAGGCAATTGTAACACCATGGTATTTGTGTATCTAAACATGTCCAAACATGGAAATGGTATGGTAAAAATACAGTATTCTAATGGGACCACCATTATATATGCAGTCCTTTATTGACCAAAATATTGTTATGCGGTGCATAACTATGTATCAGCTGCATCTCAGTAAAACTGTTGAAAACAAAAACACTGTCCAGATGAATTCAGCTGGGCTTGATGCAGCCTGGGAATCTGCATTTTACCGATTTCCAAGTCATTCGAGAACTCTGGTGAGTCAACTGCCTTTGGGGGAGTTTTAGTTATTTTCTCTGAGCAAAGAATTTTATATCATTCCTGCAATAAGCCTAAGAATAAAGAAAAAAGCTACAAGAATGACATTGACCTACTTGAGGAAGGTGGCTTATATCAACCAAAGGACATACCCATGAGAAACAATTTTTTAAGGAGCTGAAAATAGTCTAAATGATTATAAATTAATTAGAGAAAATTGACACGGACAATCAACAAATAAGTTGACAGTTTCTCCAACTTATTGATAGTTTCTTATTTAAAAAAAAATATTTTTAAAAATTGAAACATGTCATCTCTACTCACACCAAATTGGCCAAGGAATTCACAAAGCCAAGCCTATCATAAATTGGGCAAGGAATTTCAATCCTTGACTTGAAGCATTGCCTCAAGTCAAGGGCCATGCCTGATATCAAAGGGCAGAGTTGTATAATTTCATAGGAGGGTGATAATTAATTGGGAATAATTGACAATATAGGACAGAGAGCTGCAAAACGTGTGAAACAAGTGATAGAACTGAAAGAAGGAAGACAATCTAGGTGGAGCACAGAGGATTTTGAGGACAGTAAAAGTACCTTATATGATACCATGATGGTGAATACATGGCTTCATACATTTGTCCAGACTCAGACTATACAACACAAAAGTGAACCTTAATGTAAACATGAACTTTGGGTGATAATGATACGTCAATGGAGGTTCATTGATTGTAACAAATGTACCACTCTGGTGGGTTGTTAATAATGGGGGAGGCTGTCCTTGCGTGGGGGTACAGTGTATATGGGAAATCTCTACCTTCCACTTAATTTTGTTGTAAACCTAAAACTGCTGTTTAAAAAGTCTATTAAAAATGAATTAGAAAAAGGCAAAGATATTTAAGAACATTTCACTGAAGCAGATCCACAAACCCAATAGGCAAATACAAAGATTTTCAGCATTACTGTCCATCAGGTGTTCAGACCTCAGCATTTTCTGCTTCCTCCATAAGAGCCACAGTCTGTCTTCACGGATCTTGGAAATAGAACGGCCTCTACATAACACTCCAAATATCTCTTTGGTGATGTTCATTAGGAACTTGAAGTTGTTTCTGATAATTGGTAATGAAAAGTTTTTCAGAAGCAAGCATGCACTCATGGTGAATTGACCATTGTAGTTCTATGAAAAGATGGTATCTCAAATGACAAACTCATAACTCAGAGACTGGCTGGCTCCCTCCCCCTACACACACTAGGACATCATACTAAGCCCAAAGTCCTGGCAGTAAGAAGAAATCAGATGAGTATTTTCTATTTTAGAATGTGAGGCAGAGTCTGTATGTAAGGGAAACAGGAGTATGCTGGGTCTCTGTGAGTGCTCACATCTGAAAAAGGAGATTCCTCTGGAGTAGAAACTATTCCTGTGGCAAAGATACAAAAGTAGGAGAAATAATTTCTGAGATACAGACTGAGTCTGTGGAGACAGACTAGAGGTCCTATCCCCCACACCAATCCCTGATGGTGACTATTGATATTTTATCTATGTAGCATTCAATGTGAGATTAAACTTTTCTGTGGTTTTAAACTCTGATTTAGCTGCCATACAAGAGTCCCTGATATTATTTTCAGGATAATAGAGTAATTATTGTAAAACCTCTATGCATACAATGACGTTAAAAATGGAATACAGTGATCTCATTATTACAGAAACTATGTGTCTGGGTGAACGTGGCTAGAATATGCGTCTTTTCTCCAATGCTGGCCTTACCATGTGCTAAACGGAGACAATAATTGCATTTAAACAGGACATCTCTATTGTCTGGTGACTACAGTGAGAGTAACTTCCCTCCGGAGTTCACAAAAGAAACATTTTAGAAAACGTTAATGTCACCAGTGTGGCTTTCATACCAATATAACTTCGGCAGTTTACACATTCAAATATATCATGTGATATTTTTCTTTTTTTTTGTTAAAAAATATCTTTTCGGGGGCAGCTGATAGAAATGTTCTAAGATTTGAATGTGGGGATGGTTTCACAACTTATAGCAAGTGTATTAAAAGTCAATGAATTATATACTTAAAATGAAACAATTTTATGGATATAAATTAGATCTCAACAAACCTGTTTTTTAAATTCCAGTGTTAACTCTGAACTCACTACAAATCTAACTATATCAATTTACTTAATGAACACATTTCCGTATCTTCCAGGTACAATTTTACATCTTTTGAGTATATTTCAATTATTACATTAATTATAATAAAGTTGCTGTTAATAGCCATCCATTAATGAACAAATAATTATATTATCTAAAATCAATAATTTAGTCTGTACGCTAAAATTTTTTTTTTTTTTACTTATTTATTTTTTGAGATGGAGTCTCACTCTGTTGCCCAGCCTGGAGTGCAGTGGCACAATCTTGGCTTATTGCAAACTCTGCCTCCCAGATTCAAGTGATTCTCCCACCTCGGCCTTGTGAATAGCTGGGACTACAGGCATGTGCCACCATACCCAGATAATTTTTTGTATTTTTAGTAGAGAGGGGGTTTCACCGTGTTAGCCAGGATGGTCTCGATCTCCTGACCTTGTGATCCACCCACCTTGGCCTCCCAAAGTGCTGGGATTACAGGCTTGAGCCACCACGCCTGGCCAATGTTTTATGTCTTACATTTCAGATTCTATAGCTTAGCTCACAATATTGTGCAATTATTTCAACAGCTGGTATTTGAATCTTGTTCCTTGCTTGAGGAAAATCTCTCTCCATCATAAATTGTGAACCATTCTTGGGTCAATAAATGCAATTTCATCTTGGACAATCTTTCTTCTGGGATTATGTGGTAATCAGTGTATTTATATCTTATTTAAGTATGTATTTATAGTAATTTGGCCCATGAAATAAAAATATAGATGTAATACTTACTACAGTCACAATTATGTGTAAAGATAAACCACTATGACAAAAGATACTAACAAAATTAAGTCAAGATGTCAAGTACATGAAAGATAGAAATAACTAGCCATGCTGGGCATGGTGGCTCACACCTGTAATCCCAGCACTTTGGGAGGCCGAGGCGGGTGGATCATCTGAGGTCAGAAGTTCAAGACCAGCCTGACCAACATGGTGAAACCCCATCTCTATTAAAAATACAAAATTAGCCGGGCTTGGTGGTGCACACCTGTAATCCCAGCTGCTCAGGAGGCTGAGGCAGGAGAATTGCTTGAACCCAGGAGGCAGAAGTTGCAGTGAGTCAAGGTCGCACCATTGCACTCCAGCCTGGGCAACAAGAGCGAAACTCCATCTCAAAAAAAAAAAAAAAAAAAGAAAGAAAAGAAAACTAGCCATGTTAGTGGATCGCCATGGTTAACACATTCATTGTATTGGTCCATTCTTGCACTGCTATGAAGAAATACCTGATATTGGGTAAATACCTGATATTGGGTAATTTATGAAGAAAAGAGGTTTAATTGGCCACAGTTCTGCATGCTGTACAGGAAGTATGATGCTGGCATCTGCTCAGCTCCTGAGTAGGCCTCAGGAAACTTAGAATGATTGCGGAAGGCAAAGTGGGAGCAGGCACTTCACATGACCAGAGCAGAAGGAAGAGAGAGAGGGGGAGGTGCCACACACTTTTACACAACCAGATCTCATGAGAACTCACCATCACAAGAACGGCACCACAGGGGAATCTGCCCCCATGATCCAATCACCTCCCATCAGGTCCCACCTCCAACACTGGGGATTACCATTTGACAGGAAATCTGGGCAGGGACACAGATCCAAACTATATCACTCATCTTTGCAGCCAAACGTGAATCCTGATTCACCCACTTACAGGGATGTGGATGAGTCCTTAAAGCATCTTGGCCCTAAGTTTCCTCGTTTGTGATATGTGAATAACATCAGTACTTATCTCACAGGTTGTTATTACACATAAAGCACTAATAACAGTGACTCTTACTTAAAGTGTAATGTAAAGGAAAAAGTAAGTGCAAACTTGAAAAATCACTTATTAAAGAAAAACAGATGGATTAGTTTTGGATGAGAACAAATTAAAGGGGAGGATACTGGATGTCAGTTGCCACAGTTAAAGCACAAACCTCATGTTCCCCTGCAAGACTCCTTCAACCTAGAGAGCCTAATGGTGCACTATTACTATCTGTTATGAAATACCCAACTGAGGTGAGATAAAACTGTGGTGGCAGAAGAAACATGATTCATTAGAAGTTATGATTAAATTTTATTAAAGCATAAAACTTGTGATACATTGTAAATAAAACAGTAGCAAAACATAATGCCAGTTGTGAAACGTCTGTGTATATGTGCACATGCTATTCTGGTTCTTTGGTTTGGTTTGGTTTTTTTTTGAGGCAGAGTCTCACTCTGTTGCCCAGGCTGGCGAGCAGTGGTGCGATCTCAGCTCACTGCAACCTCCGTCTCCCGGGTTCAAGTGATTTTCCCCTCGGTCTCCTGAATATCTGAGATTACAGGCATCTACCACGATGTCCGGCTAATTTTTGTATTTTTTGTAGAGACACGGTTTTGCCATGTTGGTCAGGCTGGTCTCGAACTCCTGGCCTCAAGAGATCCATCTGCCTTGGCCTCCCAAAGTACAGGGATTACAGAACGTGAGCCACCACACCCAGCCCTGGTTCTTTTACTTGAACTACCCTCTATGATAACCATTCTTTCTTCAATTTACAAGAATAACTAATTTTTCATTTATCATTGATATACAACAGCTATTGCTTTTAAAAAAAGATAATCGCCATTTCCCCTACATTACTTCTACCACATAATGAGGTCCTAGTAATCTGTCACTCTCATAAAAAGCCCAGTGTCGGCCGGGCACACTGGCTCACGCCTGTAATCCCAGCACTTTGGAAGGCGGAGGCGGGCGGATCATGAGGTCAAGAGATTGAGACCATCCTGGCTAACATGGTGAAACCCTGTCTCTACTAAAAATACAAAAGTTAGCTGGGGGTGGTGGCACACGCCTGTAGTCCCAGCTACTCGGGAGGCTGAGGCAGGAGAATCACTTGAACCCGGGAGGCGGAGTTTGCAGTGAGCCGAGATCGCACCACTGTACTCCTGCCTGTCAAGAGAGCGAGACTCCATCTCAAAAAAAAAAAAAAAACGAAACAAAACTCCAGTGTCTTAATGTCCTGGCGTGCCATCTCCTGGTCAACTGGTAGAGCAGCAATCCTTTCCTATAAGCCAGTGGCCCTCTGGAGAAGGGCACACTGAACACAATAAGCATGACTTTTAGTTTTGTATTTTTCTCCACCTCTCCCTGATGCTAATTCATACAATATTAAATTTCAAAATTCAGCATTCTTGTTCTTCCAGGGAGCATGAATAGGAATGAACCACACCTAATGAAGTAGGCCCTATCATTTTATTGATTCCTTCCCAAAGATCATAATGAAAGGCCTGTAAGAAAAGCATAAAATCAACAGATCTCAAACATCAGACGGAAACCAGTAATAGTAGTGTAGCCTTTCCAAGAAACTTCACATAAATGAATATTTTATACACTGAAGATAATGTGTCATTTCCACATGTCCTTTTTTCCTTTGATATACATCATGTTATGAATTTAACATATTTTGGCCTGGAATTATTCTGCAGTTTGTAATATTTCCAGTTAACTTTGGAAATTTAGAGACTTTGTGATTCCTGGTATGAGTTCTATGGTGTGTAGACTCTTATGGGAGTTCATTTAAAAAACTACCACCTTCATCACATCACTGTTGCTTAAAGGTCTTTCCATGTTTAGTACATTTTTAATAGATTCTGTATGAATTTTCTCATGACCCCAAAGACAAGGACATTTGATAAAAAGCCTTACCACTTTCATTACATTTGTGAGGTTGCTCTCCAGTATAAATCCTGTGTTGTGCCAGTTTTGACCACTGGGTAAAAGACTTAGCATGGGCTGGGCGCAGGAGCTCAAGCCTGTAATCCCAGCACTTTGGGAGGCTGAGGCAGGCAGATCACGAGGTCAGGAGTTCGAGACCAGCCTGGCCGATATGGTGAAACCCCGTATCTACTAAAAAATACAAAAAATTAACCGGGTGTGGTGGCACGCGCCTGTAGTCCCAGCTACTTGGGAGGCTGAGGCAGAATTGCTGGAATCCAGGAGGCGGAGGTTGTGGTGAGCCAAGATCGGGCCAATGCACTCCAACCTGGGCGACAGTGCAAGACTCCATCTCAAAAAAAAAAAAAAAAAAGCTTTAGCATGCATGTTACTTTGATTTCTCTAAAAGATGTATACTCTGTTTTTTTGTTTTGTTTTGTTTTTTGAGACGGAGTCTTCCTCTGTCGCCCAGGCTGGCGTGCAGTGGCATGATCTCAGCTCACTGCAACCTCCATCTCCCAGGTTCAAGCAATTCTCGTGCCTCAGCCTCCTGAGTAGCTGGGATTACAGGCACCTACCACCACGCCCAGCTAATTTTTGTATTTTTAATAGAGACAGCGTTTCGCCATGTTGGCCAGGGTGGTTTCAAACTCCTGACCTCAGGTGATCCACCCACCTCAGCCTCCCGAAAGTGCTGGGATTACAGGTGTGAGCCACCGCGCCCGGCAAAAGATGTATACTCTGATGTCCAGTGCACTGTGAAACCTGAAAAGAGCCTCTGCCACATACCTTATATTTACATGGTTTCTCTTCAATATGAACTCTCTGATGTCTTGTAGTACTTGAACTCATGGTAAAGTTTTTCCCATGCTCATTGGATTTCTAAGGTTTCTCCCCAGTACGAATTATTCTGTTCCCCAACTTTTGATCCTCAGATAAAATCCTTGTCACAGACATTGCATTTGTGTGCCTTTGCCCCAAGATATATTAGATACTCTTATCTAATGAGTAGCAAGCACTACTTTAAAACACTGCTACATTCATTGCATTTACAAGTATGATCTATTTGGTGAGTCCTGAGTTTAGGGCCATTCTTAAAAGCCTTGCTACATTCAGTACATTTGGAAAGTTCTCTCCAGTATGAACTATCTGATGATTAATGAAGCGTGAGCCTTGAGTAAAGGCTTTGCCACATTCATGACATCTGTAGGATTTCTCTCCAGTATGAATTCTCTGATGATTTACAAGGTGTGAATTTTGACTGAGGACCTTGCCACACACATTTGTAAGGCTTCTCTTCAGTACAAATCCTATGATAACTTTTGAAATGTGAATTTTGACTGAAGACTTTGCCATATATGTCATATTCATATGGTTTCTCTCCAGTATGGATAATCTGATGTATAGTGAGGTGAGAGGCCTGGGTAAAGGTTTTTCCACACTCATCATACTTGTGAGGTTTCTCTCCAGCATAGATTTTTTGGTGAATCCTGATGTCCGCCCATTGTCTAAAGGCCTTGCTGCATTTGGTACATTTGTATGGCTTCTCTCCAGTTTGAATACTCTCATGATGTCTAAGGTGGGACCACTTCACATAAGCCTTTCCACACTCATTACATTTGTAAGGTTTCTCTCCAGTATGAATTACCTGATGGTTAGTTAGGCTTGAATGCCCAATAAAGGTTTTACCACACTCATTACACTTGTAAGGTTTCTCTCCAGTGTGAGTTCTCTGATGGTCCACCAGACTTGAATTTTGAATAAATGCCTTACTACATTCATTACTTTTGTTTTGTTTCTCTCCAGAATGAATCCTGTGATGTTTTACAATTTTGAACTCTGAAAAAAAAGCCTTGTCCCACTCATTACATTTATAAGGTCTCTCTCCATTATGGATGACCTGATGTTTAGTTAGGTTTGAGCGCACGCTAAAGGCTTTGCCACACTAATTACAACTTGTAAGTTTTCTCTCCAGTGTGAATTCTCTGATGATTTTCAAGGTATGAATTTTGACTGAAACTTTTGCCACATATATCACATTTATATGGTTTCTGTCCAGTATGGATTCTCTGATGTCTAGTAAGGTGGAACATCCTATTGAAGGTCTTGCCACACTCATTACATCTGTAAGGTTTCTCTCCAGTATGAATTCTATGATGACTTGCTAGGTTTCCAATTTGCCTGAAACCTTTGCCACATATATCACATTTATATGTTTTCTGTCCAGTATGGATTCTCTGATGTGTAGTAAGGTTGGTCATCTTATTAAAGGTCTTGCCACACTCATTACATCTGTAAGATTTCTCTCTAGTGTGAATTCTCTGATGATTTTCAAGGTATGAATTTTGACTGAAATCTTTGCCACATGTATCACATTTATACGGTTTCTGTCCAGTATGGATTCTCTGATGTCTTGTAAGGTGGGACCTGTAATTAAAGGTCTTGCCACAATCACTACATTTGTAAGGTTTCTCTCCAGTATGAATTCTATGATGACTTGCTAGGTTTGCAATTTGCCTGAAACCTTTGCCACATATATCACATTTATATGGTTTCTGTCCAGTATGGATTCTCTGATGTCTAGTAAGGTGGAACATCCTGTTAAAGGTCTTGCCACACTCGTTACATCTGTAAGGTTTCTCTCCAGTATGAATTCTATGATGACTTGCTAGGTTTCCAATTTGCCTGAAACCTTTGCCACATCTATCACATTTATATGGTTTCTGTCCAGTATGGATTCTCTGATGTGTAGTAAGGTTGAACGTCTGATTGAAGGTCTTGCCACACTCATTACATCTGTAAGGTTTCTCTCCAGTATGAATTCTATGATGACTTGCTAGGTTTGCAATTCGCCTGAAACCTTTGCCACATATGTCACATTTATGTGGTTTCTGTCCAGTATGGATTCTCTGATGTGTAGTAAGGTTGGACCTCTGATTAAAGGCCTTGCCACAATCACTACATTTGTAAGGTTTTTCCCTAATGTATGCTTTCTGGTCTTGTGTGAGTAATGAAGGATGCATAAAATCATTCCTGTATATATTAGAAATGCTGGTGTTGACACAAGGAAGATTTGTTTGAAGTAATGAAACTGAGGACCCACGGGTGACAGACTTCTCAATTTGATTACATTCATAAATTTTCCTTTCAATTTGAAATCCCTGCAGTTCAGCCAGATGCAACCAAAAGCTTAGTTCAAGCTGATTTTCAACTGGCTTATTTCCTGCATTCCTTCCATCACCTTGATCTCTTCTTCCAGTGATGTTTTTAATTTTAATTGCAGGTATTTCTCTGTAATTTCTCTCATCATTGTGACACTGACACTCAAAGTCATGAATATTTTGCTGCATTTCTCTGAAGTAAAAATCTTGGATGTCATGGATTTCATGTCTTTCCAACATCACTGCTTGGAATACTTTTCCTGTGCTATTGTTCTCTTTTGGTGGTAATTCCTTGATCATATGTGTAGGAGAGACATCTACAAGATATTTAAAAAACAGGTTTTCTATTAACTACAGTTGGCAAATCAGTAGTTCATATTGAAAAATATATCGGCCGGGTGCAGTGGCTCACGCCTGTAATCCCAGCACTTTGGGAGGCCAAGACAGGCAGATCACCTGAGGTTAGGAGTTCCAGACCAGGTGGCCAACATGGTGAAACCTCATCTCCATTAAAAATGCAAAAATTAGGGATTTGCTGGCAAGATGGCCAAATAGGAACAGCTCTGGCCTGCGGCTCCCAGCGAGATCGACACAGAAGGCAGGTGATTTCTGCATTTCCAACTGAGGTACCCACTTCATCTCACTGGAATTGGTTGGATAGTGGGTGCAGCCTACAGAGTGCAAGAGAAAGCAGGGTGGGGCGTCACCTCACCAGGGAAGTGCAAGGGGTTGGGGGATTTCCCTCCCTAGCCAAGGGAAGCTGTGAGGGACTGTGCCATGAGGAACGGTGCACTCTGGCCCAGATACTGTGCTTTTCCCACAGTCTTCACAACCGGCAGACCAGGAGATTCCCTCCAGTGCCTACGCCACCAGGGCCCTGGGTTTCAAGCACAAAACTGGGTGGACGTTTAGGCAGACACCGAGCTAGCTGCAGGAGTTTTTTTTTCATACCCCCGTGGCACCTGGAACACCCGTAAGACGGAACTGTTCACTCCCCTGGAAAGGGGGCTGAAGCCAGGGAGCCAAGTGGTCTGGCTTGGGGGGTCCCACCCCCACGGAGCCCACCAAGCTAAGATCCATGGACTTGAAATTCTCACTGCCAGCACAGCAGTCTGAGGTCGACCTGGGACACTTGAGCTTGGTGGGGGGAGGGGCATCCGCCATTGCTGAGGCTTGAGTAGGCGGTTTTACCCTCACAATGTAAACAAAGCTGCCGGAAAGTCTGAACTGGGCAGAGCCCACCACAGCTCAGCAAGGCCACTGCGGCCAGACTGCCTCTCTAGATTCCTCCTCTCTAGGCTGGGCATCTCTGAAAAAAAGGCAGCAGCCCCAATCAGGGACTTATAGATAAAACCCCCATCTCCCTGGGACAGAGCACCTGGGGGAAGAGGCGGCTGTGGGAGCAGCTTCAGCAGACTTAACCGTCCCTGCCTGATAGCTCTGAAGACAGCAGCGGATCTCCCAGCACGGCGTTTGAGCTCTGATAAAGGACAGACTGCCTCCTCAAGTGGGTCTTTGGCCCCCCATGTATCCTCACTGAGAGATACCTCCCAGTAGGGGGCCGACAGACACCTCGTACAGGAGAGCTCTGGCTGGCACCTGGCGGGTGCCCCTCTGGGATGAAGCTTCCAGAGGAAGGAACAGGCAGCAATCTTTGCTGTTCTGCAGTCTCTGCTGGTGATACCCAGGCAAACAGGGTCTGGAGTAGACCCCCAGCAAACTCCAGCAGACGTGGAGCAGAGGGGCCTGACTGTTAGAAGGAAAACTAACAAACAGGAATAGTATCAACATCAACTAAAAGGACATCCACTCAGAGACCCCATCTGAAGGTCACCAATATCAAAGACCAAAGGTAGATAAATCCACAAAGATGGGGAGAAACCAGCACAAAAAGAACCAGAATGCCTCTTCTGTTCCAAAGAATCACAACTCCTCACCAGCAAGGGAACAAAACTAGGAGAATGAGTTTGACGAATTGACAGAAGTAGGCCTCAGAAGGTGGGTAATAACAAACTCCTCTGAGCTAAAGGAGCATGTTCTAACCCAATGCAAGGAAGAAAAGAACCTTGAAAAAAGGTTAAATGAATTGCTAACTAGAATAACCACTTTAGAGAAGAACATAAATGACCTGATGGAGCTGAAAAACGCAGCATGAGAACTCCATGAGGCATACATAAGTATCAATAACTGAATTGATCAAGCAGCAGAAAGGATATCAGAGATTGAAGATCAACTTAATGAAATAAAGTGAGAAGACAAGATTAGAGAAGAAAGAGTGAAAAGAAATGAACAAAGCCTCCAAGATATATGGGACTGTGTGAAAAGACCAAATCTACATTTGATTGGTGTACCTGAAAGTGATGGGGAGAATGGAACCAAGTTGGAAAATACCCTTCAGGATATTATTATAGGAGAACTTATCCAACCTAGCAAGACAGGCCAACATTCAAATTCAGGAAATACAGACAACACCACAAAGATACTCCTCAAGGAGAGCAACCCCAAGATACATAATCGTCAGATTCACCAAGGTTGAAATGAAGGAAAAAATGTTAATGGCAGCCAGAGAGAAAGGTCAGGTTACCCACAAAGGGAAGCCCTAAGACTAACAGCAGATCTCTTGGCAGAAACTCTACAAGCCAGAAGAGGGTGGGGGCCAATATTCAACATTCTTAAAGAAAAGAATTTTCAGCCCAGAGTTTCATATCCAGCCAAACTAAGCTTCATAAGTGAAGGAGAAATCAAATCCTTTACAGACAAGCTAATGCTGAGATATTTTGTCACCACCAGGCCTGCCTTATAAGGAAGGAAGCACTAAACATGGAAAGGAACAACTGGTACCAGCCACTGCAAAAACATACCATATTGTAAAGACCATCGACACTATGAAGAAACTGCATCAACTAATGAGCAAAATAACCAGCTAGCATCATAATGACAGGATCAAATTCACACGTAACAATATTAACCTTAAATGTAAATGGGCTAAATGCCCCAATTAAAAGACACAGACTGGCAAATTGGATAAAGAGTCAAGACCCATCGGTGTGCTGTATTCAGGAGACCCATCTCACATGCAAAGACACACATATACTCAAAATAAAGGGATGGAGGAATATCTACCAAGCAAATGGAAAGCAAAAAAAGCAGGGGTTGCAATCCTAGTCTCTGATAGAACAGACTTTAAACCAACAAAGATCAAAAGAGACAAAGAGGGGCATTACATGATGGTAAAGGATCAATGCAACCAGAAGAGCTAACTATACTAAATATATATGCACCCAATACAGGAGCACCCACATTCATAAAGCAAGTTCTTGGAGACCTACAAAGAGACTTAGACTCCCACACAATAATAGTGGGAGACTTTAACACCCCACTGTCAATATTAAACAGATCAATGAGACAGAAAACTAACAAGGATATCCAGGACTTGAACTCAACTCTGGACCAAGCAGGCCTAATAGACATCTACAGAACTCTCCACCCCAAATCAACAGAATATACATTCTTCTCAGCACCACATCGCACTTATTCTAAAATTGACCACATAATTGGAAGTAAAACACTTCTCAGCAAATGCAAAAGAATGGAAATCATAACAAACCGTCTCTCAGACCACAGTGCAATCAAATTAGAACTCAGGATTAAGAAACTCATTCAAAACTGCACAACTACATGGAAACTGAACAACCTTCTCCTGAATGACTACTGGGTAAATAATGAAATGAAGGCAGTCTTTGAAACCAATGAGAACAAAGACACAACATACCAGAATCTCTGGGACACATTAAAAGCAATGTGTAGAGGGAAATTTATAGCACTAACTGCCCACAAGAGAAAGCGTGAAAGATCTAAAATCAACACCCTAACATCACAATTAAAAGAACTAGAGAAGCAAGAGCAAATAAATTCAAAAGCTAGCAGAAGACAAGAAGTAACTAAGATCAGCGCAGAAGTGAAGGAGATAGAGGCACGAAAAATCCATCAAAAAATAGACGAATCCAGAAGCTGGTTTTCTGAAAAGATCAACAAAATAGATAGACCACTAGCCAGACTAATACAGAAGAAAAGAGAGAAGAATCAAATAGATGCAATAAAAATTATAAAGGGGATATCACCACCAATCCCACAGAAATACAAACTACCATCAGAGAATACTATAAACACCTCTACACAAATAAACTAGAAAATCCAGAAGAAATGGATAAATTCCTGGATACATACACCCTCCCAAGACTAAACCAGGAAGAAGTCGAATCCCTGAATAGACCAATAACAAGTTCTGAAATTGAGGCGGTAATTAATAGCCTACCAACCAAAAAAAGTCCAGGACCAGACAGATTCACAGCCGAATTCTACCAGAGGTACAAAGAGGAGCTGGTACCATTCCTTCTGAAACTATTCCAAACAGAAAAAGAGGGAATCCTCCCTAATTCATTTTAATGAGGCCAGCATCATCCTGATACCAAAACCTGGCAGACACACAACAAAAAAAGAAAATTTCAGGCCAATATCCCTCATGAACATCTATGCGAAGGATATGAACAGACACTTCTCAAAAGAAGACATTTATGTGGCCAAGAAACATATGAAAAAAAGCTCATCATCACTGGTCATTAGAGAAACACAAATCAAAACCACAATGAGAAAGCATCTCATGCCAGTTAGAATGCTGATCATTAAAATGTCAGGAAACAACAGATGCTGGAGAGGATGTGGAGAAATAGGAATGCTTTTACACTGTTGGTGGGAGTGTAAATTAGTTTAACCATTGTGGAAGACAGTGTGGCAATTCCTCAAGGATGTAGAACTAGAAATACCATTTGACCCAGCAATCCCATTACTGGGTATATACCCAAAGGATTATAAATCATTCTACTACAAAGACACATGCACACGTATGTTTATTGTGGCACTATTCACAACAGCAAAGACTTGGAACCAACCCAAATGCCCATTATCCAGAAATATTAGTTTCTGGATAATGAAAATATGGCACATATACACCATGGAATACTATGCAGCCATAAAGAAGGATAAGTCCATGTCCTTTGCAGGGACATGGATGAAGCTGGAAACCATCATTCTCAGCAAACTAACACAACAGAAA
Organism: Homo sapiens; assembly: GCF_000001405.40. Lineage (NCBI taxonomy): Eukaryota > Metazoa > Chordata > Mammalia > Primates > Hominidae > Homo > Homo sapiens. The sequence goes on along the minus strand of NC_000019.10, from coordinate 53,206,184 downwards.
ACCAAACACTGCATGTTCTCACTCATAAGTGGGAGTTGAACAATGAGAACACATGGACACAGGGAGGGGGAACATCACATACCAGGGCCTGTGGAGGGGATGGGGAGGTAGGGGAGGGATAGCATTAGGAGAAATACCTAATATAGATGACGGGTTGATGGGTGCAGCAAACCTCCATGGCACACGTATACCTATGTAACAAACCTGCACGTTCTGCACATGTATGCCAAAACTTAAAGTATAATAATTTTTAAAAAAATACAAAAATTAGCCAGGTGTGGTGACATGTGCCTGTAGTTCCAGCTACTCAGGAGGCTGAGGGAAGAGAATTACTTGAACCTGGGAGGCAGAGGTTCCAGTGAGTTGAGATCTCACCACTGCATCACAGCCTGGGCAAGAGAGCCAGACTCTGTCTCGAAGAAAAAAAAAAAGAGGACCTCTCTGTCTAGTGCCATTCCAGACCTGAGTAAACAATCTCAGAAAACCCCGTGTACTCCCCTGTGGCGCACACTGCAATCTGTGGCAAAAGCAGAACAGAAGAAATGACTGAGGCTGAAAGACTTTGACAGACAGACAGGGCTGGAGACAGCACCATGAGGTTTCCGGAGCCCCAGATGCAAAGGAGGAGCTGCCAATGTTTTCCCGTCACCTGATTAGGTCTCCCAAGTACAGGAAATGGGGCAAAACCTGAATAGGTCAAGGGGGCAGGTCCATGGAGGCCTCAGCTCTGATCTGTATAGACAGAGAACTGAGCATCAGACGCAGTCAGGTACAGGAGAGATCACAGGAGACCTCTTGGACACAACCCTCCCTGTGCCCCTCAGAGTGAAGAAACCAAAGAGGTCACAGAAGCCACATGACAGGGTGTTGTCCATCATGATAAAGACTTTGCCTTTGTCACTGTTGGAGCTGTAGCGCCATGGGAGTGTGAAAGGATAAACTACTACACGTCAGAAGAGCAGAGGGATAAATGAGGGCAAAGAAAGGTTTCCATTGAGAGCTCACAGGATTTAAACCCTTTTTGTTCCACAGAACTCTTCAACTCGGAAGGAGTTACCTGAATACTAATGGTGCAGCTTCCTCTCTGTCCATTTGAGCTCTTACCTGTGTTCACACCTTTGATGCATTCCCAACCACTTGATGTTTTTGTTATTTTCACTTCACTCTCCACAGTCCAGGGCTCTTTCCCTTGCCCCAACATGGAGGTAATACTCATTTCAGAAAGAGAGATTCCTGCTTAGAAAAAGAAAGGCATGTAATGTGCTGTGGCTTTTACAGAATCCCAGCCCTTTGTTTAGAGGAGGAAAGAGGACATTACAAATGGATCTAGAAAAATATTTCACAAATTCACCCACTGAATGCCTCCTTCTGAATGTTTAGGGAACATGGTAAAATACGAACATCGAACTGTCCTCTAGGAAGTACTGAATCACAAGCAAAGGGGCAGAAAAGAGCAAAGTGGATTTTTTTACTTTTTCTTTTTCTTTTTTTTTTTTTTTTGAGATGGAGTTTCGCTCTTGCTGCCCAGGCTGGAGTGCAGTGGCGCGATCTCGGTTTACTGCAACCTCCGCCTCCCGGGTTCAAGTGATTCTCCTGCCTTGGCCTCCCAAGTAGCTGGGATTACAAGCGCTCGGCACCACGCCTGGCTAATTTTTTGTATTTTTAGTAGAGATGGGGTTTCACCATGTTGGCCAGGCTAGTCTCAAACTCCTGACCTCAGGTGACCCACCCGCCTTGGCCTCCCAAAGTGCTGGGATTACAGGCGTGAGCCACCACGCTGGCCCAAAGTAGATATTTTTAAAGTCTACCATAGGGTTTATTTCTACTTAAGCTCTGGAACCACCAATGATATATCTTGAAGGAGGTAGATCATTTGAAAATGGGATAATTAAGTCCAGATGCTGCACTATTAAGCTTTTCATCTGAGAATTAACATAGCTTCAGTCTTAATTGAGCAATGCAGGGGCTCCCAAGAGGCACACAGGGAACATGCAGAGATACAGCAGAGCAGATCCCAGCTTCTGGAGGGGCATTATCCTCACCCAGGGAGACCAGGTTCCTGTAGTTCTCCAACATCACGTCCCTGTACAAAGCCCTCTGAGCAGGGTCCAGGCATTTCCACTCCTCCTGAGAGAATTCGATGGCCACGTCCCTGAATGTCAACCTTCCCTGATATGAAAAAACACATTTCACCAAGAAGTCATGGGGAGAGCTATTATCTTCACACAAAATGACAAAAAGAGAGGTATAAGTCAATTTAGTTTAAATGAACGTTCTGGGAAATCCATGGAAAGGTATTTTCAGGCAAACCGTGTCTGAAAAACACATTTTACCAAGCACATGGGGGAGAGTTATCATCTTTACATAAAATGAGAAAAAGAGAGAATTGTATTGATTTACTGAAGGGAGAGTTCTGGCAGATCCATGCTAAGGTATTTTGGGGCATTTAGGGACGTTAGGAAGAACATTAGGTATGTCTCCCTAATTGCATTTTATTATACTCTTCTGTAAGAGCTTATGATATCTTCTAAATAAGTGTGGATTTCTCTTTCTGTAGACAATGGAAGAAACGTAGAAATAAATAGTCAACACACAGCTATCTCTATAGAAGTGCTAGATATTATGTTTGACACACAAAGTGATATTCAGTATCTGGAGGAGCTGGAAGAAGTGTGTTGTCTTCAGAGATGACAATGTCCATGGTGTCTTTAAAGAAAGAAAGGTCAGAATCTAAAAAGTGTGGCCGGGCGTGGTGGCTCACGTCTGTAATCCCAGCACGTTGGGAGGCCAAGGCTGGTGATCATGAGGTCAAGAGATTGATATCATACTGGCCAACATGGTGAAACCCCGTCTCTACTAAAAATACGAAAATTAGCTGGGCGTGGTGGTGCACACCTGTAATCTCAGGTACTCGGGAGGCTGAGGCAGGAGAATCACTTGAACCAGGAGGTAGAGGTTGCAGTGAGCCGAGATCGCACCACTGCACTCCAGCCTGGGAAACAAAGTAAGACTCCGTCTCAAAAAAATAAATAAATAAAATAAAATAAAAAAATAAAAATACGGAACTGATTTATGAAATGGTGATGTGTCGTCTATAAACGCCATAGGATAGTTCATCCATACATTCATGCACACATATATACACGAATGTAAATTAACAAAGAGAAAACATGCCTCTCAATGACATACTTTTTATGACTTTTTCATTATCATTTTTCCTCATGTGCATTTCAGCATCTTGGGGACAGTAAAGTGTATAAGTTGTATTTAACTTAGTTTGTCAACATTATGTTATATAATGCCAATAAAAGAATGGTAAAAACATGAAAAAAATATTTAAAACTTTAACTCCAATCCCTATGAAATAGTTATAGTCAAACTACAAATAAAATTCTATCCATTTAAATTTAAATATTTAGGCTGGGCGCAGTGGCTCACGCCTGTAATCCCAGCACTTTGGGAGGCTGAGGCGGGAGGATCACCTGAGGTCAAGAGTTCGAGACCAGCCTGGGCAACGTGGTGAAATGGCGGGCACCTGTAGTCCCAGCTACTCGGGAGGCTGAGGCAGGAAAATCACTTGAACCCGGGAGGCAGAGGCTGCAGTGAGCCAAGATCGCACCACTGTACTCCAGCCTGGGTAACAAAAAAAACAAAAAACAAAAACAAACAACAAAAAAAAAGAAAAATGAATTAAAAGCCTCAACATATGACCTAACATGATAAAACTCCTAGAAGAAAGTGTAGGAGAAAAGGTTTGCGAAACTGAATTTTGCAGTCATTTCTAAGATATGACACCAAAGACACAGGCAAGAAAAGCAAAAATATACAAATGGGACTACATCAAACTTACAAACATCTCTGCATCAAAAGAAAGAATCAAGAGGCTGAAAAGCAACCTCCAAGAGAAGGATGTGCTGAAAATGACGTAAAGAATCTCCTTCTGTTAGAGATTTAGATTGTTTTCTGGCCGGGTGCGGTGGCTCACACCTGTAATCCCAGCACTTTGGGAGGCCAAGGCAGGTGGATCACCTCAGGTCAGGAGTTCAAGACCAGCCTGGCCAACATGGTAAAACCCCATCTCTACTAAAAATACAAAAATTAGCCCGGTGTGGTGGCAAGCACCTGTAATCCCAGCTACTCAGGGGGCCCAGGCAGGAGAATCACTTGAACCCAGGAGACGGAAGTTGCAGTGAGCCAACATCGCACCATCGCACTCCAGCCTAGGGGACAAGAGTGAGACTTTGTCTCAAAAAAAAAAAAAGAGATTTAGATTGATTTCATATTTTAAAATTGGTGGAGCCAGGCGTGGTGGCTCACGCCGGTAATCCCAGCACTTTGGAAGGACGAGGCGGATGGATCACCTGAGTTTGGGAGTTTGAGACCAGCCTGACCAACATGGAGAAACCCCGTCTCTCCTAAAAATACAAAATTAGCCGGGCATGGTGACACATGCCTGTAATCCCAGCTACTCGGGAGGCTGAGGCAGGATAATCGCTTGAACCTGGGAGGCGGAGGTTACAGTGAGCAAAGATCACACCATCGCACTCTAACCCAGGCAACAAGAGCGAAACTCCATCTCAAAAAAGAGAACAAATCAGTGCTAGAATAAAACACCCTCCCCTCACTAAGGTGTTTCTGAACTTTCCATTCCATTCCAAATCATAACAATTCTGGAGCCAAAAACATACAGATTCATGTATTTATCTTCGAATGTATTCTTAAATCAGACAAACAATGTGCCAGAATTCCCCTCATCAGCCTCCTTTTCTGGAATTACCAGGTACTTGTGCGCATTAGTACATGACTTCCATGTGCAGCTTCTCTACTCCTGGTCCACAGAGACCTCACAGTGCATCCAGATGTGGCCGCTAAACAATCCCTCTTGCCTAACAGTCCTAACACTACGGGGCTCACATGCCGTGTCCATCCATGTATGGGTGTGAGCCCTTCCCAGGACCATGCCCAGTGGGGCCTCGTCCCAAGTTCACATCAGTGGGTCACAGGCAATGGAATCTAAGTGAAATGAGAGGGACTGAGGGAAGGCACGGGTGAGTGCGAACAAACGTGTCAGGCAGGATGCTTCAGACTCAAAGAAGATTTGCAACTCCAAAGAATGAAATTTCAGAAAGGAAAGAGAAACAGAACAAGCTGGGCACGGTGGCTCTCGCCTGTAATCCCAGCAGTTTGGGAGGCCGAGGCGGGTGAATCATGAGGTCAGGAGTTGGAGACCAGCTTGGCCAACATAGTGAAACCCTGTCTCTACTAAAAATACAAAAAATTAGCTGGGCATGGTGGCGGGCACCTGTAATTGCAGCTACTTGGGAAGCTGAGGTAGGAGACTCGCTTGAACCCAGGAGGTGGAGGTTGCAGTGAGCCAAGATCACACCACTGCACTTCAGCCCAGGCGATAGTGCAAGACTCTGTCTCCAAAAAAAAAAAAAAAGGGGGAAACAGAACAATCCACCAAGAATATCACTTTACTTGAGAAAGAGCCATCCCTGTCTCCTCTTTCTTCTCTTCTGGACTTCTTCCTCAGGCCACATGAGTCTTTAAAGGTTAATCTGGAATGTGAAAAAGAAGTTATTTAATGCCTAGAATTAACACACCCCCTTCCTGTGCCACGACCACACACACAGGGAAGACACCCGTGCAAAGACAGTCCTCTGCCACCGACTGCACCAGGAGGAAAAAGAAACTTGTAGGAAGAAGAAACTTGTAGGAAAAAGAAACTTGTAGGAAGACCAACAGGTGAGTCTGTAACCCCTTTCTTCAGAACCCACTCTCCTCCTAGAGAGGCCCACACGCACGCTGCAGCGGTGGGGAGCTGGGCTGGACTGAGCTCCCCTTCAGGGTGCACACCTGGCCTTGAGCAAACCTCATGCAGAGCACAGCCGCCCTCACATCCCTATGGATCCCAGGCTGAGCTGAGGCCTCAGAAATGGAGGAAACAGTCTGTAATCCCAGCACTTTGGGAGGCCGAGATAGGCGGATTACCTGAAGTCAGGAGTTCGATACCAGCCTGGCCAACATGGTGAAACCCCGTTTCTACTAAAAATACAAAAATTAGCCGGGTATGGTGGTACGTGCCTGTAGTCCCAGCTACTAGGGAGGCTGAGGCAGGAGAATCGCTTGAACCCAGGAGGCAGAGGTTGCAGCGAGCCGAGATTGCCCCATTGCACTCCAGGCTGGGTGACAGAGTGAGACTCCATCTAAAAAATTTTAAAAAAAGAAATGGAGGACACAGAGCCTCAGTATCAATGCTGGACAGATTAGAATCAGCTGGGGTAACATCACTACTGTCAAGGCTGGACTCCAACCCCATTACATGAATGGAAAACTCAGGTAAAGAGGCACAAGAGTTTTATTTGCAAAACGACTCAGTACTCTCAAGTCAAACCAGGATTGAGCTCCACTCAGAGGGAGTGTGAAATAACAAGAAATATATTTTTGGTCTCTGCCCCTGGTTCCTGGGATATAGATCCTAAACCCCTCACAGAAAGGGGTGTTAGGAGAATCTTTGGTTCTCATATTTGGTCTTTGACCCCGGGTCCTTGCACAAAGCTCCTAAATCCCTTGGAATTTCCTACGTGATAGGAGTGTTTTTGTTCTAATGAGGCAAGTCTTGGGCTCCTGGATAGAGCCAGTTGCCAGAAAGAGTAAGCCATGATTAGAAGCTTGGAGATTTCAGCTCCATCACTTATTTCCCAAAGAGTGGAGCATGCTGAAGACTGAGTTAATAATCTCTCATGCCTACAGGATGAAGCCTCGATAAAAGTTCCTGATCTATAGACTTCGGAGAGCTTTCTGGTTGATAAACACATCTGAATGCCAGGAGGGTGGGTGCACCCAAATCCACAAGGACAGAAGCTCCTGTGCTTAGAACATTCTCAGACCTCACCATACATATCTCTTCATCTGGCTGCTCATGGGTATCTTTTATGATATCCTTCATTAATACACCAAATCCTCACTTGATGTTATCAATAGATTCTTGGAAACCGGAACTTTAAGTGAAATGGCAACCTTTTTCCTCATCTACATAAAAAATGACATCGAATGGCCAAGTGCGGTGGCTCACACTGTAATCTCAGCACTTTGGGAGGCCAAGGTGGGCAGATCAAGAGGTCAGGAGATCGAGACCATCCTGGCCAACATGGTGAAACCCTGTCTCTACTACAAATACAAAAATTAGCTGGGCATGGCAGCACATGCCTGTAATGCCAGCTACTAAGGAGGCCGAGGCAGGAGAATCACTTGAACCTGGGAAGTGGAGGTTGCAACGAGCGGAGACAGCACCACTGCCCTCCAGCCTGGTGACAGAGCTAGACTCCATCTCAAAATAATAATAATAATAATAATGATAATGATGACATTGAACAAAACAACGTTATTCGAGGACCTGCTGTATATCATTTCATTCATGACCCGGTTTCCAAGAACCTGTAGAAAACATGAAGTGAGAAATGACTGCACAAAAAATCAGTAAACATAAGTAAGTGCTTCCAGCAGTCCTGTGAGCTGTCCTCACAAGTTAATCAAACCCAAAGAGGGAGTCATGGGAGCCCCAATATATAGGTCAGTTTTAAGGACAGGTGACAACCTATTACTTTTGACTGACGTCTGAAGTGGCGGCGGGGGGGCAGGGGGGTGGTCTTGTGGGACTAAGACCTTAACCTGTTGGATCTGACTCTAACTCCAGGCGCACAGTGTCAGAATTGAATTGAATTATAGGACACGCAACTGGTGTATACTGGAGAATTGCCTAGTGTGTGGGAAAAAAACTCCCACACATTTGCTGTCAGAAGTGTTATATGTTGGCTGGGCGCGGTGGCTCATGCCTGTAATCCCAGCCCTTTGGGAGGCCCAGGCGGGCGGATAACCTGAGGTCAGGGGTTGGAGACCAGCCTGGCCAACATGGTGGCCCCGACTCTACTGAAAATACAAAAATTAGCCGGGCGTGGTGGCACATGCCTGTAATCCGAGCTACTCCGGAGGCTGAGGCAGGAAAATCGCTTGAACCCGGGAGGTGGAGGTTGCAGTGAGCTGAGGTTGCGCCACTGCACTCCAGCCTGGGTAACAGAGGGGGAGACTCATTCTCAAAAAAAAAAAAAAAAAAAAGCATACTGGGTGTCACCGAACAGGCCTAGGTCACCTCCTCCACCATGAGTGTCACAGGACAAGCCCAGCTCACCTTCCCACCATGGGAGGTGACTGCCTAGAGGGGCTTGGGAGCTGAAGGCCCTTCCTGAGAAAGATTTCGGGTGAGAAAGACAAAGGTGGCACCTTAGGACAGGGGTGGGGTCTGCAGAATCCCAGAACCAAGTAAGGACGCGGCCCCTCCGGACTGAGGCTGCAGCGCTGCGCACCAGGGGCCGACAAGGGCAGGTCTTGGAGAACCGGATAGACCTGAATCCACCTTGCAGGTGAGGGCTCTAAAAAGTGCTCTCCCGGCCGGGCGCGGTGGCTCACGCCTGTAATCTCAGCACTTTGGGAGGCCGAGGCGGGCGGATCACGAGGTCAGGAGATGGAGACCATCCTGGCAAACACGGGTGAAACCCCGTCTCTACTAAAAAAAATACAACAAAATTAGCTGGGCGTGGTGGCGGGCGCCTGTAGTCCCAGCTACTTGGAAGGCTGAGGCAGGAAAATGGCGTGAACCCGGGAAGCAGAGCTTGCAGTGAGCCGAGATCGCGCCACTGCGCTCCAGCCTGGGCGACACAGCGAGACTCCGTCTTAAAAAAAAAAGTGCCCTCCCGCGTGGCGGGAAGAAAAATCGGTAAAGGATTTTAGGCAGCAAAAGACACGAAAGGCCATGTTTACCTAGCGCAAAGCAGAAAGACCAGATTCAGGAAGTAGGCTTAGAGCGACTTTAACCCAAAGGGAAAGCGATCTCCGCATTCTCACAGCAACGTCAGAATTTACCTGGGGTGGAGGGCGCGGTGTGGTCATTTTAAGATCTGTAGGGACCCCTCCAGACCCGGGGGATGGAAGAAGGGGGACTGCGAAGCGCAGATTTAATCTAGAGAGAGCGAAACTCAGGCTCGGCGGCGCAGCCTTCACTCCCCGCGATCCGCTTCCGGGTCTACAGAAAACCGCTCGCAGCGGAGACTGGGCGGTCTGGGGGCGGGGAAGGGGCGGGGCCTGGCCAGGGAGAGACCGGCAGGGGGCGGGGCCGGAGGGGACTGAGGTGGCCTAGGGGCGGGGCCTAGGCGGGGCGTGACCGGCACAGGGAGTGGGCTGGGGAGAAAACGCGAAGGGTGGGGCGGGGCCTGGACAGGCAGGGGGCGGGGCCGGGAGGGACCTAAGGAAGGCGGGTGGGAGCCTGCGTTTCCAGCCACCTGGTACCCAGAGCGTCCCTATTTTCTGGGTTTGGGAACACAAGTCTATTTCGTGTCCTGCGGAGCAGTTTTGCTTTCTGCTTATTTTAAGTTAATGTCTCAATTTTAAGGTAAACCCTTAGAGTTATGTGGGCCATCTCTGTTGGAAAGTAAGATGTTTTCCTAAGTTGCAAACTTAAGTTGCTCAACTATTTTTAAAAAGTTACTGCTTTTTCTAAAGCAAGAGTTAATATCACCGGTATTAGCCCTCCTCGCTCCACACCCCAGGTATTTACCATATGAAAATCTCTGCAACTGTGCACAGGGCTGACTCTCTCCCTCCATGGTGAATGGGTGTAGAATGTGGAGGGGATTGCATTAAGTTCTGTTGAGAGGTGACTTGAAATTACTTACACATTCTGCCCAGGCAGAGTTTTGCATTTCACATTCTAGTTTGCATACCCTTCACAGACATTTTCAGGGCTTTTTAGTTAAGTTGCTTAAATTAATTCAAATTGCAGAAACTTTCCTGGATTCAATCTACCCCAAACCGACACCCCCAGAGATGCCAGATCCCCACCCAGAGTTGCTTCAGTCTCACTAGCAGCTCTTCTGTCCTACCTGCTGGCAGTAATAACCATTTCAACGTGAACCATTTCAACTTCTGTCCCATTCGCTGGCAAAAATACCTTTTAACGTATTTTAACGTATTAACGTATAAGTTTAACCATTTCAACTTTCTTTTGCCCAAGATTCCTATTCCCATGGTCAGGTTGGGATCTACCCTCAATAATAACTACGGTGGCCCAGGGCGTTGTAATCTGTGTGCAGCATTGAGCACCAAGGCTCTGTGTTCTGCGTTTCTGATTACATTTTTCAGCTCTAAAATTTCTCTGTTTTTCCTTTATAGCTTCTGTCTCTCTATTGATAGTCTCATTTTGCTCATATCTTGTTTTCCTGATTTCCTGTGGTTGTCTATGTGTGCTCTCCTCTTAATTCATTGACCATCTTGTGACTCTTATTTTCAATTCTTTGTCTGATAATTCACACATCTTCATTTCTTTAGTGTCAGTTTGTGGTGGTTTCATTTGTTCCTTTGTGTGGATCATGTTTCCTTTTCTCCTTGAATGTCTTGTTATCTTGGCACCTCAGCATTTCACTAATCAACCAGTCCTACTTTTTTATTTCTGGCTTCCTTCAGGGAGGACCTTCTCTATTCAGCCTGACTAGAGATTCTGGAAACCTCTGAAGCCTTTTCTGGGAATGTGTCGTCTCTGGGCTTTTGCTTGTAGTTACCTGAGAAGGTTTGCCAGTTTTTCTTCAGGAGAGCTCCTGTTGACAGTCTGCAATTCTGCAGTCCCTGTGTTTTCATGGTAAGCTGTGGTCTGGTTCTCCACCTAGTGTCTGCCTGCGTTACTGCAGACTCTCGTTTATGTTGCTTGCCTTTGTTCTCAATGGTTTCCCTGACCTGGCATCCTGTCACTTTTGATGGTACTTCTGTTACTTAACTGATTCTTTAGGTTTAATTGTAATTGTTGAGGGGTTTTTTGTTTTTGTTTTGTCTTTATTTTGTTGAGATGGGGTTTCACTATATTGCCCAGGCTGGTCTTGAACTCCTGGGCTCAAGCACCCCTCCTGCCTCAGGCTCTCAAAGTGCTGGGATTACAGGTGTGAGCCACTGCTCTCAGCCTAACTGTAATTCTTAGATGCCTGGGTTCGGGGCTTGCTCTGTCATTTCTAGCTCTTGGACCTTAGGCCAGTTTCTTAGCGTATCTGTGACAGTTTCTTTCTTTTTCTTTTTTTTGAGACGGAGTCTTGCTCTCGCCCAGGCTGGAGTGCAGGGGCGCCATCTCGGCTCACTGCAAGCTCCGCCTCCCGGGTTCACGCCATTCTCCTGCCTCAGCCTCCCGAGTAGAGTAGCTGGGACTACAGGCGCCCGCCACCACGCCCGGCTAATTTTTTTGTATTATCATTAGAGACGGGGTTTCACCGTGTTAGCCAGGATGGTCTCCTGGTGACCATCGTGATCCGCCCGGCTCGTGATCCGGTCCTGACCTCGTGATCCGCCCAGCTCGGCCTCCCAAAGTGCTGGGATTACAGGCGTGAGCCACAGCGCCCGGCCGACACAGTTGTTTCCTAGTAAGATAGGAAAAGATCTTTTTCTCATGGGCTATTATGTTGTTATTTGAGTTAATACAGGTAAAGTATTCCGAATAATGCCTTGCACATAGTGTTCAGAAAAGTCAGTCATTGCTATTGCCATTATCATCACAGTTTTTACTTCTGGCCAGTGTTTCTGTAAAGCCACTGTGGACCTTGTCACCTCAGAAGACATCATTCGTGCTTTAGCTTATCTAGATACGGAGTATCACTTAGTGTGTTGAAAATAATATCTAACACTTCTATAGAGATCAGCTTGTGTTTGGGTTTTTATTTGTCTATTTATTGTATTGTCCACAAAACTGAAAACTCCACACAGATTTAGAGGCTATTATAACTACTTAGGGAAAAGTACAATAAAACAGAATTAGGGAGACATAACTTGCTCAAAAATGCCTTCACGCTGGGGCGGTGGCTCAGTGAGCCGAGATCATGCCATTGCATTCCAGCCTGGGCGACAAGAGCAAGACTCTTGTCTAAAAAAAAAAAAAAAAAAAAAAAAACAACAACAAACCTCACATATTCGTATTTAAGAATATAGGAAACACTGATTCAGTTTCTTCTACTGTTCTCTCACAACACAGAATGCTACAGTTAGCCCAGAGGTACTGGGTTTTCCCACACACACCAAGCAAGCAATCCTGCCACAGACACCAGGTGCGTGTTCTCTCATTCCGTTCCATTTTGCCGGGACATGGCATCAGATCCCACACGTTGAGGGCTCAGTCCCACAATAGTGCACACATTTCAATGCCAGTCTCAAGCAGAGGTTGTGACTTGTGCTTACAGATCAGATATAAATCCAGGAGTCCCTTGACCCCCTCCTCAGGTTCAACGAATTTGCTAGAGTGGCTCACAAAATACAGGGAAACACTTTACATAGATTTACGTATTATAAAGGATATTACAAAGTTGACAGAAGAACAGCCAGATGGAAGGGATCAGTGAGGTGAGGCATGGGAGAAGGGGCGTTGAGCCTTGGTGCCCTCCCTGGGTGCACCACGCTGCAGGAGCCTCCCAGTGTTCACCTATCCAGAAGCTCCGCTGAATCCTCTCCTTTTGGGTTGTTATGGCGCCTTCATTACATATGCATGATTGCTTATATTACTGGCCATTGGTTAAACTTTTAGATAGCCTAAGTTTTGTTTTTTTTTTTTTTTGGGAGAGACGAAGTCTCACTCTGTCACCCAGGCTGGAGTGCAATGGCGCGATATCGGCTCATTGCAACCTCCGCCTCCAGGGTTCAGGCCCCGCCCCGGCCCCGCCCACCCTATGCTCTCAGTCCCTCCCAACGCCTGGCCTTTCCCCACCGCAACCCGCCCCTTTGCCTACTGCGCGGGCAGTTTCTTGCAAACCCGGAAGCAGATCTCTTGGAGTGAAGGCTGTTAGTCGCCGCGTGAGTTTCCCTCTATCTAGATTAAACCTGCGTTTCGGAGTCCCCTGCTCCTCCGTACCCGATGTCCGGGGGTTCGTATAGCCCTTAAAGTCCCCGCACGGCTCCCTCCATTCCATGTAAATTCAGACTTTGCCGCGAGACTCTGGGGGTCGCATCGCTTTGGGTTAAAATCACACAGGCTGGTCCTGCCCGCGGTCTTTCGGCCTTCAGACCATGCAGACACCTCCTTTCCTGCGCCGTTTCCTGCTTAAAACCCTTTACTGACCTGCGCCCTGTGAAGTCCTCATCTGCGAAGTGGGTGCAGGATTTTACCGTCCCCTAACCTCGCCCTAGTCAGCTACTGGAGCGTTAGCGCCGCAGCCCCAGTCCCGGGGAGGCCGCGCCTCTGCCTGGTCCTGGGATCCTGCATACCCCACCCCTCTCCTAAGGCGCCGTCGCCCCCCACCTCCCTCCTCCTCGTGCCGGGCCCTGCTGCTCCCTAGGCCTCCCCTTCGCAGTCACCGTTTCCCCTGAGCCCGCGTTGGGGAGGTGCCCGGGCCTTGTCCTGTGATACCCGGTGTTCTTGCCTGCCCAGCTCCACCCGCTGGAAAATGTGCTCCTCCAGGATCCAGGTGTCTTACTCCAAACCCTCCCTGTGAATGTGTGGGCCAAGGGGATCAGGAGACAGAGAGGGGGGCTGAGAGAAAAGTAGAAAAACGGAGACAGAGGAAAGAATGAGGGAAACCAGTAAACATGGCAAAGTAGAGGATGGGTCAGGATTTACAAAGAGACAGTAAGGGTGAAAGAAGTCGCTGAGAAAGTAACAGGATGGAGAAACAACTGGAGAAATGTAGAGAAAAGCTCGCTGTCTAGAGAGATGAAGGACAGCAAGGTAGGGAGAGGGGCAGCTCCTCAGACGGAGAGTTAGGGAGAGGAGGGGGTATTTGGAGCCAGGATAGACAGAGCAGCGTGGTGCTGGGACAGCAAGAAGGGGCAGCTGGTGACAAGGAGAGCAGAGGGAGAACCACAGCAGGGGGAGACCTGGGATCTGGGGGTGCCAAAGAGTGGGGACAAGGAAGTGAAACAGGGAAGAGGGGATTTAACAGGGAGAGCAGAGATAAGGGAAGAAAGAGGCAGAAATAGATGGAGATTGGGGACAACCAAAAGACGGGTGAAAGAGGAATAAGAGGTGAAACAAGTTGCAAGAATGGAACAGAACAAGTGGAAGAGAAGGATAGAGGGAAGGAGAAACAGCAGGAGAAGAGAGGGGCTCAAAATGAGGAGCAGAGACCCAGGCTGAAACACAGAAAAGAAACAAGGAGAGAGAAGAAGAGAATGAGAGAGATGTACAGAATGAGGGAGGGAAACACACAGGAAGGAAGAAAGAGGGGGACTATGGCCCAGATGCATGGTGGTTTCATTGGATATGGATAATTACATCGTGATATATTGATTTCTGTATCCATAATCTAACAAATTTTTTTTTTCTTAAGACAGAATCTCACTCTATTTCCCAGACTGGCGTGCAATGGCACGATCTCGACTCACTGTAACTCCGCCTCCTGGGTTCAAGCGATTCTCTTGCCTCAGCCTCCCGAGTAGCTGGGATTACAGGCATGCACCACCACACCTGGCTAACTTTTGTATTTTTAGTAGAGACGGGGTTTCACTATGTTGACCAGGCTGGTCTCGAACTCCTGACCTCAGGTGATCTACCCACCTCAGCGTCCCAAAATGCTGGGATTACAGGCATGAGCCACTGTGCCCAGCCCCTAATAATCTAACAAATTTTATATGTATATATTTTGTTTCTGTTATGGAGATGCTGGTGAGAATCACAAAAGTTTTGTCTATAAGACATGTGCATTTTATAATTCCTGGCATCAGAGGTTAGCTTCTATTTGCAATCTCTGTTCTAAGAGAGCAGTGACTTGACTCATTCAGTTATGGGTCACCCTCTTTCCTTTTCCTAGGATGGGGTAATGTGTAGGCAAGTGTATGAGTGAGGAGGAAAAACCAAAGTGTTTTTCCCACTCTCATAATCAAGTAATGAACGCTCAACAAAGAATGCATCGCCTCTCATCACCAAAACGTGTGGGGTGGGGATTTCTCCTCACCAACACGCAGTTCTTGAACAAACACTACCTGACTGTCCAATAATTTAATTCAATTCGGACACTGTCTACCCAGAGTTAGCATTAGATCCCACTAGTTGAGGGTTCCCTCTTCAGATACCAGCCCCAAGTCCCAGATTCGGAGCTTCGGATCCATTGAGTATAAATTTGGGATTCTCCTCATCCCTTCCTGAGGTGCTATTAATTTGCCAGAGCAGCTCATAGAACTCAGGGAAACATTTTCCTTGGTTTACCCAATTGTTTTTTGTTTGCCGGTCTGTTTTTGAGACGGAGTCTTGCTCTGTCACCCAGGCTGGAGTGCAATGGCACGATCTTGGCTCACTGCAACCTCCGCTTCCTGGGCTCAAGCAATTCTCCTGCCTCAGCCTCCCAAGTAGCTGGGATTACAGGCGTCCGCCACCACACCCAGATAATTTTTGTGTTTTTAGTAGAGAAGGGGGTTCACCATGTTGGCCAGGCTGGTCTTGAACTCCTGATCTCAGGTAATCCACCCACCTTGGCCTCCCAAAGTGCCGGGATTACAGGCATGAGCTACCGCACCCGGCCTACCTAATTGTTATAAAGGATACTACGAAGCATACAGATGAATGGTTTTAGCAAGTTAATTGAATCCAAGGAAGGGGTTAAGAGAATCACGGTATTTATCTGGTGAGAGTGTAGCCAACAGCTACTAGTAGCATGTAGCACACTGAGATCTTCACCTGGGAGAACTGACAGTGTCAGAGTGGAGTGAAATTGTAGGACCCACCACTGGGAGTGCACTGCAGAACTGGTCATTGTGGGAAAAACTGCACACATTTTGGTGACTACAAGTGAAGTATTCTGGGTTGAGTGTGACAATAGTATGAACAGTTTAATTTTTTCCTGTCTCAAACAGTAAAGGGAAGAGCTCTCCAACGGGCCCACCCACCTGTCTTAAGGCCTGCAATCTCAACTCAGGAGGTACTGGGAATGGTCTGTCCCTGCTCCGGGCTGTTGCTGGCTGTGGGCGGCATGCCACCCAGGTGCCAAGGCAAGAGACAGAGAACACGAGCTGTTCCAGTATAATAAAATATAAAACAAGAATAGTTATACCAGATATAGATCTTAGATATGATTATATATGAATATCATTAATCATTAGTTTGTAGCAATTACTTTTTATTCCAATATTATAATAATCCTCGCTCTATAATCATAGCCTAGGAAAAACCAGGCCATACAGAGATAGGAGCTGAGGGGACATAGTGAGGTGTGACCAGAAGACAAGAGTGCGAGCCTTCTGTTATGCCCGGACAGGGCCACCGGAGGGCTCCTTGGTCTAGTGGTGACGCCAGCGTCTGGGAAGATGCCCGTTGCCAGGCGGACCGTGGTCTAGGGGTAGCGTAAGTGTCAAATGAAAACACCCGCTACTTAGCAGACTGGGGAAGGGAGTCTCCCTTTCCCCGGGGGAGTTTAGAGAAGACTCTACTCCTCCACCTCTTGTGGAGGGCCTGACATCAGTCAGGCTCGCCCGCAGTTATCCGGAGGCCTAACCGTCTCCCTGTGATGCTGTGCTTCGGTGGTCACGCTCCTAGTCCGCCTTCATGTTCCATCCTGTACACCTGGCTCTGCCTTCTAGATAGCAGTAGTAAATTAGGGAAAGTACTAATAGTCCCTGATATGCAGAAATAATGGCGTAAGCTGTCTTTCTCTCTGTCTCCTCTCCCTCTCTGCCTCGGCTGCCAGGCAGGGAAGGGCCCCCTGTCCAGTGGACACATGACCCACGTGACCTTACCTATCATTGGAGGTGACTCACACTCTTTACCCTGCCCCTTCTGCCTTGTATCCAATAAATAACAGCGCAGCCAGACATTCGGGGCCACTACCGGTCTCCGTGCATTGGTGGTAGTGGTCCCCCGGGCGCAGCTGCCTTTTCTTTTATCTCTTTGTCTTGTGTCGTTATTTCTACACTCTCTCGTCGCTGCACACGGGGAGAGACCCACTGACCCTGTGGGGCTGGTCCCTACAGCTGGCTCTTCAGTTTTGCACCACAGTCTCAGGACGGTGTGGCTCCCTCCTCCACTGTGTCAACTTTTACTTCAAGGGAATTATTTTGATGAGCATATCCAGATTAGTGGTCTTGTCTATTCACACACACACACACACACACACACACACACACACAGAAAATAAAGCCTTTCTTTCTCATCTACTCTTTCAACTTTAAAACAAAAAATAAGGCTGGGCATGGTGGCTCACGCCTGCAATCCCAGCACTTTGGGAGGCTGAGGCAAGCAGATCACCTGAGGTGAGGAGTTCGAGACCAGCCTGGCCAACATGATGAAACGTCTTCTCTACTAAAAATACAAAAATTAGCTGGCCGTGGTGATGTGCACTTTTAATCCCAGTTACTTGGGAGGCTGAGGCAGGAGAATCGCTTGAACCCAGGAGGCAGAGCTTGCAGTGAGCTGAGATCACACCACTGCACTCCAGCCTGGGTGACACAGCTAGACTCCATCTCAAAAAAAACAAAAACCCGGTCAAAAATTTAATCTGGATTACCCAGCATCTCCTATAAGAAACAAAGGGGCCCTCTCCCTCTCCCTCTCCCTCTCCCTCTCCCTCTCCCTCCCCCTCCCTCTCCCTCTCCCTCTCCCTCTCCCTCCACGGTCTCCCTCTGATGCCGAGCCAAGGCTGGACGGTACTGCTGCCATCTCGGCTCACTGCAACCTCCCTGCCTGATTCTCCTGCCTCAGCCTGCCGAGTGCCTGCGATTGCAGGCGCGCACCGCCACGCCTGACTGGTTTTCGTTTTTTTTTTTGGTGGAGACGGGGTTTCGCTGTGTTGGCCGGGCTGGTCTCCAGCTCCTAGCCGCGAGTGATCCGCCAGCCTCGGCCTCCCGAGGTGCCGGGATTGCAGATGGAGTCTCGTTCACTCAGTGCTCAATGGTGCCCAGGCTGGAGTGCAGTGGCGTGATCTCGGCTCGCTGCAACCACCTCCCAGCCGCCTGCCTTGGCCTCCCGGAGAGCCGAGATTGCAGCCTCTGCCCGGCCCCCACCCCGTCTGGGAAGTGAGGAGCGTCTCTGCTTGGCCACCCATCGTCTGGGATGTGAGGAGCCCCTCTGCCTGGCTGCCCAGTCTGGAAAGTGAGGAGCGTCTCTGCCTGGCCGCCATCCCATCTGGGAAGCGAGGAGCGCCTCTTCCCCGCCGCCATCCCATCTAGGAAGTGAGGAGCGTCTCTGCCCGGCCGCCCATCGTCTGAGATGTGGGGAGCACCTCTGCCCCGCCGCCCTGTCTGGGATGTGAGGAGCGCCTCTGCTGGGCCGCAGCCCTGTCTGGGAGGTGGGGAGCGTCTCTGCCCGGCCGCTCCGTCTGAGAAGTGAGGAAACCCTCTGCCTGGCAACCGCCCCGTCTGAGAAGTGAGGAGCCCCTCCGTCCGGCAACCACCCCGTCTGGGAAGTGAGGAGCGTCTCCGCCCAGCAGCCACCCCGTCCGGGAGGGAGGTGGGGGGGGTCAGCCCCCCGCCCGGCCAGCCGCCCCGTCCGGGAGGTGAGGGGCTCCTCTGCCCGGCCGCCCCTACTGGGAAGTGAGGAGCCCCTCTGCCTGGCCAGCCGCCCCATCCGGGAGGGAGGCGGGGGGGGGGGTCGGCCAGCCGCCCCGTCCGGGAGGGAGGTGGGGGGGTCAGCCCCCCGCCCGGCCAGCCGCCCCGTCCGGGAGGTGAGGGGCTCCTCTGCCCGGCCGCCCCTACTGGGAAGTGAGGAGCCCCTCTGCCCGGCCAGACGCCCCGTCCAGGAGGGAGGTGGGGGGGTCAGCCCCCCGCCCGGCCAGCCGCCCAGTCCGGGAGGGAGGTGGGGGGTCAGCCCCCCGCCCGGCCAGCCGCCCCGTCTGGGAGGGAGTTGGGGGGATCAGCCCCCCGCCTGGCCAGCCGCCCCATCCGGGAGGTGAGGGGCGCCTCTGCCCGGCCGCCCCTACTGGGAAGTGAGGAGCCCCTCTGCCCGGCCAGCCGCCCCGCCCGGGAGGGAGGTGGGGGGGGTCAGCCCCCCGCCTGGCCAGCCGCCCCGTCCGGGAGGGGGGAGGGGGGGTCAGCCCCCTGCCCGGCCAGCCGCCCCGTCCGGGAGGGAGGTGGGGGGGGTCAGCCCCCCGCCTGGCCAGCCGCCCCGTCCGGGAGGGAGGTGGGGGGATCAGCCCCCCGCCTGGCCAGTCGCCCCGTCCGGGAGGTGAGGGGCGCCTCTGCCCGGCCGCCCCTACTGGAAAGTGAGGAGCCCCTCTGCCCGGCCAGCCGCCCCGTCCGGGAGGGAGGCGGGGGGGGGGGGGTCGGCCAGCCGCCCTGTCCGGGAGGGAGGTGGGGGGGGTCAGCCCCCCGCCTGGCCAGCCGCCCCGTCCGGGAGGGAGGTGGGGGGATCAGCCCCCCGCCTGGCCAGTCGCCCCGTCCGGGAGGTGAGGGGCGCCTCTGCCCGGCCGCCCCTACTGGGAAGTGAGGACCCCTCTGCCCGGCCAGCCGCCCCGTCCGGGAGGGAGGTGGGGGGGACAGCCCCCCCGCCCAGCCAGCCGCCCTATCCAGGAGGTGAGGGGCGCCTCTGCCCGGCCGTCCCTACTGGGAAGTGAGGAGCCCCTCTGCCTGGCCAGCCGCCCCGTCCGGGAGGGTGGTGGGGGGGTCAGCCCCCCGCCCGGCCAGCCGCCCCATCCGGGAGGTGAGGGGCGCTTCTGCCCGGCCGCCCCTACTGGGAAGTGAGGAGCCCCTCTGCCCGGCCACGACCCCGTCTGGGAGGTGTGCCCAGCGGCTCATTGGGGATGGGCCATGATGACAATGGCGGTTTTGTGGAATAGAAAGGCGGGAAGGGTGGGGAAAAAATTGAGAAATCGGATGGTTGCCGGGTCTCTGTGGATAGAAGTAGACATGGGAGACTTTTCATTTTGTTCTGTACTAAGAAAAATTCTTCTGCCTTGGGATCCTGTTGATCTGTGACCTTATCCCCAACCCTGTGCTCTCTGAAACATGTGCTGTGTCCACTCAGGGTTAAATGGATTAAGGGCGGTGCAAGATGTGCTTTGTTAAACAGATGCTTGAAGGCAGCATGCTCCTTAAGAGTCATCACCACTCCCTAATCTCAAGTACCCAGGGACACAAACACTGCGGAAGGCCGCAGGGACCTCTGCCTAGGAAAACCAGAGACCTTTGTTCACTTGTTTATCTGCTGACCTTCCCTCCACTATTGTCCTATGACCCTGCCAAATCCCCCTCTGCGAGAAACACCCAAGAATGATCAATAAAAAAAAAATAAATTAATTAAAAAAAAAAAAAAAAAAAAAAAAAAAACCCTTAACTACTTTTCCTTCTGTAGTAAGTTCCCCTCTTCTATGCTCTATTTAAGAGAATAGTACACAAAAACTTCTTTGTGTTCCTTTTTTTTCTTTTCTCACTTTCTCTTCTGTTTTCCTGGCTTTAAGGACATACCATTAACCTTTTTAAACTGTTTGTTTTCAAGTTTTTGATACCTCGCTGATCACGTCACGCTTTCCTCTTCTGGTGTCTCTTGATTTTTCTGTTCCCTAAATGTGGACTATGCACGGCTTACTCCCTGAGCTTCTTGGTTCCTGTCCACACCCAATGTGGGTGGCAAGCCACCCAGGTGCTGAGGCAAGAGACCAAGGACACGAGCTGTTTCAGTATAATAAAATATAAAACAAGAATAGTTATACCAGATATAGATCTTAGTTATGATTATATATGAATATCATTAATCATTTGTTTGTAGCAGTTACCCTTTATCCCAATATTATAATAATCCTCCCTCTGTAATCATAGCCTAGGAAAAGCCAGGCCATACAGAGATAGGAGCTGAGGGGACACAGTGAGAAGTGACCAGAAGACAAGAGTGCGAACCCTCTGTCATGCCCGGACAGGGCCACCGGAGGGCTCCTTGGTCTAGCGGTGACGCCAGCGTCTGGGAAGACGTCCGTTGCCAAGCGGACCGTGGTCTAGCGGTAGCGTAAGTGGCAAGGAACAACACCCGCTACTTAGCAGACTGGGGAAGGGAGTCTCCCTTTCCCCGGGGGAGTTTAGAGAAGACTCTGCTCCTCCACCTCTTGTGGAGGGCCTGACATCAGTCAGGCTCGCCCGCAGTTATCCGGAGGCCTAACCGTCTCCCTGTGATGCTGTGCTTCGGTGGTCACGCTCCTAGTCCGCCTTCATGTTCCATCCTGTACACCTGGCTCTGCCTTTAGATAGCAGTAGCAAATTAGGGAAAGTACAAAAAGTCTCTGATAAGCAGAAATAATAGTGTAAGCTGTTTCTCTCTTTCTCCTCTCTCTCTCTGCCTCGGCTGCCAGGCAGGGAAGGGCCCTCTGTCCAGTGGACACGTGACCCACGTGACCTTACCTATCATTGGAGATGGCTCACACTCCTTATCCTGCCCCTTTGTCTTGTATCCAATAAATATCAGCGCGGCCTGGCATTCGGGGCCACTACCGGTCTCCACGTCTTGGTGGTAGTGGTCCCCCGGGCCCAGCTGCCTTTTCTTTTATCTCTTTGTCTTGTGTCTTTATTTCTAAGCTCTCTCGTCTCCACACACGAGGAGAAAACCCACCAATCCTGTGGGGCCGGACCCTACAACCCATGCCCTTCCTTATCATCTCATCTCACAGCTTTAAACCCACCTACACGGCTCCCTGTTCCCTGCAGACTTCTCCCTTGAACACTGGAATCCTTTGTCCAGTTGTCTCCTCAACACTCTGCTGGGAGGTGGAACAGGCATCTCCACCTTCGTATGTCCAAAAGGGTCATCCTGAATTCCCCCAAAGGTGTTCCCCAGCAGACCCAGGGTGGATGGGGGCCACCCTGTACTTCTTGGGGCTTAGCTGAACATGTCAGCATGTATTTAAAATAGAGAAGATATGACATTATTTGCGAGTTAAAAATAAGATAAGTGGATTAAAGAAATCCAGTGTTTTAAAAATTATTTATTATTTCTTCTAGTCTTTTTTTTTGAGACAGGGTCTCGCTCTGTCGCCCATGCTGGACTGCAGTGGTGTGATCTTGGCTCACTGCAACCTCCACCTCCTGTCCTCAAGCCATCCTCCTACCTCAGCCTCCCAAGTAGCTGGGACTACAGGCACGTACCAACACACCTGACTAAATTTTGTACCTTTTTTACAGATGGGGTTTTGCCATGTTGCCCAGGCTGGTCTCAAACTCCTGAGCTCAAGCAGTCCACCCACCTCTGCCTCCCAAAGTGCTGAGATTACAGGCAAGAGCCACTGCGCCCAGCTTAAACATTCTTTGGAGGTGTGGGAGAAAAACTGTTTGAAGACCTCAGCCCTCCCTGACCTGCTCCCCCAGGACCTCTCTGACCTCGTCTCCTGCCTGTGCCTCCTTGCTCCCTCTGCTCCAGCCACTCAGGCCCCTTTCCTTTTCCGGGGTCCCCAAGTTGCTCCTGCCTCAGGGCCTTCACATGGGTGGTCCCTCTGCCTAGGACTCTGGCCCCTCAGGTGCAGGTGCAAACACCCTTCCTAACCCAGGTCTTTGTTCTGATATCACTTCCTCAGTGGGGACTTCCGTGACCCTCTCCCTGACCCCCGCTTCAGCATTCCATCCCCACCCCCACCCTCACCTCTTGTCTGTATTGGCTGTTCTGCGTGTTTCTCTGTGCTGCTTCACCTTCCACTGTCTGGATCCTGATGACAAGGCCCCCAGGGAAAGTACAGCCAGAAGGTGGGGGGGCTGTGCTGGGCTCGGCCCCTCTCAGTGGAGCTCAAGAATGCTGAGGCATTTTGCAAATACATCTCTTACGCCCCCTTAGCAGAGATTTTCATTCAGATAAGTTGCAGCCCAGCTTCAGTGACATTTAAGATTTGTTCTGTTCTGTTATTCTGTATCTACTATTGAGCACCAGGGCACTGCTGATCATTTCTGAAGGCTGAGATCAGCCTATGACTCACAGAGGGGAGAGGGACTGTGCTCAGCATGGGGTTTGGTCAGGGCTGGGTCTGTGCCCCGAACAGAAGCTCATTCCAGCCCAGCTCCCCACTGCTGCAGCCTGTGTGGGGGCTTCTCCAGGAGGGGAGTGGGTTCTAAAGAAAGAGGTCAGAAACTCACTTGTTTTTCCTGTAGGAGTTTCTCATCCCTGCATCTTTTCTGGTGCAGTGGGCAGCAGAGGACCATCTTCCCTGTGTATAAGGTCTTCCCTGTGTATAAGGTTATGGCCCAGGGAGGGGGTGTGTTGATTCTAACCAACAAACAGCGTATTTTTGACATTCAGGATTGAATTCTAAAGTCTCTTTCATGTTACCCAAGGTAGAACCCTGGAAGAAGAGGAAGAGGAAGGCAAAGGAGTCAGGGATGGCTCTTCCTCAGGTGAGATGATATTCTCGGTGGATTGTTCTGTCTCCTTCCTTTCAGAAACCTTGGACCTTGGAGTTGGGAATCTTCTCTGAGTCTGAAGCATCCTGCCTGACAGGTTTGCTCGCACTCACTCGTGCCTTCCCTCAGTCCCTCTCATCTCACTTAGATTCCATCTCTGGTGACCCAGTGACATGAACTTGGGAAGAGGCTGCACGGGGCATGGACCTGGGAAGGGCTCACACCCCGACATGGATGGAGACGGGGTGAGGGTCCCGTGGTGTCAGTGCTGTTGGGCAACAGGGATTGTTCAGGACATATTTGAATATATTGACAGCTCTGTGTAAACTGTGATAAGAGAAGCTGGTTATGAAGTCAGATGTTAGTGTGTACAAGCACCCACGAAATGCTGTAAAATGAGACGACTGTGGGGAAAGCTTTGTCACCTCATTTATATTTGCATTTGATGCCGAACAAGTGAGTCACTGTGTTTCTGACTCCAAACTCCTTTTTTTTGTTGTTTTTGTTGAGACAGAGTCTCGCTCTGTCGCCTAGGCTGGAGTGCAGTGACGCGATCTCAGCTCACTGCAACCTCCGCCTCCTGGGCTCAAGTGATTCTCTGGCCATGGCCCCCTGCGTAGCTGGGACTACAGGCATGCATCACCATGCCCGGCTATTTTTTTTTGTATTTTTAATAGAGATGGTGTTTCACCGTGTTGCCCAGGCCGGTCTCCAATTCGTGAGCTCAAGCGATCCACCCGCCTCGGCCTCCCAAAGTGCTGGGATTACAGGCGTGAACTACCGCGCCCGGCCTTCATTACTTATATTCAACCAAGAGAGAAACTTATCCCTCAGGCAGCGCCCTGAAAAGACAGAATATTGGATGAATGTTTTCATACTTTTCCTCTCCCAGGAGAAATGGGAAATTGGTGTTTTTCTTGCAGTGACACTGCATCATGCCAGGGTAAGGCCTCTGGGAGCAGATGTCCTGTATTTTCCTACTAGACTTCTGTTAAGAGTTCCAACCTCTTAAATGACCACTGGGTTTCTCACAAAGCAATTGGTTCATATATTGCTACTACATTTGTGTCTCCGTGGTGGAGGTAGTGTTTGGGAGTTCTAGTCCTCTATTTTATTGACATCATCACTTTAGTACAGTCTTATAATTTCTTTAAATAGGTCTGGAAACGTATTTTAATAGGTAGCATTGTATAATTCCTAATGTACTCGTGAGATGCATTGTGTGTTTGTGTCTAATGAGAGCTGCTAAAGAAAGAATGAAGATTGTTTTCACAGTATTGTTATTAGTTCTTAAACTTCAATGCATTCTTCTCCTGGGTTGTGAGTATGTCATCTGTTAGTTTTAACAGATCCAGCTCCTACTTTACCTTTTTCTTGGTCTCAGCTCAGGCATGCTCTGAAGTGGGCTTTAGCTGGAGCCTTGGTGAGCCCCCATTTTCTCCTTTTTTTTTTTTTCTGATACAAGGTCCGGCCCTGTCGCCCAGTCTGGAGTGCAGTGGTGCAATCTCGGCTCACTGCAACCTCCACCTCCTGGGCTCAAGCCAGCCTCCCATCTCAGCCTCTCAAGTAGCTGGGACTACACGTGCATGCCACCACACCCAGCTAATTTTTATATTTTTTGTAAAGATGGGGGTCTCACTATTTTGCCAAGGATCGTCTCGAATTCCTGAGCTCAAGCAATCCACCCGCCTTGGCCTCCCAAGGTGTTAGGATTACAGGCATGAGCCATCATGCCCAGCCCATTTTCTCCATTTTAATTTAGATCAAATGCATCCAGCATTTACTGCTTGATTATGATGTTTGGTGAAATTTTCTTGTTTAATATTAGCTTTTGGGTGTTTTTCAAATTTCCTTTTTGGACTGATTTTTAATTATCCAATAATTTCTTTGAGTAAGTATTGTTGCAATATGTACTTCTGAAATCTATTCATGTATGATATTAAAAAATGTCCTAATCTTAGGATTTCATGAGTAAAATAAACTAAAACCTCCATTGGGCTTTTGTTAATGCCTAAATATCTAAATTTAACTGGAAAAAAATGGTATCTGTACTTTTAATATTTGTATTTAATACCAATTGGAGTACAAGTTCTTACATATTTTTGTTTTAGCGTTTTTACAGCTTAATTTACAAAAATGTTTGTAAACTAAATCAAGTACAATTCATGCATTTCAGTTGTCCCAGACTTTCTGAAAAGCACATGAGCAAAAAAGACAACTAAAGATGTCATAAAAAAAAATACATCATTGAGACACATCTCCTTATTTCACTTAATTTAACTGGTATATGTGATGTGCACACATGAATATGTAGATGCATACACCCATGGTTTTATAAAAGACATACCATCATTTAAATAAATTGTATGTGTTTTATCATTTGAAATCATATTTTAAATATTTTCTGTGGCCTTAAATTTGTTCTCCACTGTCTTTTTTTTTTTTGAGATGGAGTTTCACTCTTTTGCCCAGGCTGGAGTGAAGGGGCGCAATCTCGGCTCACTGCAACCTCTGCTTCCTAGGTTCAAGCAATTCTCCTGCCTCAGCCTCCCGAGTAGCTGGGATTACAGGTGTCTGCCATCACACCTGGCTAATTTTTGTATTTTTAGTAGAGACGGGGTTTTACCATGTTAGCCAGGCTGGTCTCGAACTCCTGACCTCAGGTGATCCATCTAACTCGGCCTCCCAAAGTGCTGAGATTACAGGTGTGAGCCACCACACCCAGCCTGTTCTCTATTATCTATTAATGAACTAATAGGATAGTAATATATGGACATAAATGCGTTTGTGTATATAATGACCTTTGGTGAAATTCCATATTGTTAGCCTTGAACTTGTTTCAGTTTTTCTCAGTTAGGTGACCTCATGTTAATTTACTTTTGGTGCTGTTTAGGAAAAACAACTCAAAAACCATGTTTTCCTCTGCTCTCACACCAACACCACAATCCACACAGAAGACTTCTGTGGCCAAATGCGAGGGGTTTCTCCCCACCAACAAACAGCAAGCAACCAACTGGCTGTCCTCCAGTTCAGTTCCAACACTGTCTGCATGAAGATAGTGTCAGATCTCACAGATTGATGGCTCAGTTCCCAGTTGCATGTCCAGGCCTCTGAAACTTCTGACCGACCAACTTCAAGTTGAAGTTCCCATGAACCCTTCTTTGGGTTGGATTTATTTGCTGGAGCAACTCTTAGAGGTCAGAGAAACACTCAGTTTTACTGGTTGATTATAAATACTATTACAGAAGATACCAGTGAAGAGATGCATAAGGTGAGGTATGGGGAAAGGGGCGCAGAGCTTCCCTGCCCTCCCTGGGTATGCCGTCCTCCAGGAACCTCCACATGTCAGCCCTCTGGAAGCTCCCTGAACCCACTGCACTCCAGCCTGGGTGACAAAGCAAAACTCCATCTCAAAAAAAAAAACAAAAAAAAGAAATAAATTTACATATTTATACAAAACTCATAAACTCATAGCCACTTTTTTTTTTTTTTTTTTTTTTGAGACGGAATCTCGCTCTGTGTCACCCAGGCTGGAGTGCAGTGGTGCGATCTCGGCTCACTGCAAGCCCCGCCTCCCAGGTTCATGCCATTCTCCTGCCTCAGCCTCCCGACCAGCTGGGACTACAGGCGTCCGCCACCACGCCTGGCTAATTTATTTTTGTATTTTTAGTAGAGACGGGGTTTCACCGTGTTAGCCAGGATGGTCTCGATCTCCTGACCTCGTGATCCACCCGCCTCGGCCTCCCAAAGTGCTGGGATTACAGGCATGAGCCACTGTGCTCAGCCAAAACTCATAGCCACTTTTATCTTTGTTTTCTCTTTTGATTCTACCCAAATTTCCAGTGAGAAAGTCCTGAATTCAGTGCTGAAATTAGGTTTTTACATGTGCTTTTTTCTATAAGTGTGACCTTGTAATAAAGGAAGTGGTTTGTTGTCCTTGATAATCTCATTTGGCTCCTGTGTAGTTCTTTGAGATAATTCCCCTGCCAGCTGGTTGTCTTCCAAATGCGTGCAAACTATATTATACTACTTTATGCAAACTATATTATACTACTTTATGCAAAGAGACAGACACTACTTTTTACTGTATCTTTCTAGGACTTTTTATTCTGTTTTCAGTTTAAATTTGCTTACCCCTGAGATTTTAAAGTCTCTTTCTTCATAAAACACTATTTGAACTTGAATATATTAACACATTCTGTGGCCAGTTTTGCTCGACATCATTTTACCCTTCATTCTCCAACATTCTCTCATTTCTTGTACTTCTTTATTTGTTTGTATTTATTTATTTTTACTTTTAATAATTTTTACTTTTTTGTAGAAACAAGGTCTTGCTATGTTGCCCAGGCTGGTCTCAAACTCCTGGGTTCAAACAATCTGCCTGCCTTGGCCTCCCAAAGTGCTGGGACTACAGGCATGAGCCACCATGCCTGGCCAATTTCTTTATTTTGTAAACCTCATTTTCACAGTAGTTCAGAGGATTTCAGCCACAGTGTAGCATCTAAAAGACTGGGAAAGTTCTTTTCTAACCAGTTTAATGACCAAGAAACTATTCAGACCAATCTACATGTCAGTCATTCACAGTAGAACGTGAGCAGCTGCTGATAGATGTTGCACAAAAGGATGTTGGGAATCTATTAGACATTGGTACACGTCGTTACATAAATGAATTCTTCCAAAATGACCACCCTTTCAGAACCTTGGACAGATACATTGACTCCTTTGTACTGATCTCAGACACTGAGATTCTAAAATGAAAACTCTGAAGGCTCTTCTTGACTATGTAGCCTTCCTTAATGCTTTAGCATTCCAAACCGCCTACTTACCCTCTTTGGAAGATTATTCAGGGCATTGCGAGCTGCTCTTTCAGGTAGCTTGCCTGTTGCTTAACTGATTGCTTAGGTTTAATTTTAATTCCTAGACACCTGGGTACAGGTACTTGCTCTGTCATTTTTAGTCCTTTGACCTGAGACAGGTTTCTCAGTGTGTCTGTGAAACAGTTGTCCCCACAGTAAAATGGGAGCAGATCTTTCTCTCATGGGCTACAGTGTTGTATGTGTTAGTACACGTAAAGGATTTAAAATACTACCTTGCATATGGGCATTGTTCTTAAATCCCTGTCATTGCTATTGCTCTCATCATAGTTTTAAGGCTCTGACTTGTTTTTTCTTCAAAGCCACTGTGGATATTATCATCGTTGAAGACACCACTCATTCTCTAGGTCATCTAGATGCTGAATATTGCTTGATGTGTCCGACATAATATCTATCTAACACTGGTAGAGATAAACTTGTGCTGGGTTTTTTTGTTTTGTTTTGTTTTGTTTTGTTTTGTTTTGTTTGTCTCCCTGTTGCCCAGGCTGGAGTGCAGTGGCACAATCTTGGCTCACTGCAACCTCTGCCTCCCAGGTTCAAGCAATTTCCGGCTAATTTTTGTATTTTTAGTAGAGACAGCGTTTCACTGTGTTGGCCAGGTTGGTCTCGAACTCCTGACCTCAAGTGATTACCCCACCTTGGCCTCCCAAAGTGCTAGGATTACAGGCATGAGCCACTGAGCCCAGCTGATTTTGTATCTGTATATTTATTTATTGTCCACAAAACAAATCCACACTAATTTAGAGGATATCATAACCTCTTAGGGAAAAGAATAATGAAACAGGATTAAACAGACATAACTTGCTCAAATAAATTTTAGTGTGTGAGAATATAGGGAAAAACTGGTTCAGTTTTTTGTTTGTTTGTTTGTTTTTGTTTTTGTTTGAGATAGAATCTCGCTCTGTTGCCCAGGCTGGAGTGCAATGGTGTGATCTCAGCTCACCACAACCTCCACCTCCCGGCTTCAAATGATTCTCCGGCTTCAGCTTCCCAAGTAACTGGGATCACAGGTGCCTGCCACCACACCTGGCTATTTTTGTATTTTTAGTAGAGACGGGGTTTTGCCATGTTGGCCAGGCTCGTCTCGAACTCCTGACCTCAGGTGATCCACCCGCCTTGGCCTCCCAAAGTGCTGGGATTACAGGCGTGAGCCACCATGCCCAGCCAGATTCAGTTTCTTCTACTGTACTCTTGCAACACAGAATGCTTCCGTTCTCCCAGATGTGTTGGGTTTTCCATCACATCAATCAAGCAGTTCTGCCGTGGATATATGACCTGGGTGTCCTCCCATTCAGTTCAGTTCTTACACTGTCTGGATATGGCATCACATCCCACAGGTGTAGGGCTCAGTCCCACAAGGGTGCAGCCACCTCATTGCCATTCACAAACACAGATTGTGGCTTGGGTTTCTCACTAACTGGCTTAAGTTGTAAATTCTCATCACCTTTTCGTTGGGATCAATTAATTTGTTAGAGTGGCTCACAGAATTCAGGGGAAGACTTGATTCATATTGATTCATTTATTGCTGAGGATATAACAAAGAATGCAGGTGGAAGCGATCTATTGGGTGAGATAGGGAGAAGGGGCTCTGAGCTTCCATGCCCTCTGTGGGTGCACCACTCAAGGAGCCTCCATGTTATCATCTGTCCCAGATGCTCCTCAGAACCTTAATTTTTTGCATTTTTGTGGAAGGTTCATTACATAGGCATAACTGTTTACATTATTGGCCATGGATGTTCAACTGAACCTTCAGCCCTTCTTCCCTTTTGCAGTGTTGGAGATTGAGCCTGGAAGTCCCAACCCTGTAATCTTTTATTTATTTTTATTCTTATTTATTTATTTTGAGACAGAGTCTCACTCTGTCACCCAGGCTGCAGTGTGGTGCTGTGATCTCGGCTCACTGCAACCTCTGCCTCCCAGGTTCAAGTGATTCTGCTGCCTCAGCCTCCTGAGTAGCTGGGATTGCAGGTACGCACCACCATGCCCGGCTAATTTTTGTATTTTTAGTAGAGACAGGGTTTCACTGTGTTGGCCAGGCTTGTCTCAAACTCCTGACCTCAAGTGATCCACTGGCCTTGGCCTCCCAAAGTGCTGGGATTACAGGCATGAGCAATGGCTCCCAGCCTAACCCTGTAATCTTGCCTTGGTCTTTCCAGTGTCCAGCCCACACCCTGAAGCTATCTAGCAGCCTTCAGCCACCAGTTAGCCTCACTGACATACAAAAAGATACTTATCACCTCACAGATTTCAAGTGAGCCCTTTTCAGGAAAAGGGGAGGAAGATCAAATCTGTATGTACCGTGATCACAGCCTGGATGTGTCAGTCTGCTTACGTGAATTGAACCTATTCTTACAGCTCTCTCCTCTTCTTGTTTTATGTGAAGATTCAAATTTTCCTCATAGTCACTTGGTGAAATGTGTTTTTCATTTTAGGGACAGTTGACATTCAAGGATGTGGCCATAGAATTCTCTCAGGAGGAGTGGACATGCCTGGACCCTGCTCAGAAGACTTTGTACAGGGACGTCATGTTGGAGAATTATAGGAACCTGGTCTCCCTGGGTGAGGATGACTTTCTTTTAGAAGTCAGGGTCTGTTCTCGTGTATGTTTTCATTTTCCCTTGTGAGTCTCTTGAGAGCCCCTGCATTGCTTGATGAGGATTGATGTCCTGTTGACTCATAAATGAAAAGCCTAATCATGCAGGATCTGGACTTTAATCTTGCTGTTTCTCGAGATGGTCTGCCCACTTTGTGGAGAGTTTTAGAGTTTTGTATGCATAATACCTTGTACCAGACTTTTAAAATGTTTGATTTTCTGTTTTCTACTTCTGTGCTTTTGATTGAGTGGTTCATGGAAGAAAGCTAGATATCTGCGTAGTGTGGTGTTTCCTAACCACTCAGGAGGCATTCCGTGGATCAACTGTTGAAATGTTTTTCCAAATCCGTCTACAGTTTCCTCTCTTCTCATGTAAACCTAAGGGTACGATTCTGGAAAAGCCACAGCACATTATATTTCTTTTTTTTTTTCTTTCTTTCTTTTCTTTCTTTTTTTTTTTTTTTTGAGACGGAGTTTCACCCTTGTCACCCAGGCTGGAGTGCAATGGCACGATCTCGGATCACTGCAACCGCAACTACCGCCTCCTGAGTTCAAGCGATTCTCCTGCCTCAGCCTCCCGAGTAGCTGGGATTACAGGCTTTAGCCACCATGCCGAGCTAATTTTTGTATTTTTAATAGAGACAAGGTTTCACCATGTTGGCCAGGCTAGTCCCGAACTCCTGACCTCAGGTGATCTGCCCAACTCAGCCTCCCAGAGTGCTGGGATTACAGGCGTGAGCCACCATGCCTGGCCTTCTTTCTTCTCATAAGCAGGAATCTCTCCTTTTGATCTGAGTATTATCTCCTTGTTGGAACAAGGGAAGGAGCCCTGGAATGTGGAGAACCAAGAGACAATAGAAACTGGGAGTGGATCAGAGGTGGGATCACAGGTCAGAGTTCAGATGGGCAGGGAGAAAGCATCTCATTAGACAGTGTTTGAGAAACACCCTGCAAATGGGAGAGTTTTTTGGGAAAATAAAAGTTTATATCCTGTGATCACTGATAAGAATTTTTTTCCCTACCACTTAATACCCTGTTCTTTAGATGTGTAAAACTTCATCCTTCCAACCTGCAGTGGCGCTACAGCCCAAAGAGCAACACATGCAAAGTCTTGGTCATGATCTACAACCGTCTGTTACTGGCTTTCTATGAACTCTTAGTCCCTTTCAAAAGGGTTGCTCTCCTCCTTAGTCTCTCCTTCTGTGCTTGATTCAATCAAAAATCCTTATTTTTCTGTCCACAGAGACAGATGTGAGGACTCCATAGTTTTGGCAAGTGCCTCTATCCATACTTTATCCCATTTCATGAGCTTGGAAGACCTACTTCCAAGAGATGGAAAACACTGGCTGCTTCTCCTTTGCACCTGGGGCCCCGGAAACTTCACGGAACTGTCTTAAGCTTTCCTTGCCTGTTGAGGTCTCAGCTACTTCTTCTCTTCCACTTTGTGACAGTTTGTGGGTGTGGGTGACAAGGGGAGTGGGTTGGATCTTCTGAGATGGTTAGCCAAATTGTTAAGTACAGTGGACAGAAATGTCCTCTCTTTGATCCCAGTCCTACATCGGGCATGTATCCTGTTTTTTTCACACTTGAGCATGGGATTCATTGAACAAAACAAACCTGGAGGCATCACACTACCTTACTTCAAACTGTATTATGAAGATATAGTAATTAAAACAGGATAGTACTTCCTTAAAAATAGACACATCAACCAGTGGAACAGAATAAAAAGAGTAAAAAATGCTAGATGCGGTGGCTTTCCCCTGTAATCCCAGCAGTTTGGGAGGCTGAGGTGGGTGGATCACGAGCTCAGGAGTTTGAGACCAGCCTGTCCAATATGGTGAAATGCTGTCTCTACTAAAAATACAAAAATTAGCCAGGCATGGTGGTGCACACCTGTAGTCCCAGCTACTTGGGAGGCTGAGGCAGAAGAATCACTTGAACCCGGGAGGCAGAGGTTGCAGCGAGCTGAGATTGTGCCACTGCACTCCAGCCTGGCGACAGAACGAGACTCCATCTCAAAAAAAAAAAAAAAAAAAAAGAGTGAAAAAAAAAATGATGGATATATGGCCAGTTGCCTTTTGACAGAGGTACCAAGAACACACAATTAAAACAAGGACAGTTTTTTCAATAAGTATTGCTAGAAAAAAGCAATATCCACACACAGGAGAATGAAATGGATGTTAATCTCACACCAGATACCAAAATTGATTCAAAATGTATTAAATACTTAAACGTAAGACCTGATAATGTAAAACTACTAGAAGTAATCATAGGGGAAAACCTACATGACGTTATCAATGATTTTTTGGCCTTGAGCCCAGAAGCTTGTGCAACAAAAGCAAACAGATAAATGGGGTAGCATCTACTGAAAATGCTTCTGCACTGCAAAGGGAACAATTAACATAATGAAGAGACAACCTACGGATTGTGAGAAAGTATTTGCAATTTGTATATTTGACACCAATTTAATGTCCAAAATGTGTGAGAAATCGAAACTACTCAATAGCATGAAAACAAACCAATTTAAAAAATGGCCAAGGGATCTCAATATACATTTTATTTCCTTTTTTTTTTTTTTTTTTTTTTGAGACAGAATCTCGCTCTGTCACCCAGGCTGG
Source organism: Homo sapiens (assembly GCF_000001405.40). NCBI lineage: Eukaryota > Metazoa > Chordata > Mammalia > Primates > Hominidae > Homo > Homo sapiens. The sequence continues at coordinate 53,172,792 of NC_000019.10, read as the reverse complement.
AGTGCAGTGGCGTGATCTTGGCTCACTGCAATCTCCGCCTCCCAGGTTCAAGTGATTCTCCTGCCTCAGCCTCCCAAGTAGCTGGGACTACAGGCGTGCACCACCACGCCTGACTAATTTTTGCGTTTTTGGTAGAGACAGGGTTTCACCACATTGGCCAGGCTGGTCTCAAACCCCTGGTCTCACATGATCCATCCACCTTGGCCTCCCAAAGTGCTGAGATTACAGGTATGAGCCTCAATATACAGTTCTTGAAGGAAGGCAGACAAACAGCCAACATCACTACTTGCAGAGATAAAAATTTAAAGCAGCATAAAATATCACGTAGTTGTCAGAATGGCTACTGTCAGGAGGACAAAAGATATGTGTTAGCAAAGATATGGAGACTGGGGGTTCTCATACACTATTGGTTGAATGTAAATTAGTCCAGGCATTATGAAAAATTATGTGGAAATTTCTCAAAAAAATAAAAATAAAAGTACTATATTATCCAGCAATCCCACTTCTGGGTATACAGTTGGCCCTTGAACAGCACAGGTTTGAATTCCATGGGTCATCTTATATATGGGTTTTATTCCAGTAAATATATTGGAAATTTTTAAAGACATTTCCAACAATTTGAAAAAGCAGACAAATTGCATAACCTAAAAATATTATAAAAATTAAGAAAAAATTAGGTATGTCATGAATGCATAAATTATTACTCTATTATTTACCACCATAAAAAATACACAAATCTGGCCGGGTGTGGTGGCTCACACCTGTAATCCCAGCACTTTGGGAGGCCAAGGTGTGTGGATCACCTGAGGTCAGGAGTTCGAGACCAGCTGGCCAACATGGTGAAACCCTGTTTCTACTAAACATACAAAAAGTAGCTGGGTGTGGTGGCACATGCCTGTAATCCCAGCTAGGTGGGAGGCAGAGGCTGGAGAATCACTTGAACCAGGGAAACAGAAGTTGCAGTGAGCCGAGATCACACCACTGCCCTCTAGCTTGGGCATCAGAATGAGACTCTCTTTCAAAATAAAAACACAAATCTATCATAAAAAATTAAAACTTATACACACACTTACTGCATGTGACATACAGTACAAAAATCAGCTGGGCGTGGTGGCAGGCACCTGTAATCCCAGCTACTCGGGAGGCTGAGGCAGAGAATTGTTTGAACCTGGGAGGCGGAGGTTGCAGTGAGCCAAAATCACGCCACTGCACTCCAGCCTGGGTGACACAGTGAGACTCCGTCTAAAAAAAGAAAAAAAAAAAAAAAATATATATATATATATATATACACACACACACACACAAATGTAAAGATATAATAATCATAATTGTATAGAACTAATTTTAGTACATAGTGTACTGCCATACAATTTCATAGCCACCTCCTATTGCTATTACATGGAGCTCAAGTGTTGCAAGTATTTGCTTAATACACTCTGTAACGCTAATCATCTTTAAGTAGTTCATCTCTCCAGTAAATTGCATATCATAATAAAAAGTGATCTCTTGCCGCATGCGGTGGCTCAAGCCTGTAATCCCAGCATTTTGGGAGGCCAAGGTAGGCAGATCATGTGAGGCCAGGAGTTCGAGACCAGCCTGGCCAACATGGTGAAACCCCGTCTCTACTAAAAATATAAAAAATTAGCTGGGCCTAATGGTGGGCACCTGTAATCCCAGCTACTTGGGAGGCTGAGGCAGGAAAATTGCTTCAACCCGGGAGGTGGAGGTTGCAGTGAGGTGAGATTGTGCCACTGCACTCCAGCCTGGTGACAGAGCAAGACTCCGTCTCGAAAACAAACAAACAAACAAACAAAAAAGGAATACAGTATATAATACATATAACATAAAAAATACAAGATACATTCTAATCGACATTATATGTTTATTAGTAAAGCTTCCAGTCAATCGTAGGCTATTAGTGGTTAAGTTTTTGGGGAGTCAAAAGTTATACACAGATTTTCAACTGAGTGGAGGGTTGGCATTCTTAACCCCTACATTGTCCAAGGGTCAAGTATAGATCCAAAGGATTTAAATCAGCATATCTATGACGTATCTGCATTCCATGTTTAATGCAGCATTGTTCACAATAGTCGAGTTATGAAATCAAACTACGTGTTCATTAACAGATGAATGGATAAAGAAAATGATGGAACACTGTGTAGCCTTTAAAAGAAGGAAGTTCTGTCTGCCAGAACATGGATGGACCCCGAGGATATTTTGCTAAATGAAATAATCTAGGCACAGAAATACAAGTACTGCACCTTCTTACCTATATGTGGAATCCAAACCTCTTGAACTCATAGAAAGAAGAACGTTGGTTACAAGAGGGTGGGGTTGGGGAGATTAGGAAGATGTTTGTCGTTTCAACACAAAGGTTCAATTAAACAAGAGTAAATGACACATTTTTCACATGATGGATGTGGTAATAAGCGTGATTCCATCATTCCACATTCTATATATGCATCATGACATCATTTTTTCCCCATAAATATATACACCTGTAGTTTGCCATTATACAATAAAAGTTTTTTTTAAAAAAGTTATATTCCATTCCTCACACCAGTTAGAATGGCAATCATTAAAAAGTCAGGAAACAACAGGTGCTGGAGAGGATGTGGAGAAATAGGAACACTTTTACACTGTTGGTGGGACTGTAAACTAGTTCAACCATTGTGGAAGTCAGTGTGGCGATTCCTCAGGGATCTAGAACTAGAAATACCATTTGACCCAGCCATCCCATTACTGGGTTTATACCCAAAGGACTATAAATCATGCTGCTATAAAGACACACGCACACGTATGTTTATTGCGGCACTATTCACAATAGCAAAGACTTGGAACCAACCCAAATGTCCAACAATGATAGACTGGATTAAGAAAATGTGGCACATATACACCATGGAATACTATGCAGCCATAAAAAATGATGAGTTCATGTCCTTTGTAGGGACATGGATGAAATTGGAAATCATCATTCTCAGTAAACTATTGCAAGAACAAAAAACCAAACACCGCATATTCTCACTCATAGGTGGGAATTGAACAATAAGAACACATGGACACAGGAAGGGGAACATCACACTCTGGGGACTGTTGTGGGGTGGGGGGAAGGGGGAGGGATAGGCTTTAGGAGATACACCTAATGCTAAATGACAAGTTAATGGGTGCAGCACACCAGCATGGCACATGTATACATATGTAACTAACCTGCACATTATGCACATGTACCCTAAAACTTAAAGTATAGTAATAATAATAAAAAAAGAAATATTTCCATTAAAAAAATTTTTTTTAAAGCCATCCAACCTATTTTCCAAAGTGGTTGTAGCCTTTTACATTCCCACTACCAGTGTGTGAGAATTTTAGTTTTTTCACATCCTTGTTAACACTTGGTATTGCTAGTTTTAAATTCCAGCCTTTCTAATCAACATTTAGTAGTTTAATTTGTATTTTCCTAATGACTATGATGTTGAATATCTTTTAATGTGCTTATTATCTATATATATTAATATTTTCTTTTGTGCAGTGTATGTTCAAATCATTTTCCAATGTTTAAAATTGGGCTTTTTGTTTTCTTAATATTGAACTTTGAGAGTTCTTTGTATATTCCAGATACAAAGTCTTTATCAGATTTGTGCTTTGTGAATATTTTCCCTCAGTCCGAGTCTTCATTCTTTTAACAGTGTGTCTTTATAAATTAATTCTTTTTTTTCTTTTATGGATCATGATTGTGGTATCATATCTAGGAAATCTTTGCTTGATCCGAGGGCTCCACAGATTTTTCCTCATGTTGGTTTTCTAAAAGTTTTATGGTTTAGATTTTACATTAGGTTTTCATCTGATCTATTTGAGTATATTTTTCTATATGGAATGAGGTATAAACAAAAGGGTTTTTTTGCATATGAAGATCTAATTGTTTCAGCACCATTTTTTAAAAAGACTGTCTTTTCTCCATGGAATTGCCATTTATTCTTTGTCAAAAATCAGTTGTCTATATAACGTGAGTCTATTTCAGTATTCTCTATTTCATTCCATTGATCTATTTGATATTTGTCTAATCAACAATAATCACACTGTCTTGATGACTACACTTTTATAATGAAAGCAGGTAGTGATAGTGTTACAACTTTCTTCTTTATCAAAATTGTTTTAATTATGCTAGATCCTTTCCATTTTCCTATGAATTTTAGAAAGCCTGTTAATTTCTCAAAAAATACATGCTGGAATTTTGGTTGGGATTGTGTTGAATCAATAGGCTAAATGGGGAGTGTTGCTGTTTTAACAATATTGAGTCTTCTAAATGCTGAACAAGATATATTTAGCTTTTCATTTATTTAGGTCTTCTTTAATTCCTCTCTGCAATATTTTATAGTTTTTAGTGTATAGGTTCTTCATATCTGCTGTCGGACTTTTCTCTAAGTATTTAATGTTTTTAAAGCTATTGCAAACTGCATTTTAGAAAACTTTCTGATTATTCATTGCTAGTATATAGAAATAAAATTGATTCTTTGGGGTATTGATAATGTATTCTTCAACCTTGCTAAACTCACTAGTTCTAGCAGCATTTTTGTAGAGTATATTGAATTTTCTCAAGGATGATTATGTTATCTGCAAATAAAGACAGTTTTATTTCATAAAAAAAAATTATATTCCAGTTCTTATATCCTGTGCTGGTTCTGAAGTAGAACTCCTCTTTTCTTTCTTTCTTTCTTTTTTTTTTTTTTTTTTTTTTTTTTTGAGAGGGAGTCAGGCTGTGTCGCCCAGGCTGGAGTGCAATGGCACAATCTCGGCTCACTGCAAGCTCCACCTCCTGGATTCACGCCATTCTCCTGCCTCAGCCTCCCGAGTAGCTGGGACTGCAGGCGCCCGCCACAACGCATGGCGAATTTTTTGTATCTTTAGTAGAGACGGGGTTTCATCGTGTTAGCCAGGATGGTCTCGATCTCCTGACCTCGTGATCCACCCGCCTCGGCCTCCCAAAGTGCTGGGATTACAGGCGGGAGCCACCGGCGCCCGGCAGACTCCTCTTTTCTCAAGAGAAATTGTTGGCCAAGCACCCTGGCTTACGCCTGTAATCCCAGCACTTTAGGAGGCTGAGGTGGGTGGATCACGAGGTCAGGAAATCGAGACCATCCTGGCTAACACGGTGAAACCCCGTCTCTACTAAAAATACAAAAAATTAGCCGGGCGCGGTGGCGGGCGCCTGTAGTCCCAGCTACTCGGGAGGCTGAGGCAGGAGAATGGCGGGAACCCGGGAGGCGGAGCTTGCAGTGAGCCGAGATCGCGCCACTGCCTGGGTGACAAAGCGAGACTCTGTCTCCAAAAAAAAAGAGAGAGAAATTGTTGACAATCCACAGACTATAACTTCCTGTAAACACGGTTACTAATTCTTGCCTACTGCTTATATCCTGAGTTGCTAAAATATTTTCTTAATTTCGATTATTATTGATAGAGGATGGTTTTTTACCATTTGTAAGAAATACAACTGTTGGGGCTGGGCGCAGTGGCTCACTCCTGTAATACCAGCACTTTGGGAGGCTGAGGCGGGGGGATCACCTGAGGTCGGGAGTTCGAGACCAGCCTGACCAACATGGAGAAACCCTGTCTCTACTAAAAATACAAAATTAGTCTGGCCTGGTGGTGCATGCCTGTAATCCCAGCTACTCAGGAGGCTGAGGCAGGAGAATCGCTTGAACCTGGGAGGCGGAGGTTGCGGTGAGCCGAGATTGCACCACTCACTCCAGCCTGGGCAACAAGAGCAAAAGTCCTTCTCAAAAAAAAGAAAGAAAGAAAGAAAGAAATATAACTGTTATATACCACTTGTTAATGTTGCAAAATGTTTGCTCTGTGTGGGTATATAGGGGTATGTAGTTTTATAACAGGTATTCAGAAAAATAGTTTTTTCTGACATTTTAAAATTGAATTCCTCCTCGTTTTTTCAGTGCTATTATTGTTTTCCAATTCAAAATTACTAGTTCTTTAATTATTCATTACATATGTTTGCTGTGAGTTATTTGCCATTAGAGTATATCATGTTGTGCTTCAGCATTTACTTATGCATAACAAATATGCTTTAAATAGGCACAATCTAAGAATTATTTCTCTTGAATTCTGTGACAGCCATATAAAATATACTGCCAATTGGTAGCCTTGGGTCATGGTTGAAAAATACTCCTTTCAGGGCTAATATGGGTTTGCACAATATGAGTGTTTTGTTCACAGAATGTTTAAAACTAGGATCCCCTACTATTTGAATTACATGTTACCACCTTTTCTTTGATAAGGAATCCTGTTCCTTTTGTGTTCTGGAAAATTATGGTTCTGAAGAATCGTAAGTCTGTTCAACATAACTATTACTTTTGGTGTAACATTAGGTTTTTCAATGGGAAATAGTTATTTACCTACTATAGTTAACTGGAAATCTATGGTTGTTTATATCTTACAGATATCTCTTGTAAATGTGTAAACACGGATTTGCCACCAAAGGGGAAGAACAATATGGGAGAAGCGTTCTACACGGTGAAGTTGGAGAGACTTGAAAGCTGTGACACTGTAGGCTTGTCCTTCCAGGAAGTTCAGAAAAATACATACGACTTTGAGTGTCAGTGGAAAGATGATGAAGGAAATTATAAAACAGTACTTATGTTGCAAAAAGAAAATCTCCCTGGTAGAAGAGCTCAACGTGATAGAAGGGCTGCAGGAAACAGGCATATTGAAAATCAGCTTGGAGTAAGCTTTCAGTCACATCTCCCTGAACTGCAGCAATTTCAACATGAAGGGAAAATTTATGAATACAATCAAGTTGAGAAGTCTCCTAATAATCGAGGAAAACATTATAAATGTGATGAATGTGGCAAGGTCTTCAGTCAAAACTCACGGCTAACAAGTCATAAGAGAATTCATACTGGAGAGAAGCCTTACCAGTGTAATAAGTGTGGCAAAGCCTTTACTGTTCGTTCAAACCTAACAATCCATCAGGTCATCCATACTGGAGAAAAACCTTACAAATGTAATGAATGTGGAAAGGTCTTCAGTCAACCTTCAAACCTTGCAGGTCATCAGAGAATTCATACTGGAGAGAAACCTTACAAGTGTAATGAGTGTGGCAAAGCCTTTAGAGCACATTCAAAACTAACTACACATCAGGTCATCCATACTGGAGAAAAACCTTACAAATGTAAGGAATGTGGCAAGTGCTTCACTCAAAATTCACACCTTGCAAGTCATCGAAGAATTCATACTGGGGAGAAGCCTTACAAGTGTAATGAGTGTGGCAAAGCCTTTAGTGTTCGCTCAAGCCTGACTACCCATCAGACAATCCACACTGGAGAAAAACCTTACAAATGTAATGAATGTGGCAAGGTCTTCAGGCACAATTCATACCTTGCAAAGCATCGGCGAATTCATACTGGTGAGAAACCTTACAAGTGTAATGAGTGTGGGAAAGCCTTCAGTATGCATTCAAACTTAACTAAGCATCAGATCATCCATACCGGAGAAAAGCCTTTCAAATGTAATGAATGCGTCAAGGTTTTCACTCAGTATTCACACTTAGCAAATCATCGAAGAATTCATACTGGAGAGAAACCTTACAGGTGTGATGAGTGTGGCAAAGCCTTTAGTGTGCGATCAAGCCTAACTACCCATCAGGCAATTCATACTGGAGAAAAGCCTTACAAATGTAATGACTGCGGTAAGGTCTTCACACAAAATTCACACCTTGCAAGTCATCGGGGAATTCATTCTGGAGAGAAACCTTACAAGTGTGATGAATGTGGTAAAGCCTTCAGTCAAACATCACAACTTGCAAGGCATTGGAGAGTTCATACTGGAGAAAAACCTTACAAGTGTAATGAGTGTGGCAAAGCCTTTAGTGTTCATTCAAGCCTAACTATACATCAGACAATACATACTGGACAAAAACCATACAAATGTAATGATTGCGGCAAGGTCTTCAGACACAATTCGTACCTTGCAATTCATCAGAGAATTCACACTGGTGAGAAACCTTATAAGTGTAATGAGTGCGGCAAAGCATTTAGTGTACATTCAAACCTAGCTACCCATCAGGTCATCCATACTGGAGAAAAACCTTACAAATGTAATGAATGTGGCAAGGTCTTCACTCAAAATTCACATCTTGCAAATCATAGAAGAATTCACACTGGAGAAAAACCTTATAGGTGTAATGAGTGTGGGAAAGCCTTCAGTGTTCGTTCAACCCTAACTACCCATATGGCAGTCCATACTGGAGACAAACCTTACAAATGTAACCAATGTGGCAAGGTCTTTACTCAAAATTCAAACCTTGCAAAACATCGAAGAATTCATAGTGGATAGAAACCTTACAAAGGACGCCGGGCGTGGTGGCTCACGCCTGTAATCCCAGCACTTTGGGAGGCCGAGGCGGGGGGATCACCTGAGGTCTCGAGTTCGAGACCAGGCTGGCCAACACGGTGAAACGCTGTCTCTACTAAAAATACAAAAATTAGCTGGGTGTGGTGGTGCACGCCTGTAATCCCAGCTACTCGGGAGGCTGAGGCAGGAGAATCACTTGAACCTGGGAGGCGGAGGTTGCAGTGAGCGAGATCATGCCATTGCACTCCAGCCTGGGCAACAGGAGTGAAACTCCATCTCCAAAAAAAAAAAAAAAAAAAAAGTAACCTTACAAAGGAGTGCGGCCAGTTTTTCAGCCACAAATTCTTTCACAACATCAGAGAATTCATTCTTGAGACAATTCTTACAAATACAGTGACTGTGGCAAACTCCTGATGAGTTTAAGCATTAACAGACATCAGAGTTCAAATCCTGTGAATATACTATGTATGACAGAAGCTTTATCCAGGTCTCAGAGCTCAATACGCATCAAAAGATACATCTTTGATGAAGTCACACAAACGTAACATGCATGCTGAGACTATTACTCCTGGACCACAACTGTAGGTGAGGATTCATAGGAAGAGTAGAACTCAGTCTCTAGTTTCCTCATAACCCTCTGATATTATATACTTCAGCATAATCAGAAGTCCAAATGTGTTAAAACTCATTACATGATACATATCAAAGGTTGTAGGATGTTTGGAAATGGCCAATTACTTTCAGCTTATAAAATGTTTTGTTGAAGTATTTAAGATTTATTGAAAAGGCTACTATTTATAACTTCCAACCAGAACTTTGCAATGTGCTGATTTTATACATGATTATACGCCTAACATGGTGTTGTTCGGGAAAGAATCAAAGGATGGAAGGGCTCACTCACTTCATTAGGTGAGGATTATTTCTCTCCAAGCTCCTGAAGAAAAAAGACTCTGCCTTTTAAAATTAAATATAGTCTGAATTAGAGAGCACTTGGAAAGGGCAGAGGATGATGAACTATGATGTCACTCATCATCCTTATTGCACTGCAGGTGCCCTTCTTCTGACAGAAGAGCACTGTGGGTATGGGAAGAAATTCTCTACTGGCCGGGCACAGTGGCTCACGCCTGTAATGCCAGCACTTTGGGAGGCCAAGGTGGGTGGATCACCTGAGGTCGGGAGTTCGAGACCAGCCTGACCAACATGGAGAAACCCCATCTCTACTAAAAATACAAAATTAGCCAGGCATGGTGGCGCATGCCTGTAATCCCAGCTACTCAGGAGGCTGAGGCAGGAGACTCGCTTGAACCCGGGAGGCAGAGGTTGTGGTGAGCCGAGATCATGCCACTGCACTCCAGTCTGGGCAATAAGAGCGAAACTCTGACTCAAAAAAAGAAAGAAAGAAATTCTCTACCAGTAGACCATGAAATAGAGCCAGGAAGACACTCGGATTTTTATTAGAGGAGAGTAATAGCTTATTAGGGACTGATGTGTGGTACAAATAATGCAGAAAAGTGGAGGCTACCTTCTCCATCAAATGCCAATAGCTGTTGCATAGCAAAGATTGATTTTTTTTTTTTTTTTTGAGATGGAGTCTTGTTCTGTTGCCCAGGCTGGAGTGCAGTGATGCAATCTCAGCTCACCGCAACCTCCGCCTCCTGGGTTTTAGCGATTCTCCTGCCTCAGCCTCCCAAGTAGCTGGGATTACAGACATGCACCACCACGCCTGGCTAATGTTTGTATTTTTAGTAGAGATGGAGTTTCACTATGTTTGCCAGGCTGGTCTCGAACTCCTGACCTCATAATCCGCCCACCTTGGCCTGCCAAAGTGCTGGGATTACGGGCTGGAGCCACCGTGCCCGGCCGGCCGAGCATAAGAAGTTTAATCAAAGTAACCAGAATCCCATGTTTGTTACTAGGATTTACATTAACTGCTGGAATCACATTTTGCTACTATTTAAGAATGCATCATAGATTTAATGTTTTAACTAATAAAATTTGATGTATTTTATAAGTATGAATGAATCATTTCTTGCCAACATAGTTTTATCCTACCTCAGTAGCATACTTCATAACAGATAACAACACTGCACCATTAAGCTATCGAAGGATCTAGAACAATGATTTCCATTGTTGGATCAAACAACATATAATTTTCAGAAACTAAGTGTATTTTGGTTTTTTTGTTTGTTTGTTTGAGATGGAGTTTCATTCTGTCACCCAGGCTGGAGTGCAGTGGCGTGATCTCGGCTCACTGCAACCTCTGTCTCCCGGGTTCAAGCAATTCTCCTGCCTCAGCCTCCCAAGTAGCTGGGATTATAGGTGCCCGTTACCACACCCGGCTAGTTTTTGTATTTTTAGTAGAGACAGGGTTTCACTATGTTGGCCAGGCTGGTCTCGAACTCCTGACCTCAAGTGATCCACCTGCCTTGGCCCCCCCAAAGCTCTGGGATTACAGGTGTGAGCCACCATGCCCAGCCCAGAAACTAATTGTATTTTGTACTTGAATTATTCTCTCCACACTCTGCCTTGGGATACTTATGTGGTATAATGAAAATCCCACAGAAAGGATATTTCAGACTCTCACACCCTGAAGTCTGCATTGCTCTTCATGCATATGCACAGTATTATTATATTTTTGCATGTCTCTTTCTTGCATGCCAAATAACACCTATGGCATTTATCTTGATGTACCTGAAGTGAAAATACAAGTATAGTAAAAATATGACATATTAGGAAACAAAAAAACTGTGGGGAATATGGATAAAAACAACAACATCTCTTTTTTACCTTTGGAATGCTCAGTGGCAATTGGAAAAATTAATATATATAAATTTTCTTTTAAGAAAGAACATAACACATTCAGATTTTTTTTTTTCCTGGCAGATAAACGACAAAGTTTGTATGTTCACCCTCATAACATTTTGATCATTTGAACTTGTGACCTCTCTACTGGAACTGTATTGAACTTCACCTAAAGGTTGGTTGAGAAGTGTTATGAGACTGTTTATTACATAATGTGGGTTTCTGGGGAAAGCTGGGTAGACTTCCAAAGCTGGTCTAAAAATGGCTTGAGAGCCCAGATAAGCAACTTGCTTGGTGTGTTATGGTTGATAAGGTGTGGGGATGGGTTAGAGGAAGCTTTGTGTGGTTTGAACGTCCATCTAGTGACAAAGGAGGAAGCACTCAAGCATGACCAGTTTGACCAAATGGGCAGAACAGAAGTGCAGAGCTGTAAAAGCGTTAGTAGTACAACATCACAAAATGGAGACTGACGCTAGTACACTGAATTATTTACTCTGGAAAGTTCTGAATTCTTGGTTTGGGAAGACCCCAGTTTTCTTTTTTGTTTGTTTGTTTTGTTTTGTTTTTTGAGACGGAGGCTTGCTCTGTCACCGGGGCTGGAATGCAGTGGCGTGATCTCGGCTCACTGCAACCTCCACCTCCCAGGTTCAAGTGATTCTCCTGCCTCAGCCTCCCAAGTAGCTGGGACTACAGGCATGTGCCACCACGCCTGGCTAATTTTTGTATTTTTAGTAGAGACAGTTTCACCATGTTGGCCAGGCTGGTCTCGAACTCCTGACCTCAAGTGATCCACCCGCCTCTGCCTCCCAAAGTGCTGGGATTACAGGTGTGAGCCACCACGCCCTGCCCTAGTTTTCTTGATAGTAATATTCTACATTTATTCTTCCGCTGTACCCATAGGACTCATTAAAAATAACACAACTGTTGAAAATGTTTTTGAAATCCTGTTTAGTTATAATGCCTAAGATGTTTTTATACTAACTCAGTGAAAATCTGTGGAAAAGTTTCTTACATAATAAATATGATTAAGCAGTTTTACTGGAAGGGCATTTCTCCAAAGGCTATGGAAATGTTATTTTCAGTTTATGGTATTGAGCAATATATTTCATGGTTTATGTTCAATTGTAGTAAAATTACTTTTTATTTTTTAATATGATTTTCCCTTTTATTTTTTTCTTTCATATATTGTAACCCAGATGAAACGTTTAATATTTTGTTAAAGTGAAAACTATACGGTGTATATAAATAAGGGTGTTGTTTGGAGATAAAATTGTGTGACATGAAAATGTACATAAGACAATAGCAGGTATAAACTAGGTTCTCTATAAACATGAAAAAAGGGTATCCCTGTGAGTCTTTAGTTCAGTCAATGTACTGGGATGGTACGTTAGAAATACTGGAAAACTATTCTTTAGGCGAAAATAAATCCAATTGTCATGTGGTGACTATTTTCCACACTCTGTTATCCACATCTGATAGAACATTAAGAAACAGAAAACAAAAAAATAGACCCAATATAGATTACAATTTTAAAATAAAAAGTACTGTGTCAAGTTCCCTTCAGAATGCCCATAAAGTGAATTTGAAATTACATGATATTTAGAAATTATTGATTTAAGCATATTTTGATGCAAAGAAAGATTATGTCAAAGTTGTTTGTGGTTAAGTCATTTCAAGTGTGGAACGGAATAACGAATATAAGCAAAAATAATGCAGTTTATCTCTATTTTTTAAAAATTCACATGGTTTAAATCAGTAGTTGACTGGGCACAGTAGTTCACTCCTGTAATCCCAGCAATTTTGGAGGCCCAGGCAGGAGGATTGCTTGAGGTCAAGAGTTGGAGACCAGCCTGGGCCGAGACTCCCATCTTTACAAAAATATATGTTTTAAAGAACAATAAAGCAGCCCTTGGTGATCTAACTTATCGGCCTTAACCTTCCCATGAATTGAGCACAGGCTTGACTCTTCCACTGGGGAGAATGGGGATTTGAAATGTAAAGGAGGTTCTGTTGGGCTACTGCATTAAATTGCATATCCGTCCAGGTAGGATGCTGCATTTCCCATTCTACTTTGAATCATCCTCAGAGATAATTTCCAGACATTTTAGTTAAATTAAATACATTTTAATTGCAGGAATTGCTGGATCCAATCGCCGTGCCTCGTGGATCCTCCACTAAGATCCCAGTTCCCAGACCGAGATCCCCGATTCCCAGATCCCCGTTCCTGAGCTGCAGCAGACTCCCTAGCAGGACTGGGTCCAACCCGCCGGCAAACAATTTTAACATAAACCGTTTTCAACTTGGTAAGAGGAAATCATTTTGGTTTCTATCATAAGTGGTCCACGTAAGTCTATTCTTTCACCTTAAAACTGCTTCAAATTGGAACGGTGCTCCCGGGGACATAGTGAACACTCCAGCGTTTCTAAACCGGGAAAAATGAGACTGCGGGCTAGGCAGGCTGAGGGAAGCGCAGACCCCGCCCCAGCTCCGCCCCAGCGTTTCGTCCGCAGACCCCGCCTCTCCCCAGGCCCCGCCCCCAGAGTGCCCGGGCTCTTTTCCGCGCACGCGCAGTTTTCTGCAGTTCCGGAAGCGGATCGTGTTGGGTGCGGGTGACGCCGCCGAGCGTGAGTGTCCCTCAGTATGGATTAAACTTGCGAACCGCCGTGCCCCGTTTCCGCAGCCAGTTCCCGGGCTCGCTACAGACCTTTTTTTTTTTCTTTTTTTTTTTTTTTGGTGAGACGGAGATTTACTCTTGTTGTCCAGGCTGGAGTGCAATGGCGCGATTTCGGCTCACCGCATCCTCCGCCTCCCAGGTTCAAGCGATTCTCCTGCCTCAGCCTCCCGAGTAGCTGGGATTACAGGCATGTGCCACCACGCCCGGCTAATTTTGTATTTTTAGTAGAGACGGGGTTTCACCGTGTTGCCCAGGCTGATCTCGAACTCCTGACCTCAGGTAATCCGCCCGCCTCGGCCTCCCAAAGTGCTGGGGTTACAAGCGTGAGCCACTGCGCCCGGCAGCTACAGACCTTAAGATCCCCGCACCGCGCCCTCCACCCCAGCTGACTCGCGGTGTGGGTTCGGAGTCGCTTCTCTTTGGGTTGAAGTAGCTCTGAGGCTTCTCCCTGTCCCCGGCCTTTCGCGTCTTCCTCCCGCTTAAAACCCTTTCCTGACCCCTCCTCCCGCCCCGGGCTTTTTAAAGTCCTCGCCCGCGAGGTGGATTCCCGCCCTGGGTGCCTCCCAGCCTCGCCCTCGTCGGCCCCTGGAGCGCAGCTCCTCAGCCCCGGTACCGGCGAGGCCGCGTCCTCTGCCTGGTCCTGGCATCCTGCAGACCCCACCCCTCTTCTAAGGCGCCGTCGCCCCGCCACCTCCCTCCTCCTCGTGCCGGGCCCTGCTGCTCCCCAGGCCTCCCCTTCGCAGTCCCCGCTTCTCCTGAGCCCGCGCTGGGGAGGTGCCCGGGGCCTGTCCTGTGACACCCGGTGTTCTTGCCTGCCCAGCTCCAGCCCCTGGAAAATGCGCTCCTCCAAGATGCAGGCGTCTTAGTCCAAACCTTCCTGTGAATGTGTGGACCAAGGGGATTAGCAGGTAGAGAAAGGGGCAGAGACAGAGAGAGAAGTAGAAAAACTGAGAGGAAAGAGTGAGGGAAACCCGTAACCAGATGGCAAAGTAGAGGATGGGCGAGGGATTTGCAGATGGTAAGAGAAGGAGCTGAGAAGGCAGAAGGAGAAAAGCAACTGGGGAAATGTAGAGAAAAGCTCGATGTCCAGAGACATGAAGGACAGCAAGGTAGGGAGAGGGCCAGAAAGTGGGAGGCTCCTCAGACAGAGTCCGGGAGAGGAGGAGGGATTTGGAGCCAGGGCAGACAAGCAGCGTGGTGCTGGGACAGCAAGAGGGGACAGCCGGTGACGAGGAGAGCAGAAGGAGAACCACAGCAGGGGGAGGCCTGGGATCTGGGGGTGCCAGAGAGTGGGGCAAGAGGTGTAGAAGGGAAGAGGAGATTCAACAGAGGGAGCAGAGATGGGAGAAGAAAGAGGCAGAAATATATGGAGACTGGGGACAATGAAAAGACTGGGGAGAAAGAGGAATCAGAGTTGAAACAAGGCCCCAGAATGGGACAGAACAGGTGCAAGCGGAGGAAGAAGGGGAGAAATAGCAGGAGATGAGAGGGGCTCAGAACGACGCGCAAAGAACCAGGGGAAAAACACAGAAAATAAAAAATAAGCTAATGTGAGAATGAGAGCTATGTAGAGGATGAGGGAGGGAAACACACAGTATGGAAGCAAGAGAGGGACCCTGAGTCCAGGTGAGTGGTGCGTTGATTAGATGTGATGATGACATTGTGACATTGGTTTCTGGGTTTAAAATAATGCAACACATTTAAAATACGTTTACTTAAATTATGCAGTTGCAAATGAGAATGGAAGAAACTCCTTTATGTAAAATGCGTAACACGTGCATTTGACAATTATTAGTATTAGGGTATAGCTTCATTTGCAATCACTATTCAAACCAGAGGGCAGTGACTTCGCTCATTTAGTTTTGAGTCCACCCACTTCCCTTTTCCTGGAATAGGGTAGGGTGTGGGCGAGTGTATGAACTAAGAGGAAAAAATATTTTTCCTTTGATTTTCTTTCCTGTCACACTCAATACAACAGGGCACATTCTACACAGTGTCTCGCCTCCACTCACGAAAATGTGTGCGGATTTCTCCCACCAACAACCCGTTCTCTATCAGACACTAACTGAGTGTCGTATAGTTTAACTCAATTCTGAAACTCTCTACCTGGAGTTAGCATCAGATCCCACTGATTGAGGCTCAGTTCCACGAAATTGCCCCCGCATCAGGTGCCAGTTGTAAGTCTCCCGTTGGTACCTGAACTTCTGAGCGACCAGCTATACACTGGGGATTCCCTTGACATCCCCCTCCCCACCACCTCAGGTTCTATTAATTTGTGAGGGCGGCTCAAAGAACTCAGGGAAAACACTTCACTTAGTTTACACATTTGTTATGAAGGATATTACAGAAGATACAGATGAACAGTCAGAAGGAAGAGCTGTCCTAGAAAGTTAATCAAAGCCGAGGAGGGGTTAAGAGAACCACAGTATTTATCAGGTCACTCAAAAGTATAAGTGACAGTTACCACTGGCATACTGTGTCTGAAGTGAGGGGCAGTTTTAGACTGAGCTCTGAACCTGTAGCACCTCGTCATGCAGTCTTTTTTTTTTTTTCTTTTTGAAACAGTCTCGCTCTGTTGTCCAGGCTGGAGTGCAGTGGCGCAATCTTGGCTCAAGGCAGCCTCTGCCTCCCGAGTTCAAGCGATTCTCCTGCCTGCCTCAGCCTCCCAAGTAGCTGGGATTACAGGTGTGCACCACCACATCCAGCTAATTTTTGTATTTTTAGTAGAGACGAGGTTTTGCCATGTTGGCCATGCTGGTCTCTAACTCCTGGCCTCAAGTGATCCTCCTGCCTTGGCCTCCCAAAGTGCTGGGACTACAGGCATGAGCCACTGTGCCCGGCCCATGCTGTCTTGTAGATAATATCAGAGTTGAATGAAATTGTAGGACCCCCGCCTAACCCCCCCCCCCCCCCGAGCTGGGAGTCCCCTGGGAGTCCCCTGGTCATTGTGGGAAAAGCCACACACACATTTTGGTGACTAGAGGTGAAGTATTCTGTGTTTAGTGTGAGAGCAGAATGTAGAGTTGGGTTTTTTCCTATCTCAAAGACTAAAGGAAAAGACCTCCAAGTGGCCCACCCACCTGTCAGGACCTGTGATCTCTACTCAGTAGTGACTGGGAATGGCCTGTTCCTGCTTCTGGCTGCTGCTGGCCCTGCAATTGTGTACCATGTACCAGCCTCACTCACAGTCTCAGGACAATATGCGTGCCATCAATTTTAACTTTTTTTTTCCTTCACAATCTGTAAAGCTTTCAAAATTTTAACTTCAAGGGAATTCATCCCTGTACCTAGGGAGTGGTGTTCTCCATTAAGACACGTACACAGGGCTGGGCACAGCGGCTTACACCTGTAATCACAACACTTTCAGAGGCCAAGGTGGGAGGATTGCTTGAGTCCAGGAGTTCGAGACCAGCCTGGGCAACATAGCAAGACTCCGTCTCTACGAAAAATAGAAAAAAATAAGCTGGATGTGGTGGCTTGCACCTGCGCTCCCAGCTACTTGCAAGGCTGAGGTGAGAGAATCGCTTGAACACGAGAGCTTGAGGCTGCAGTAAGCCATGTTCATGCTGTCACACTCTAGCCTGGGCAACAGAGTGAGACCCTGTCTCAAAAACAAAAAACAAACACACACACACACACACACACACACACACACACACACACAGAATAAAGTCTTTTTTTCTTCTACGCTCCATCTTTAAAACAAAAAATACTCTAAATTGGCCAGGCACGGTGGCTGACGGCTGTAATCCCAGCACTTTGAGAGGCCAAGGCAGGTGGATCCCTTGAGGTCAGGAGTTCGAGACCAGCCTGGCCAACATGGTGAAACACTGTCTCTACTAAAAATACAAAAATTAGCCAGGCATAGTGGCACGCGCCTGTGATCCCAGCTACTCTGGAGGTTGAGGCAGGAGAATCGCTTGAACCTGGGAGGCGGAGGTTACGGTGAGCCGAGATCGCAACATTGCACTCCAGCCTGGGTGACAAGAGTGAGACTTCATCTCAAAAAAAAAAACAAAACAAAACTCTAAACTACCTTTCAGTCTGTAGTAAGTACTCTTCTATGCTCCGTTTAAGAGCACAATACACTACAATTTTTTTTTTTTTTACTTTATGTTCAATTCTTGCCTTCAGTCCTTGCTTGAACTCTTGCTTGAATCAAGCTCTCATACCCAACATTCCACTGATCCTTTCTTTTTCATTTACCAGTGATGGATCCATTTGAAATTCAATGTTTAATTTCCTGTCATCTTTCCATTCCTATCAGTAGCATGTGGCACAGTTGCTCACTTTCTCTTCTATTTTCTTGGCTTTTAGGACATCCCGTTAAGCTTTACACATCTATTTGTTGTAATTTTCTTGTTGCCTCCCTAATCACATTATGCTTTCCTCTTCTTGTGTCTCCAGAACTTTCTGTTCTCTGAACGTGGGCTTAGTCCTCCAGCCACTTTTTTCTCTGTCCGCACTCATTGCCTTTCCTTATCAACTCAGCTCATGGCTTTCAACCCCACCTGCACAGCTTCATGTCACCTGCAGGCCTCTCCTGTGAACTCTAGATCCAGCATCTAGGCCTCCCAAAGTGCTGAGGTTACAAGACGTGAGTGACCGTGCCTGGCTAAATTTATTACTTTTTTTTTTTAAGAGAAATGGGGTCTCACTATGTTGTTTAGGCTGGTCTTGAACTCCTGGCCTCAACTGATCTTTCTGCCTCAGCCTCCCAAAGTGCTAGGATTATAGTGTGAGCCACCACGTTCAGCCTCTACCTTTTGTTTCTGAGGCCTGAGATTGGCCTGCAATCCACAGAGAGGTGAGGGAGGCTGTTCTCTGCATGGGGTTTGGTCAGGGCTTGGTCTGTGCCCTGAATGGGGGAGCTCAGTCCAGCCCAGCTCCCAATTGCTGCAGCGTGTGTGTGGGCTTCTCCAGGAGGAGAGTGGGTTCTGAAGAAAGGGGTCAGAAACTCACTTATTGATCTTCCCATAGGAGCTTCTTGTCCCTGCATTGCCCTGGTGCAGTGGGCAGCTGAGACCATCTTTCCACAGGGTGAGGTCTTCCCTGTGTGTGTGTGTGATTGTGGCATAGGAAGGGGATGTGTTGATTCTGAGCAATAAACAGCACATTTTGGATATTCAATATTGACTTCTAAAGGCACTTTCCTGTTACCTAAGGAAGAACCCTTGAAGAAGAGGAAGAGGAAAGAAAGACAAGTCAGGCATGGCTCTCACCCAGGTAAGGTAATATTATCAGTGGATTGTTCTGTCTCTTATTTCTTCTTGAAATGTCATTCTTTGAAGTTGGGAATCTTCTCTGAGTCTGAAGCGTCCTGCCTGACAGGTTTGCTCGCACTTACGCGTGCCTTCCCTCAGTCCCTCTCATCTCACTTAGATTCCATCTCTCGTGACCCAGTGACATGAGCTTGGGAAGAGGCTGCACTGGGCATGGTCCTGGGAAGGGCTCACACCCAGACATGGATGGAGACGGGGTGAGGGTCCTGTGGTGTCAGTGCTGTTGGGCAGCAGGGATTGTTCAGGGGCCACATCTGGATGCACTGTCAGCTCTCTGTGGAGCAGGATTAGAGCAGCTGCACGTGGAAGTCACGTGTTAATGTGCACAAATACTTGCTAAATTATGTAAAATAAGGCTAATAAGGGGAAATTTTTCTGGCTCATTTACATTACATTTGAAGCTCACCAAGTGAGTCACTGTGTTTCTAACCCCAAACTCTTATTAATGACTGGGAATGGAATGGGAATTTTAGACTGACAGACATCAGTGACAGAGGGTTCTTTCATCCCATCATCTATTTTAATACATGAAATCAACCTAAATGGAAAATGCAGGAGAATCATTGAACTATTTTCAGAAAACCCATACAATGGAGACTGGTGTTTCTGCAGGGACCCTTGTGCAACTGGTGCTAGGTGAGAGTGGTTATTATTTTGTTCGGTTATAGGAGCAGAACTTCTTTCCCATTAGAGAGGGTAGAACCACGTTCTTGTTTTGCCAATTATTATTTTTATTTTATTTTTTTTGAGACGGAGTCTTGCTCTGTCGCCCAGGCTGGAGTGCAGTGGCATGATCTCAGCCCAATGCAAGCTCCGCCTCCTGCTTTCACGCCATTCTCCTGCCTCAGCCTCCCAAGTAACTGGGACTACAGGCGCCCGCCACCATGCCCGGCTAATTTTTTGTATTTTTAATAGAGACGGGGTTTCACTGTGTTAGCCAGGATGGTCTCGAACTCCTGACCTCGTGATCCACCTGCCTCGGCCTCCCAAAGTGCTGGGATTACAGGCGTGAGCCACTGCGCCCGGCCTGTTTTACCAATTATTAAATATTCTATTTATTGTATTTATTTATTTTGAGACAGAGTCTCACTCTGTTGCCCAGGCTGGAGTGGTGCAATCTCGGCTCACTGCAACCTCTACCTCCCGGATTCAAGCAATTCTTTCGCCTTAGCCTCCAAAGTAGCTGGGACTACAGTTGCATGCCACCATGCCCAGCTAGTTTTTATATTTTTAGTAGAGACAAGGTTTCACCATGTTGGCCAGGCTGGTCCCAAACTTTTGACCTGAAGTGATCAGCCCACCTTGGCCTCCCAAAACGCTGGGATTACAGGCGTGAGCCACCATGCCCGGCCCTTCAGTGAATGTTTTGTTGTGACATTTTAGCCTGCAAATTTTGAAAATTTACATGTTTTCATGTTAGGAAAGATGTATAGCTCATTCTACATCTTTATTGGAGCCTTCTCTGAATGAGGACAGAGTGGATGTTTTACCTTTTCACTGTTGTTATTACTAAACTGTGTATATGTGACGTGAGTGCGTGTTTTTTTATTAAGCACACATCATGATTTTTTTTTTTTTTTTTTTGAGACAGAGTCTCACTCTGTCACCCAGGCTGGAGTGCAGTGGTGCAATCTCGGCTCACTGCAATCTCTGCCTCCCGGGTTCAAGCGATTCTCCTGCCTCACCCTCCTGAGTAGCTGGAATTACAGATGTCCACCACCACACCCGGCTAATTTCTGTATTTTTAGTAGAGATGGTGTTTCACCATGTTGGTCAGGCTGGTCTCGAACTCCTGACCTCGTGATCCGCCCTCCTCGGCCTCCCGAAGTGCTGGGATTACAGGTGTGAGCCACTGCACCCAGCCCACACATCATGATTTTAAATAAGTTTTGTGTTTTTTAGCAATTCAAATTGTATCTTAAATATTTTCTGTGTCCTTAAATTTGTTCTCAGCTATCACATTAATGATTTAATAGTAAGAATAGTTACATATTATGGGCATAAATAGATGTGTGTATATATGTAATTACCTTTTATGAAGTTCCATGTTGTTATTCATGAACTTGTTTCAACTTTGCTCATTTAGATCCTTTTCATGTTCTTTTACTTAACTATTTGATTTTTTTTTTTTTTTTTTTTTTTAGACAGTCTTGCTCTGTCATCCAGGCTGGAGTGCAGTGGCACAGTCTCGGTTCACTGCAAGCTCCGCCTCCTGGGTTCATGCCATTCTCCTGCCTCAGCCTCCTGAGTAGCTGAGACTACAGGTGCCCGCCACCATGCCTGGCTAATTTTTTTGTATTTTTTTAGTAGAGACGGAGTTTCACCATGTTAGCCAGGATGGTCTTGATCTCCTGACCTCGTGATCTGCCTGCCTCGACCTTCCAAAGTGCTGGGATTATAGGCATGAGCCACCACGCCTGGCCAACTATTTGATTCTTTAGGTTTAATTCTTATTCCCAGACACCTGGATTCAGATGCTTGCTCTGACATTTTAGCTCTTTGTCTTGACGCAAGTTTCTTAGAGTGTCTGTCATATACATTTATCTGCTAGTAAGATGGGAACAGATCTTTCTCTCATGGGCTATCATATTCATATACAAGTTAGTACATGCAGGACATTTATTTAGAATAATGCCAGACTGAGCACAGTGGCTTGCGCCTGTAATCCCAGCACTTTAGGAGGCCAAGGCGGGTGGATCATCTGAGGTCAGGAGTTTGAGACTAGCCTGGTCAACATGGTGAAACCCCATCTCTACTAAAAATACAAAAATTAGCCGGGTGTGGTGGTGGGTGCTTGTAATTCCAGCTACTTGGGAGGCTGAGGCCGGAGAATCGCTTCAACCCAGGAGGCAGAGGTTGCAGTGAACTGAGATCATGCCACTGCACTCCAGCCTGGGTGATAGAGCGACTCTGTCTCAAAAAAATAAGTAAGTAAGTAAATAAATAAATAGAATAATGCCTTGCACTTGGGAAGTGCTCAGAAACATCTGTCATTGTTATTGCGATGATCACAGTTTTTAGATTCTGACCTTTCTTTAAAGTCACTGTACACATTTTCATCTCGTAAGACATCACTCATGCTCTAGATCATCTAAATACTGAATATCACTTGGTGTGTTAGACATAATATATAGCACTTCAATAAAGATAACCCGGTGTTGGTTTTTTATTTGTATATTTGTGTATTTTTTGTATTGTCTACAAAACTGAGAAATCAACACTGATTTAAAGACTATCATAACCTCTTATAGAAGAGTATAAGAAGACAGAATTAAGGAAACATTCTGCCCAAAAATACCTGTGTGTGTGAGGATGTGGTGAAAACAGACCCAGTTTCTCCTACTGTACTCTCACAACGGAAAACACATCTGTGATCCCAGATGTCCTGGGTTTTCCCACACACACCAAGGGAGCAATTCTGCACTGGACACCAGCTGAGTGACCTCCTATTCAGTTCAATTCTGACACTGTCTACCTGGACATAGCATCAGATCCCACAGGTTGAGGGCTCAATCCAACAAGAGTGTGCCCACTTCAATGCCAGTTGCAAACACAGATGGTCTCTGCTTCTCACTGACTGGCTTATACATCATGAATTCCCATGACCCCCTCCTCAGGTTTGATTAATTTGCTAGAATGGCTCAGAGAAATCAGGGAAACACTTTATTTATATTGACCCATTTATTATATAGGATATTACAGAGTATACAGATGAACAGCCAGATGTAAGCAGTCTATTGGGTAAGGTATGGGAGAAGGAGCATGGCGTGGTGGTGCATGCCTGTAATCCCAACTACTTGGGAGGCTGAGTGCTGTCTTTGGTGGGGGTCGGTGGGGGCGTCCTCAGAGCCTCCGTGTGTTTCCCTATCCTGAAGCTTGTTCAGGCCCTGTCCTTTCGGGTTATTATGGGGGCTTCATTAAGTGGGCACGATTGCTTACATCTTTGGCTACTGGTGATCAGCCGAGCCTTCAGCCCCCATCCCCTCAGGGTAAGTTGGGGGATGGGGCTCGAAGTCCCAACTCTGTAATCCAGCCTTGGTCTTTCTGGTGACCACCCCGCCATTCTGAAACTATCTTGGGGCCTCCAGCCACCAGTCATCTCATTAGCTTACAAAGGCACTTATCACTCCAGAGATTCCAAGTGAGATGTATGTCAGGAAAGGGGGATGAAGACCATATGTATATTTTATTATATCACAACTTGGATATCGGCCCACTTACTCCAGTTTAATCTATTCTGTCTTCTCATTTTATGTGAAGATTGGAGCTTTTCCTTATATCCCCCTGGTGGATGTGTTTTTCATTTTAGGGACAGGTGACATTCAGGGATGTGGCTATAGAATTCTCTCAGGAGGAGTGGACATGCCTGGACCCCGCTCAGAGGACTTTGTACAGGGACGTGATGTTGGAGAATTATAGGAACCTGGCCTCCCTGGGTGAGGATGACTTTCTTCCAGAAGTCAGGATCTGCCCCTGTGTATCTTTTCATTTTCCATGTGGCTCTCCTGGGAGCTCATGCATTGCTTGGCTGAGACTGAAGCTGTGTTGACTGAAAAATGAAAATCTCCATAATGTGGAAACTGGATTTTAATTTTCCTCTTCCTGATGTCACTGGAGGGTTTCAGGACTTTTAAAATATCCAATTCCCTGTTTTCTATCCCCATGCTTTGATTCAGTGGTTTTGGGATGAGAGCTATATATTTGCATATTATAGTGTTTCCTAACAATTTATAAAGAAGCATTTAGTGGATGAATTTTTGAAGTGTTTTTTTAGATACAGCTGTAAAGTCCTCCCTCCTCATGTAAACATAGGACTGGGACTCTGGAAAATCTACAGCCCATTGTTTTCCTTTCTTTTCATAAGCAGGAATCTCTTGTTTTGACCTCAGTATTATCTCTATGTTGGAGCAAGGGAAGGAGCCTTTCACTTTGGAGAGCCAAGTACAAATAGCAGGAAACCCAGATGGATGGGAATGGATCAAAGCTGTGATCACAGGTAAGAGTTCAGATGGGTAGAGAAAATGCCGTTTATTAAATAGTGTTTGGGAAACTCTATGCAAATCTGAGAGTTCTGTGGGAAAACAAGTTTGAATTCTGTGACCTCAGAACAGAAATCTTTATTTGCCCCCTTTTGTCTATCCTTTAGACTTGTACTAGTTTATCCTTTCACCTTCCAGTGGTGCTGCAGCTCAGACAAAGGCAAAGTCTTTATCATGATGGACAACACTGTTTTCTAGCTTCTGAGAACTCTGGTTCCTTGACTCCGTGTGGCACAGGGAGGGCTGTTACAAAAGGGTTATTTCATCTCCTTTGGTGTTTCCTTCTGTAGTTGATTCTATCTGATGCCCAGTTCTCAGTCTTACAGATCCAAATTCTATATAGTTAGCTAAATTTTAAGAGTGTTTTAGTGGAGTTGTTAGGTTTTTCTAAATATAAAATCATGTCATCTGCAAAGAAGTATATTTTGACTTCTTCCTTTTCAATCTGTATGCTTTTTATTTCTTTCTCTTGCCTAATTGCTTTGGCTAGAACATCAATGCTATGTTGAATAGAAGTAGTGAAAGTGGACATCCTTGTCTTTCAGATCTTAGCAGAAAGGCTTTCAGTTTTTTCTTATTTAGTACATTCCTGCTGGATTTGTCATATATGGCTTTTATCATGCTTAGGTATGTTTTTTCTGTACCCAAGTTGTTGAGACTTTTTATTAGGAAGAGATAATGATTTTATTGAGTCATTTCCCAGCATCTATTGAAATGATAATATGCTTCTTGTCTTTGATTCTGTTGATGTGATGAATCACATTAATTGATTTGTGTGTATTAAACTATCCTTGCATTCCTGGAATAGATCCCACTTGATCATGGTGAATGTCTTTTTAATGTGTTGTTGAATTCTATTTTGTCAAGGATTTTTGCATGTATATTCATCAGGGGTAGTGGCCTATAGTTTTCTTTTTGTTGTGGTGTCCTTGTCTGCTTTTTGGTATCAGGGTAATGCTGGTCTGATAAAATGAGTTTGGAAATATGTGCTGCCTTCAATTTTTGAAATGGTTTGAGTAGAATTAGTATTCTTTATTTTTTCTTTTCTTTCTTTATTATTATTATTATTATTATTTGAGATAGTCTCTCTCTCTCTATCTCACCCAGACTGGAGTTCAGTGGCACAATCATAGCTTACTGCAAACTCAGACTCTTGGGCTCAACTGACCCTCCCTCCACATCCTCCCCAGTAGCTGGGGTTACAGGCACACACTACCACGCCCAACTAATTGTGTTTTTTTGTTTGTTTGTTTGTTTGTTTTTGAGATGCAGTCTCGTTCTCTTGTCCAGGCTGGAATGCAGTGGCGTAATCTTGGCTCACTGCAACCTCTGCCTCCCAGGTTCAAATGATTCTCCTGCCTCTGCCTCCCAAGTAGCTGGGATTACAGGCGTGTGCCACCACACTTGGCTGATTTTTGTATTTTTAGTAGAGTTGGGGTTTCACCATGTTGGCCAGGCTGGTCTTGAACTCCTTACCTCAGGTGATCCACCTGCCTCAACCACCCAAAGTGCTGGGATTACAGGCGTGAGCCACCGTGCCTGGCCAAATCCTTTTTTATTTTTTAGTAGAGCCGAGGTCTTGCTGTGTTTCCCAGGCTGCTCTCAAACTTCTGGCATCAAGCAGTCCTCCCATCTTAGCCTCCCAAACTGTTGGGATTACAGGCGTGAGCTAACATGCCTAGCCAGTATTAGTTCTTCTTCAAGTGTTTGGTATAATTCAGCAGTGAATCCATTCAATCCTGGGCTTTTCTTCTACATGAAATTTTTTTTTTTTCAGCTTCAATTTTGTTATTAGTGTCTTCAGGTTTTCTATTTCTTCATGTTTCAATCTTGATAGGTTGTATGTGTCCAGAAATGTATCCCTTTCTTCTAGGTTTTTAAATTTGTATGTAGTTGTTCATAATTGTCCCTAATGGTCCTTTGTGTATCTATGGTATCAGTTCTAATGTTTTCTGTTTTGTCTCTGATTTTATTAATTTGGGTGTACCTCCCCCCACCTTTTATTTCAGTTTAGCTAAAAGTTTGTTGATGTTGCTTATCTTTTAGAAAAACCTACTTTTCAAGCTAGGCATGGTGCCTCATGCCTGTAATCCCAGGAACTTGGGAGACTGAGAAAGGAGAATTGCTTGAGGCGGGGAGTTCAAACCAGCCTGGGCAACATAGAAAGAGACCCCATCTCTAAAAATAAAACGAAAATTAGCCAAGCATGGTAGTGCGTTTCTGTAGTCCCAGCTACTTGGGAGGCTGAGGGAGGAGGATCAGTTAAACCCAGGAGTTCAAGGCTGCAGTGAGTTATGACTGGGCCACTGCACTCCAGCCTGTGTGAGAGAGATAGACCCCATCTCTAAAAAAAAATTTTTTTAGGCCGGGCACGGTGGCTCACACCTGTAATCCCAGCACTTTGGGAGACTAAGGTGGGTGGACCACCTGAGGTTGGGAATTCAAGACCGGCCTGACCAACATGGAGAAACCCCATCTCTACTAAAAATACAAAATTAGCCGGGCGTGGGGGCACATGCCTGTAATCCCAGCTACTCGGGAGGCTGAGGCAGGGGAATCTCTCGAACTTGGGAGGCAGAGGTTATGGTGAGCTGGTATCATGCCACTGCATTCCAGCCCAGGCAACAAGAGCAAAACTCCATCTCAAAAAAAAAAAAATTTTTTTTTAATCCTACTTTTCATTTTATTGATCTTAGATTTTTTTTTAGTCTTTATTTTGGTTAGTTCTACTGTGATCTTTATTATTCCTTTCCCTCTACTACTTTTGGGTTTGGTTTGTTCTTGCTTTTCTAGTTCCTTGAGTTGTATCATTAGGTGTTTTATTTGTTGACTTACTGTTTTTTTGATATAGGTGTTTATTGCTACAAACTTTCCTCTTTTTGCTGCTTTTTCTGTATCCTATAGATTGTGCTGTTTTGCATTTTAATTTGTTTCAGGAAATTTTTAGCCAGGCATGGTGGCTCATGCCTGGAATCCCAGCACCTTAGGAGGCTGAGGCAGGCGGATTGCTTGAGCTCAGGAGTTTGAGACCTGCCTGAGCAACATGTCCAAACTCTGTCTTGGTAAAATATACAAAAATTAGCTGGGCATGGTGGTGTGTGCCTGTGGTCTCTGCTACTTGGGGGGCTGAGGTGGGTGGATCACTTGAGCCCAGGAAGTGGAGGTTGCAGTGGGCTGAGATCACACCATTGCACTCCAGTGTAGGTGACAGAGCAAGACCCTATCTCAAAAAAAAAAAAAAAGAAATGTTTTATTTCCTTCTTAATTTCTTCATTAACTCAGTGGCTGTTCAGGAATATGTTGTCTAATTTCCATGTGTTTTTGTATCTTCTTTTTTTTTTTTTTTTCTAGACAGACTCTTGCTCTGTCACCCAGGCTGGAGTGCATGGCACAATCTTGGCTCACTGCATCCTCCACCTCCTGGGATCAAGCAATTCTCCTGCCTCAGCCTCCCGAGTAGCTAGGATTATAGGCGTGTGCCACCACGCCTGGCTAATTTTTGTGTTTTTAGTAGAAACAGGGTTTCACCATGTTGGCCAGGCTGGTCTTGAACTCCTGACGCCAGGTGATCTGCCCAACTTTGGCCTCCCTAAGTGCTGGGATTACAGGTGTGAGCCATCACGCCCAGCCATGTTTGTGTATCTTCTGAGGCTCTTCTTGTTGGTTTCTAGTGTTATTTTATTGTGGTCAGAAAAGATACTAGATACAATTTTGACTTTTTTGAATTTATTGAGACTTGTTTGGTGTCTTAACATATAATCTATCCTGAAGCATAATCCATGTGCTGATGAGAAGAATATGTATTTTGCAACAGCTGGATAAAATGGTCTGTAAACGTCTGTTAGGGCATGGAACATACCTGTAATTTTAGCTACTTGGGAGGCTGAGGAGAGAGGAATGCTTAAGGCCAGAAGTTCAAGGCTGCAGTGCACTGTGAACTCACCTGTGACTAGGCAATGGACCACAGCCTGGGCAACATAGGGAGATCCCATCTGTTTAAAATAGAAAAAAAATTTAAAAAGTCTTTTTTTAGGTCCATTTAGTCTGCAGTATATTTTAACTCTAATTTTTTTTTTATTGGTTTTCTGCCTGGATGACCTATTCATTACCAAAAATTGTGTTTTGAAGTCCCCTAATATTATTGTATTGCTACCTGTCTCTCCCTTTAGATTTATTAACATTAGCTTTACATATTTGGGTGTGTACTTATTTATTATGTCCTTTTGCTAAGTTGATCCTTTTCTCATTATATACTGACTTTGTCTCTTTTTACACTTATTGACTTAAAGTCTATTTTATCTAAGTATACCTACTACTGCTCTTTTTTGATTTCTAGTTCCATGAAATATCTTTTTCCATCCCCTCACTTTTTGTCTACATGTATCCTTATAGGTGAAGTGAGTTTGTTGTAGGCAACATATAGTTAGCTGTATGTTTTATAATCCATTCAGCAGGCCTCTCTCTTGTAATTGGAAAATTTAGTCCATTTCTATTTAATGTTATTATTGATAGGTAAGGACTTATACTACCAGAGAAATCACTTAAACACAAAGGAAGACAGTAAGAAAGAAAGCAAGAGAGAAGTTAGAAAACAATTAGAAAAGAAGTAACAAAACGGCAGTATGTTTTAATTCATTGCTTTTTATTATTAATATGTCTATTACAGGCTTTTACTTTGTGGTGACCATAAAATAAGGCTTACGTCTCACACCAGTTAGAATGGCGATCATTAAAAAGTCAGGAAACAACAGGTGCTGGAGAGGATGTGGAGAAATAGGAACACTTTTACACTGTTGGTGGGACTGTAAACTAGTTCAACCATTGTGGAAGTCAGTGTGGCGATTCCTCAGGGATCTAGAACTAGAAATACCACTTGACCCAGCAATCCCATTACTGGGTATATACCCAAAGGATTATAAATCATGCTGCTATAAAGACACATGCACACGTATGTTTATTGTGGCACTATTCACAATGGCAAAGACTTGGAACCAACCCAAATGTCCAACAATGATAGACTGGATTAAGAAAACGTGGCACATATACACCATGGAATACTATGCAGCCATAAAAAATGATGAGTTCATGTCCTTTTTAGGGACATGGATGAAGCTGGAAACCATCATTCTCAGCAAACTATCGCAAGGACAAAAAACCAAACACCGCATGTTCTCACTCACAGGTGGGAATTGAACAATGAGAACACATGGACACAGGAAGGGGAACATCACACTCTGGGGACTGTTGTGGGGTGGGGGGAGGGGGGAGGGATAGCATTAGGAGATATACCTAATGTTAAATGACGAGTTAATGGGTGCAGCACACCAACATGGCACATATATACATATGTAACTAACCTGCACATTGTGCACATGTACCCTAAAACTTAAAGTATAATAAAAAATAAATAAATAAATATAAAAACATCCTATAGCTTTTAACAATTTATCTCAAATCAATATCAACTAACTTTGATTGCAAAAAAAGAAACTAAAACCTCTGTGCATGTTCGTTCCCTTCTCACCCTGCATTTTGAATTTTTTATGTCGCAATTTATGTTGTGTACTGCCTATCACTTAACAAACTGTTGTGCTTATTTTTAATAGTTTTATCTTTTAGCCCTCTTAGTAAATATACAAATGGTTTGCACACCATGATTATGATATTAATATTAGTGTAACAGTTACATCGTGTCATTTTCTTTGGATTTGAAGAACTCCCTTTATCATTTCTTGTAAAACAGGTCTGATCATGGTAAATTCCCTTAGCTTTGTTTGTCTGGGGAAGACTTTCTCTCCTTTATGACTGAACGATTGCTTTGCTGGCTACAGTATTGTAGGTTGGGAACTAGGCTTCCATACTATTAATTTGAATTACATGGAATCAACTTTATTAAACAATCCTCTTTCCTTTGTGTTCCTAAAAATTGAATATTATTGTTCTGAAGTTTCATAAATCTGTTTAATATAAGAATTGCTTTTGGTTTAATATTGTTTTTCGGTGTAATATTGTTTTTCGGTGTAAAATACTTGTTTACGTACTACAATTAATTGGAAACCTATGGATCTTTATATCTTGTAGCTCTCTCTTCCGAATTTGTAATGAAAGATTTACTACACAAAGGGAAGAGTAATACAGGAGAAGTATTCCAAACAGTGATGTTGGAAAGACAGGAAAGCCAAGACATTGAAGGATGTTCCTTCAGGGAAGTCCAGAAAAATACACATGGCCTTGAGTATCAATGCAGAGATGCTGAAGGAAATTACAAAGGAGTGCTTTTGACCCAAGAAGGCAATCTCACTCATGGAAGAGATGAACATGATAAAAGAGATGCAAGAAACAAGCTTATTAAAAATCAGCTTGGATTAAGCCTTCAGTCACATCTGCCTGAACTGCAGCTTTTTCAATATGAAGGGAAAATTTATGAATGTAATCAGGTTGAGAAGTCTTTCAACAATAATTCCTCAGTTTCACCACCTCAACAAATGCCTTATAATGTCAAAACCCACATTTCTAAGAAATATCTCAAAGATTTTATCTCTTCTTTATTACTCACACAGGGGCAAAAAGCAAATAATTGGGGAAGCCCTTACAAATCTAATGGATGTGGCATGGTCTTTCCTCAAAATTCACACCTTGCAAGTCATCAGAGAAGTCATACTAAAGAGAAACCTTACAAATGTTATGAGTGTGGCAAAGCCTTTAGAACACGTTCAAACCTAACTACCCATCAGGTGATCCATACTGGCGAAAAACGTTACAAATGTAATGAGTGTGGTAAGGTCTTTAGTCGAAATTCACAACTCTCACAACATCAGAAAATTCACACTGGAGAGAAACCTTATAAATGTAACGAATGTGGCAAGGTCTTCACTCAGAATTCACACCTTGTAAGACATCGAGGAATTCATACTGGAGAGAAACCTTACAAGTGTAATGAGTGTGGGAAAGCCTTTAGAGCTCGTTCAAGCTTAGCTATCCATCAGGCAACCCACAGTGGAGAAAAACCTTACAAATGTAATGAATGTGGCAAGGTCTTCACTCAAAATTCACACCTTACAAATCACTGGAGAATTCACACTGGAGAGAAACCTTACAAGTGTAATGAGTGCGGCAAAGCCTTTGGTGTTCGTTCAAGCCTAGCTATTCATCTGGTAATTCACACCGGAGAAAAGCCTTACAAATGTCATGAATGCGGCAAGGTCTTTAGGCGTAATTCACACCTTGCAAGGCATCAGCTAATTCATACTGGAGAGAAACCTTATAAGTGTAATGAGTGTGGCAAAGCCTTTAGAGCACATTCAAACCTAACTACCCATCAGGTCATCCATACTGGAGAAAAGCCTTACAAATGTAATGAATGTGGCAAGGTCTTCACTCAAAATTCACACCTTGCAAATCATCAAAGAATTCATACTGGAGTGAAGCCTTATATGTGTAATGAGTGCGGCAAAGCCTTCAGTGTGTATTCAAGCCTAACTACCCATCAGGTCATCCATACTGGAGAAAAACCTTACAAATGTAATGAGTGTGGCAAGGTCTTCACTCAGAATTCACACCTTGCAAGACATCGGGGAATTCATACTGGAGAGAAACCTTATAAATGTAATGAATGTGGCAAGGTCTTTAGGCATAATTCATACCTTTCAAGGCATCAGCGAATTCATACTGGAGAGAAACCTTACAAGTATAATGAGTATGGCAAAGCCTTTAGTGAACATTCAAACCTAACTACCCATCAGGTCATCCATACTGGTGAAAAACCTTACAAATGTAATGAGTGTGGCAAGGTCTTCACTCAGAATTCACACCTTGCAAGACATCGGAGAGTTCATACTGGAGGTAAACCTTACCAGTGTAATGAATGTGGCAAAGCCTTTAGTCAAACATCAAAGCTTGCAAGGCATCAGAGAGTTCATACTGGAGAGAAACCATATGAGTGTAATCAGTGTGGGAAAGCCTTTAGTGTCCGTTCAAGCCTAACTACCCATCAGGCAATCCATACTGGAAAAAAACCTTACAAATGCAATGAGTGTGGGAAGGTCTTCACTCAGAATTCACACCTTGCAAGACATCGGGGAATTCATACTGGAGAGAAACCTTACAAGTGTAATGAGTGTGGCAAAGCCTTTAGTCAAACTTCAAAACTTGCAAGGCATCAGAGAATTCATACCGGAGAGAAACCATATGAGTGTGGGAAACCCTTTAGTATCTGTTCAAGCCTAACTACCCATCAGACAATCCATACTGGTGGGAAACCTTACAAATGTAACGTGTGGAAAGTTCTAAAGTCAGAGTTCAAACCTTGCAAGCCATCACAGAATTCATAGTGGAGAGAAACCTTACAAATGAAGGTGGTAACTTTTGCAGTTAGAATTCATTCCTTTGACAACGTCAGAGAATTTATGCCTGAGAGATTCCTTGAAAATGCAATGACTGGCTGGGTGCAGTGGCTCATGCCTGTAATCCCAACACTTTGGGAGTCCGAGGCAGGTGGATCACCTGAGGTCAGGAGTTCAAGACCAGCCTGACCAACATGGCGAAACCCCATTTCTACTAAAAGTACACAATTAGCTAGGCCTGGTGGCGTGCGCCTGTAATCCCAGCTATATAGGAGGCTGAGGCAGGAGAATCACTTGAACCCAGGAGGCGGAGGTTGCAGTGAGCCAAGATCGTGCCAATGCACTCCATCCTGGGCAAAAAGAGCAAAACTCCATCTTAAAGGAAAAAAAAAAAATGCAATGACTGTGGCAAACTCCTCATGAGTTCAAGTATTAATAGACATCCAAGAGTCCATAATAATGAGAAATCACATAAATGTACTGTGTGTGACAGAGGCTTTATTCAGGCCTCACAGCTTTGCAGGCATTAAAATCTACGTATTTGATGGAACCACACAAATGTAATGTGTAAGAGCATCCTGAAGCTCTTACTCTAAGACTGTAACTGTAGGTGAGGATTCATACAAAGAGTGACTCAGTCTCTAGTTCTTTGATTCACTTTTAAAATGATAAACTGCACAATAATTACACGTTCCAATATGGTAAAACTTAAGACATTATATATTTCAAAGGTCAAAGGACATTTGGAAATGGCTACTTACCTTCAGGTTATAAAATCTTTTATTCCATTGTTTGAGGTTTCTCAAAAAGGCTACTGTTTGTGACTTTCAACCTGAACTATGGATCTGTGGCTATTTTGCATCCTTAAGCACCTTTCGTGGTGCCTATCTGGGAAAGAACCACAGTATGGAAAGGCTTACTTCATTACATGAGGATCATTTTTATCCATGTTTATTGAAGAAGGAGGACTCTGCCTTGTAAAATTAAATATTCTCTCAATTGAGAGACCATGGTTTTGGGGCAGAAAATAATGTAAAACTATGATATCAATCATCATACTGATTGTGTTCAGGGTGCTTTTCTGAGAGAAAGACACCATGGGTTTTAGGGAAGTAAGGCTCTACCTGCATTGAGCAGGCCAAGACCTCAGGACACTGGAATTTTTATGAGAGGAGAGTAATAAGTTATTAGTGACTGATTATGTGATGGGAATAGTGCAGGGGAAATGGTTGCCACTTTCTCTACTGAATGGCAATAGCTGTTTTATAGCAGAGATTGATGAAAAATAGGCTTATTTTTGAAATTGAAGAGGTAACAGTTATTAGAGTGGAGAGCTTGGTCAGAAAAACCAGAATACCATGGTTTTTTTTGTTTTGTTTTGTTTTTAGTAGAATTCACACTAATTGCTGGAATTACATTTTGCTACAGTTTTATTAAGAATGTGTCACAGACATAATGTTTTGCTAAAAAAAATTCAACGTTTTCTTATAACTATAAACAAATCACATTCTTTGTACCAACATCATTTTATCCTACCTCAGTAGGATACTTCATAGCAGATAATAACAATACACTCAGTCTTTTAGGTTGGAGGATGTAGAACAATTTTTTTTTTCTTTGTGGAATCAACATACAATTTTGGGAAAATGTAATCATACTCTGCACTTGAATTATTCTCTCTACACTCTGCCTTAGAATATTTATATGGATATAATGAAAATCCCATAGAAAGTGCAGTTTTCATACTCTTACACTCTGAAAGCTGCCACAGTGTTGGTGAATATATACCATATTATATTTTTACATGCTTGTGTGCTAAATAACTATGGCATGCATCTTTATTTACATGAAGTGAAAATACAAATATAGAAAGTGTATGGGCTGGGTGTGGTGGTTCATGCCTGTAATCCTAGCACTTTGAGAGCCCAAGGCAGGGGGGTCACTTGAGTCCAGGAGTTTGAACCAGCCAGGACAACATGGCAAAACCCTGTCTCTACAAAAAAAATAGAAATATTACCCAGGCAGGGTGGCTCATGCCTGTAGTCCCAGCTCCTCAGGGAGACTGAGGCAGGTGGATCACTTGAGCCTGGAGGCAGAGGTTGCAGTGAGCCAAGATCGCGCCATTGCACTCCAGCCTGGGTGACAGAGCGAGACCCTGTCTCAAAAAAAACAATTGTATGAAAAATATTGGCTGGGTGTGGTGGCTCACACCTGTAATCCCAGCACTTAGGGAGGCCAAGGCGGGTGGATCATGGGGTCAGAAAATCGAGACCACCCTGGCCAACACAGTGAAACCCCATCTCTACTAAAAAATACCAAATATATATATATTGGTTGGATGTGGTGGCATGCGCCTGTAATCCCAGCTACTCGGGAGGCTGAGGCAGGAGAATCACTTGAACCCAGGAGGTGGAGGTTGCAGTGAGCCGAGATTGCCACTGCACTCCAGCCTGGGCGAGAAAGTGAGACTCCGTCTCAAAAAAAAAAATTATGAAATTATAAATAGTGCAGAATAACAAAAATAACACTAAGAATGCTATGCTCACATAATTTGACAAGACTAATATTCATGAGTTTCCTCTTAAAAATGAACATATATAATGGAAATTTTGTTTTTGTAGGTAAACTAGAAGTTTCATAAATTTAGCCTTATCATGTTTTTGGTAATGTTAATTTGTCACCTCTCCACAGGAAGTGTATTGAACTCCATTTACAGTTTGGTTTAGATATGGAAAATGAGGATGCTGAACAATGAAGTTTTAGGGAAATGTGTATTGCATAATGAGGCTTTCTGTGAGAAGCAGGATTGACTTCCCAAACTGGTCCAAAATGGCTTGAGAGAGCAGGGATAAATAACTTGCTTGGGGTGTTATGGTAATAACCTTTAATAAAAGGGTGGGTTGGGGTGAGGATCCCACACGTGATTTGAACTTCCATCTAGTGCCAAAGGAGGGAACACGGACATTATCAGCTTGGCCAGATGGGCAGAATAAGAAGAGGGAGTGCAGAGGTATAAATGGTGGTATAAGACAAAAATCACAAAATGGAAACTGACTGTAGTACAACACTGAATATTTACTCTTGCAACTTCTGATTTCTGGCCAGGCATGGCCAGAAATTACAGGCTCATGCCTGTAATCCCAGCACTTTGGGAGCCCGAGGCAGGTGGATCACCTTAGGTCAGGAGCTCAAGACGAGCCTGGCCAACATGGTGAAACCCCATCTCTACTAAAAATACAAAAATTAGCCAGGTGTGGTGGCGCACTCCTGTAGTCCTAGCTACCAGGGAGGCTGAGGCAGGAGAATCACTTGAACCCGGGAGACGGAGGTTGCAGTGAGCTGAGATCTCACCACTGCACTCCAGCCTGGGCAATAGAGTGAGACTCTCAAAAAAACAAAAGAAATTTCTAACTTCTTTGTTAGGGAAGACCTCCGCTTTCTTCATAATAGTAGATAATACTCTTCCTTTCTGCTGAACCCATAGGGCCCATTACACAACGTCATTCTTGAAAATATTTGTGAAATGCTGTTTAAATTGCCTAAAATATTTTTACAGTAGTTCAATGCAAATGAATTTGTGGAAAAGTTTATTACATAATATGATCAAGCAATTTTAGCCAAAGGGCATTTTTCCAAAGGCTGTGTTATATTCATGTCTTGTTCAGTTTATGGTATTGTGTAACATATTCTCCATAGCTTCTTTTCTTTTTTTTTTTCTTTTTCTTTTTAGACGTGGGGTCTCGCTATGTTGGCCAGGTTGGTCTTGAACTCTTGGCCTCAAGCATTCCTCCTGCCTCAGCTTCCCAAAGTGCTAGGATTACAGCCATGAGCCAATAGTAGTAAAATGACTTTTTGTTTTTGTATATGATTTTTACTTTAAGGATTTTTTCCTTCCATACATTTTAATCCAAATTATATGTTTACTGCATTTCTTCTCTGTGTTACTCCAGTGAACACTTAGAAAATACATAAATGAGGGTGTTGTTTAGAAATAAAATTTTGTGACATGAAAATGTATGTAAAACAATGGCAGGTACAGACTAGGTTCTCTGTAAATAGGAAAATGGAGTGTCCTTGTAAATCTTTAGTTCAATTAAAGTACAGGGATACTAGATGGTGAAATGAAGTCTCTTAATATGGAAGTTATCAAAGATCAGATGCTTGAAAATCAAGCGTGTGGAGGTTAACCAGCATCTGGAGAAGTAAATGAAAATACAGTTAATAAGAGAGTCCCCAAGATATTAATTATCATTTATGCAAAGGAGATAATTTCTCTCATTGAATCCCTGGAGGCAATTCAACTTCCTACTGTGGCTGGTATTTCTTTTCTGAGCCAGAGGATCTTACAGCAAAACATGATATTTGTGCAACTTTTGCAATGACAGCTGCCATTTAATATACTCCCCTTAGATTTGTTTCCATTTTAAAAAACTGATATATATTCTTTAATAAGTGATTTATCTTTGCATATATATTTTATATCAATCACATTTAGAGTAAGAATCACAGTTATTAATGCTTTATGTGTAACAACTGAATCATCAGCTCCTGAAATAAGTATTAATGATATTCTCATTTCAGAGGTGAGGAAACTTAGGACAGATAAGCAAAATAATCAAATTAGGCTGGGCACAGTGGCTCATGCCTGTAATCCCAGCACTTTGGGAGGCCGAGGCGGGGGGATCACCTGAGGTCAGGAATTCGAGACCAGCCTGATCAACATGGTGAAACCCCGTCTCTACTAAAAATACAAAAATTAGCTGGGTGTGATGGCGGGCGCCTGTAATCCCAGCTATTCGGGAGGCTGAGGCAGGAGAATTGCTTGAGCCTGGGAGGCGGATGTTGCAGTTAGCCGAGTTCCCACCATTGCACTCCAGTCTCAGTGACAGAGCGGGACTCCATCTCTCTCTCTCTCTCTCTCTCTCTTTCTCTCTCTCTCTCTCTCTCTCTCTCTCTATATATATATATATATATATATATATATATATATATATATTTAGAAAATGGGTAGAACTATGAAGAGACATTTCACTGAAGCAGTTATACTGAGATAAATAGGCACATAAAAAGATTTCCAACATCACCATCCATCAAATCTCAGATCTCAGCATATTCTGCTTTAAAAGACTCATCTTGTCACATTTCAGTAAGAGGCAGAATCGAGATTTGAATCCATGTTGTCTGGTTGCAAAGACAAAGCTTTTAATGATGATGCTACAGTAACAATG
Organism: Homo sapiens; assembly: GCF_000001405.40. Taxonomy (NCBI): domain Eukaryota; kingdom Metazoa; phylum Chordata; class Mammalia; order Primates; family Hominidae; genus Homo; species Homo sapiens. The sequence goes on along the minus strand of NC_000019.10, from coordinate 53,135,067 downwards.
CTAGTTATTTTTGTCCTTTACTCACCATCTATACCTATTTTGTTAGTATCTCTTGTAATTTTTAAATGGTTTATCTTCATATATCATTGTGATTGTGGTAACTTTGTATTAAATCTATATTTTTATAGATCAATTAAGTCTATATTTTATAGATCACTATTGCGTATGCATCTTACCTAAATGAATGACAGAGACACTCATTACCACATAATCCTGTAAGAACGATTATCCAATCTTTCGAAGGAGGCATCCAGTACCTGAGGTGTTAGTTCTAGTGGTGGCCAGGCGCTGTAGCTCACCCCTGTAATCCCAGCACTTTGGGAGGCCAAGGGGGGTGGATCTCCTGAGGTCAGGAATTGGAGACCAGCCTGGCCAACATGGTGAAAACCCATCTCTACTAAAAATACAAAAAATAGCTGGGTGTGGTGGCGCGTGCGTGTGGTTGAAGCTACTCAAGAGGCTGAGGCAGGAGAATCGCTTGAGCCTGGGAGGTAGAGGTTACAGTAAGCTGAGATCACACCACCGCACTCCAGCCTGGGTGACAGAACAAGACTCTGTCTCAAAAAAAAAAAAAAATCACTAATAATGACAAAGTGCATATTTCTTGAGCTGAGAATATTTTTGTATCTGTGTTTCCATTGTTCGTTTCCAAAAACAATTACAGGTTGCTAATACACATCAACTGGACTGTTCAGTAGAAGCTCCTGTGTTTCTCATGATCTCTGACAGCATCCAGGGGTTCACATGGAGAAAGCAGAATATGCTGAGGTCTGAGATTTGATGGATGGTGATGTTGGAAATCTTTTTATGTGCCCATTTATCTCAGTATATCTGCTTCAGTGAAATGTCTCTTCATAGTTCTATCCATTTTCTAATTTGATTATTTTGCTTTTTTTTTAAGTCGTTCTAGGATTCTTTATACATTCCACATACCAGTTTTATGTCAGATATATGGTAGGCAAATATTTTCTATTATTCAGTACTGTATTAGTCCATTTTCACACTGCCTAAACCCTCCTGTGACAACCTGAGACTGGGTAATTTATAAACAAAAGAGGTTTAATTGACTCACAGTTCCGCATGGCTAGGGAGCCCTCAGGAAACTTACAATCATAGAGGAAGGCAAAGGCGAAGCAAGGCACGTCTTGCTTGCAGCAGGAGAGAGAGCGATCAAAGGAGGAACTATCACAGATTTTTAAACCATGAGATCTCCTGAGAGCTCACTATCATGAGAACGGCTTGGGGAAAACCACCCCCATGATCCAGTCACCTCCCACCAGGTCCCTCCCTCAACACCTGAGGTTTATACTTGAAAATGAGATTTGATGGGGACACTGAGCCAAACCATATCAAATACCTTTTCTTTCATCGTCTGAAGGTCTTTCACAGACCAAAAGTTTTTAATTTGGTAAATACCAGTTGATTTTTTTTTTCTTTAATGAATCATGCTTTTGCTGCTATGGCTAAGAATTTTTGAACAAGCTCTTGATTCTTACGATTTTATTGTGAGTAATTTTTTCTTTCAGTCTCCTACAGGATACCATTTTATGGTTTGATATTTTACATTTAGGCTATGGTCAATGTTGAACTAATGTCTGTACGGTTGTGAAGTTTGAGTAGAGATGACTTCTTTCCTGCTGTGGATATTAAGTTAGCCCCTCACCAGTTTTTAAAAATTCTTCATTCAATTCCCTTGGTAACTTTGTCAAAAATCAGTTGGAAGTACCTGTAGAGGCTATTTTTGTACTCTCTTACTGTATTGCATCAATCCATATGTCTTTTATTGCCCCAAAACCACACAGTTTTTATTACCTTTCCTATATTGGTAGTCTTGAAATCCAGTGGAGTGATTCCAGACACTTCATTTTTGTTTTTTGGTAACTTTTATGGATCCAATCACTGCTAGTTTTGGATTCCCCACCGAAATCCCAGTTCCCGGACTGCTAAGCTGCAGGAGACTCCCTAGCAGGATCGGGTCCAACCTGCAGGCAAAATAGTTTTAACATAAACCGTTTTCAACTTGGTAAGTGGAAAACATTTTGGTTTCCACCATAAGTGGCCCACACAACTCTGATTTTTTTACCTTAAAGCGGCGCAGACCCCGCCCACTCCAGCCATTCCTTCAGGCTGCCCGGGCTCTTCTCTCCGCGCATGCGCAGTTTCCTACAGGCCCGGAAACGGATCGCGTTGGGTGAAGGTGACGGCGTCGAGCGTGAGTGACCCTCTGTGTAGATTAAACCTGCGCTCCCTGTTTCCCATTTCCACAGCCGATGTCCAGGGTCGATACGGCCCTTAAAATCCCCGTACACTCCACCCCAGGTGAATACAGGCCTCGCAGTGTGGGTCCGGAGTCGCTTCCCTTTGGGTTGAAGTCGCTTTGAGGCTGCTCCCCGTCCCCGGCCTTTTGCTTCTTCCTCCCGCTTAAAACCTTTTCCTGACCCCCTCCCCCATCCCCGGGCTTTTTAAAGTCTTCACCCAAGAGGTGTATTCCCGTCCTGGGTGCCTCCCAGCCTTGCCCTCGTCGGCCCCTGGAGCGCAGCGCCGCAGCTGCAGCCGCAGTCCCGGGGAGCCTTGCGTCCTCTGCCTGGTCCTGGGATCCTGCAGACCCCACCCCTGTCTGAAGGCGCTGTCGCGCCCCACCTCCCTCCTCCTCGTGCCGGGCCCCGCTGCTCCCCAGGCCTCCCCTGAGCCCGCGCTGGGGAGGTGCTCAGGGCCTGTCCTGTGACACCCGATGTTCTTGCCTGCCCTCCTCCACCCCGTGGAAAATGCGCTCCTCCAGGATGCAGGCGTCTTACCCCAAACCGTCCTGTGAATGTGTGGGCCAAAGGGATCGAGGGACAGAGAGAGCAGTAGAAAACCTGAGACAGGAAGGAATGAGGCAAACCAATAAACAGATGGCAAAGTAGAGGATGGTTAGAGATTTTCAGAGACAGTAAGAGTGGAAGAAGAAGCCGAGAAAGTAGCAGGGAGAGAAAAGTAACTAGACACATTTCGAGAAAAAGCACAGTATCCAGAGAGATGAAGGACAGCCAGGTAGGGAGAGGGGCAGCAAAGGAGGAGGCTCCTCAGACAGAGAGTGGGGGAGAGCAGAAGGGATTTGGAGCCAGGGCAGACAGGGCAGTGTGGTACCGGGACAGCAAGAGGGGGCAGCCGATGACAAGGAGAAGCAGAGGGAGAACCACAGCACGGGGAGGCCTGGGATCTGGGGGTGCCAAAGAGTGGGGACAACGGTGTGTAACAGGGAAGAGGGAATTTAACAGGGAGTGCTGAAATGGGGAAGAAAGAGCCAGAAATATGTGGAGACTGGGACAATGAAAAGATTAGGAAGAAAGAGGAATTAAATACATTGCAAGAATGGAAAGAGCAAGTGGAAGAGAAAGAATAGAGGGAAGACGGGGAGGAGCAGCAGGAGAGGAGAGGGGCTCAAAATGAGCAGAATCCTAGGGAGAAAATAAAGGGGAAGGAAAGAGCTAGAGAAAGAAGGTGAGAATGAGAGCGATGTACGGAACGAGGGAGGGAAACACACCATAATGAGGAAAGAGGGGGACCCCAGGTCCAGGTGAGTTGTGAACTGACTGGATGTGATGACTACCTTTTGACCTGTTGATTTCTGTCTTTATAAGTTTAAAATGCACAGATGATGAGAATTGCAAAGCTCCTGTCTATTAAGGCTGGTGCATTTTATAATTATGGCATCAGAAGTTAGCTTCCACTTGCAATCCCTGTTAAGGCAGAGGGAAGTGACTTGACTCATTAATTCCACAGGTCATCCTCTTCCCCTTCCCTGGCGTTGGGGCAGGGGGAGGGGAAGGGGGAGTGGGAGAGTAAAGCTGGGCAGAAAGTGAAAGACTGTCACTACATAGTGTCTCTCTAAAGCAGGGGTGTCCAATCTTTTGGCTTCCCTGGGCCACATTGGAAGAAGAATTGTCTTGGGCCACACATAAAGTACACTAACACTAACAATAGCTGATGAGCTAAAAAAAAAAAAAAAAAAAAAAAAAAAAGTTGCAAGAAAATCTCAAAATGTTTTAAGGAAGTTTAGGAATTTGTGTTGGGCTGCATTCAAAGCCTTCCTGGGCTGCGGATTGGACAACGTTGCTCAAAAGGAACATTAAAAGTGTTGAGGCTGGGCATGGTGGCTCATGCCTGTAATCCCAGCACTTTGGGAGGCCGAGGTGGGTGAATCACAAGGTCAGTAGTTCAAGACCAGCCTGGCAAAGATGGTGAAACCCCATCTCTACTAAAAATACAAAACTTAGCCAGGTATGGTGACACGCATCTGTAATCCCAGCTACTCAGGAGGCTGAGGCAAAGCATTGTGTAAACCCGGGAGGCGGAGGTTGCAGTGAGCCAAGAGCCGAGATCCGGTGACAGAGCAAGACTGCGTCTGAAAAAAAAACAAAGAACAAACAAAAAAAGTGTTGTTGCTTTTTGTAATTGATTTGCTTTTTTTCTTACTAATTCCCTTTCATCTCATGTATAGTTCATTTTGCAACTTGAGATAGATCTTCATTAATTCAGTTTCTATTTTTCTGTATATAATTATTTCCAAAGTAACTTTGGTGGCATCCTATAATCAGCTCATGGCATTTTCTAAATATAATGTGTTTTCAATTTTTTTAGCTCCAAAATTCATCAGATATTTCTTAACAATTTCAAAATCTTTCCCTTTGAAATTAATTGTGTCCAGTTTTGATAGAGGTCTGCATGCTTTCTGCTCTTTATTATATAATAGAAGCATTATTTGTTGACTAGTAGGTAATTTTAGATTGTTTCAATGTGTACCTGATAAAGATGTCAATGATGTTTTTACCTTAACATGGAAACCTAGTTTAACTAGTCTATTATTCAATTTTCTTCTTTTGTGTAATTTGTTAAAATAGTAAGCTGTGAGCTGCATTTGGAACCAATGTGATAAAACCTTGAAGAAGTTTCTTTTGCTCAGATATGTGAAAGAGGGTCTGGGAATTTTCTTTTTTTCTTTTCTTTTTTTTTTTTTTTGTGAGCTGGAGTCTTGCTCTCTCACCCAGGCTGGAGTACAGTGGTGCAATCTCGGCTCACTGCAACCTCCGCCTCCCGGGTTCAAGCGATTCTCCTGCCTCAGCCTCCTGAGTAGCTGGGATTACAGGCACAGGCCACCACACCCGGCTAACTTTTGTGTTTTTTGATAGAGATGAGCTTTCATCATGTTGGCCAGGCTGGTCTCAAACTCCTGGCCTCAAGTAATCTCCCCTCCTTCAGCCTCGAAGTGCTGGGATTACAGGCACGAGCCAACATGCCTGGCCAGTCCTGGAATTTTCTAAGGGAGATGTGATAAAGGCAAACACAGCCCATTGGCCCTTCCAGGTCGTGACATCATAATTCAGCCACATCTCCTCCTTCTCACTCAACTCAGACCTCTCAGGATAACTTGGTGAAATGACTCCCTCTCTCAGCCTCAGTGAGCCCACCTGTAACAGAGATAAGGGACTAGACCAGAAAACCTCAATGTGAGCAACACTGACTCCTGAAATTTGGGGCAAAATTGGGTGTGCATTTGTGTTTGGCAGTTGTATGTGGGGGGACTAGCCAGTTGCAATTAAAATTTTTATTTGGATTTCTTCCTCTAAAAATGAAAACAAGAATGTGAAGCAGGGACTCAGACACAGAGACCATCTTCGGGGCCTTTCTCTGTATGAGGACATCACAGAGAAATCTAAAGCAGGTCACGTCAGTCCCTGGCAGGGAACCCTCCACCAGCTTCCTGTGTTCCCCAGGACAAAAGCCCAACTCCTCACTGTGGCTCCACAGCCCTGTGTCCAGGGCCCCTGCCAGTGTCCAGCCTCCTCCTGGGAGCTTGCCCTCATCTCATGACTCCCTCTGCACCAGTCACATTTGCTTTTCTCTTTTCCCAAATGTCAAAACCCTTCCTGTCACGGGTCGTTGTCCCTGCTTTTACCCTATGTCCCTAAATGATCGTGACCCTGTCCCTTTTTCCTCCTTCGGGTCTAGACTGAGAGATGTCTCCCGTGCCCTCCCACCCCCATCTGAAATTCTCTCTGCCCGTCACTCTCTATCACATTATTCAGGTTTCACTGTCTCCGCATCCATCACCACATCGGACACTCTTCTGCGTGGATTATTTTGAGTGTTTTGTGTCTCCCTCCATTGGAGGACACAGTCTCCATCTGGGCCACGGGATGACTGCAGCACCTGCTCCGGGGTTGTGGTTCAGATGCTGGGGCTGGGGTTGGGCTGAAGACTCCTCAGGGAAGACCAAAAGGACAGGGCGGGTAGTGAGGATGGTCTCATATTCTGGAAATTTCATCTGTAATTGGTCTAAACTTCCTGTGGCTATTTATTCCAGTCTATGTAAGAGCAGAAGGCCTCACTGAGGCCTGAAAAGCCCCGCAGACCCTGTGTCCTCAGCCAGTGCCGAGGCGTCCCCACCGCCTTACTCCAGCTCCCGGGTCTTCCACGCTCTACACATCAGCGGGGCCCAGTGGCCATCCTGGGCAGGGGCTTTGCCTTCCAGCAGGTGATGCGCTCACAGTCAGGGGTCCTGGATTCCCTTCAGGAAGGGTGGCGAGAAGTTCAGAAGCTAAACGGGCCATGAAGGAGGCACTCCCTAAACAGCGGGGGAATTTGGCAGGGGACTGTGAGTGGAGAGACAAGGGGACAATGGCAGCCTCCCTCATGAGATCTGGGGCCTCTCTTTTTCTTGGACATCCTCCGTCAGCTCAGTCCAGCCAATCTTCACCTGCCTTTAAACTGGATTCCATGGTGTCCCCAAATTGGGGGCAATTCCTTCCAGCATGGCCAACTTCTAGAATCTAGACTTGAGGCCCACTGTCCTGCAGATAGCAGTTTGTGTCCATTCCTGCTTTTGTCCAGAGGCCCTTTTGCCTTTCAGCCTAGTGTGCTCTTCATGCATGGAAGAGAAGTAGAAAAATGAGGGAAAGTGAAGAAGCATTCTTGGAGGTGTCACATAGGGGCATGGAAGCAAGGTGGGCCTCTAGATGAGCCGGGTGAATGATGTGTACACCTGTCCCACGCATGCTTGTGGGATCAAGGAGTGAGTAGAATTGTAAAGGAATGTCTCAGGTCTGGCTGTAGCACATGGACGTGGGTTTATGGGTGGTTATGGGACTGCATGGATTAGTTTGGAAAGCCCTAGTATCTTTTTCTTTTTCTTTTTCTTTTTTTTTTTTTTGAGACGGTGTCTCGCTCTGTTGGCAGGCTGGAGTGCAGTGGTGCGATCCTGGCCCACTGCAACCTCCACCTCCTAGGTTCAAGCGATTCGCGTGCCTCAGCCTCCCGAGTAGCTGGGGCTACAGGCACGCGCCACCACACCCAGCTAATTTTTGTATTTTTAGTAAAGACGGGGTTTCACCATGTTGGCCAGGATGGTCTCGATCTCCTGACTTCGTGATCTGCCTGCCTCAGCCTCCTAAAGTGCTGGGATTACAGGTGGGAGCCACCACGCCCGGCCGATCAGGAAGCTTTCAGATGCATTTTGAAAGATAGAAATAACAGTTTGGAGTGTTTTCTTGGAAGATATTAGGATCTCATTGGGGCACGTGCATCATTAGAGACATCTCTGTTTTATTGGTAGGCTTTGGTGGTACTTTTGTGTGGGGTGGAGTCACTATGAGTGGAAATAAATACATTGTCGTGGGTCAGTGAGACCCTAAGATATTTATGTGTATTATTTCATTGTTACTGGGACTTGCGAAATTTCGTAGCCGGGCTTCTATAAACCCTGTGTCCTCAGGCAGTGCCTGACCTTTATGGACTATCTGGGGAGTGCAAGACCCCATGGGAGTTTGTAAGCGTGTCTGAGTCCAGAGGGCAACGGGGATCCTAAGAATCAGGCGCAGATGGCTTTCATTAGGGAGGGTTTGTTGTGGGGGCGTCTGTGGGTGCAACTCAAGAGGGAGTGATTATCAGGGTCCCAGAGTAAGGGAAAGATTTCTCCAAGAATCAGAGTGAAACACAGCACACTGACCTGCGGCCCAAAGGCTTCCACTGGGACTGTCCTTGGGAAGATAAAGCTGCCACATTCTTGCAGCCAGGCCGGTGGCCTCTCCCTGTTTATTCCAAGATAACAGAGTCACAGAGTCACAAGGCAGCTGGGGAGCTGAGGGGCAAGGTCCTTGAAACCCGCTGTGGAACATGGACCTTTCTCCAGTGCAGAGGGGCCACGGGGCCCTGGGAAGGGAGTTGGAGGGTTACAGCCCTGGTCATGGCAGGGAGACGCAGGAACTGGAGGCAGGAAGAGCTGTGTTCATCCCCACAGGGTGCCCCTCCGCTCAGGAATTTGTGCAATAGAATGGGGTGAGCTAATGGGGTCACATTTAGGGAAAGGAGTCTTTCTGTCCACCCAACACACATCTCATCCTATGCACACGCTTCTCCCTTTCCCCATTGTCCTCTCTATGATGGGAAACTAATGCTTCCCTAGGCGGGTGATTGAGGGAGAGGAGGGGTTGGTCTGCTTGTGTCTCTCCTTTCTCCCCTCCCTCAAGTCTCCTGCCTGCCTTTCTGCTGCTCTGTTCAGACTCTCACTTCCTGCAGTTCTGCAGTCAGTTTGCCCCACGCAAGACCCAAGGATCTGGGTCTGTGAATAATATTCAAGCCAACATCATTGCCAAGTGAGAAATCTTAGACCCCAGGACCTTTTTTCCATGGAGGGGCCTGGGCACAGAGACAAACTCTTCTTTTTGCAGAATTTAGGGTCTTTTATTGGCCACGTGGGTCTGCTGAGCCTCAGACAGGGATCCCATAGTCAGCCAGATGTGTTTCTGGGTGGACTTGCGCTTGCCCTTCCACAGGTTGGTAAGCAGAGTGGTCTCCATGAAGGGCCCTTGGCTCTGCCCCTCAGCTGGTCCTGCTCAGGTCCCTTCTCACTCTCGGTGAAGACAATCCTCAGGTGAAACAGGACCCCTGCACACATCAGTCCCTCAAAGTGAACACCGTACCAGAGGGTGCACTAGTGTCACCCTGTATCATTCTGCTCATTTATTCAACAAATACTCCGTCATGTGCCAGGCTCTTTTTTTTTTTTTTTGTCTACACCAGGAATAATAATGGTAAAACAAAAGAATATGTGCCTCTACCATATCCAGTTTATTTTATTTTATTTTATTTTTTGAGATGGAGTCTCACTCTTGCCCAGGCTGTAGTGCAGTGGCGTGATCTTAGCTCACTGCAACCTCTGCCTCCCAGGTTCAAGCAATTCTCCTGCCCCAGCCTCCCAAGTAGCTGGGACTACAGGCGCGTGCCACCATGTCCGGCTAATTTTTGTATTTTTAGTAGAGATGGGGTTTCACCATGTTAATCAGGCTGGCCTCAAACTCCCGACCTCGTGATCTGCTTGGGCTCCCAAAGTGCTGGGATTACAGGCGTGAGCCACCGCGCCTGGCTCCAGTTTATTTTTAAAATGATAGTGATATGGCAGGCATGGTTGCTCACGCCTGTAATCCCAGCACTTTCAGAGGCTGAGACAGGACGCTCACTTGAGCCCAGTTTGAGACGAGCCTAGGTAACATAGTGACACCTTGTCTCTATAAAAAATTTAAAAATCAGCCAGATGTGGTGGCTCGTGCCTCTTGTAGTCCTAGCTACTCGAGAGGCTGAGGTGGGAGGATTGCTTCAGCACAGGAAGCCGAGGCTGCACTGAGCCAGCATCACATCACTGCACTCTAGCCTGGCCAACAGCAAGATCCTGTTTAAAAAAAAAAAAAAGGCCAGGCGCGGTGGCTCACACCTGTAATCCTATCACTTTGGGAGGCTGAGGCGGGCAGATCATGAGGTCAGGAGATCGAGACCATCCTGGCCAACATGGTGAAACCCCGTCTCTACTAAAAATACAGAAATTAGCCGGGCATGGTGGCATGTGCCTGTAATCCCAGCTACTCGGGAGGCTGAGGGAGGAGAATCACTTGAACCCGGGAGGCGGAGGTTGCAGTGAGCCGAGATCACGCCACTGCACTCCAACCTGGTGACAGAGTGAGACTCCGTCTCAAAAAAAAAAAAATTGGACATAAACAGACCCTTTCAGTTACTAGATGATTTGCAAGTCAAGTGCACTAAATCATTTGTTTCTCCCAGACATCCCCACATCCAGCTCCGTTACTCTGCTTCTGTCCCTGTGTAGCTGACCACAGCCTGGAGAAAACATACAGCCAGAATTCCTGGTGTCATTTAATTCCTGCCCCGCACCTCTTCCATTCTCCTATTTTTCTATTCTGCACCTTGTCTCTGGAGATTTTCTTTCTTCTTTTTGCTCATTTAAAGGCCTTGGTTTTTTTCACCGTTGAGTCCCTGGAAGCAAGGAAGAGATCTTTTCCAACTTACCCACCCACCTGTCTCAGGGCTTGGGATCCCTACTCAGTAGTGACTGGGAATGGTCTGTTCCTGCTCCTGGCTGCTACTAACCCTCCAATTGTGTACCACACGCCAGCCCCACTCATAGCCTCAGAATGTGCAATTGTTAGGATATGATTTGTTTTGCCCCACCAACTCTCATGTTGAAATGTGATTTCCAAAGTTGGAGGTAGGGCCTGGTGAGTGTCATGGGAGCAGATCTCTTGGGAATGGCTTGATGTCATTCTCTAGGGAGTGAGTTCTGACTCTTAGTTCCCCTGAGAGCTGGTTGTCAAAAAGCCTGACCTCTCTCTCTCTCTCTCTCTCGTCTCCTCTCTCACCATTTTGTCTGCCCTGCTGGCGCCCCTTCACCCTCCACCCTAAACGGAAGCTTCCTGAGGCCCTCATCAGAGGCAGATGCTGGCACTGTGTTTTGTACAGCCTGCAGAACCATGAGCCAAATAAACCTCTTTTTTTTTTTTGAGACGGAGTTTTTCTCTTGTTGCCCAGGCTGTAGCAGTGGCGCGATCTCGGCTCACCGCAACCTCTGCCCTCTGGGTTCAAGCGATTCTCCTGCCTCAGCCTACCAAGTGGCTGGGATTACCAGTGCCTACCACCATGCCCGGCTAATTTTTTTGTATTTTTAGTAGAGATGGGGTTTCACCACATTGGTCAGGTGGGTCTCGAACTCCTGACCTCAGGTGATCCACCTGCCTCGGCCTCCCAAAGTGGTGGGATTACAGGTGTGAGCCACTGCGCCTAGCCTTCTCCTCAACTTTCTGCTAGGACATGTAACAGGTATCTCCACTTTCAGGTGTCCAAAAGTGACTTCCTGACTCCCTAGATGCATTCCCCTGCAGTCCTGCACATCTCAGATGAGCGGGACCATGTATTTCGTGGGACTTTCAAATATATAAGATTTTACATTGTAAGTGGGTTAATTTATAAAGAAAATATTATATATTTAATTAAAATGGGTGAGGAAATACATCATTTCCAAAATTCTTTTGAGGTGTGGGAGAAAAATGTTTGACAGCATCTGCCCTGCCTGATCTGCCCTCCCAGGACCTCTCTGACCTCATCTCCTGCCTGTGTCCTCCTCGCTCCCTCTGCTCCAGCCAAGCATGCGTCCTTCCTGTTCCTGGGCCGAGCTTGCTCCTGCCTCAAGGCCTTCACGTGGGCTGTGCCTCTGCTGGAACTCGCTGGCCCCTCAGCTGCAGGTGCAAACACCCCTCCTTCCCCAGGTCTCGGTTCCAATATCACCTTCTCAGCGGGGACTTCTGTGACCCACTTCCCATTTCACACTCCAGCTACACCCTCACCCCCACCTCTGGTCCATATTACCTCCTCTGCATGCTTCTCTTGATTCTTTCTGCTTCCACTGTCTGGATCCTGATGACACCAAGGTCTCAAGGGGAGAATAGAGTCAGAAGGTGGGGGCTATGCTGGGCTGACCACATGTGAGTAGAGCTACCCCCTGGCTTCATATGAAAGTGCTGGGGTACTTTGCAGATATACCTCTTGTGCCCCCATCCCTGTCCCAGAGATTCCCATTCACACAGGTTGGGACCCACCCTCGATAATACAGTGCCCAACATGATTCTAATCTATATCCAGCCCTGAACACCAAGGCTCTGTGTCCTCTATTTCTGAGGGCTGAGCCCAGCCTGGGATCCAGAGAGGGAAAGGGGGCTGTGCTCTGCATGGGGTTTAATCAGGGCTGGGTCTCCTCCCCACTGCTGCAGCATGTGTGTGAGCTTCTCCAGGAGGGGAGGGAGTTCTGAAGAAAGGGGTCAGAAGACTCATGTATTGGTTTTCCTGTAGGAGTTTCTTGTCCCTGGGGCCACCCTGGTGTAGTGGGCGGCAGAGGACCGTCTTTGCACAGGGCGAGCTCCTCCCTGTGTATGTGTGTGCTTGTCACACAAGAGGGGGTGTGTTGTTTCTAAGCAATAAACAGCACTTGTTGTTGTTATTCAGCATTGACTTCCAAAGACTCCTGGCACATGAGGAAGAAACCCAGAAGAGGAGAGCAAAGGAGTCAGGAATGGCTTTTACTCAGGTAAAGAAAGATTCTGTGTGGATCATTCTGTCTCCCTCTTTTCAGAAAGGTGGGAGACAATGCCTTGGAGCTGCAAATCTTCTCTGAGTCTGAAGCATCCTGCCTGACGCGTTTGCTCACATTGACCCGTGCCTTCCCTCAGTCCTTCTCATCTCTACTGAGATTCCGTCTCACCCTGACCCTGTGACATGAACTTCTGAAGAGTCCACTGGGCATGGTCCTGGGAAGGGCTCACACCCAGACATGGATGGAGACGGGGTGAGGGTCCCGTGGTGTCAGTGCTGTTGGGCAGCAGGGATTGTTCAGGGGCCACATTTGGATGCACTGTCGGCTCTCCGTAGCCCAGGAATAGAGAAGCTGCCCATGGAAGTCATGTTTTTTGTTGTTTTTGTTTTTTGTTTGTTTGTTTGTTTTTGAGATGGAGTTTCATTCTTGTTGCCCAGGCTGGAGTGCAATGGCGCAATCTCGGCTCACTGAATCCTCTGCCTCCCGGGTTCAAGTGATTCTCCTGCCTCAGCGTCCCGAGTAGCTGGGATTACAGGCATGCACCACCACAACCAGCTAATTTTGTATTTTTAATAGAGACGGGGTTTCTCTATGTTGGTCAGGCTGGTCTCGAACTCCAGACCTCAGGTGATCCACCCACCTCGGCTTCCCAAAGTGCTGGGATTACAGGCATGAGACACCGTGCCTGGCCTAAAGTCAGGTGTTAATATAGACAAATACCTGGTAAATCCTGGAAAAGGCAGCCAATAAGGGGATATATTTTGTGCCTGATTTTGTAATCCAGATAAAACTAGTATATCAGTATGTCTCTGACTCCACACTGTTAATGACTTGGAATGGAATGTAAAGTTGAGATACAGACATCAGTACTAGAGGGCGTTTTATTCCTTTATTGACTTTGAAACATAAAGTCAACATAAAAGTGTAACTGTAAGGCCGAGCACGGTGGCTCAGGCCTATAATCCCAGCACTTTGGAGGCCGAGGTGAGCGGATCATTGTAGGTCAGGAGTTTGAGACCAGCAAACATGGTGAAACCCCGTCTTTACTAAAAATACAAAAATTAGCCAGGCGTGGTGGCGCACGCCTGTAATCCCAACTACTCAGGAGGCTGAGGTAGGAGAATCACTTGAACCTGGGAGGCAAAGGTTACAGTAAGTGGAGATCGCACCACTGCACTGCACTCCAGCCTGGGTGACAGGGCGAGACTCTGTGTCAACAACAACAACGACAAAAATAAAGTATAATTGTAGGACTTTTTTTTTTTTTTTTTGAGACGGAGTCTCAGTCTGTCGCCCATGCTGGAGTGCAGTGGCTCGATCTTGGCTCACTGCAACCTCCACCTCCCAGGTTCAAGTGATTCCTCTGCCTCAGCCTCCCAGGTAGCTGAGACTACAGGCACCCGCCACTATGCCTGGCTAATTTTTGTAGAGATGGGGTTTCACTATGTTGGCCAGGCTGGTCTTGAACTCCTGACCATATGATCTGCCTGCCTCGGCCTCCCAAAGTGCTGGGATTACGGGCGGGAGCCACTGTGCCCGGCCAGCTGTAGGACTTTTTTTTTTTTTTTTTTTTTTTTTGAGTCTTCCTCTGTCACCCAGGCTGGAGTGCAGTGGCGCGATCTCAGCTTACTGCAACCTCTGCCTCCCAGGTTCAAGCAATTCTCCTGCCTCAGCCTCCTGACTAGCTGGGATTACAGGCACGCGCCACCACACCTGGCTAATTTTTGTATTTTTAGTAGAGACGGGGTTTCACCGTGTAGGTCAGGCTGGTCTCCAACTCCTGACCTCGTGATCCATCCACCTCGGCCTCCCAAAGTGCTGGGATTAGAGGCATGAGCCACCGCGCCCAGCCAAGTTTTTAAACCATTCTCAGCACTTGCATACCACGGAGATGGTGCTATTCCTGCAGGGTCTCTTAGGCATCAGATATTTTAGGTAAAAATGGTAACAGTTTTGCTCAGACATCAGAGCAGAACTCCTTTTTCATTAAAGAGGATATATCCATATTCTTATTATATGTATTGTTATTAAGTATTATGCTGCTTTTATTTTAAACATCACATGATGTATATATTTGTTTTATGGTGAAACTCTCAATAGAGATATTTAGTGCTTAGATATAGAGTATCCCTTTTCCTGTCAAGCCTTACACCCTCACACAGGTCTCAGTGGTGAGCCACTATTGTCAGTTCTGTGAGAACAGACAGCTCAAGCCCTGTTGAAATGTGTTTAATCATTGTGAGATTTTAGAACAATATTGTCAGTAAATGTTTTGTTAGGGTATTCTATCCTGCAAGTTGTGAATATTTACACGTTTTCGTATTAAGGAACAAGGATAGCTTGCTCCTTTTTCAAGTTGATACATAATATTGGTTCATATTTAAGGGGCAGATGTGATATTTTGTTACGTGTGTCATAGAATGTGTAATGATCAAGTAATGGTATTTGAAGTGTCTATTACCTTGAGTATTTATCATTTTTATGTGTTGGGAATATAGCAAAATATTCAATTTGCTAGTATTTTGATGAGGATTTTTACATCTGTGTTCAGGAGGGATTTCGGCCTATAGTTTTCCTTTTTTTTTTCTTTTCTGGTTTGATATCGGGAATGCTGGCTTCATAGAATGAGTTAAGGAGAATTCCCTCCGTTTCAATTTTAGTTTGAGGAGAATCAGTCTTAGTTCTTCTTTGAAAGTTTGATAGAATTCGGCAGTGAAGCCATTTGGTCCCAGACTTTTCTTTGTTCAGAGACTTTTTATTCCTGATTAAATTTCATTATTGGTCTGTTAAGGTTTTCTGAATCTTCCTGATTCAGTCTTGGTGCTTCGTGTCCAGGATTTTATCCATTTCCTCTAGGTTTTCTAGTTTGTTAGTGTGTAGTTATTTATAATAGTCTCTGATGATCTTTTATATTTCTGTGTTATCAGTTGTAACGTATCCATTTTATTTCTGATTTTGTTTATTGGGTCTTCTTTTTGATTAATCTAGCTAGTAGTTTATAGATTATATTATCTTTTTTAAAAATAACCAACATTTCATTTTGTTGATCCTTTGTGTTTTTGTAGTATTTATTTTGTTTAGTTCTGCTCTGATCTTTGTTATTTTTTTCTTTCTACTAATTTTGGGTTTGATTTGTTCTTGCTTTCTTAGTTCCTTGAGGTGCATTGTTAGACTGTCTATTTAAATTTTTTTTTTTTTTTTTTTTTTTTTTGAGATGGAGTCTTGCTCTGTCACCCAGGCTGGAGTGCAGTGGTGCAATCTTGGCTCACTGCAACCTCCACCTCCCTGGTTCAAGCGATTCTCCCATCTCGGCCTCCAGAGTAGCTGGGATTACAGGCACATACCTGGCTAATTTTTGTATTTTCTTTTTTTTTGAGACGAAGTCTCCCTCTGTCGCCCAGGCTGGAGTGCAGTGGCTCGGTCTGGGCTCACTGCAAGCTCCGCCTCCTGGGTTCATGCCATTCTCCTGCCTCAGCCTCCCGAGTAGCTGGGACTACAGGCGCCCACCACCACACCCAGCTAATTTTTTTGTATTTTTTTAGTAGAAGCGGGGTTCACCATGTTAGCCAGGATGGTCTTGATCTCCTGACCTCGTGATCCGCCCGCCTTGGCCTCCTAAAGTGCTAGGACTACAGGCGTGAGCCACTGCGCCCGGCCTAATTTTTGTATTTTTAGTAGAGATGGGGTTTTACCATCTTCGCCAGGGTGGTCTTGAACTCCTGACCTCAGGTGATCCACCCACCTTGGCCTCCCAAAGTGCTGGGATTACAGGAGTGAGCCACCGTGCCTGGCTTATTTGAAATTTTTCTACTTTTTCCAAGTAGGTGTTTATTACTATAAACTTCCCTCTTAGCATTGCTTTTGTTGTATTCCATAGGTTTTGACATATTGTGTTTCCATTTTTACTTGTTTCAAGATTTTTTTTTTTTAATTTCCCCCTTAATTTCTTCCTAGACCCAGTGGTCATTTAGGAGCATGTTGTCTAATTTCCATGTATTTGCCAGTTTTCAAAGTTTCTCATGGTATTGATTTCTAATTTTATTCCATTGTTGTTCTAAGAAGATACTAAGATTTTGATATTTTAAAAATGTGTTGAGACTTGTTTTGTGTTCTAATATGTAGTCTGTCTTGGAGAATGTTCTATGCGCTGATGCAAAGAATGTGTATTCTGTACTTGTTGGATGAAATGTTCTGTAAATATCTCTTAGATCTGTTTAGTCTAAAGTGCAGTTTAAATTCAGTGTTTCTTTGTTAATTTTCTGTCTAAATCAGCTGTCTAATGCTGAAATCCCTAACTATTATTATTTTTGGATTGTGTCTCTCCCTTTAAATCTAATAATATTCGCCCTATATGTCTGGATGCTCCAGTGTTGGGTGCATATATGTTTAGAATTGTTATATTCCTCTTATTGAATTGATCTCTTTATTAGTATATAATGACCTTTTTCATCTCTTTTACTGTTTTTAACTTAAAATTCATTTTGTTAGATTGAAGTAGAGGTACTTCTGCTTGCTTTTGGTTTCATTTGCATATAATACCTTTTTTCATATTTTCACTTTGAGTCTATTTGTGTCTTTACATTGACATGAGTTTCTTAAAGGTAGCATATAGTTGGGTTACACGCTTGTATCAATTTAGCCAGTCTATATCTTTTATGTGGAAAGTTTAATCCATTTACATAAAGTTCATTATTGATATGCGAGGGCTTATTACTGTCACTTTATTAATTGATTTCTGGTTGTTTTGTATGTTTGCTCCTTTCTCTAATTGTTTTTCATTGTGGTTTGGTGGTTTTCTATAATAGTAACATTTACATTTGACTCCTTTCCTTACTTGCATGTTTGCTCTAACAGTGGGTTTTATAGTATTGTGTGTTTTCATGACGGCCAATATTGTCCTTTTGCTTCTAGATGTAGGGATCCCTTAAGCATTTCTTGTAGGGCCAGTCTAGTGGTGAAGAATTCCCTCAGGCTTTGCTTCTCTGGGAAAGACTATTTCTCCTTTTTATGAAGGATAATTTTGCTGAGTATAGTATCCTTGGCTGGCAGGGTTTTTTTTTCTTTCAGCACATTTAATGTATCATACCATTCTCTGTTGGCCTGTAAGGTTTCTATTGAGAAATTTCCTGTTTTATGGAGCACCCTTTATAAGTGACTAGATGCTTTTCTCTTGCTGTTTTTTTTTAGAATTCTCTTTCTTTCTTTTTTTTTTTTGAGACGGAATTTCGCCCTTGTTGCCCAGGCTGAAGTGCAATGGTGTGATCTCGGCTCACCGCAACCTCCACCTCCCAGATTCAAGCAATTCTCCTGCCTCAGCCTCCCGAGTAGCTGGGATTACAGGCATGCACCACCACGCTCGGCTAGTTTTGTATTTTTAGTAGAGATGGGGTTTCTCCATGTTGGTCAGACTGGTCTCGACCTCCCAACCTCAGGTGATCTGCCCACCTTGGCCTCCCAAAGTGCTGGGATTACAGGCGTGAGCCACCACGCCCAGCCGAATTCTCTTTCTTTTTCTTTGACTTTTGACAGTTTGACTATAATGTGCCAAGAAGACATTTTTGGATTGTATCTCTTTGAGAATCTATGAAATTCCTGTATCTAGATATCTAAACCTTTTACTATACTTAGGAAGTTTTTGGTTATTATTTTGTTAAATAGCTTTCTATCTTTTTTGATTTTCTCTCCACCTTCTGGGACACCAAAAATTCAAATATTTGGTCACCTTATGGTGCCTGCCCCATATGTCACATAGGCTGTGTTCATTCTTTTTTATTTCTTTCTTTATTTTTGTCTGACTCGTTTATTTCAAAAGACCTGTCTTCAAGTTCTGAAATTTTTTCTTTTGCTTGATCCCTAGTTCATTGTTGAAGTTTTCAAATGTACTTTGTACACACATGCCTATAGTCCAGCTACTTGGAAAGCTAAGGTTGGAGGGTCACTTGAACCTGGGAGATTGAGTCTGCAGTGAGCCATGATCATGCCACTGCACTTCAGCCTGGGCAGCAGAGCGAGACCTTGTCTCAAACCAAAAAAAAAAAAAAAGAGAGAAAAAAAACCACAATTAGGGAGAGATATGTACTCAAAAATACCTTAGTGTGGATTTATCAGAACACACACTTCAATTAAATCTATACTTAAATTCTCTTTTATTCTTATTTTGTGTGAAGATGGTAACTCCCTTCATAACCTCTTGGTGAAATGTGTTTATTATTTTACGGACAGTTGACATTCAGGGACGTGGCCATCGAATTCTCTCAAGATGAGTGGAAATGCCTGAACTCTACACAGAGGACTTTATACAGGGATGTGATGTTGGAGAACTACAGGAACCTGGTCTCCCTGGGTGAGGATAATTTTCTTCCAGAAGTCAAAATCTGCCCTTGGTATCTTTCCATTTTCCCTTGTGTGCCTCTTGGGAGCCCCTGCATTACCTGACTGAGTTTGAGGCCTTGTTGACTCTGAAATGAAAAGCTCCATAATGTGAACTCTGGAGTTTAACCATCCCCTTTTTCCAGATTTTCTGACCCCTTCATGATACAACAGTGGTGGTTCCAGAGCTGAAGTATCCATGAAAGCTTATGGTAGACTTCTGAAATACTCACTTCTTGTTTTCTGCCCCTGTGCTTTGATTCAGTAGTTCTTGGAAGGGAGCTAGATATTTGCATATTACAGTCTTCCCTAAGCATTCAGAGTTGGCATTCAGTGAAATAATTTGTGAAATATTTTCCTAGATCCATCTGTGATAGCCTCTCTTCTTATCCAAGCAAAGGGCTGAGATTCTTGAAAAGCCACAGCACATCATGTTCCATTCATTTTATAAGCGGGAAATTCTCTTCCTGACCAGAGTATTATCCTATGTGGGAGCACAGGAAAGAGCCCTGGACCATAGAAAGCCAAGTACGAGTAGCAAGAAAACCAAAAGGGTGGGAATGGATCAAAGGTGTGAAAACAGGTAAGACCTCAGATGAGGGGAGAGGAAGCCACACCATTACACTATGTTTGGAAACTCTTAGCAAGTGGGAGAGTTCTGTAGGAAAACAAATGTTTATATCCTGTGAGCTCTTAGAGGAAATTTTAAACTTCCCCTACTTCTCCCTCTGCTCTTGAGACGTGTCATAGTTGATCCTTTTGCTGTCCAGTGGGGGCTGCAGCTCAAACAGAGACAAATGGAAGTGCTCATCATGATGGACAGCATTGCCCTCTGACTTCCGTGAACTCTCTGGCTCCTTCACTCTGAGGGGTCCGGGAGGGGCCACATCACAAGGGTCTACTTCTCCCGTGGTCTCTCCTGTTATTTGTTGCTGTTGTTCTTTTTTTTTTGAGATGGAGTTTCGCTCTTATTGCCCAGGCTGGAGTGCAATGGTGCAATCTCGGCTCACTGCAACCTTCGCCTCCCGGATTCAAATGATTCTCCTGCCTCAGCCTCCCGAGTAGCTGGGATTACAGGTATGCACCACCATGCCTGGCTAATTTTGTATTTTTAGTAGAGACGGAGTTTCACCATGTTGGTCAGGCTGGTCTCAAACTCCTGACCTCAGGTGATCTGCCCGTCTCGGCCTCCCAGAGTGCTGGGATTACAGGCTTGAGCTGCCGCGCCCGGCCGGTCTCTCCTGTTCTTGATGCCACCTGATGCTCAGTTCGCTCTCCATATAGATCAGAGGGGAGGCCTCCACAGTCCTGATGCCTGGAGCTATCCATGCTCCACCCCATTTCTGGTGCTTGGAAGACCTGCCCACAAGATGGGAAACACTGGCTGCTCCTTCTTTGCATCTGAGGCCCCGGGGAGCTGCAAGGAGCTGTCTCAAGCCCTTTCTACCTGTTGTGGTCCCTCAGCCATTTCTTCTGTTCTGCTTTTGCCACAGTTCGTGGGTGTGTGGACCAGGGGAGGGAGTTGGTTCTTCTGGGATTGTTACTCTGCAGAACTGTAAGAACAGTTGACAGGTCTTCACTGGGATCCCCCGTCCTACACAGGGAGTACGTCTTAGTCTTTCAGGCTCTTAGCTTAGGATCCCTCTGTAGGCAGAGCAGACAATCCCATCTCAAGATCTTTCAAAATCTAGCCTCATATGTTGTATTTTTCTCTCTTTTCCGTTGGTCTCACTGCTATATGAATGTGGAAAAACCTTGGCTCTTCCTGATTTTGTTTTCTCTTAAGTTTGCATGATTTTTCCTCTGAAAACCAACTTTTGACCAGGTGCGGTGGCTCACGCCTGTAATTCCAGCACTCTGGGTGGCTGAGGTGGGCGGATCACCTGAGGTCAGGAGTTCAAGACCAACATGGTGAAACCCCGTCTCTACTAAAAATACAAAAGTTAGCCAGGTGTGGTGGCATGCACCTGTAATCCCAGCTACTCAGGAGGCCGAGGCAGGAGAATCACATGACCCCAGGAGGCGGAGGTTGCAGTGAGCTGAGATGGCACCGCTGCACTACAGCCTGAGTAACAGAGTGAGACTCCGTTTCAAAAAAAAACAAACCCAGCTTTTGATATACACACTCCTGGAGTCTGTCATTTCTCTATTCCTGCTATGATAACCAACCTATAGGTTATGCATACCTTCTCCTGGAGTCTCTTGTGGAGGGTGTTTATATGATAACAGAAAATTTATGAGGGAAAACTCTTTAATATAATTGAATAGCATCCTGCTACATGTAGAGATGCCCCTTAAAGCGTTCAGCAGAATTGTCAGCATGGCTCAGGATATAAGATACAAAATATCAGGCGAGCCTGACTGACAAGTGTGTCCAGATGTCCTTCTAGTTTTGAGGAGCCTCACAAAAGTGTACCTGGAGGGCACTGTGACAGCGCTGGACACATAAACTAATGATCATCTCCCCTAAGCCAGCAGTTGGTGTGGGAGTTTCTCCTAGCGATGACATTGTTCAAGTTCACAGCATCATATGTATGAGGCTCTTGACTAAACTATTGTTCACACCACATTTGTTCATTTTCCATCCTGTGTGCACCATTGTTCATTCTCATCAACAAACCTTTGTTCAGCCTGGGTTCAATTTGTTGTAGGTTCAAACCTCCCTCTTGTGGAGGGAGCTTGTGAAGCTGAATGATGCCTTGGTTTTTTTTCGTTTGTTCTTTTTTTGCTTTACACTGCTGTAATGCCTCGGTTTTTTTTTTTTTTTTTTTTTTTTTTTTGAGACGGAGTTTCGCTCTGTCGCCCAGGCTGGAGTGCAGTGGCGCGATCTCGACTCACTGCAAGCTCCGCCTCCCGGGTTCACGCCATTCTCCTGCCTCAGCCTCCCGTGTAGCTGGGACTACAGGCGTGCGCCACCATGCCCGGCTAATTTTTGTATTTTTAGTAGAGACGGGGTTTCACCGTGTTAGCCAGGATGGTCTCGATCTCCTGACCTCGTGATCCGCCCGTCTCGGCCTCCCAAAGTGCTGGGATTACAGGCGTGAGCCACCGCGCCCGGCCAATGCCTCGGTTTTTAAAGTCCAGTGTCATTTGTTTAAGCCACTACTAGTTTCATCTTGTACATTTACATGTGGTATAAATGAACATCTTTTTCATTTAGTCGTAAATTCTGTATTTTTTATGATACTTTTTTTTTTTTTAAGATGGAGTTTCGCTCTTGTTGCCCAGGCTGGAATACAATGGCACAATCTCAGCTCACCGCAACCTCCACCTCCCAGGTTCAAGCGATGCTCCTGCCTCAGCCTCCTGAGTAGCTGGGATTACAGGCATGCACCACCACACCTGGCTAATTTTGTATTTTTAGTAGAGACAGAGTTTCTCCATGTTGGTCAGGCTGGTCTTGAATTCTCGACCTCATGTGATCCACCCGCCTCGGCCTCCCAAAGTGCTGGGATTACAGGCGTGAGCCACCACGCCTGGCCCCAAGGTCAGAATTGTAACTGTCCTAGTGGAATTATATCCCACACATGTGCATGCAGATTTTCCTCTGACATGCCCATTACTCCCTCTCCTGTGCTCTTGCCCTTCCTCTCTCCTATCCTCACATGATACCTTGATCTGCATGGAATATACTGTTGCTTTTTAGCATATTGGTTTTGTATTCCTGAAAACCCCAATTGCCACAGGACTTCCTCACCCTCCACACTACTCTCACTATGCAAGACAAGACACTACTCAACCGCTTTATAAGTCAGGATCTGCCTAAATCAGTATGTGTAGGAAGTGATGACTCAGATACCATTATCCATGAGAGCTGACTGACTAGATGCATTGGTGGTGTAGTGGTGAGCATAGCTGCCTTCCATGAGAGCTGACTGAATAACACTATTATCAACACAGCCCAGCTCTTGTAGCTCCTTTTCTTCATATGCTCCTCGCCTGGGTGCATTCTTGCTGTGACTGATAGTTTTCCACACTGCACATGTCCACCCAGGTTTTCCACACTGCCTGTGGGTGGACATGTGCTTAAAAACACGTCTGATGGCCCGGCGTGGTTGCTCACGCCTGTAATCCGAGTACTTTTGGAGGCTGAGGTGGGCGGATCACTTGAGGTCAGGAGTTCGAAACCAGCCTGGCCAACATGGTTAAACCCCTTCTCTACTAAAAATACAAAAAAAGTAGCCGGGCATGGTGGCAGGTGCCTGTAATCTCAGCTACTCAGGAGGCTGAGCCAAGAGAATTGCTTGAACCTGGGAGGCGGAGGTTGCAGTGAGCCGAGATCACACCACTGCACCCCAGCCTGGGCAAAAGAGCGAGACTGTGTCTCCAAAAATAAAAATAAAAAAAAGTCTGAGCCTGCTGGCCCAGGATTTAGTCTTGTTTTTCTCTCTTATTTTCTGTGAAAATTTAGGTTAGATACATGAATACCATGGGCCTAATGTGTTTATTTGAAAAATAATAACAATTTACTTGAAAGTTTTTAAAACAAGGTGGTGGTGTGTGATTACTTGGAATATTGCATGTCTTACAGTAAAGTCCCAAAGTTTGTTTAATAAGATTGATCAGCCTTCTGTGATGATTGTGATGAGATTGTCCTTTTTCTGTCTTATATAACTCATCGTGCCATAAGAAATATCATAGGCGGGCCGGGCGCAGTGGCTCACGCCTGTAATCCCAGCACTTTGGGAGGCTGTGGTGGGCAGATCACCTGAGGTCAGAAGTTCGAGACCAGCCTGGCCAACATACTGAAACCCCATCTCTACTAAAAATATAAAAATTAGCCAGGCATGGTGGTAGGCACCTGTAATCCCAGCTACTTGGGAGACTGAGGCAGGAGAATCGCTTGAACCCAGGAAGCAGAGGTTGCAGTTAGCCGAGATTGCGCCATTGTACTCCAGCCTGGGTGACAAGAGAAACTGGGTCTCAAAAAAAAAAAAAAAAAAAAAGAAATATCATAGGCTAGGAGAACTAAACCACAGAAATTTATATCTCCCAGACCTGGAAGCTGGGAAGTCAAAATTAAGGAGCCAGGTGAATCAGTTCCTGGTACTGGCTCGCTGACTGTCCCACATGATGGAAAGGGCAAGAGAAAACAAGCTCTTATGTTTTGTCCTGTAAGGGCATTAATCCTATTTTTGACTAGTCCAACCTCATGACCTAATTATATCCCAAACGCGCCATCTGCAACAACATCACACTGGAGGATAGGACCTTAGCATACGAATTTTGGCCAACATATTCAGACCGTAGAGACTGCATTATATTTTGTTTGATTTTATTTTCAATTCGTTTTAAACATTGTGTTCTCTGATTTCAGTTAATAAATTTTCCAAGTACAAACTCTTATGTATATTGTGTGGCTGATGAACTAGGTCATGAAAGGGCAATGCATATGTAGGGAATTGCGTTATTGACTGGCTGTTTGTTACATAAGTGCAGGTGTGAAGTCATAATTGTGATTTCTGACTTTGTTCTTCAATTCTTCTTTATAATGCTATGTGTTTACCTGACCTCATGCATCAAATGTCAGAGATCTTAACATATATTCCAGTTCACAGGTTGTGTGCTGGTTCTGAAATAGTTCTTGCTTTTTTCTTAGGAGAGAATCATTTACAGGCTATAACTTTGTACAAGTGTAGTTACTAGTTTTTGGTTTGCATTTTTATCATGGGTTACTACAGTGTTTTATTAATTAATTGTTATGGTTTACAGATGATGGGTTTTTAGTAAGTTTCATGCAATATAACTGACATGCATCACTCATTAATGTCAAAAATGCCTGGTCTAGGTGGGTACAGATATTTTCATAACAGGTATTCAGAAAAATTAGCTATTTTTAACAGTGTTTTATTAGTTTTTGTCTCGTTTTCTCAGTGCTATTACTGTTTTGCAATTCAGAATTATCATTTATGTATCTTACTTATTCCGTAAGTTTGTTGTGGCTTAGTTACCATTATGATATATTGTGTAGTACTTTTTTCATTTATATGGGCACAGTAAATATGCTGTGGCTAGGTAAAATGTAATATTTATTTCAATAATGAGACAGCCATGTATTTTCTGCCAATTGGTGTGTACTTTGCTGTCAAGGTGAAAAAATACTCCTTTCAGGGCTAACGTAGGTTTGTACAATGTGTTTTGGTCATAGGATGTTTGAATCTGTCCTTCCCTAGAATTTATTTGAATGCCATGTAATCACCCTTTTTTTACTAAAGAATGTGATTCCTTTGTGTTCGTAAAAATTAAAGATCATGATTGGGAAGTTTTATAACTCTGTTGTATATAAATGTTGCTTTTTGTGTAATTCTGTTATTCAGTATGAAATATTTATATACTGTCTCTAATTAATTGGAAACCTATGGTTTTCATTTCTTATAGATCTGTCTCGTAACTGTGTAATCAAGGAACTAGCACCACAACAGGAAGGTAACCCAGGAGAAGTATTCCACACAGTGACATTGGAACAACATGAAAAACATGACATTGAAGAGTTTTGCTTCAGGGAAATCAAGAAAAAAATACACGACTTTGACTGTCAGTGGAGAGATGATGAAAGAAATTGCAACAAAGTGACTACGGCCCCAAAAGAAAATCTTACTTGTAGGAGAGACCAACGCGATAGAAGAGGTATAGGAAACAAGTCTATTAAACATCAGCTTGGATTAAGCTTTCTACCACATCCCCATGAACTGCAGCAGTTTCAAGCTGAAGGGAAAATTTATGAATGTAACCATGTTGAGAAGTCTGTCAACCATGGTTCCTCAGTTTCACCACCCCAAATAATTTCTTCTACCATCAAAACCCATGTTTCTAATAAATATGGGACTGATTTCATCTGTTCTTCATTACTCACACAAGAACAGAAATCATGCATTAGGGAAAAACCTTACAGATATATTGAGTGCGACAAAGCCTTGAATCATGGCTCACACATGACTGTACGTCAGGTAAGTCATTCTGGAGAGAAAGGATATAAATGTGATCTGTGTGGCAAGGTCTTTAGTCAAAAATCAAACCTTGCGCGTCATTGGAGAGTTCATACTGGAGAGAAACCATACAAATGTAATGAATGTGACAGAAGTTTCAGTCGCAACTCATGCCTTGCACTACATCGGAGAGTTCACACTGGAGAGAAACCTTACAAATGTTATGAGTGTGACAAGGTCTTCAGTCGAAATTCATGCCTTGCACTACATCAGAAAACTCATATTGGAGAGAAACCTTACACATGTAAAGAGTGTGGCAAAGCCTTTAGTGTGAGGTCAACACTTACCAACCATCAGGTAATTCATAGTGGCAAGAAACCTTACAAATGCAATGAATGTGGCAAGGTGTTCAGTCAGACTTCAAGCCTTGCAACTCATCAGAGAATTCACACTGGGGAGAAACCATACAAGTGTAATGAATGTGGTAAAGTCTTCAGTCAGACTTCAAGCCTTGCAAGGCATTGGAGAATTCATACTGGAGAGAAACCTTACAAATGCAATGAATGTGGTAAGGTTTTCAGTTACAATTCACACCTTGCGAGTCATCGGAGAGTTCATACTGGAGAGAAACCTTACAAGTGTAATGAGTGTGGGAAAGCCTTTAGTGTGCATTCGAACTTAACTACCCATCAGGTCATCCATACTGGAGAGAAGCCTTACAAATGTAATCAATGTGGCAAAGGCTTCAGTGTGCATTCAAGCCTAACTACCCATCAGGTCATCCATACTGGAGAAAAACCTTACAAATGTAATGAGTGTGGCAAATCCTTTAGTGTGCGCCCAAACCTCACTAGACATCAGATAATCCATACTGGAAAGAAACCTTACAAATGTAGTGATTGTGGGAAGTCCTTTAGTGTGCGCCCAAACCTCTTCAGACATCAAATTATCCATACTAAGGAGAAACCTTATAAAAGAAATTAATATGGCAAGGTCTTCAGTCAAAGTTTAAATCCTGTGAGTCATCAAAGAATTTATATCAGAGAGAAACCATACAAGTATAATAAATGTGGCAAGGTTTTCAGTCACAATTCACTCCTACACAGCATCAGAGAATTTCATTCTTGAGAGAATCCTTACGAGTACAGCAAACCCTTCATCACAAGTTCAAGCATTCATTGACATCAGAGTCCATGCTAAAGAGAAATCATATACACCTAACTGTGTGGCAGAGGCTTCATTTAGGTCTCACAACTCACTAGACATCAAAATGTGTAAACATCTTTGTATATTTTGTGCATGTTGAAGCTATTAACCAAGGATCAAAACTGTAACACATCCAAGGATTTATGTGAGGAATAATTCAGTCTAGTTGTGCTGATAAACTTTTCATATTACACATTGTAGAACAAATGCAAGCCCAAATATGTTAAAACTCACACAACATGATATATATTAAAGGTTGCAGGATGTTTGAAGTCACTGGTTGTCTCAGATTTTAAAATATTTTATTTATTTATTTTAGGTGTCTTGCAAGGCTACTACTTTATACTTTAGGATTTATGACTTTCAACCAAAACCTTGAAATGTGTTGATAGGCCTCCTTACCTGCCTTTCATGGCAATGTCTGGGAAAGAATCAGTAAGATGGAAGGGCTCACTGCATTAGATGAGGATCATTTCTATTCAGATTCTTTGAAGAATAAGGACTCTGCCTTGGCAAATTACCAAGCATGGGGGCAGGCAGAGAATAATGCAAAATGATGGTGTTGATCATCATCCTTATTGTGTTTAGGGTGTTCTCCTGATAGACGGCACTTTGGGTTACAGGAAAGAGATGACCTGCAACCTGACCATGAAACAGAGCAGACCACGACCGGGCGCAGTGGCTCACACCTGTAATCCCAGCACTTTGGGTGGCTGAGGTGGGTGGATCATGAGGTCAGGAGTTCAAGACCAGCCTGGCCAAGATGGTGAAACCCCGTCTCTACTAAAAATACAAAAATTAGCCGGGCGTGGTGGTGGGCGCCTGTAATCCCAGCTACTTGGGAGACTGAGGCAGGAGAATCGCTTGAACCCAGGAGGCGGAGGTTGCAGTGAGCCGAGATTGCACCACTGCACTCCAGCCTAGGTGACTGAGAGAGACTGTGCCTCAAAAAAAATCAGAGCAGATCAAGACCTTAGACACTGGGATTTGTGGGAGGAGTGTAATGGGTTATTAGTGACTGATTACATGGTGGAAATAATTCAGGGGAAAACGGTGGCCACCTTCTGCATGGAATGGCCATCGCTGTTATATAGCCAAGATTGAAACCACAATAGAAACCACAACCTCAGAGATGAACCACAATAGCATGTTATTGATTAGGATTCACATTTACTGCTGGTATTACATTTTGCTACTGTTTTATTCAGAATGTATCATAGATCTCGTGCTAATTAATCTGATTTTTGCATAACTATGAATGCATCATGTTCTCTCTGCCAACATAGTTTTATCCCACCTCAGTAGGTTACTTTGTAACAGACAATAACAACACACCATTAGACTCTTAAGGCTGAAAGATAGAACCATTTTTTTTTTTCTTGGAATTAAATAGAGTGTTGGGAACATACACTTACAGAGTGCACTTGAGTTGTTCTCCCCGCCCATACCCTGCCTCAGGATACTTATGTGAATATAATGAAAATCCCAAGAAAGTTATTTTACACCATGAAAGCTGTATCACTCTTTTTTTTAATTTTTATTTTTCGAGACGGAGTCTTGCTCTGTTGCCCAGGCTGGAGTGCAGTGGCACAATAGCTCACTGCAGCCTCCGCCTCCCGGGTTCAAGCGATTCTCCTGCCTCAGCCTCCAAGGTAGCTGGGATTACAGGCGCCCACCACCACGTTCGGCTAATTTGTGTATTTTTAGTAGAGAACGTTTCACCATGTTGGCCAGGCTGGTCTCAAACTCGTGATCTCAAGGGATCTGCCTGCCTCGGTCCCCCAAAATGCTGGGATTGCAGGTGTGAGCCACCATGCCCAGCTACAGACTTTTCTTTTTTGAGGTTTTTGATAACTAATTCACTTTATTAATTCATTCATTCATTCATTTATAGGATGGAGTCTCACTGTGTCGCCAGGCTGGAGTGCAGTGGTACGATCTCATCTCACTGCAACCTCTGCCTCCTGGTTTCAAGCAATTCTGCCTCAGCCTCCTGAGTAGCTGGGACTACAGGGACAGGCCACCACACCCAGCTAATTTTTGTGTTTTTAGTAGAAACGGGGTTTCACCATGTTGGTCAGGATGGTCTCGATCTCTTGACCTCGTGATCCACCCGCCTCAA
The DNA here is from genome assembly GCF_000001405.40 of Homo sapiens. Lineage (NCBI taxonomy): Eukaryota > Metazoa > Chordata > Mammalia > Primates > Hominidae > Homo > Homo sapiens. The sequence goes on along the minus strand of NC_000019.10, from coordinate 53,106,032 downwards.
CCTCCCAAAGTGCTGGGATTACAGGTGTGAACCACCGCGCCCAGCCTTATTTATTTATTTGAGACAGAGTCTCGCTCTGTCACCCAAGCTGAAGTGCAGTGGCACAATCTCGGCTCACTGCAGCCTCTGCCTCCCTGGTTTAAGCAATTCTCCTGCCTCAGCCTCCTGAGTAGCTGGGATTACAGGTGTGCACCACCACGCCTGGCTAATTTTTGTTTTTAGTAGAGATGGGTTTTCGCCATGTTGACCAGGCTGGTCTCGAACTCCTGACCTCATGTGATCCACTCGCCTCAGCTTCCCAAAGTGCAAGGATTGCAGGCGTGAGCCACCATGCCCAACCCTCTGAACCATTCTTTGTCAGTGTAATTTGGAACAACTTTTCCTTAACAACAGCCAACAGCCCCTCCCAAGAGTAGGCTTTTTTTTTTTTTTTTGAAAGACAGGTTCTCACTCTGTTGCCCAGACTGGAGTGCAGTGTCAGGATCATAGCTAACTGCTGCCTCGAACTCCTGGGCTCAAGCAATCTTCCTGAGTAGCTGGGACTACAGGTGTGTGCCACCATGCCCAGCTAATTTTTAAAAATTTTCTGTAGAGATGGGAGTCTTGCTATGTTGCCCAAACTGGTCTTGAATTCCATGATGAGCCAGGCTCACATTTGTAATCCCAACACTTTGGGAGATCAGGGCGGGAGGATCAGTTGAGGCTAGAAGTTCAAGACTTGCCTGGGCAACATAGTGAGAATCCGCCTTTGCAAAAAGTAAAAAAATTAGTGGAGTGTGGCGGTGCAAACCCGTAGTCCCAGCCACTTGGGAGACTGAGGTAGGAGGATCACTTGATTCCAGAGTTGAAGGCTGCAGTGAGCTATGGTCTTGACACTGCACTCTAGCCTGGGCAACAGAGCAAGATGCTCTCTCAAAAAATAAATAGACCGGGCACGGTGGCTCACGCCTGTGATCCCAGCACTTTGGGAGGCCAAGGTGTGGGGGATCCCTCGAGCTCAGGAGTTCGAGTCTAGCCTGAGCAACATGGCGAAACCCCGTCTCTACAAAAAGTACAAAAATTAACTAGGCATGGTGACGTGTGCTTGTAGTCCCAGCTACTGGGGAGATTGAGGTGGGAGGATTGCCTGAGCCTGGTAGATGAAAAGTTGCAGTGAGCAGAGATGACGCCACTGCACTCCAGCCTGGGTGACAGAGCAAGACTCTCTCCAAGAAATATGTAACATTTTTAACATAACATAACATAACATAACAAACTTTCCCTGAATAACTGTAGTCATGCCAAGTGCTCATCCACAGCCTCATAACTTGTGCTTGTGCTTTCTAGCCTTGTTTACTCCTCCATATATGAAAAAAAGAAAAAAAAGCTTTTTAGTTTGTGTCTCTTGGACATTTTCAGATCTTGTGATTGGAACATTCTCTCTATTGCAATAGTCCTTTTGAATAAAATCTTCCTTCTCTAAGTCTGAATTTGTCATTTACAGTGGTAAATATCTTAATTGTTCTGAGATAAATTATGTATATTATCTTTTTGTGGCAAAGGACTTAATATATATTCAGTAGGTGAAAGTAGTTCCTGGGGCCAGGTATGGTGGCTCACGCCTGTAATCCCAGCACTTTGGGAGGCTGAGGCGGGTGGATCACTTGAGGTCAGGAATTCGAGACCAGCCTAGGCAACATGGTGAAACTTCATCTCCGCTAAAGAACGTGGTGGCGGGCGCCTGTAATCCTAGCTACTCGGGAGGCTGAGGCAGGAGCATTGCTTGAACCCGGGAGGCCGAGGTTGCAGTGAGCAGAGATCATGCCACTGCACCCCAGCCTGGACGACAGAGCGTGACTCCGGCTCAAAAAAAAAAAAAAAAAGTATAGGCGTTTGAGGTTGTCATCTCGCACGGAATAGAATAGTAAGTATAAAAAAGGACAATGCAATTTATATCTATTTTTTAAAAGTTACTGCTAATTTCAGGGCTTTTAAATTACTTAATTTTAATCGCAGAAACTTTTCCAGCATGCCATCACCGCTCCGTGTCAACCCATGTTCCCAGACTCCTGGGCTGCTTCAGCGTCAATAACATTACTGGGTAAACGCGCTAGCAAAAAATGCTTTCAACATAAACCGCCTCCATTCTAAGAGGAAAGCAGTTTGGTTTCCAAAATAACCTACACAACTGTGCTTTTAACTTGAAACCGTTTGAAACATCTACGCCGTTCCACAAGACACTACAGATGGCTCTGGGCGCTGGGCTGTGGGCATCACACGAAATCGCAGACCCTAACGTGTCCCGTCCAGCCCCGCCTCTCCCCCGGGTCCCTTCCTGGCGGTCCCTCTGCCTCCCTCCCCCGCGGTCCCTTCGCCTTCCTCCCCCGCGGTCCCTTCCCGCGGTTCCTCCCCGCCCTTCCCCGGCGGCTCCTCCCCGGCCCGCCCCCGGGTCCCTCCACTTGGTCACTCCCCACCCCTCCCCGGTGGCTCCTCCCCGTTCCTTCCCTGGGGTCCCTGCCTGGCGGCCCCTGCTTCAGCCCGGCTCTCTCAACGCCCCGCCCTTTTCCGGTTCCGCCCATCTCGGACCCCGCCCCGGGCCGCTCGGTCGCTTTCCTTCGCGCAGTTGCCCACAGACCCGGAAGTGGATCGTGCGGAGCAAGCATCACACCATGGCGTATGAGTGTTCCTCTGTGTAGACTCAACCTGCGCCTCGCCGTCCCCCATTCGCACACCCGATGCCCGGGGGTCGCTACGGACTTAAAATCTCCGCACCGCACCCTCCACCTCAGGTAAATAGGCCTTGCTGTGTGGGCCCGGAGACGCTTCCTTTTGGGTTAAAGTCGCCCTGAGGCTGGTCCCTGCCCCCGGTCTTTCTGCCTTGGGCCAAGTAAACACGGCCTTTCCCGGTTTTTTAAACGTTTAAGCAGGATTTTCCTGCTTAAAATCCTTTACTGACTCCTCCTCCCGCCCCGCATCGCTTAAAGTCCTCACCGCCTGCCCTGGGCGCCTCCCAGCCTCGCTCTCGTCGGCCCCTGGAGCGCAGCGCCGCCGACCCAGTCCCGGGGAGGCCGCGCCTCCGCCTGGTCCTGGGATCCTGCACATCCCACCCCTGTCCTAAGGCGCCGTCGCCCCCCACCTCCCTCCTCCTCGTGCCGGGCCCTGCTGCTCCCCAGGCCTCCCCTTCGCAGTCACCGCTTCCCTTGAGCCCTCGTTGGGGAGGTGCCCGGGGCCCGTCCTGTGACACCCGGTGTTTTTGCCTGCCCAGCTCCACCCCCTGGAAAATGTACTCCTCCAACATGCAGACATCTTACTACAAACCCTCCAGTGAATGTGTGGCCCAAGGGAATCAGGAGAAAGAGAGACAAAGAGCCACTGAGAGGAGATGGAAAAACCAAGAAAGAGAAAAGAAAAATGAGGGAGACCCATAAACAGATGGCAAAGTGGAGGATGGGTGAGAGATTTGCAGCGACAGAGTGAAAGAAGCAGTCAAGAAAGTAGCAGGGGCAGAAAAGCAATTGGCGAAATGTAGAGAAAAGCTCGATGTCCCGAGATGCAGGACAACAAGATAAGGAGAGGGACAGCAAAGAAGGAGCCTCCTCAGACAGAGAGTGGGGGAGAGGAGAAAGGATTTGGCCGAGGGCAGACAGAGCTGCGTGGTGCTGGGACAGCTGGAGGGGACAGCTGGTGACAAGGCGAGCAGAGGGAGCACCACAACACAGGGAGGCCTGGGATCTGGGAGTGCCAGAGAGTGGGGATAAGCGGGTGTAACAGGGAAGAGGGGATTTAACAGGGAGAGCAGAGGAGGCGCGGAGATGGGGTAAGAAAGAGGCAGAAATAGATGGAGATTGGGACGATGAAAAGATTGGAAAGAAAACGCCACAAGAGGTGAAACAAATTGGAAGAATGGAGTAGAACAGATATAAGGGGAAAAAACAAAGAAGGGAGAAACAGCAGAAGAAAAAAGAGGCACAACATCGTCAGAATCCTAGGGGGAAGATAAAAGGGGAAAAAGGCTGGAGAGACAAGGTGAAAGTGAGAGGCACAAAATGGGGGAGAGGAACACATAGTTATAAAGAAAGAGGGGCGCCCTGGGGCCAGGTGAGAGGTGAGTTGAGATTGGATATGACAATTTGATTTCTCTATTTATAATGTGTTACATTTAAATTGTAATCTAATTGTTTAAATTCTACATATAAGGATGAGAATTACAAAGCTCTGTGTAAAAGGCTTGTGCATTTTACAATTATGGCATAAGAGGCTAGCTTTCATTTGCCCATGCTGTTTAGCCATTGGGCAGTGACTTGCCTCATTCAGTTATGGGTCTCCCTCTTCCTGTTTCCGAGGATGGGGTAGGGTGGGGGCAGTGAAGAGAGGCAAGGAGTGACTGGCTGTGTCACTGCCTGGTGCCTTGTATTTACCTTTCATCTCACAGTTCATGCTGAAGGTTGAGATGAAGCTTATCTAATTCAGTCTCTTTTTCTATATGTAATTATTGCTGAAGTAAGCTTTTGTGGAATCCTGTATTGGCTCATGTCATTCTTTTCTAAATGTGATATATTTTCAATTTTTTCCCTTTGTAGAATTCCATATATAGTTAATATATCATATACATATTAAATAATATATATATTTTCAAAATGGTTTCCATTTGAAGTTAATTGTGTTGAGTTCAGATTGAGGTCTGCATGCTTTCTACTCTTTATCATATATTGGAAATACTCTTTGGTAGTCAGTAGGTAACTTTATTCATTTTTATTTATTTATTTATTTATTTTTGAGACAGTCTCGCTCTTTCACCCAGGCTGGAGGGCAGTGGCGTGATCTCAGCTCACTGCAACCTCTGTCTCCTGGGTTCAAGTGATTCTCCTGCCTCAGCCTTCCAACTAGCTGGGATTACAGGTGTGTGCCACCACGCCTGGCTAATTTTTTGTATTTTTAGTAGAGACGGGATTTCACCATGTTGGCTAGGCTGGTCTTGACCTCCTGACCTCAAGTGATCCACCTGTCTCGGCCTCCCAAATTTCTGGGATTACAGGCGTGAGCCACCGCTCCTGGCCCTTATTTATTTTTTTTGAGATGGAGGTACTCTGATGCCCAGGCTGTAGTGCACTCGTGTGACCTTGGCTCACTGCCACCTCCACCTCCCAGGTTCAAGTGATTCTCCTGCCTCAGCCTCCCAAGTAGCTGGGATTACAGGCACCTGCCACCACACCTGGCTAATTTTCGTATTTTTAGTAGAGATAGGGTTTCATTATATTGGCCAGGCTGGTCTTAAACTCCTGATCTCAAGTGATCCCTCCCAAAGTGCTGGGATTACAGGCGTGAGCCACTACGCCGGCCATCAGTAGGAATTTTAGATGGTATGAATGTGTATTTGGTAAAGATATCAGTGACGCTTTTTTTTTTAACGTTAACATAAGAACCTATTAACTAATTTTTTTTTGGAGACGGAGTCTCGCTCTGTCGCCCAGGCTGGAGTGCAGTGGTGCAATCTCGGCTCACTGCAAGCTCCGCCTCCCAGGTTCATGCCATTCTCCTGCCTCAGCCTCCCAAGTAGTTGGGACTACAGGCAGCCGCCACCACGCCCGGCAAATTTTTTGTATTTTTAGTAGAGATGGGGTTTCACCATGGTAGCCAGGATGGTCTCGATCTCCTGACCTCGTGATCCACCCGCCTCAGCCTCCCAAAGTGCTGGGATTACAGGCGTGAGCCACCACGCTCGGCCAACTTATTTGTTACTAGTCAGTTTTCTTCCCTTATGTCATCTCTTAAAATAGTGACCTGTGAACTACTAAGCAGATGTCCCCCTCAAGTCCCTTTTGTCAGTTCTATTTTCTGTAAATGTGGAAAGATGGGCTGGATTGACTCAAAACCTTATTCCAGCAGAGCTTATGTGTTCATGAAAAAATTTGCTGAGAGAGCTCATCTCTATAGCTGACAGTCTTTCACTGTTTTCAACACCAATAGCCATGTTTTCACAGTTCTGCGTTTCATTAGTATGTTGTGTTTTTCTGGAAAAGAGGAATTAAATGTTTGGGATCAATGTGATAAAGCCATGAAAGGGAAGTTTCTTTTGCCCAGGTATGTGAAAGAAGATCCTGGAATTTTCCAGGGGAGGCGTGAGAAAGTCTAGTGTTGCCCATTAGCCCTTCGAGGCCGTCATAGAGTCAGATACATCTTCTAATTCAACTTGGATGACTTAGTGAAACATCTCCCCGTCTAGCCCTCAGTAAATCCACCTGCAACGTGAAGGTGAGGGACTCAGTCAATATACCTCAGTCTGGGCAATACTAATCCCCTTAATGTTTGGCAGAATTGGGTGTACATCTGTGTTTTGCAGTTCTTCTAGGAATTGGGGAGTGCCCACTGCAATTAAAAATTTAAATGGGACTCAGTCCTTTAAAATTTAAAACAAAACAAAACCAAAACCACAAGGATGGAAGCTGGGGTGTAGACTCAGAGGCAGAGAGACCATCTTTGGAGGCCTTTCTCTGCATTAGAGTTATGGCTAAATCTAAAGCAGTCATGTCAGTCCCTGGTAGGGAACCCTCCACCGGCTTCCCGTGTTCCCCAGGACAAAAGCCCAACTCCTCACTGTGGCTCCACAGCCCTGCGTCCAGGGCCCCTGCCAGTGTCCAGCCTCCTCCTGGGAGCTTGCCCTCATCTCATGACTCCCTCTGCCCTAGTCACATTTGTTTTTCTCTTTTCCCAAACATCAAAACCTTTCCTGTCTCAGTCTTTGTCCCTCCTCTTACCCTATGTCCCCAAATCATCACAGCTCTGTCCCTTTCTTCTCCTTCGGGTCTAGCCTCAGAGCTGTCTTCCACCCTCTTGCACCCCCATCTGAAATTCTCTCTGCCTGTCAGTCTCTACCACGTTACTCAGGTTTCACTGTCTCCGCATCCATCACCACATCGGACACTCTTCTGCATGGATTATTTTGAGTGTTTTGTGTCTCCATCTTGGCCACGGGACGACTGCAGCACCTGCTCTGGGGTTGTGGTTCAGATGCTGGGGCTGGGGTCGGGCTGAGGAGTCCTCAGGGAAGACCAAAAGGATAGGGCGGGTAGTGAGGATGGTCTCATATTCTGGAAATTTCATCCGTAATTGGTCTAAACTTCCTGTGGCTATTTATTCCAGTCTATGTAAGAGCAGAAGGCCTCACTGAGGCCTGAAAAGCCCCGCAGACCCTGTGTCCTCAGCCAGTGCCGAGGCGTCCCCACCGCCTTACTCCAGCTCCCGGGTCTTCCGCGCTCTACACATCACCGGGGCCCGGTGGCCATCCTGGGCAGGGGCTTTGCCTTCCAGCAGGTGATGCGCTCGCAGTCAGGGGTCCTGGATTCCCTTCAGGAAGGGTGGCGAGAAGTTCAGAAGCTAAGTGGGCCATGAAGGAGGCACTCCCTAAACAGCGGGGGAATTTTGCAGGGGACTGTGAGTGGAGAGACAAGGGGACAATGGCAGCCTCCCTCATGAGATCTGGGGCCTCTCTTTTTCTTGGACATCCTCCGCCAGCTCAATCCGGCCAATCTTCACCTGCCTTTAAACTGGATTCCATGGTGTCCCCAAATTGGGGGCAATTCCTTCCAGCATGGCCAACTTCTAGAATCTAGACTTGAGGCCCACTGTCCTGCAGATAGCAGTTTGTGTCCATTCCTGCCGCATCGCTTGTGTCCAGAGGCCTTTCAATCCAGTGTGCTTCTCAGGCTGGAAGAGAAGTAGAAAAATGGGGACAGGTGAAGAAGTCCTTAGAGGTGTGGAGTGAGGCGTGGAAGCAATGCTGAGCCTCTAGAGGAGCTGGATGAATGCTGCATGCACCTGGCCCACAGGTGACTGTGGGCTCACGGGATGTGTGGCACACTTGGAAAGAAGTCTCAGGTCTGGCTGTAGCACCTGGAAGTGGGTTTTGGGGTGGTTGTGGGGCTGCAGGATCATTTTGTAATGCCCTGATGTCTCAGCTCAGGTTACCTGGGAAACAGATGCTGACACAGAGATTTGCATGCAGGAATTTAATTCGGAAACTCATCATCACAGTGAAGAGGACTGAAGGCAGTGGAATCAGGCAGAGAAAAACATCCCGAAGTGTACTTAGAACCAAGACCTAAGCTGAGCCCAGAGGGAGCTTCAGCAGCAGGAGGATGGGCGCCTTGGCCTGAGGGTGTGGATCCCAGAGCTGCTCCACAGCATCCGCTCCACGGGGTGATTTCTGTGGAGGCTTTGGGAAGTGCAAAAACCATCCTGAAACCCATAGAGGAAAGATAGGAAGAATCTCAGAGATTATTTTCTGGGTTGCCTTTGGCATTCGGGGTATTTTCAGTTGCAGATCAATAAGCTTTCAGTTGTGTTTTGGAAGATGAAATGATCATTTGGAGTGTTTCCTTTCCTGATGTTGGGGTCTAATTGCATCATTAGAGACATCTCTGTTTTATTGGTAGGTTTCAGTGGTATTCCCCTGTGGGGTGGAGTCACTATGAGTGGAAATACGTTGCCCTGGGTCAGTGAGTTCCTGGGGTGTTTGTGTATATTATTCCATGAGTTACTGGGGCTTGTGAGATTTCATAACAGGGCTTCTGGATCTTTATGAAGTATCTGGGGATTGTGGGATCTTTATGAAGTATATGGGGAGTGTGGGAGTTTGTAAGCGTGTCTGAGTCCAGAGGGCAACGGGGATCCTAAGAATCAGGCGCAGATGGCTTTCATTAGGGAGGGTTTGTTGTGGGGGCGTCTGTGGGTGCAACTCAAGAGGGAGTGATTATCAGGGTCCCAGAGTAAGGGAAAGATTTCTCCAAGAATCAGAGTGAAACACAGCACACTGACCTGCGGCCCAAAGGCTTCCACTGGGACTGTCCTTGGGAAGATAAAGCTGCCACATTCTTGCAGCCAGGCCGGTGGCCTCTCCCTGTTTATTCCAAGATAACAGAGTCACAGAGTCACAAGGCAGCTGGGGAGCTGAGGGGCAAGGTCCTTGAAACCCGCTGTGGAACATGGACCTTTCTCCAGTGCAGAGGGGCCACGGGGCCCTGGGAAGGGAGTTGGAGGGTTACAGCCCTGGTCATGGCAGGGAGACGCAGGAACTGGAGGCAGGAAGAGCTGTGTTCATCCCCACAGGGTGCCCCTCCGCTCAGGAATTTGTGCAATAGAATGGGGTGAGCTAATGGGGTCACATTTAGGGAAAGGAGTCTTTCTGTCCACCCAACACACATCTCATCCTATGCACACGCTTCTCCCTTTCCCCGTTGTCCTCTCTATGATGGGAAACTAATGCTTCCCCAGGCGGGTGATTGAGGGAGAGGACGGGTTGGTCTGTTTGTCTCTCTCCTTTCTCCCCTCCCTCAGGTCTCCTGCCTGCCTTTCTGCTGCTCTGTTCAGACTCTCACTTCCTGCAGTTCTGCAGTCAGTTTGCCCCACGCAAGACCCAAGGATCTGGGTCTGTGAATAATATTCAAGCCAACATCATTGCCAAGTGAGAAATCTTAGACCCCAGGACCTTTTTTCCATGGAGGGGCCTGGGCACAGAGACAAACTCTTCTTTTTGCAGAATTTAGGGTCTTTTATTGGCCACGTGGGTCTGCTGAGCCTCAGACAGGGATCCCATAGTCAGCCAGATGTGTTTCTGGGTGGACTTGCGCTTGCCCTTCCACAGGTTGGTAAGCAGAGTGGTCTCCATGAAGGGCCCTTGGCTCTGCCCCTCAGTTAGTCCTGCTCAGCTCCCTTCTCACGAAAAAGACCACCCCAAGGACAAACATGCAGTCCACCCCTGCATACATCAGTCTCCCAAAGTGAAGACCATAAAAATGGCCTAATATTTCATTCATTCATTCAGTTATTTATTTATTTTGAGACGGAGTCTCGTTCTGTCTCCCAGGCTGGAGTGCAGTGGTGCGATCTCAGCTCACTGCAACCTCTGTCTCCTGAGTTCAAGCAATTCTCCTGCCTCACCCTCTGGAGTAGCTGGGACTACAGGCATGTGCCACCACTCCTGGGTCATTTTTTTGTATTTTTAGTAGAGACAGGGTTTTACCATGTTGGTCAGCTGGTCTTGAACTCCTGACTTCATATGATCTGCCCACCTCGGCCTCCCAAAGTGCTGGGATTACAAGCATAAGTCACCGCACCTGACCATATATCATTTCCTTTTAATTATTTACTTATTTAATTTTTACTACACTCCCATTTTAGCAATACTAATATTTCATTTAATGTTGCTATTATTATTTACTGTTATTGAGACAGAAGCTTTGTGTTAGACGCTGATCTCATGTAACGTGACTCTTTTATAATTGTGCTTAGGATTCCACGGGAGATGAGTGAATAAACGACTGAACATTGTGCATAAACAGACAATTTATATATTCATAAGATTAAGACATTTTGTATTCCTCATCCGTTATGCAAAGCAAAGACTAGACACTCTGGAGTCATCTCTCATGAGAACAAACCTGCGGACAGCTGGGAAGCACACCAGCCACCAACTGGGAGTATTAAAAAGAGCAATCCAGTCTCCAAATCAAGGGGAGGGTTCAAATCATAGACAAGCTGCAGAGCCACCGGGTCTCAGAGTTTCCCGCGGAAACGCTGGGACTCGCTACCAATCCCATGAGCGCACCTGGGGATTTTAACGTCTGGTGGGATGGTGGATTCCGAGTGTGGTTGGACAGGGCTGGAGTGCCCTGAAAGGCCTGAATGCTCTCCTGCCGGTGAGAAAACTGGAAGCGGATTCTGGGAGGGAGCTGTCGCCAGCGAGAGGCGGGTCTTGGATAGTGGGGAGAGGCCAGGTGGGGAGGGTGGAAGCCACCGTGAGGTGGGGTCTGGGCAATGGGAAAGGGGTGCAAGAGGGTCGTGTGGGAGGGTGGAACTGCTGTGGGCGGGGCCTGGGCAGTGGGGAGGGGGCGGGGTGAGGAGGGTGAAAGTCGCCCTGGGGTGCGGTCTGGGCAATGGGAAAGGGGTGGAAGAGGGTGGGGTGGGAGGGTGGGACTACCGTGGGGGCGGGGCCTGGGCAGTGGGGAAGGGGTGGGGTGAGAAGGGTAAAAGTCGCCCTGGGCTGGGGTCTGGGCAACGGGAAAGGGCTGGAAGAGGGCGGCGGGATGGGAGGGTGGAAGCTGCTATGGTGCAGCCTGGGCTGTGGGAAGCGGGCAGGGCCGGGAAAGGAGCGGGCCTGGGCTCTCTACTCCTCTTGGCCCCAGGTCATTTTCTGCTATGTCAGCCTTTCTCTCCACTAGGACTGGATCAACAGCATTGCACTGCTAAAATAAAGTTTCAGCTAATTGAAATTAGCCGGGGATGCTTCCTGCTTATTTTCAGTTAATAAGCAGGGATGCTTCCGGCTTATTTTCAGTCCAGGGACGCTTCCTGCTTATTTTCAGTTAATCCAACATTTCAAACAATTTAAGGCAAAAGAACAGAATGGTACTGGGCCACTTAATTGAAGGCTAAGGTTTTTTTACTCTTACATTGAAAACGATTTAAGTGAAAAACTCATTTTGTTTGCAGGTGGAGACAGGCATCCTACCATTAAGAGGATCACAACTCATCTTAGCTCAGGGTACCAGGAGGGGTGCAGGGGCATCAGCGGATGGTCCCTGTGGGGCAGTGGTTTCATCCTGGAACTGGCAATTAGAACCGTTTAATTAATCCGGGACCTGATTTGTCTGTTTAGAGGATGAAACGAAGGTGAAATTTCTACTTGTGCTGTGTTCAGTTTCATAGTGACAACGATCGGAACATCGTTTCCATTTCTATTTGCCAGGCACCGGGATGGAAGAAAGAGAACTCTGGGCTTAGGTCCAGGGGCGTTTCAAGGACCCTGGACCAGGGTGTGTGGAGGAACGGTATCTGGTAATTTAGGTCGCCAACCATTCCCTTAAACATAAAGAATACTTTTTAAAATAGAGGAATTATAGGGAAAATCTCAGAGATAAATTTCTGGGTTACCTTTGGTATTTTGGAGTATTTTGTGTTGTAGATCAAGAAGCTTTCGGATGCATTTTGGAAGATAAAATAGTTTGGAGTGTTACCTTGTATGATATCGGGGTCTCATTGGAGCATGTGCATCACTAATGCCTTGTTTCCTTATCTTTCAATTGTTGATCTATTACACAATTGTAAGGGAATTTTAAATGTATATGGCTTTGAAATGAAGTTGGTGCATCTCATTTTTTCAATTAGCTGAAATTTTCCTTTAGCAGTTAATGATGTCTCTTATGTGTGACAGGAACATTCAGTACACCCACAGTGAAGGCTGAGTGCCCTTCAAAGCTTTTTTCTTCTGTTTTTTGTTTTTTGAGACAGGCTCTGTCACCCAGGCTGGAGTGGTGCGATCATAGCTCACTGCAATCTCACACTCACTTCAGCCTCCTGAATAGCTGGGACTATAGACATGCACCACCACACCTGGATAATTTCTAAATTTTTTTGTATAGATGGGGTCTTACTATGTTGCCCAGGCTGGATTCAGTGCCGAGTCTCAAAGGCCAAGGTACCAGGGCAAGTTCATTAGTTTTGAGTTTCACTTGGTGTTATGTGTTGACAATGTAGAAGCCGATTTTGACCCTGTAATCCTAGCAGATAGCAAAGGTTAAGCCTCCCCCTTCCATCCTTTCTTCTTTTTTTTTGTTTTTTTAGATGGAGTCCTGCTCTGTTGCCCAGGCTGGAGTGCAGTGGCACGATCTTGGCTCATTGCAGCCTCTGCCTCCCAGGTTCAAGTGATTCTCCTGCCTCAGCCTCCCTAGTAACTGGGATAACAGGCGCTGCCACCGCGCCTGGCTAATTTTTGTATTTTTAGTAGAGACAACGTTTCACCATGTTGGCCAGGCTTGTTTTGAACTCCTGACCTCAGGTGATCCACCTGCCTCGGCCTCCCAAAGTGAAGTGCTGGGATTACAGGCATGAACCACCGTGCCCGGCCAGAAATATCCTTTTTAAATCTCTTGTGAATATGTTGATTTTGCTTCAATGAAAATGTATAAGCATTTAAACTCTGCATATACAAAATGGATTCATGGCTTTCATCTATAATCAGATTCACCCCTACTATTCTCAATTTAATGAAAAGATCCAAAATCAAATCATTTCTTTGCTTGGGATCATGGAAGTCCATGCTGAAACTGCTTTCTTGTCAACATAGGTACTTAGCAATATTGCGTAACACAGAGCAGTCTACCTTGCAAAAGTCCCCAAATCTATCCCAGACACCATATCTTTTGAAACTGTAGATGTAGTTGTGAAATATGCTATTTTTCCTGTCTAAACAATTGTATTTTCAATTAATCACCACTTTTCCATTGATGAAATCTTCCACATGTGGGGATGTGAGAGGCAAACATACTTCAAAGTAGAGGTAAATTCACAGATGTTGCCATAAAATTATTGCTAGTAGATACGATGCCATTTAATATTTGATAATCTAGTTTTACTTTGTATAGGGTTCATATGAAGGAGAATATCCAGCCAGCATGGTAGCTCACGCCTGTAATCCCAGCACTCTGGGAGGCCAAAGCAGGTGGATCACTTGAGGTCAGGAGTTTGAGACCACCCTGGCCAATGTGGTGAAACTCCGTCTCTACTAAAAATACAAAAAAAATTAGCTGGGCCTAGTGGCGTGTGCCTGTAATCCCGGTTACTTGGGAGGCTGAGACAGGAGAATCGCTTGAACCCAGGAGGCAGAGGTTGCAATGAGCCAAGATTGCGCCATTGCACTCTAGCCTGAGCGACAGAGGGAGACTCTGTCTCAAAAGAAAAAAAAAATACCCTATCAAATACGCTTAAAATCTTGCAAAATTAATTACCCTTGAGGTGAATATAAATGTAAATGTTTTCTGAAGATGATTTTACAGGCTTTTTTTCTACAACAGATTAAAATAAGTACTTAGAAAACAATTTTTATTTAAATATTGTAATCTATGTTCTTTGGTTTCTCTTCCGTTTCTTCAAGTACTTTTGGAATGCATGTGAAGTGAATTTCAAATTACGCCATATGTAGAGATTATTGACATAAGCATATTACAATGACAAAGTTTATCTCAAAGGTATTTGAGGCCGTCATCTCAAGAGTGGAATGGGATAAAGGAAGAACAATGGAATTTATTTCTATTTGTAAAAAGTTACTGCTTTTTAAAAAGCAAGTTATTGACCTAACCAATACCTAGGCCTTAGCCCTGCTCTGGAACCGAGGTTGACGCTGTCCTTCCTGAGTGCGCGGGGAATAGAAATGGAAAGGAGGTTCTGCTGATCAGCATGAAATTGTACACTCCCTGCTAAGCTCAAATTTTGCATTTCACATTCTAGTTTGCATCTCATTCAGTTACAGCATTTCTTTAAATGCTTAATTTTAATTGCAGAAACGTTCCTGGATCCGAACACTGCCCCCTGACGACCTAGAGAGATCCCGGCTCCCAGCCCACTGAGTGGCTTCAGCCTCGCTGGTAGGTCTCTCCTCCAAAGCTCTGGAAACAGACTCCTGGGAGTGAGAGGGAGGGGAGCGCAGGCACCGCCCCCTTTCCCCAAGTCCCCCGCCCACTTCATCCCTCAGGCACCTCCCAACTCCTGGCCTCTCTGCACGAGGCGCCTGCCCCGGGCCCCGCCTACAGGGGACCCAGCTCTTCTTGCAGCCACTGGAAGCTGATCACCTGGAGTGAAGACCTCACACGTGAGTTTCCCTCTGTTTAGGTTAAACTTGGGCTTCCCAGGCTCCTGCACATCCAGACTCGATTTGCAGGAGTCCTCAGAGACATATGTGTATATATGAGTGATTGTAGTTCACTGCAGCCTGGACCTCCTGGGCTCAAGCGATCCTCCCACCTCAGCCTCCTGAGTAGCTGGGACCACCGGTGTGTACCACCACCACGTTTAAATAATTTTTTTTATATATATTTAGTAGAGAGGAAGTCTCACTGTGTTGCCTGAGCTGGTCTCGAATTTGTGGGCTCAAGTGATCCTCCCGCTTCGGCTGGGATTACAGCCCACGAAGTGCTGGGATTACAGGCATGAGCCGTCACTCCGGACCCTATAGACCTTAGTATCCCCTCATGGCTCTTTCATTCCCAAGTAAATTCAGAGGTGTCCATGAGAGGTCAGGGGTCACTTCCCATTGAACCACACAGACAGGTCCTGCTTGCAGTATTTCTGCCTTCAGCCCATGTAGAGAGCTTTCATGCCATTTCCTGCTTAAAACCCTTTACTCACTTCCCACCCTGTGCCTTGTAAGGTCCTCACCCGCGAGGTGCATTCACCCTTTGGGTCCCCTAAGCCTCGCCCTTCATTGCGTCTGCACAGCAGCACCGCAGCTCCGGTGCAAGAGAGTCCTCGCCCTGGTCCTGGGATTCCACAGATCCCACCCCTCCCCTGAGACACCCTCCCATCTTGCTCTCATTGAGCCTTGCCCTCTATCCTGCAGGCCTCCCCCTCATAAGCATGGCTTCCTCTGACCCAGCGTTGAAGGAGGTGACTTGGGCCTGTCTGTTCACCTCCAATGTTCTTTTGTCCCAGATTCCACTCCACTAGGAAAAGTGCTTTCAGTAGGTGGGCATCTTATTCCATCCCCTTCCCTGTAAATATGTGGCCACAGGGGATCAGGAGAAAGAGAGACAGGAGAAAGAGGAAATAGAAAAACTGAGAAGGAGTGAGAAGGACGGGTGAGAACCATGAACAGATGGCAACGCAGAGGATGGGTGGGGAATTTGCAGACAGACACTGAGAGTGAAAGACAAAGCTGAGAAAGTGTGGGGCAGGGAGCAACTGGAGAAATATAGAGAAAAGCTGGGTCTCCAGAGAGATGAAGGACAGCAAGATAGGGAGAGGGGCAGAAAGGGGGAGGCTCCTCAGACAGAGAGTGGGGGAGAGGAGGAGGAATTTGGAGTCAGGGCAGACAGCAATGTGGTGCTGGGACAGCAAGACGGGACAGCTGGTGACAAGGAGAGCAGAGGGAGAACCACAGTATGGGAAGGCTTTGGATCTGGGGGTGCCAGAGAGTGGGGACAAGGGGTGTAACAGGGAAGAGGGGATTTAATAGGGGGAGCAGAGGGGGAGCAAAGATGAGGGAAGAAAGAGGCAGAAATATGTGGAGATTGGGATTGGGACAATGAAAAGTTTGGGCAGAAAGGAATAAGAGGTGGAAGAAGTTGTAGGAATGGAGCAGAACAGGGGGAAGAGAAGGAATGGAGGGAAGAAGGGGAGAAAGAGCAGGAGAGGAGAGGGGCTCAAAATGAGGAGCAGAAACCTGGGGGGAAACATCGGAAAAAAAGAGCCAGGGAGGGAAGGTGAGGATGAGATATGTACAGAATGAGAGAGGGAAACACACAGGAAGGAAGAAGGAGGGGACCTTGGTTCAGGTGAGTGGTGAGTTGATTGAATATGGGTAATTTAGTTGTGACATGTTGATTTCTGTCTTTATAATCTAACAGATTTTAAATATGCTTAAAATACACAGATAAAGATGAGAATTGCAAAACTTGTCTATAAGGCTATGCATTTTATAATTATGGCATCAGAGGTTAGCTTCCACTTGTAACCTTTTCAGCCAGAGGGCAGTGACTTGACTCATTCATTTGTGGGCCACGCTCTTCCTCCATTTCCCTGGGATGGGGTTGGGTAGGGGCGAGAACATGAGTTAATGTAATACTGATTACATAATATTTAGTATTATATGATGCTGATTATAGTCAATATAATAGTGTACAGTCAATGTAATAGTGAACACTCCACACAGAAAACTCATCACCAAAATGTGGAGGAACTTCTTCCCACCAGCAATGCATTTTCCATCCGACACTAACTGGGTGAACTTATACTTCAACTCAATTCTGACACTGTCCAGCTAGAATTAGGATCAGATGCTGTTTACTGGTTGGTCAGTTCCACAGGGCTACCCCCACTTCAAATGCCGGTCACAAGTTGCAGGTTGGGACCTGAACTTCTGGGCGACCAACTGTAAATTGGGGATTCACTTGACCCCCCTCCTCAGGTTGTAGTAATTTGCCACGGTCATTCACCGAACTCAGGACAACACTTAGTTTACTCATTTATTATAAAGTATGTTGCAAAGGACACAGATGAACAGCCAGATGGAAAAGCTGTGCTAGCTAGTTATTCAAACCCAAGGAAAGTGTTAGGGAAGCACATTGACCAGGTCAGTCAGAGCGTACAGCATATGAAGTGAGGGCAGTCCTGTGCGACTGAACCCTCAAGCTGTGGTGTCTGATTCTGTTTTGTAGACGGTGTCAGAATTGAGTAAAACAGCAGGACTCCCTACCTGGGAGTCTGCTGGAGAAGCTGTCATTGTGGGGACAATGACACACATTTTGGTGACTAGAGGTGAAATATTCTGTGTTAGAGTGTCAGAGTAGTATGAACAATTTTTTTCCTCTCTGAACAGATCTCCAATGCATGATAAAGCCTTTTTTTCTTCTACTCTTCCATCTTTAAGACAAAAAAATACTTTCAACTACATTTCCCTCTGTAATAAGTACCTATTTGTGCTCTATTTAAGAGCATAATATTCTAAAAACTAGTTTTACTTTGTCTTCAATTCTTTTTTTTTTTTTAAATAAAAATATAGAGACAGGATCTTGCTGTGTTGGCCAGGCTGGTCTCAAACTCCTGGGCTCAAGTAGTCTTTCCACCTCAACCTCCCAAAGTACTGGGATTACAAGCGTGAGCCGTGTGCGGCCACTTTGTCTTCAATTATTGCTTAAACCTTTGAATTGTTGCTTGAATCTAGCTTTCACATCCAGCATTCCACTGATTCTTCCTTTTTCAGTCATCAGTGACCTCCCAATTCCTAAATGCCGTAATTCATGTCCTGTCCTCATCTTTTTCTTCCTGTCGGTAGCATGTAGCACAGCTGATCACTTCCTCTTCTGTTATCTTGGCTTTTATGACACCCCGTTAACCTTTACAAATCTATTCAATCTTCTTGCCACTCTGATCACTTTCTGCTTTCCTCTTCTGGTGTCTCCAGAACTTTCTTGTTCTCTGAATGTGCAAGTGCTCATGGCTCAGTCCTTACACCTCTTCTTGTCTCCGTCCACACCCACTGCCTTTCCGTACTTCTCATCTCATGGCTTTATGCCCCACCTGTTAATACTCAGCCCCATGTACCCTGCAGACCCTCCTCTGAGGTCTAGAATCCTGTGTCTAGTTGTCTCCAAAACTCTCTACAGGGATGTCCCAACAGGCATCTCCATTTTCATATGCCTAAAAGTGACTTCTTGGCTGGGCACAGTGGCTCATGCCTATAATCCCAGCACTTTGGGAGGCCGAGGCAGGCGGATCACCTGAGGCCAGGAGTTTGAGACCAGCCTGGCCAACATGGCGAAACCCTATCTCTACTAAAAATACAAAAAATTAGCCGGGCGTGGTGGCGGGCGCCTGTAATCCCAGCTACTCAGGAGGCTGAGGCAGGAGAATCGCTTGAACCCAGGAGGCGGAGGCTGCAGTGAGCCGAGATCACGCTACTGCACTCCAGCCTGGGCAACAAGAGTGAAACTCTCTCAAAAATTAATTAATTAATTATTTAAATAAAAGTGACTTCCCAAACTCCTCCAAACATATTCACCCCTGCAGTCTTGCACATCTCAGCTAAGGGCAACCCTGTACTTCCTGGGGCTCAGCTGAACTTCTTGTCATGTTTAAAATATGCAAGATACTATGTTGTAAGTGTGTTACTTTGTAAAATGAAGAAAAAATTAAGCATTTACTTAAAACAGGTGAGGAAATACATGGTTTCATAAATTTTTTTGACGTATGGGAGAAAGAATGTTTGAAGACCTCTCCCTGCGTGATCTGCACCCTCAGGACCTCTCAGACGCCATCTCCTTCCTGTGTCCTCCCAGCCCCCTCTGCTCCAGTCACACAGGCCCCTTTCCTTTTCCTGGAGCCAAGGTTGCTCCTGCCTCAAGGCTTCCATGTGGGCTGGCCCTCTGCCTAGAACTCCCTGGCCTCTCAGCTGCAAGTGACAAGCAGCCTTTCTTCCTGAGGTCTTTGTTCTGACATCACTTCCTCCGTGGAAACGTTTGTGATCTCCCACAGCCTCCTATTTGACATTGCAGGCCCACCTTCACCCCCACCTCTGGTCCATGTTGCCTGTTCTGTGTGATTCTTTTTGCTCCTTCAATATCCAGTCTGGATCCTGGTGAGAACAAGTCCCCAACAGGAGAGCAGAGCCAGAAGGTGGGGCTGTGCTGGGCTCACCCCCTCAGTGGAGCTCAACCCTGGCTTCATATTAGAGTGCCTAGGCGTTTTGCAGAAACATCTCTTGTGCCCCCTTGACGTATTTTCATTTCAGTGTTTTAGAGCCCAGCTGAGTAATATTTAAAGTTGACTCTATTCTGTAGCCAGCATAGTACCAATCACTGTCTTTTGTTTCTGAAGGCTGAGCTCAGCCTGGGATCCACAGAGAGGTGAGGGGGGCTGTGTTCTGCATGGGGTTTGGTCAGGGCTGGGTCTGTGTCCTAAAGGGGAGCTCAGTCCAGCCCAGCTCCCCACTGCTGCAGTGTGTGTGGGCTTCTCCAGGAGGAAGGTGGGTTCTGAAGAAAGGGGTCAGAAACTCACTTCTTCCTGTAGGAGTTTCTCGTCCCCGTATTCCCCCTGGTGCAGTGGGGCGCAGAGGACCATCTTTCCACAGGGTGAGATCTGTGCGTGTGACTGTGGCACATGAAGGGGATGTATAGATTCTCAGCCCTAAGCAGCATATTTTGGATATTCAGTATTGACTTCTAAAGACTCTTTTATGTTACCCAAGGAAGAAGTCTGGAAGAAGAGGAAGAGGAAAGAAAAGGAGTCAGGGATGGCCCTTACTCAGGTAAAGTGATACTCCTGGTGGATTGTTCTTTTATTTCTTCCTGAAATGCCTGGCATTGGCATTGCGAATCTTCTCTGAGTCTGAAGCGTCCTGCCTGACATGTTTGCTAGCACTCACCCGCGCCTTCCCTCAGTCCCTCTCATCTCGTTTAGATTCCATCTCCCGTGATCCAGTGACATGAACTTGGGAAGAGGCTGCACTGGGCATGGTCCTGGGAAGGGCTCACACCCAGACATGGATGGAGACGGGGTGAGGGTCCTGTGGTGTCAGTGCTGTTGGGCAGCAGGGATTGCTCAGGGGCCGCATCTGGATGCACTGTCAGCGCTGTGTAAACCATGATAACAGAAGCTGCCCATGAAGTCAGGTGCACACGTACCTGCTCACTGGCATAGAAAAGAACACTAAGGGGAAAGCTTTCCTGCCTCATTGGTAACTGCATTTGAAGCCGAACAAGTGAGTCATTGGATTTCCGACTCCAAACTCGTAAAGACTGGGAACAGAATGGAAAGTTTAGACACTGACATTGGAGATAGATGATTCTTTCATTCCATCATCCATTTTAATGTATGACGTCAACATAAATGTGTAACAAGATTCATTAAACTAGTCTCAGAAGCTCTATCCCATGGAGACTGTGATGTTCTTACAAGAACCTTTGTCCGTCGGGTATTGTAGGTGAGAATGGCATATAAGCAGAACAACCTTGCCATTAGAGAGAATGGAACTGTATTTTTGTTTTACCAGTTATGAGTCAACATTTTGTTTCTTTTATTTTGAACATGGCATCATGTATATATTTCTTTTATAGTGAAATGATACATTTATGTGCCAAGAGGTAAAGCATCCCTTTTCCTGTCCAGCCTTCCACCCTCCCTCACATCTTAGTGGGGAGCCACTGTTCTCAATTCTGTGGGAAGGGTCAGTGCAAGTCCTGTAGAAATGTATTTTGACATCATTATGAGATTTAAACAAATTCCTCAGTGAATGTTTGGTTGTGATATGTTAACCTGCAAGTTTTGAACATTGACATGTTTTCGTGTTAGGAAACAGGAGCTCACTTTTCTACATCCTTGTTGGAGCATGCTGGGAATGAAGACAGGTGGATCTTTTAACTTTCTCACTTCTATAAAGAATGCCACACAGGGTGCTGCATGGTGGCTCACACCTGTAATCCCAGCACTTGTGGAAGCCAAGGTGGGAGGATCATTTGAGCCCCAGAGATTGAGGCTGCAGTGAGCCATGATAGTGCCACTGCACTTCAGCCTGAGTGATAGAACAAGACCTTGTCTCAAAAAAAAAAAAAAAAAAGGTGCCACCCTGGCTGCCTGTGACCATGCCGACTTCACTATGGATCGTGGAGAGTTCCTCCAGGCTGGACGATTGGAAGAGTGATCTCTTCTAGGATGGCACATTTCCTGTGTTGCTAGATCTGGCAAGATTCTATCCCTACCCCAGGTGCAGAGGTGCCCTCTCCCACCAATGCCACGTCAGATTTCCCCCTCATTAAGCAAACTTGCCACTGTGTTCATTTTATATTATGAAAATGCGGGGATAATGCAACCCATTTTATTTTCATTTTCTTATTCCTTGTGAGTCTGAGTGGGTTGCATTACTTTGTGGATGTGTATATATGAAATGAATTTTTATACTTTGCTCCATTTTCTGTTCCTGGAATTCAGGAGCTGTGTTGTATTCTGCGGTTTATTTTCTTTTTAACTTTTACTACATTTTTTGAGACAGGGTCTCACCCTGTTGCTGGAGCGAGGCCGGAGCACGGCGGCTCTGTCACTGACATGCAGGTTCAGTTGCTCGCTGCTTGCAGAGTCCAGTTAACAAGAGCAAGGTCTGGTAGAAAGACAGTGACTTTTTATTCCAAAGCTAGCTTAGGGGAAGAAGTACAGGCTTCCTGCCGTAAGGTACTGCATTGCTTTTGGAGCAGAAAGCAGGCGCTTTTAAAAGGCGGGCTTGGCATGAATGGCACTAAGGAGAGGAAGCGAGCAGGTGGGTGTCCCCCTAACTTGCTTCTGTGCCTTACGTACCAGGGGGTTGAGCTGGCAGCCACTGGTGCCTTCGTGGGCAGAACTGGGTTGTAAAAGTGGCTGAAACTCTCCGGGTGGGAGAGAGTTTTGTAGCAGGACTTTGGGTTGTAGATTGATTGCTGTTTCTCGAGGTAACCTCCTGGCAAGTGAGATTCCCCTCTGGAGCTCGAAGCACATAGTTGGATGAACTTGCCCTGTAGAGAGTGTCTGCTGAAGGGGAGGTAAAAGGTTATAAGTGTATTTCTAAAGGGCTAAGTAGGAAGTAGGGAACAGGGGAAAATGGGGAAAGGAGAAAATAAGAGAAAAAAATAATAACTCACTCCCTTTTTCTTAGAAAAATGAGCGTACTTGGTTACAGTACAGTCATGGCTCACTGTAGCCTTGACCTCCTTGGCCTAAGCAATTGTCCCACCTCAGTCTCCTGAGTAGCTGGGACTACGGTTGTGTGCTGCCACACCCAGATAATTTTTTATGTTTTTGTTTTTTGTAGAGACAGGGTCTCACTATGTTGCCCAGGCTGGTCTCAAACTCCTGGGCCCAAGCCATCCTCCTGACTGTGCCTCCTAAAGTGCTGGGATTATAGGCATGAGCCATTGTGCCCGGCTTGGTTTAATTCTTTATATACGCACTGTTGTCTTCCTTTCGATTACACATTATTCTACTGTAAAAATAATCTTTCGTTGCTTACCCCTTTCTCAATTATTTGTTCAGTTTATCTTATTTTGGAAGGCCTTAACGAAATGAAATGGTATGCTTTATCTTTATCTACCAGTGGATTGTTCACATGGCCTTTGTCTTTGACCCAGTTCCTGGCATATACAGCTCCTAAAATCTATAGAGTTTCCTAAGTGTTGTCTTTTTGCATGCTGATGCATTGACTGATAGCTGGCAGCCTCCAACAAGCTTCAGGATGGGGCCTGAGTTGCCAGAATATCCAAGGCAAGATTGGAAGATTGGGGCTTTAAACTCCACTCCTCAGCTACCAGGGAGGGGGAGAGGCGACGAAGGTTAAGTTGATCACCAGTGGCCAATGGTTTAATCATGCCTACTTCATGAAGTTTCTATGAAAACACAAAAGCACATGGTTCAGAGAGCTTCAGTTTAGGTGAACACGTGGAGATTCCTGAGGGTGGCATACTCAGGGAGGGCATGGAAGTTCCAACCCCTTTTCCAATACTTCACTGTATGCATCTCTTCATATGTATTCATTGTAATATCCTTTATAATAAATGGGTAAATGTACATAAAGTGTCTCCCTGAGGTCTGTGAGGTCTAGCAAATTAATTGAACCCAATGAGGGAGTTACAGGAACCCTGATTAATAGTCAGTCTGTCAAAAGCACAGGAAAAACAACCTGGGGCTTGCTGTTGGCGCCCGAAGTGGGACTGAACCCTCAACCTGTGGGATTTGCCACTATCTCCAGGTAGATGGTATTGAAACTGAACTGGGGTTGGAGGATACCCAGGCGGTGTCTGCTGCACAATTGATTGCTTGCTGGCATAGGGGAAAACTATACATCTGTTTATTTATTATTTGTTTGTTTGTTTATTGTTTTGAGAGGCTCTTACTCTGTTGTCCAGGCTGGAGTCCAGTCGTGTGATCACAGCTGACTGCAGCCTTGATCTCTGGGGCTCAAGTGATCCTCCCACCTTAGCCTCTGGAGTAACTGAGACTATAGGCACGCACCACCATGCCCAGCTTGATTTTTTTGTAGAGATGAGGTTTCATTGTATTTCCCAGGCTGGTCTCTTGAGCTCAAGCAGTACTCCTGCCTTGGCCTCCTAAAGTGCTGGGATTATAGGCATGAGCCACTGCACCTGGCCACATCTGATTTTAGAAGCATTTTCTGAGATTATAGTAGGAAAAACAATTTCATTTTTCCACAGAATATGTCTCATGGATTTGAATTTTTTTGTGTACATTGGTACGTACTTTTATTTGATTCATTTTAAACTATTTATTTTAGATTCAGGGGGTACACGTGAGGTTTCTTACATGGGTATATTTTGTGATGTTGAGGTTTAGTCTTCCAAAGATCCCATCACCCAAGTAGTGAACATAGTACCCGATAGATAGTTTTTCAGCCCTTCCCCTCTTCCTTCCTCTTCCTTTTTGGAGTCGCCAGTGTCTGTTGTTCTCATCTTTGTGTTTGTGTGCACCCAGTGTTTAGCTGCCATTGTGAGAACATGCGGTATTTGTTCTTCTATTTGTGCATTAATTCGCTAGGGATAACGGCCTCCAGCTGCATCCATGTTGTTGCAAAGGACATGATTTTGTTTTTTTATGGCTGTATAATATTCCATAGGGTATATGTCTACTATATTTTCTTTATCCGATCCACTTGATGGTCACCAAGGTTGATTCCATGTCTTTGCTATTGTAAATGGTGCTGCAATAAACATATGAATATAGGTGTCTTTTTGATAGAACAATCTATTTTCCTTTGGGTACATATCCAGTAATGGGATTGCTGGGTTGAATTGTAATTCTATTTTTAGTCTTTGAGAAATCTCCAAACTGCTTTCCACAAGGTCTGAACAAATTTGCATTCCCATAAGTGTATGAGTGTAAAAGTGTTTCCTTTTTTCTGAAGCCTTGTCAATATTTGTTGTTTTTTTTTTACTTTTTAGTAATAGCCATTATGCCTGGTATGAAATGGTGTCTCATTATGGTTTTGATTTGCATTCTCTGATGATCGGGGTGTTGAGCATTTTTTCATACGCTTGTTGGCCAATAGTACGACTTCTTTTGAGAAGTGTCTGTTTATGCTATTTTCCCACTTTTTAGTGGGGTGATTTGTCTTCTTCTTGTTGATTTGCTTATGTTTCTTATAGATTCTGGATATTAGTTATTCGTCAGATGCGTAGTTTGCAAGTATTTTCTCCCATTCTGTAGATTGTTTACTCTGTTGATAGTTTGTTTTTCTGTGTACAAGCTCTTTAATTAAGTTCCACTTGTCTATTTTTTATTTTGCTGCATTTATTATGAGGTCTTCATAAATTCCTTTTATTTGCTGCATTTATTTTGCTGCATATATTATGAGGTCTTCATAAATTCCTTGCTTAGGCCAAAGTCTTAGAAGAGTATTTCCTAGGTTTGCTTTTAAGATTTTTATAGTTGGAGGTCTTATATTAAGTATTTAATCCATCTCAAGTTAATTTTTTTATATGGTGAGAGATAGGGATCCAGTTTCATTCTTCTGCATATGTTTAGCCAGTTTTCCCAGCACCACTTATTGAATAGGGTATCCTTTCCTCATTGTTTATTTTTGTTGATTTTCTTGAAGATCAGTTGGTTGGAGGTGTGGGCCTTTATTTTAGGGGTCTCTGTTCTATTCCATTGGTATATGTGTCTGTTTTTATACCAGTACCATGCTGTTTTGTTTACTGTAGCCTTGCAATATGGTTTGAAGTCAGGTAATGTGATGCATCCAGCTTTATTCCTTTTGCTTAGGATTGTCTTGGCTCTTTGAGCTCTTTTTTGCTTTCATATACATTTTAGAAGTTTTTTCTAATTCTGTGAAAAGTGATGTTGGTCATTTAATAGGAATACTGTTGAATCTATAGATTGCTTTGGGCAGTTTGGACATTTCATTGATATTGATTCTTTCAACCCATGAGCATGAAATGCTTTTCCATTTGTTCGTGTTGTCTGATTTCTTTCACTGGTATTTTGTAGTTCTCCTCATAGAGATAGTTCACAACCTTGGTTAGACATACTCCTAGTCATTTTTTGGGGGGTGTGGCTATTTTTAATAGGATTGCATTCTTGATGATGTGTTTCTCAGCTTGAACATTATTGGCGTTTAAGAGTACTGCTGACTGGGCCGGGCACAGTGGCTCACGCCTGTAATCCCAGCACTTTGGGAGGCCAAGGCAGGCGGATCACCTGAGGTCGGGAGTTCAAGACCAGCCTGACCAACATGGAGAAACCCAGTCTCTATTAAAAATACAAAATTAGCCGGGCGTGGTGGTGCATGCCTGTAATCCCAGCTACTTAGGAAGGCTGAGGCAGGAGAATTGCTTGAACCGGGGAGGCAGAGGTTGTGGTGAGCCAAGATCGCACTCCAGCCTGGGCAACAAGAGCGAAACTCCATCTCAAAAAAAAAAAAAAAAGTACTGCTGATTTTTGTACCTTGATTTTAAATCCTGAGACTTTGCTGAAGTCATTTATCAGGTCTAGGAGTCTTTTAGTGGAATCTTTAGGGTTTTTTAGATACAGAATCATATCCTTCTCAGAGAGATAATTTGACTTCCTCCTTTTCCTTTTCGTTTGTTGTTTTTGTTGTCGTTGCTAAAAAATAGAGACAGAGTCTCACTATGTTGCCCATGTTGGTCTCGAACTCCTGGACTCAAACTACCCTCTCACCTTGGCCTCCCACAGTGATGTGATTACAGGTGCAAACTACTGCATGCAGCCCTCTTTCTGTTTGAATGCCTTCTGTTTCTCTCGCCTGATTGCTCTGGCTAGGACTTGTCACAGGCATACTGTTTTACTCTTGGTAGCATCTGTTGATGCACAAAAGTTTTTCGGTTGGATGCAGTCCCTTTTTTTTTTTTTTTGCTGCTATTGTGTTTCCTTTTGGTGTCATAGCCAAGAAATCTTTGCCAAATCTAATATTCTGAAGTTTCCTTGATTTGTTGAGCCTATTTTTTTTTTTTTTTTTTTTTTTTAGATGGAGTTTTGCTCTTGTTGCTCAGGCTGGAGCGCAGTGCAGTGGCACAGTCTCACTGCAACCTCCGCCTCTCGGGTTCAAGAGATTCTCCTGCCTCAGCCATCCAAGTAGCCGGGATTACAGGCATGTGCAACCATGCCTGGCTAAATTTTTGTATTTAGTAGAGACGGGGTTTCTCCATGTTGGTCAGGCTGGTCTTGAACTCCTGACCTCAGGTGATCCACCTGCCTTGGCCTCCCAAAGTGCTGAGATTACAGGCGTGAGCCACCGTGCCCGAATTGTTGAGCATTTTTATCATGAACTATGTTGAATTTTGTCAAATAACTTTTTTTTGCACCGATTGAGATGAGCATGTGGTTTTGGTCCTTCACCATGTCAGTGTGGTGTATTACATTGACTTTCTTCTGTTGAACCACTCTTGTCTTCCCAGTGTGTAGTCCACTTGGTCATGGACTATAATCCTGTTAATGTCTTTACAATTTGGTTTCCTAGTATTTTGTTGAGGGCTTTTGCATCAGTGTTTATCACGAATAATATCTTACACTTTTGTTTCCTTGTCATATATTTGCTTGGGTGGTGTCAGACTAAGGGTGGTATCATACAATTGTTTTTTGTTGTTTCCTCTTCTTCACTTATTTGGAATTGTTTGAGAATTGTTAATTCTTCATTCAACATTGAGTAGAATTGTACAGTGCTTATGAGTTATGCATGTGTTCCTGGTCTTTGTTCTAGGATTTTTTTTTTTTTTGATTGCTGCTCCAGTTGCCTTACTACTTATGAGAGTATACAGATTTTTTCTTTCTCACTCAGACACAGTAGGTTAAGTTCTCTTATACTCCTTCTTCTTACTTTGACATTGGAGTTGACCACATGATGGTGTTCCACACTTCCCTTAGGCTATGTTCATTTGTTCATTTTTCTTTTCTTTTCTTTTCTTTTTTGACATGCAGTCTCACTCTGTCACCCAAAGCTGGAGTGCAGTGGTGTGATCTTGGCTCACTGCAACCTCTGCCTCCTGAGTTCAGCTGATTCTTCTGCCTCAGCCTCCTGAGTAGCTGGGATTACAGGCACACATCACCATGCCTGGCTATCTTCATCATTCTTCTATTTCATTTTCTCCTTTTATTTATTTTTTTTAGAGATGGGGTCTCACTTTGTAGCACAGGCTGGAATATGGTGGCATGATCATAGCTTACTGTACCTTCAACCTCCTAGGCTCAAATGATCCTCCTACCTCAGCCTCCTGAGTAGCTGGGACTACAGGCTCATGCCACTACACCCAGCTAATTTTGTGTATTTTTTTTTTCCCCTGAGGTGGCAACTCTTGTTTCCCAGGCTGGAGTGCAGTGGTGCGATCTCAGCTCATTGCAACCTCCATCTCCTGGGTCCAAGCGATTCTTCTGCCTCAGCCTCCCGAGTAGTTGGGATTACAGGTGCCCACCACCATGCCCAGCTAAGTTTTTGTATTTTTGTAGAGATGAGGTTTCATCATGTTGGCCAGGCTGGTCTCGAACTTCTGACCTCGTGATCCGCCCGCCTTAGCCTCCCAAAGTGCTGGGATTACAGGCGTGAGCCATCACGCCTGGCTCTAGTGTGTTTTTTAATTCAGTTATGTTTTTCAGCTCTAGAATTTCTGTTTCTTCTTCATAATTTTTATCTCTTTGTTGATAATCTCATATTTATTGTTTTTCTGATTTTCTGAAGTTGTTTATGAGTACTGTCTTAATACACTGAGCAACTTTAGGAGTCTTATTGTTATTTCTTTGATAATGTATATATATATATATCTG
The DNA here is from genome assembly GCF_000001405.40 of Homo sapiens. Lineage (NCBI taxonomy): Eukaryota > Metazoa > Chordata > Mammalia > Primates > Hominidae > Homo > Homo sapiens. Next base: position 53,077,757 of record NC_000019.10, on the reverse strand, counting down.
CTTCTTTAGTATTACTTTGTGGTGATTTAATATGTTGCTGCATATGGTCCATGTTTCTTTTTTTCTTTTGCTTTTTTTTTTTTTTTTTTGAGATGGAGTCTCACTCTGTCACCCAGGCTGGAGTGCAGTGGTGGGATCCCAGCTCACTGCAACCTCCACCTCCCGGGTTCAAGCGATTCTCTGTCTCAGCCTCCTGAGTAGCTGGGATTGCAGGCATCCGCCACCACGCCCGGCTAATTTTTGTATTTTTTGTAGAAACGGGATTTCACCATTTTGGCCAGGCTGGTCTCGAACTCCTGACCTCGTGATCCACCCGCCTCGGCTCCCAAAGTGCTGGGATTACAGGTGTGAGCCACCGTGCCTGGCTTCTTTTGATATCTCGTTATCTCCTGTTGGGACCACAGCATTTCACTAATCAGCCACTTGTAGTTTTTGATTCTGGCTTCCTTCAGGGAAGACATGCTACAGTCATCCTGACTAGAGGCTCTGGAGATCCCTCAAGCCTTTTCTAAGGATGCGTCCTCCGTGGACTTTTTGATTGTAGCTTAACTAAAGAGCTTGTGCCAGTTTGTATGCAGGAATGCCTCTGTTGTCTGCCGGCTGTTCCGCAGCCTCGCTGGTGTCCTAGTAAGCTGGGGGCTGCACCGCCACCTAATGTCTGCGTACGTTACTACAAGCTCTGGTTTATGACGGATGGCTTTGTTCTCAGTAGCTTCCTTACCTGGGGTCCTGTTACTTCAGTGTTTATATTCAGGCAAGACAGAAACTTGTCCCTTAGCAGTGCCCTGAAAAGTCAGAACGTTATGAGCCTTGTGTTGTGTTACAGGAAAAAAGAGAAAAAAAAAGTCAGAATGTTAGATGGATATTCCCATACTTTCTCTCCCCAGGAGAAAATGGAAGTGTGGTTTTCTCACAGTGATACTACATCATGGCAGGATAGGGCCTCAGGTGAGCAGGTGTTTCAAAAGAGTTCTGACCTCTGATGTGGTTGCCAGATTTCCCACAAAGACAATTTGGTCCATGTAGTGTTATTAAATCTGTGTCTCCATGGGTAGTGCTTGGGACTTCCTACTCCTCTGTCTTATAGACAGCATCACTTCAGTACAGTTTTCTTTTTTTGAGATGGAGTCTCACTCTGTCACCCAGGCTGGAGTGCAGTGGCGTGATCTCGGCTCACCGCAACTTCTACCTCCTGGGTTTAAGTGATTCTCCTGCCTTAGCCTCCCGAGTAGCTTGGATTACAGGCGCCTGCCACCACGCCTGGCTAATTTTTGTATTTTTAGTAGAGACAGGTTTCACCATGTTGGCCAGGCTGGTCTTGAACTCCTGACCTCAAGTAATCCACCCGCCTCGGCCTTTCAAAGTGCTGGATTACAGGCATGAGCCGCCACGCCCGGCCGCATTATCATTTCTTAAGATACCAGTTGTGCTTATTTAGTTCATGTAGTTATTGAATATCACTCAGTATGTCAAACATAATGTCTAACACTTCCATAGAGATAACCTTGTTTTCTGTTTTTTATTTGTATACTTATTGCCCATAAAACTGAGAAATCGACACTGATATAGAGGATATCACAACCTCTTAGGTAAAAGAATAATAAGACAGAATTAGGGAGACATAACTTGCTCAAAAGTCCTTAATGCGTAGGAAAATATGGGAAAAACAGACTCAGTTTCTCCTGCTTTGCTTCCATAATACAAATACTTCTGTGATTTTGGATGTATTGGGTTTTCCTCTACACATCAAATAAACAATTCTGCAACAGACACCAAATGGGTGTTCTCATATTTGATTCCATTCTGACACTGTCTATCTGGATATAGGGTCAGCTCCCATAGGCTGAGGGCTCAATCCCACAACAGCGCACACACATTAATGCCAGTCACAAACACAAGTTGTGGCCTGTGCTTCTCAATGACCAGCTGTGAATTGTGAATTCTGATGACCCCCTCCTTGAAATTGATTAGTTTGCTTGAGTGGCTCACATAACACAGGGAAACACTTATATTTACCCATTTATTATAGAAGATGCTACAAAGCACACAGATGAACATCTAGATGGAAGTGATCTATTAGTTGAGATATGGGAAAGGAGTGAGGAGCTGGGATGTATTCTCTCATGTATTCTGTCTTTTTTGAGTTTTCATGGAGGCCCCATTATGGAGGCCTTGCTTCCATTATTGGCATTGGTGATCAACTGAACTTTCATTCCCTCTGTCCTCCCGAGAGGACAGAGGCTTAGTCTAACCGAGCCTCAGCCTTTCCAGTGACCACCCACCGAGCCTTAGTTCCGGTGACCGCCCTCCATCCTGAAGCTACCTAGGTGCTCCAGACACCAATTATCCCATTAATGTACAAAAAGATACTTATCACTCCACTGATTTCAAGTGAGCTCTTATGTCAGGAGAGGGGGATGAAGACCAAATCTGTATGTCACATTGTCACAATCTGGATCTGTCAGCTCACCCACTTCAATTTAACCTATTCTCACATTTTTCTCCTCTTCTCCTTTTATGTGAAATTTTGAACTCTCCCCTTAGCCACTTGGTGAAATGTGTTTTTCATTTTAGGTACGGTTGACATTTAGGGATGTGGCCATAGAATTCTCTCAGGAGGAGTGGAAATGCCTGGACCCTGCTCAGAGGATCTTATACAGGGACGTGATGTTGGAGAACTACTGGAACCTTGTTTCTCTGGGTGAGGATGACTTTCTTCCAGAAGTCAAGATCTGTTCTTGTCTATTGTTGCATTTTCCCTTACGAGTCCCTGGAGAGCCCCTGCATTGCTTGACTGAGATTGAAGTCCTGTTGACTCTGAAATGGAAAGCTTAATCATGGGAAACCTGGACTTTAATCTTCCCCTTTCTCAGATGTTCTGCCTCCTTTGTACTTCATCATTTGAGGTTTCAGAGCTTTTGTATGCATAATACATTGTGTTAGACTTTTGAAATGTCAGATTTCCTGTTTTCTACCTCTCTGCTTTGGATTAAGTTGTTGGTGGAATAGAGCCTTCTATCAGCATGTACCATGTTTCCTGGGTATTCAGAAGGAGGCATTCAGTGGATGATTTTTTTTTTTTTTTTTTGAGGCGGAGTCTCGCTCTGTCGCCCGGGCTGGAGTGCAGTGGCGTGATCTAGGCTCCCTGCAAGCTCTGCCTCCCAGGTTCATGCCATTCTCCTGCCTTAGCCTCCCGAGTAGCTGGGACCACAGGCGCCCGCCACCACACCTGGATAATTTTTTTTTATGTTTTTAGTAGAGACAGGGTTTCACCATGTTAGCCATCATGATCTCCATCTCCTGACCTTGTGATCCACCCACCTCAGCTTCCCAAAATGCTGGGATTACAGGCATGAGCCACCGCGCCTGGCCCAGTGGATGAATTTTTGAAGTTTTCTTAGATCCACATATAATGTCCTCTCATGTAAACATAGGGCTGGGATTCTGGAAAAGCCCCGGCACATTGTGATCCTTTCTTTTTATAAACAGGACTGTGTCATTTTGATATGAATATTATCTCCATGTTGGAGGAAGGGAAAGAGCCCTGGACTGTGAAGAGCTGTGTGAAAATAGCAAGAAAACCAAGAACGCCGGAATGTGTCAAAGGCGTGGTCACAGGTAAGAGCTCAGATGGGCAGAGAGAAGGCCACTCATTAACTAGAGTGTGGGAGGGGGCACAGTAGCTCACGCCTGTAATCTCAACACTTAGGGAGGCCAAGGTGGGCAGATCACTTGAGGTCAGGAGTTCGAGACCAGCCTGACCAACATTGTGAAACCCTATCTCTACTAAAAATACAAAAAAAAATTAGCCGGGCATGGTGGCGTGTGCCTGTAGTCCCAGCTACTCAGGAGGCTGAGGCAAGAGAATTGCTTGAACCCGGGAGGTGGAGGTTGCAGTGAGCCAAGATCATGCCACTGCACTCCAGCCTGGGTGGACAGAACAAAACTCCGTCTCAAAATAAATAAATAAATAAAGTGGGAAACTCTCTGCAGATGAGAGAGTTCTTTGGGAAAATAAGTTGCCTTAGAGATAGAGGCAAAGTCTTTATCATGATGGACAACACCCTGTCATTTGAACTCTATGGTTCCTTCTGAAGAAACTGCTTTCTTTCTTGGTCTCTCCCTCTGTATTTAATTCCATATGGTGCTCAGTTCTTAGTCCATATGGGTCAGAGGGGAAGCCTCCATAGTCCTTAGTCCTGACGTCTAGACCTGTTTATGTTCCACCCCATTTCCTGTGCGTGGAAGACCTGCTCAGGAGATGGAAACATTGGCTGCTGCTCCTTGGCATCTGCTGCCCCAAACCTCATGGAAGAGTCTCCAGCCGTCTCCGCCTGTCGAGGTCCCTCGGCCATTTCTTCCATTCTGCTTTTGCCACTTTCATGGGGGTGTGTGATAAGCGAGTGGGTTCTATCTTCTAAGATTGTTCTCAGCATAACCGTAAAGACACCTAACAAAATCCTTCTGTCATTGATCCTCAGTCTTACATGGGGTGCGTATTCTGTTTTTCCAGGCTTCAGCACAGAAATACAAGTACTGCATGTTGTCACTTACATTTGGAATCTAAACCAATAAAACTAATAGCAGCAAAGAGTAGAATGTGGGTTACCACAGGTTGGGGACTGGAGGGAATAGGGAGATGTTGGTCACTGGGTGAAAACATTAGGAGTAAATGATAGGTTTTTGAGATGACTTATATGGTAATAGGCTTGTTTCCATCAGTCCATATTGTATACCTATAACAGAATATCAGTTTGTTTCCTGTAAATATATATAACTATAATTTGTCAATATAGAATTTTTTTAAAAATCATATTCCAGTTCTTATTGTGTTGGTTCTAAATAAAAATGCTTCTTTCTCTTAAGACAAAACTGTTTATTATTCCACGGACAATAATTTTTTTTTTAAATGAAGTTTCGCTCTTGTTGCCCAGGCTGGAGTGCAATGGTGCGATCTCGGCTCACCGCAACTTCTGCCTCCTGGGTTCGAGAGATTCTCCTGTCTCAGCCTCCCGAGTAGCTGGGATTACAGGCATGCGCCACCATGCCTGGTTAATTGTGTATTTTTAGTAGAGATCGGGTTTCTCCATGTTGGTCAGGCTGGTCTCGAACTCTCGACTTCAGGTGATCCACCTGCTGCAGCCTCCCAAAGTGCTGGGATTACAGACATGAGCCACTGCACCTGGCCAATAATTTTTTTTTTAAGTTTCCACACATGGCCTTAAACAAGAACATTTTATATATGCAGTTATTCCTCTCAATTCATTTTATCATAGGCTGCTAGAATATCTTATTAGTTGATTTTCATAAAATGAATACATTATGGTTTTCAGCAGGTATTGTGAAATATAACTGTCAGGCCAGGTATAGAGGCTCACGCCTATAATCCCAGCACTTGGGGAGGCAGAGGCAGGCAGATAACAAGGTCAGGAGTTCGAGACCGGCCCGACCAACATGGTGAAATCCTGTCTTTACTAAAAATACAAAAATTAGCCAGGCATGATGGCACATGCCTGCAGTCCCAGCTATTCGGGAGACTGAGGCAGGAGAATCACTTGAACCCTGGAGGCGGGGGTTGCAGCAAGCCAAGATCGCAGCACTACACTCCAGCCTGGGGAGCAGAGCAAGACTCTGTCTAAAAAAAAAAAAAAAGAAAGAAAGAAATATAACTGTCATGTACCACTTACTAATGCTGCAAAATTATCTGCTCTGTGTGGATATAGATAGTTATATAACAAGTATTTCAACACATTTTTTTCTGACATAGTTTTATTGAATGTTCATTTTCCTAGTGCTATGATGGTTTTGCAGTTCAAAATTCCCGCTTCTTAATTATGTTTCCTGTGAGCTCTTTGCCATTATAATATATTATGTTGTACTTTAGTATGTATTTGTACATAATGAATATGCTTTAAATGTGTATAACTTATTTTTCTTCAATTGAGATAGCCATATGTTTTTGGCCAATTGGTATGTGCCGTGAGGTCAGCGTGGAAAAATAATCCTCTGATGGCTAACATAGGATTCACAACGTGAGTGTTTTGGTCATAGGTAGTTTGAATCTAGGCTGCCCGATTTTTTTTTTATTTTTTTATTTTTTAAGACATCTCACTGTCTCTAAGGCTGTAGTGCAGTGGTACAATCATAGCTCACTGTAACCTTGAACTCTTGGGCTAAGGCAATCCTCATGCCTCAGCCTTTTTTTTTTTTTTTTTTTTGATGAGACGGAGTTTTGCTCTTGTTGCCCCAGGCTGGAGTGCAGTGGCGCAACCTCACCTCCTGAGTTCAAGCAATTCTCCTTCCTCAGCTTCCCAAGTTGCTGGGATTACAGGTGCCCATTACCACACCCAGCCAATTTTTTATATTTTTAGCAGAGACAGAGTTTTGCCATGTTGACCAGGCTGGTCTCGAACTCCTGACCTCAGGTGATCCACCCGCCTCGGCCTCCCAAAGTGTTGGGATTACAGGTGTGAGCCACCGCACCCAGCACCCTCAGCCTCTTGAGTATCCAGAATTGCAGGCACATGCCAGCATGCCAAACTAATTTTTTTATTTTTATTTTTTGACGGAGTCTTGCTTTGTCGCCCAGGTTGGAGTGCAGTGGCACGATCTCGGCTCACTGCAACCTCTGCCTCCCAGGTTCAAGCAATTCTCCTGCCTCAGCCTCCTGAGAAGCTGGGACTATAGGCGCATGCCACCACGCCTGACTAATTTTTGTATTTTTAGTAGAGATGGGGTTTCACCATGTTGGCCAAGCTGGACTCAATCTCCTGACCTCATGATCCACCCACCTTAGCCTCCCAAAGTGCTGGGATTACAGGCATAAGCCACCACACCTGGCCTAATTTTTAAATTATTTTGTTTTTGTAGAGATGGAGTCTTGCTGTGTTGCCCAGGCTGGTCTCAACCTCGTGGCCTCCTGTGATCCTCCCACCTTAGGCTCCCAAAGCATTGGGATTACAGGCATGAGCCACAACAGCCAGCCCTTCCCAAATATTTGAATTACATGTAACTGCATTTTCTTTGTTAAAAAATACTACTTTTGGCTGGGCACAGTGACTCACGCCTGTAATTCCAGCACTTTGGGAGGCCGAGGCAGGCGGCTCATGAGGTCAAGAGATCGAGACCATCCTGGCTAACATGGTGAAACCCCGTCTCTACTAAAAATACAAAAACAAAATTAGCCAGGCGTGGTGGCGGGCGCCTGTAGTCCCAGCTACTCAGGAGGCTGAGGCGGGAGAATGGTGTGAACCCGGGAGGCAGAGCTTGCAGTGAGCCAAGATCACACCACTGCACTCCAGCCTGGGCGACAGAGCGAGACTCCGTCTCAAAAAAAAAAAAACATTTTTGTTCCTAACAATTGAAATTCACAGTTCTGAAGTTCCAAAGTCTGTTCAATATAAGTATTACTTTTGGTGGAATATGTTTTCAATGTAAAATATTTATTTCTATACTGTAATTAATTGGAAATTATGTGGTTCTTTATATCTTGTAGATATCCCTCCTAAATGTACAATCAAGGATTTGCTACCAAAAGAGAAGAGCAGTACAGAAGCAGTATTCCACACAGTGGTGTTGGAAAGACACGAAAGCCCTGACATTGAAGACTTTTCCTTCAAGGAACCCCAGAAAAATGTGCATGATTTTGAGTGTCAATGGAGAGATGACACAGGAAATTACAAGGGAGTGCTTATGGCCCAGAAAGAAGGTAAAAGAGATCAACGCGACAGAAGAGACATAGAAAACAAGCTTATGAACAATCAGCTTGGAGTAAGCTTTCATTCTCATCTGCCTGAACTGCAGCTATTTCAAGGTGAGGGGAAAATGTATGAATGTAATCAAGTTGAGAAGTCTACCAACAATGGTTCCTCAGTGTCACCACTTCAACAAATTCCTTCTAGTGTCCAAACCCACAGGTCTAAAAAATATCATGAACTTAACCATTTTTCATTACTCACACAAAGACGAAAAGCAAACAGTTGTGGAAAACCTTATAAATGTAATGAATGTGGCAAGGCGTTCACTCAGAATTCGAACCTTACAAGTCATAGGAGAATTCATAGTGGAGAGAAGCCTTACAAATGCAGTGAGTGCGGCAAAACCTTTACTGTTCGTTCAAATCTAACTATTCATCAGGTCATCCATACTGGAGAAAAACCTTACAAATGTCATGAGTGTGGCAAGGTCTTCAGGCACAATTCATACCTTGCAACTCATCGGCGAATTCATACTGGAGAGAAACCTTACAAGTGTAATGAGTGTGGAAAAGCCTTTAGAGGACATTCAAACCTAACTACCCATCAGTTAATTCATACTGGAGAAAAACCGTTCAAATGTAATGAATGTGGCAAGCTCTTCACTCAAAATTCACACCTTATAAGTCATTGGAGAATTCACACTGGAGAGAAACCTTACAAGTGCAATGAGTGCGGCAAAGCCTTTAGTGTTCGTTCAAGCCTAGCAATCCATCAGACAATCCACACTGGAGAAAAACCTTACAAATGTAATGAATGTGGCAAAGTCTTTAGGTACAATTCATACCTCGGAAGGCATCGGAGAGTTCATACTGGTGAGAAACCTTACAAGTGTAATGAATGTGGCAAAGCCTTCAGTATGCATTCAAACCTAGCTACCCATCAGGTCATCCATACTGGAACAAAACCTTTCAAATGCAATGAATGCAGCAAGGTTTTCACTCAAAATTCACAACTTGCAAATCATCGAAGAATTCATACTGGAGAGAAACCTTACAAGTGTAATGAGTGTGGGAAAGCCTTCAGTGTTCGTTCAAGTCTGACTACCCATCAGGCAATCCATTCTGGAGAGAAACCTTACAAATGTATTGAATGTGGCAAGAGCTTCACTCAAAAATCACACCTTAGAAGTCATCGGGGAATTCATTCTGGAGAGAAACCTTACAAGTGTAATGAATGTGGTAAAGTCTTCGCTCAAACATCACAACTTGCAAGGCATTGGAGAGTTCATACTGGAGAAAAACCTTACAAGTGTAATGACTGTGGCAGAGCCTTTAGTGATCGTTCAAGCCTAACTTTTCATCAGGCAATACATACTGGAGAGAAACCTTACAAATGTCATGAATGCGGCAAGGTTTTTAGGCACAATTCATACCTTGCAACTCATCGGCGAATTCATACTGGAGAGAAACCTTACAAGTGTAATGAGTGTGGGAAAGCCTTTAGTATGCATTCAAACCTAACTACCCATAAGGTCATCCATACTGGAGAGAAGCCTTACAAATGTAATCAATGTGGCAAGGTCTTCACTCAGAACTCACACCTTGCAAATCATCAAAGGACTCACACCGGAGAGAAACCTTACCGATGCAATGAGTGTGGGAAAGCCTTCAGTGTTCGTTCAAGCCTAACCACCCATCAGGCAATCCATACTGGGAAAAAACCTTACAAATGTAATGAATGTGGCAAGGTCTTTACTCAAAATGCTCACCTGGCAAATCACCGAAGAATTCATACTGGGGAGAAACCTTACAGGTGTACAGAGTGTGGGAAAGCCTTTAGGGTAAGATCAAGTCTAACTACCCATATGGCAATCCACACTGGAGAAAAGCGTTACAAATGTAATGAGTGTGGCAAGGTCTTCAGGCAGAGTTCAAATCTTGCAAGTCATCACAGAATGCATACCGGAGAGAAACCTTACAAATGAGTGTGGTGAGGTCATTAGGTACAATTCACTCCTTTCACATCAGTTAATTTCATTCTTGACAGAATCCTTACAAATGTAGTGACAGTGGCCAATCCCTCATGAGTTGAAGCATTAATAGATATGAGAGGCCATAAGCAAGAGACATCATGTAAACATATGTGGCAGAGGGTCTATCCAGGCCTCGCAGGTTACTAGGCATCAAGATTTATATCTTTGATGAAACGAAACAAATGTAATATGCATCCTGAGGCCATTACCCAGTGACCGATGGTAAGTGAGGATTCCTAGGAGGAATAACAGTCTCTGGTTTCCCTGTTTGCCTTTGATATTATACACTGTAGAATACTCACAAGTCCAAATATGCTAAAAATTATATATTTTTAACTCACATACGAAAAGGTTGCAGGATATTTGTAGGCAGTCAGTTACCTTCACCTTATGAAATGTTTCACTGAGTTATTTGAGGTTTTTTGGAAAGCCTACTATTGCGTTTCAATGTGAACTTTGAAATCTTATTGTGCATCCTTACACACCTTCCATGGTGCTTTCTTGGAAAGATCATTGGGATGGAAGGATCATTGATTGGGTGAAGATCATTGATTAGGTGAAGGATTATTTCTATCCAATTTGTGAAGAAGGAGGACTTTGCTTTTAAAATTAAGTATCATCTGAATTAGCATTTGGGAGTGGCGAAAAACAATGTAAAACTATGATGTCACTCACCATTCTGATAATGTTCAGGGTGCCTTTCTCCTACCAGGAGAGTACTGTGGCTTAGAGGAAAGAAATGGTCTATCAACTGAACATGAAATGGAGCAGGCCAAGACCTTAGGACATTGGGATTTTTGTGGGAGGAGAGTAATAGGTAATTAGACACTGATTGTGTGGTAGAAATACTGCAGGGGAAAAGGTCGCCCTCTTATGCATCAAAGAGCAATACCTGTTGTTTAGCAAAGAGTGATGAAAAATTGATCTTGTTTTGAAATTGAAGAGAGAGGCCAGGCGCGGTGGCTCACACCTGTAATCCCAGCACTTTGGGAGGCTGAGGCAGGTGGATCACCTGAGGTCGGGAGTTCGAGACCAGCCTGACCAACATGGAGAAACCCCAATTGTACTAAAAATACAAAATTAGCCGGGCGTGGTGGCAGGTGCCTGTAATCCCAGCTACTTGGGAGGCTGAGGCAGGAGAGTGCTTGAACCCAGGAGGCGGAGGTTGTGGTGAGCCAAGATCATGCCACTGCACTCCAGCCTGGGCAACAAGAACAAAACTCCATCTAAAGAAGAAAAAGAAAAACTGAAGAGAGAGTAGTTGTCAGAGTGAAGAGTTTAATCAACAGAAGTAGAGTAACATATTCTTTAGTAGAACTCACATTATCTGCTTGAAGCACATTTTGCTAATGTTTTATTCAGAATGTATCATAGATATAATGTTTTAACTAATAAAATAGAATGGTTTTTCTCTATGAATGAATCACATTCTTTCTGCCAACATAGTTTTATCCTGTCTCAGTAGGATACTCCATAACACAATAGCAGTACACCACTAGGCTCTTAAACGATCAAGAACAATTTTTTTCATGGTGAAATCAAATAACGCAGTTTTGGAAACCTATAACCGCATTTTGTGCTTGAATTACGTGCCCCACACTGTGGCTTAGGATACTTATTGGGGTATAATGAAAATCTTACTGAAAGTTAATTTCACATTCTTACACCCCAAAATCTGCATTGCCATTGATGCATATGCACCACATTATTATATTTCCACATCAGTTTCTTGTGTGCCAAATAAGACCCATGCTTTGCATCTTGGTTTCCATGAAGTGAAAATACATAGTAAGAATGCGAGAAATATAAATCAGGCCAGGCACGGTGGCTCACACCTGTAATCCCAGTACTTTGGGAGGCCAAGGCAAGCAGATCACCTGAAGTCAGGAGAGACCAGCCTGGCCAGCATAGTGAAACCCCATCTCTACTAAAAATACAAACTTAGCTGGGCTTAGTGGTGCATGCCTGTAGTCTCAGCTACTTGGGAGGCTGAGGCAGGAGAATTGCTTGAATCCAAGAGGCAGAGGTTCTATTAATGGAGATCATTCCATTACACTCCAGCCTGGGCACCAGGAACGAAACTCGTTCTCAAAAAACAAAACAAAAAAAAAAAAAACGTTGGCTGGGCATGGTGGCTCACGCCTGTAATCCCAACAATTTGGGAGGCTGAGGCAGGTGGATTACTTAAGGTCAGGAGTTCAAGACCAGACTGGCCAACATGGTGAAACCCTGTCTCTACTAAAAATGCAAAAACATTAGCTGGGTGTGGTGGTGCATGCCTGTAAATCCCAGCTACTTGGGAGGCTGAGGCAGGAGAATGGCTTGAACCCAGGTGGTGGAGGCTGCAGTGAGCTGAGATCACGCCATCGCACTCCAGCCTGGGCAACAAGAGCAAAACTCCATCTCAAAAAAAAAAAAAAAAAAAGTGGAGAATAATAAAACCTCCTTCATGATGTTCTTGGAATATTGATATAATTTGAAAAGATTAATGTTCATGAGTTTCCTCTTAAGAGTGAATATAGAAAATGAGAATTTTATTTTGTTCTGGTAGATAAACTAGGAACATGTATGTTTGCTTATCACACACGCATGACTCTCCCATAACCTATTGAGTATGTTTACTTAATATCCAACATATTGCTATTCAGTATAAATTCCTGCCGCAACTTTCCTCCTCTGAACTGCCTGTGTTGTTTCTGGTAGAGACCATGCTTCCCAGCCTGCAGGCTGCAACCCTGTGTAAGAAATAAAGGTCTCCTTACTAGACATTTTTTGACCTTTGGTCAGTGCTGGTTAGGGTTTCTTGGTGGACACTCTGCAGCATCCTGAAGCAATGTAGCACATCATTGTGAGAGCACTGAGTATGCTGTTTGCTCAGGTCTCTCTTCTTCCTATAAAACCACCACTTCTGCTCCCATGATAACACAGTCCATTAATCTGTGCATGGATTGATTCATTCATGACAGCAGAGCTCTCATGATCCAATGACCTCTTAAAGGCCCCACTTCTCAATATGGCCACACCGGGGATCAAGTTTCCAAATGAGTTTTGTTGGGGATATTCAAACCAGAGGAGTATTGTATTTTATTTTCAATTTCCATGTATTAATTGCTAGTATATAGAAATAAAGTAGTTTTTGTATGTTAATTTGGTAGTCTATTTCCTTAAAATCTCGTTCTCCAGATTTTTTAGATTTCTTAGGGTTTTCTACATAAACTTAATTTCCCATTGCTGCTGTAACAATTACCACAAAGTGAGTGGCTTAAAACAACACAAATTTAGGCTGGGCATGGTGGCTCACGCCTGTAATCCCAGTACTTTGGGAGGCCGAGGCAGGTGGATCATGAGGTCAGGAGTTTGAGACCAGCCTGGCCAAGATGGCGAAACCCCATCTCTACTAAAACTACAGAAATTAGCTGGGTGCGGTGGCGCGTGCCTGTAATCCCAGCTACTCAGGAGGCTGAGGCTGGAGAATTGCTTGAGGCGGAGGTTTCAGTGAGCCAAGTTCATGCCACCGCACTCTAGTCTGGGCGACAGAGCAAGACTCTGTCTCAAAAAAAAAAAAAAAAAAAAACCCACAAATTTATGCTGTTAATGTGTGGTGGTCAGAAGTCAGGTTTACAGAACTATGATCCTTCTTGACTCTCTAGGGGAGAGTTTATTTCTTTACCCCTGCTAGGTCCAGAGGCCACTTAGATCCTTTACCTCATGGTCTACGTCCCTCCGTTTTCACAGCCAGAAGGTAGTGTCATAAAATCTCTTTGTCTCTTTGCTATGCAAGCATTGTCAATTCTCTGTGATTCTAAGTCCATCTGTATTTTTCCTATATGGACTCTTGTGATTATGTTGCTTCAACCAGATAATCCTGGATATTCTGCCATCTCAAGATCCTCAGCCAGATCACATCTGCAAACTCTGATTTGAGATACCATGTAATACAGGGTATAGGGCTATTGATACGGAAATCCTTTGTGTGTGTATCTTTGGGGGTGGGGGTCATTAGCTTACCACAACCATCTCATCGTGTACAGTATTATGCCTTCCTTTTTGGTCTCTATTATTTTTCTTATTTCAATTACTAGTATTATTATTTTCTAGATGGGGTCTTGCTTTGTTACCCAGGCTGGAGTGCAGTGGTGCAGTCAGACCTTACTGCAGTCTTGAACATTTGGGTTCAAGGGATCCTCCTGCCTCAGCTTTCCAAAGTGCTTAAATTACAGGCGTGAGCCACCTCGCCCAGCCACCAGCCAATTTTCAATTTTTTTTTTTTGTAGAGATAGATAGGGTCTCCCCATCTTGCCCAGTCTGGTCTCAAATTCCTGGACTCAATCAGTCCTCCTGCCTCAGCCTCCCAAAGTGTTGGGATTACAGACATGAGCCACTACCCTCAGCCAAGAATTGCTAACACTATGTGGAATAGAAGTGGTAAGAGTGTACGTCTTTGCCTTGTCCCCAACCCTGGGAAGGAAACTTTCACTTTTTGACCATGATATATGATGTTTGCTGTAAGGTTTTGTAGGCACCATATTGAGGAAGTTTTCCAACATACTGTTTTCCATAGTGGGTGTGCCATTGTGCATTCCCACTGCCAAGCGTAGGAGGATTACAGACTCTCCTTGCCTGTGAAGTAGGTTCACTTCGCACTGGTTACCGAATGTCTGACTCCAGTGAGACAGAACCCATGCACACAAGTTCAATAAAGTGAGTTGACTACTGACAGGCAACAAGGGGCAGTAGAAGCCTAGGACTGATTCATTGCAAGCTGGTCCCCCAAGGCTCAGGAAAACTGCTTGGGGAAGATGGAGTCTCATCTACTGGTGTCCCACCGGCACTGATGCTGAGGGACCCCAGAGAGCACCCACCCTAGGTTTTATGGCACATGGCCTCGTGATGAGCCGCCCTAAAGCACTGAAGGACATCCTGTTCTTTGAAAGGGGGGCAGGGGGCTCTGGAATGGAGCCCGGCTGCTTTGGCCAGTTTCTTCATATTTCAGGGTGTTACCTTCAGAATAACATTCTGAAGTTATTCTTGAGAACTACAAGCAAGGAAGGGGAGAAAAATAAGGTTGTTCCTTTAATGTATACATCCCACGGTACCTTACTTCTACAAAACCAAAAGACAGCTCAGGAAGCCTTATCAAATTTGCTGTCTCCACATCTCCTGTTGGAACTTTCAAGTGCCAATTAACAGTATCAAGTTAATTAAGAAGAGAATGGATGGGGGAAAATAGTTGAGATTCAAAGGACTTCTCCTCATGAAGGTGGAAATTTTAAAATCGTCATTAAGAAAAAAGGTGAATAAAGCAAGCATTCACAGGCTGGGTATGGTGACTCACACCTGCAATCCCAGCACTTTGGGAGGCCGAGGCGGGTGGATCCCTTGAGGTCAGGAGGTCGAGACCAGCTTGGCCTACACAGTGAAACCCTGTCTCTACTAAAAATACAAAACAATTAGCTGGGTGTGGTGGCGCACACCTGTAATCCCAGCTACTCTGGAGGCTGAGGCAGGAGAATGGCTTGAACCTGGAATGGGGAGCTTGCAGTGAGCCAAGATCGTGCCACTGCACTCCTCCAGTCTGGGCGACAGAGCGAGACTCCGTCTCAAAAAAAAAAAAAAGCATTCATAAAATGAAACTAAGCGGGGAAAGGTAGGGGAGAGTCATGGCTCTCCTCCCAGCAGAGTGGAAATCTTTAGATGGTAATTAAGAAATGGGATGACCAGCCTGGGCAACATGGCGAAACCCTGTTTTACAAAAAAATACAAAAATTAGTCAGGTGTGGTGGTGAACTTCTGTGGGCCCAGCTAACTCAGGAGGCCAGGATGGGAGGATCACTTGAGCCCAGGAGTTTGAGGCTGCAGTGAGCAGTGATTGGACAACTGCACTCCAACCTGGGTGAGAGAGCGAGAGCCTGTCTCAAAAAAAAAAAAAAAAAAAACGGGATGAGTAAAATGGAAATGGAAATTGATGAAGTTGAAACAAAGGTCTTAATACAACAGTTTCGAAGATTGGGTGAACCAAAGGAGCCCCTGGCTGTCCTGCAGCATTAAAGGGTTCCACACAAGTCTGCATGGCTCATGAGTCATGAAAATGTGATGAGATATGGTGGTGGACGTGGCCTGCAGGGCCATTACCAATGCATGCAGTTTGGCTAATTAGGCAGAATGTCTATGTCTAGTCTTAGTCAAGAATGGCCATCCACTGGCTGAATGGCCATTCACTGGGTCAAAGAATGGCCATCCACTGGGCTGAAGCCCAGTAGACCCTGTGTGTTTATTGTTTTGCAGAGACATCAGTAAACCATGCCATACACTTGGTGGGCATATATGTGAATCTTGGGTCCCAGGTAGCCACAAGAGGAGCCAGAGGATCCTTTAAGGACTGTTTGACCCCTTCTTGTAAGCTACCCATTTGTTCATGGAGTATACTGGTCCCTTGAGGTTCTGCTGTGCCTCATCTTGAATATGCCAGTTCCATTTTATAGTTGAGCTCTATTGAGCCTGTCCAATTTTATCGATAAGGTTTGTGAGCACCCGAGTGAGAATGGGCAGTTCATGTTACAGGGTGACACAGAGCTCTGGCTATAAGATGCACCGTTCCCACCAGTGTCCAACAGCAAGCAAGGAGTTACGTTGAAGAGGTATATATGTGGTGGGTAGCTCAGGTAACTTACATGTCCAAAACCCAACGAGGTTGATTCACGCACTGTGTTTTCGGGCTTTAAGTAGCCAGGGGTGTGGCCCAGCCAAAACAGGGAAGGGGGTGATGGAGTGTCTCCTAGGTAGCTTGCTCCCAGGAGGTAGGGAGCTGCAGTAGCTCAGTTGGGAAATGGTGGACAGGTGTGAGCCACTGCACCTGGTCTACATGAGCTCTTTATTTTTTCCTCCTCTTTTTTTTTTTTTTCTTTTTTTTTTTTGGTAGAGATGGGGTTTCATCATGTTGCCCAGGCTGGTCTTGAACTCCTGAGCTCAAGTAATCCATCTGCCTTGGCCTCCCGAAGTGCTGGGATTACAAGCATGAGCCAACATACCCGGCCATACACAAGCTCTTTCTATGGAACGGTACAGGGCCGGGTGAGGTGGCTCATGCCTGTAATCCCAGCAATTTGGGAGGCCAAGGCAGGTGGATCATTTGAGGCCAGGAGTTCGAGACCAGCCTGACCAACATGATGAAACCCCGTCTCTACTAAATACAAAAAAAATTAGCCGGGCGTTGTGGCACATGCCTGTAATCCCAGCTACTTGGGACGCTGAGGCAGGAGAATCACTTGAACCAAAGAGGTGGAGGTTGCAGTGAGCCGAGATTGCACAAGTGCACTTCAGCCTGGGCAACAGAGTGAACCTTTGTCTCAAAAAATAATAATAATAAAAAAATAAAGGAATAGTGCAGCTGTGTGAACTCCAGGTAGCTTAGGAGAATTTTAACAGAAGACGAAACATGGCTTTACCAGTACAATGCTGAAAAAACCACAATCAAAGCAATGGTTACCAAGAGGTGGAAATAGTCCAGTCAAAGCAAAAGGCTGACCAGTGAACCTTGGCTCTGTGGCACACACCTGTAATCCCAGCATTCTGGGAGATGGAGGCAGAATGATTGCTTGAGCCTAGGAGTTCAAGACCAGCCTAGGTAACATAAGGAGACTCTGTATCTACAAAAAATTATAAAACAATTAGCCAGGCATGGTGTTGTGTGCCTGTGGTTCCAGCTACTTGAGAGGCTGAGGTAGGAGGATCACTTAAGCCCAGGAGGTAAAAGTTGTGGTGCACCATGATTGCGCCACTGCACTCCAGCCTGGGCAACAGAGTGAGACTCTTTCTCAATAATTAATTAATTAAAATAAGCTGAGCGGTGAAGAACAAAGTTCATGGCAATAGTTTTTTTTTTTTTTTTTTTTTTTTTTTTTGGCGGTGGGGGATGCACAAGGCATTTTGCTTGTCGACTTTCTAGAGGGACATAGAATAACACTTATTTATTTTTAGAGCATTTTTGAGAAAGTTACCCAAAGCTTTAGCAGAAAAATGTCCAGGGAAACTTCACCAGCGTCCCTCTCCACCATGACAATGTTCCTGGTCATTCCTCTAATTAAACAACGGCAGTTTTGCAACAGTGGGTTGCAATGAGAAATCATTAGGCATCCACCTTACAGACCTGATTTGGCTGCTTCTGACGTCTGTTTCCTAATCTTAAAAAGAAAAAAAAAAAAAAAGTGCCGGGCGCAGTGACTTACGCCTGTAATCCCAGCACTTTGGAAGGCTGAGGCGGGTGGAACACCTGAAGTTGGGGGTTCCAGACCAGCCTGTCCAACATGGAGAAACCCTGTCTCTACTAAAAATACAAAATAGCCAGGTGTGGTGGTCAGCTACTCGGGAGGCTGAGGCAGGAGAATCGCTTGAACCCGGGGGGCGGAGGTTGCAGTGAGCCGAGATCGCGCCATTGCACTCCAGCCTGGGCAACAACAGCGAAACTCAATCTCAAAAAAAAAAAAAAAAAAAAAGTTTAGATATTATCGATTTAAGCATAGTATGATTTAAAGAAAGTTTATCTCGGCCGGGCTCCTTGGCTGATGCCTGTCATCCCAGCACTTTGGGAGGCCGAGGTGGGCGCATCACTTGAGGTCAGGAGTTTGAGACCAGCTTGGCCAACATAGTGAAACCCCGTCTCCACTAAAAACAAAAATTAGCCGGGCGTGGTGGCACGCGCCTGTAATCCCAGCTAGTCCAGAGGCTGAGGCAGGAGAATCGCTTGAGCTTGGGAGGCAGAGGTTGCAGTGAACCGAGATCGCGCCATTGTATTCCAGGAGCCTGGGGGACAGAGCGAGACTCCATCTCAAAAAAAAAAAAAAAAAGTTTATCTCAAAGTTATTTGAGGTTTTGTCAACCGTGGAACCGAATAACAAGTATAAGGAAGAACAATACAATTCATATCTATTTTTTTTTAAAAGTTATTGCGTGTTTTAAAGCAGCAGTTGGTGATCTGGCTTACTGCGGGTTTTAGCCTTCCACGGTCCACAGCCCACGGTCCAGGTGTTGTCCTATAAAAGTCTCTGGAAGCACAGACTTGACTCTTCCCCTGAGATAGGTATGGGATAGAAATGGAAAGGAGGATCCTTTGGGCAATAGCATTACGTATCACATTTGTTCCGGGCAGTTTTGCATTTCACAGTCTAGTTTGCAACCCCTTCACAGATAATTTCAGGGCTTTTAAAGTAAGTTACTCCAATTAATTTGAATTGCAGGAACTTTCCTGGATCCAATCACTCACTGCTCCTCCTGGACCCCCCTCCCCCCACCGAATTCGCAGTTCCCAGACCGCTGAGCTGCAGGAGACTCCCTAGCAGGATCGGGTCCAACCTGCTGGCAAAAATAGTTTTGAGATAAACCGTTTTCATCTTGGTGGGAAGAAAACATTTTGCTTTCCAACAGAAGGGGCCCACACAACTCTATGCTTTTTACCTTACAACTGCACAGGCCCCGCCCCCGCGGTCCCTCTGCAGACCCCGCCTCTCCCCGGGCTCCGCCCCAGGCTACCCGGGCTCTGCGCGCACGTGCAGTTTCTTGGAGTCCCGGAAGCGGATCGCGGTGTGTGAAGGTGACACCGCCGAGCAAGAGTGTGCCTAGGTGTAGATTAAGCCTTCGATTCGCCGTCCCGCTTTTCCACACCCGCTCTGCTGACCTTAAAATCCCCGCATCGCGCCCTTCACCCGAGGTAAATACGGACCTCGCCATGTGGGTAAAACTCGCTCTGAGACCAGTCCCTGTCCCCTGCCATTCGCGTCTTCTTCCCGCATAAAACCCTTTCCTGACCCCTCCTCCCGCCCCGCGCTTTTTAAAGTCCTCACCTGCGAGGTGGATTCCCGTCCTGAGCGCCTCCCAGCCTCTCCGTCGTCGGCCCTGGAGCGCAGCGCCGCAGACCGCGTCCTCCGCCTGGTCCTAGGCTCCTGCAGACCCTACCCTGTCCTAAGGCGCCGTCGCCCCCCACCTCCCTCCTCCTCGTGCCGGGCCCTGCTGCTCCCCAGGCCTCCCCTTCGCAGTCACCGCTTCCCCTGCGCCCGCGTTGGGGAGGTGCCCGGGGCCTGTCCTGTGACACCCGGTGTTCTTGCCTGCCCAGCTCCACCCGCTGGAAAATGTGCTCCTCCAGGATCCAGGTGTCTTACTCCAAACCCTCCTGTGAATGTGTGGGCCAAAGGGATCAGGAAACAGAGAGGGGCTGAGAGTGAATTACAAAAACTGAGAGGAAAGAATGAAGGAAACCCATAAACACATGGCAAAGTAGAGGATGGGTCGGGATTCGCAGAGACGGGAAGAGCGAAAGAAGGATCCAGGCGCGGTGGCTCACGCCTGTAATCCCAGCACTTTGGGAGGCCGAGGCGGGTGGATCATTTGAGGTCAGGAGTTCGAGACCAGCGTGCCCAACATGGTGAAACCCCCGTCTCTACTAAAAATTAGCCGGATGTGGTGCTGCACGCCTGTAATCTCAGCTACTCTGAGGGTGAGGCAGGCAAATCGCTTGATCCCGAGAGAGGGAGGTTGCAGTCATCGGAGATCGCGCCACTGCACTCCAGCCTGGGCGAGAGAGCAAGACTCCACGTCAAAAATGTTTTTAATTAAAAAAAATAAAAATGTATTTCTCTTAATTTTCTTCTTGCCTCCCTGATCACTTTACACTTTTCTCTTCTAGTATGTCTTGAGCTCTGTTTTCTGAATGTGGAGTGACCCTCAGCTTACCCCTCGGACTTCTGATCTCTGCCCACACCCACTGCCCTTATCATCTCATCTCATGGCTTTAAACCCACCTACACGGCTCCATGTTCCCTGCAGACCTCTCCCCTGAACACTGGAATCCTGTGTCCAATTGTCTCTTCAACTCTCCTCTGGGAGTCCAGCAGGCATCTGGGGCATTTTGCAGGCACACCTCTGGTGCCCCCTTACCTGAAGTTTTCATTCAAATACATTGGGACGTGTCCTTAATAATATTTAAAGGTGATTCCATGGGTGTCCAGCATTGAGCACCCAGGCTCCGCCCTTTGTTTCTAAGGGCTGAAATCAGCCTGTGATCCACAGATGGGTGAGGGGGGCTGTGCTCTGCATGGGGTTTGGTCAGGGCTGGGTCTGTGTCCTGAAGAGAAGCTCAGTCCAGCCCAGCTTCCCACGGCTGCAGTGTGTGTGTGGGCTTCTCTGGGAGGGGAGCGGGTTCTGAAGAAATGGGCCCAAAACTCACCTGTTGGTCTTCCTGTAGGAGCCTGTCGTCCCTGTGTTCCATCTGGTGCAATGACTCCCAGAGAACTGGCTTTCCACAGTGAGGGCTTCCCTGAATGGGTGTTTGAGGCACAAAAATGAGGGTGTTGATTCCAGTCATTAAATGGCATATTTTAGACATTCAGGATCGACTTGTAAAGGCTTTTTCATGTTACCCAAGGAAGATGCCTAGAAGAGGAAGAAAAGGAAACAGGGATGGCTCTTACTCAGGTAAAGTAATAGTATCGGTTGATTTTTATTTCTCTTATTTCTGAAATTGTTACAGGTGGTGAATCCCTATCCGTACAGGTCTGCACCAACCTCAATTCTTGCCTCCTCAGAAGAAAAAATTCAACTGAGGGGCATAGGGCAGAAGGAGAGACTGAGGCAAGTTTTAGAGCAGGAATGAAAGCAAAAGTTTATTAAAAAGTTTTAGAGCAGGGCCGGGCGCGGTGTCTCATGCCTATAATCCTAGCACTTTGGGAGGCCAAGGCGGCAGATCATGTGAGGTCGAGAGTCCGAGACCAGCCTGACCTGAGGCGGCAGATCACTTGAGGTCTCGAGTTCGAGATCAGCCTGACCTGAGGCTGAGACAGAAGAATCGCTTGAACGTGGGAGGCGGAGGTTGTAGTGAGCCGAGATGGCGCCATTTCACTCCAGCCTAGGCAACAAGAGCAAAACTCCGTCTCAAAAATAAATGAATGAATGAATGAATGAATGAATGAATAAAAAGTTTTAGAGCAGAAATGGCCAGGCGCAGTGGCTCACACCTGTAATCTCAATGCTTTGGTAGGCTGAGATGGGCGTATCACTTGAGTCCAGCAGTTCAAAACCAGCCTGGGCAACATGGCAAAACCCCATCTCTACAAAAAAGATAAAAATTAGCCGGGTGTGGTGGTGCATGGCTGTAATCCCAGCTACTTGGGAGGCTGAGGCAGGAGAATCTTTTGAGCCCAGGATGTGGAGGTTGGCAGTGAGCCAAGATGATGTCATCGCACTCCAGCCTGAGTGACACAGCAAGGCCTTGTCTCAAAAAAAAAAAAAAAAAAAAAGAAAAGAAAAGAAAAGAAAAAAAGCTTTAGAGCAGAAATGAAAGGAAGGAAAGTACAGTTGGAAGACGGCCAAGTGCCAAGTGGGTGACTTGAAAGGCAAGTGTGCACTTCGACCTTTTGACTTGGGGTTTTATACATTGGTATACTTCCGGGGTCTTGCTTCCCTGATTCTTCCCTTGGGGTGGGCTGTCCGCATGTGCGTGCTTGAGTCCACTCGCCCAACTCCTGAGATCTCATGGGAAGCAGCAGATCACCAGTTTCAGGTGTTTTCTGTGTGTGAGGAGCCTGCCTTTCCCTGGTGCCAGCTGTGACTATTATTTTACATGTTTAACAACCACCTGACCATCATCTGATAGTTGCCTGACATTCCTGATGTGTGTGTATGGGGAGGGGGAGCCCTCTCCTGCCCTGCCCTGCTCTGCTCATACCAGAGGAGTTACCTACAATAACAAAATGTCATTCTTTGGAGTTGCAAGTCTTTGAGTCTGAAGCATCCTGCCTGACATATTTGCTCACTCACCCATGCGGTCCCTCAGTCCCTCTTATCTCACTTACATTCCATTGCCCGTGACCTAGTGACATGAACTTGGGAAGAAGCTCCACTGGGGCCTGGATTGGAGATGGGGTGTGGGCCCCCTAATATTATGTTGAGGACTTTTTCACCAATATTTTCAGGGATATTGGTCTAAGGTTTTGTTTTCTTGTCGTATATTTGTGTGGGTTGTATGCTGGGCAGCAGGGATTGTTTAGGGGCCACATCTGGATGCATGCCACCTCTTTGCAGAACAGGATTCAAGAAACTGCCCATGAAGTCAAATATTACTGTGCACAAGTTCCTGCTAAATGCTTTAAAATTAGAACACTAAGGGGAAAGCATTCCTGCCTCGTTTATGTTATGTTTGAAACTCTACAAGTGAGTCACTGTGTTTCTGATTCCAAATTCTTTTTTATTTTTATTTTTATTTTTTTGAGACGGAGTCTCGCTCTGTCACCCAGCCTGGAGTGCAGTGGCTCGATCTTGGCTCACTGCAAGCTCCGCCTCCCAGGTTCACGCCATTCTCCTGCCTCAGCCTCCCGAGTAGCTGGGATTACAGGTGCCCGCCACCACGCCTGGCTAATTTTTTGTATTTTTAGTAGAGACGGGGTTTCACCGTGCTAGCCAGGATGGTCTCAATCTTCTGACCTCGTGATTTGCCTGCCTCGGCCTCCCAAAGTGCTGGGATTACAGGCGTGAGCCACCGCGCCTGGTCTTCTGACTCCAAATTCTTCATGACTGGGAATGGAATGGAAAGCTGAGACACAGACATCAGTGATAAGATGCTTTCATCTCATTACCCATTTTAAGATATGAAGTCCATGTAAATGTCAAACAGCAAATGTTAAACTATTTGCAGATAGTCCAGAACACAGACCACAGTCTGTGTATTCCTGGAGGAGCGCCTGTGAAATGTGTTTTTGGTGAAAATGGTTATCATTGTTCTCAGACAGAGGATCAGAACTTCTTTGCCATCGGAGAGGATGGAACCATTTTTTAACCCAGTAATTATTAAATATTCGACTTATTTAAACATCACATGATTAATGTATTTGTTTTATAGTAAACCCCCAACATACGGCTTAGGCACCAAGATGTTTCTGTTCAGCTTTCCTTCCTCCTGCTCGTCGCAGCGGAGAACCATTGTTCTCAGTGTTAATTTGTTATTAAATGTTCAGTAGAATTATGCAGTGATTACAAATTACGTGTCTATACTTGGTCTCTTTTGTTGGGACATTTTCATTACTACTTTAGTGTTATTTATAGGCATGTACAGATTTTTACAATTTATTTTTGATTCAGTGATGGTAAGTTATATATTTCTTTTTTTTTTCTTTTTCTTTTTCTTTTCTTTTTTTGAGACAAAGTACCACTCTGTCGCCCACGCTGGAATGCAATGGCGTGATCTCGGCTCACTACAACCTCTGCCTTCCAGGTTCAAGCAATTCTCTTGCCTCAGCCTCCTAAGTTGCTGGGATTACAGGCACGCACCACCATCCCTGTCTAATTTTTGTATTTTTAGTAGAGACGGGGTTTCACCATGTTCGTCAGGCTGGTCTTGAACTCCTGATCTTGTGATCCACCCGCCTCAGCCTCCCAAAGTACTGGGATTACAGGCGTGAGCCACTGCGCCTGGCAGTAAGTTATATATTTCTAGAGATTTATTCATTCTGCATTATCTTACTTTATTGGCATATATATGCCAATAAAGCCTACTTGATCATGTTGGGTAAGCTTTTTGATGCGCTGCTATATTCAGTTTGCTAGTATTTGGTTGAGGATTTTTGTATCAGTGTTCATCAAGGATATCATCCCTGACATGCAAGGTTGGTTCAACCTACGCAAATCAATAAATGTGATTCATCACATGAACAGAACTAAGGACAAAACCCCCATGATTATCTCAATAGCTGCAGAAAAAACTTTTCAGGCTGGGTGCGGTGGCTCACGCCTGTAATCCCAGCACTTTGGGAGGCCGAGGCGGGCAGATCACCTGAGGTTGGGAGTTCAAGACCAGCCTGACCAACATGGAGAAACCCCATCTCTACTAAAAAAATACAAAATTAGCCAGGCGTGGTGGCAAATGCCTGTAATCCCAGCTACTCGGGAGGCTGAGGAAGGAGAATTGCTTGAACCTGGGAGGCGGAGGTTGTGGTGAGCCGAGATCACGCCATTGCACTCCAGCCTGGGCAACAAGAGCGAAACTCAGTCTCAAAAAAAGAAAGAAGGAAAATTATTCTATGGAATTTGTACCAATTGCAAAACTGAAAATAATAACAAACTATCAATTGTATACATACTTACATGAAACTACTTAATATTTCATTTAGTATTGCTATTACTATTTATTGTTACGGAGCAGAAGCTGAGTTTGTGTTCCATTACAAGGGAGTGGTGTCCCTTTCAAATTGTGCTGTCTTCACAGTGGGTGAGTTGAGAAATTTAGTAAATATTGTGAAAAACCACATAATTTATATATTTCTTTTTTTTTTTTTTTTTTTTTTTGAGACAGAGTCTTGCTCTGTCGCCCAGGCTGGAGTGCAGTGGCGCAATCTCAGCTCACTGCAAGTTCTGCCTCCCAGTTTCACGCCATTCTCCTGCCTCAGCCTCCTGAGTAGCTGGGACTACAGGCACTCGCCACTGTGCCCGGCTAATTTTTTGCATTTTTAGTAGAGACGGGGTTTCACCGTGTTAGCCAGGATGGTCTCAATCTCCTGACCTCGTGATCCACCCACCTCAGACTTCCAAAGTGCTGGGATTACAGGCATGAGCTACCGCACCCGACCAATTTATATATTTCTGATAAGATTAAGGTATTCCTCACCTACCAGGCAAAGCAAAGACCAGGTTCTCTGGAGTCATCTTTCATGAGAAAATAGATGCTGACTGCTTCGAAACATGTATTGATTAAGGTAGAGGCATTCACCAACCACTAACTGGGCTGGGATTATCAATTTATTGTTTTCCTTTGTGGAGAGGATTTCTGGGTGAGGAGAAAATTATTTTGCCTTTAATTATATTTTCCCAACGTTTAAGAAATAAAGAATATTTCTTGGACAGTTGAGTGCAGTTTGTATTTACTAGTTTATTTATTTAGCTATTTATTTATTTATTTATTTATTTGAGATGGAGTCTTGCTCTGTTGCCCAGGCTGGAGTATAGTGGTGCAATCTCAGCTCACTGCAACCTCCATCTCCCGGGTTCATGCAATTCTCCTGCCTCACCCCCTAGAGTAGCTGAGATTACAGGTGCCCGCCACCACGTTTGGCTAATATATGTATTTTTAATAGAGACGGGGTTTCACCATTTTGGCCAGGCTGGTCTCGAACTCCTGACCTCAGGTGATCCACCTGCCTTAGCCTCCCAAGGTGCTGGGATTACAGGTGTGAGCCACCACGCCCAGCCTGTATTTACTAGTTTAGATGCACTAAATCCTTCATAGACCTTTGGTTACCACGAGGGGTGGGGAATCCTTCAGTTCTTGGTCTTCCTCAAGGAAGGAATTCAGTCAGGAGACACACAGAAAGAGTTAAAGGGTTAAGTAAGCTTTATTTAAAAAGAGAGGACATCAGAAGAATGAGCCAGCTGCTAGTGCCTTAGTTTTTATGGGAGCTTTTAAAGTCATCAAAACAGTACACCCAGAAAGACAGAACAGGGCGGGCTGATCAAAAGGACGTGTCTACTCCTACTAATGGCTGGGCAGATGTTTTTATGAGAACCTTACATGATTTTTCATGAATGTGCCATTCAGAAGCGTTCTGAGTAGCCAGGCGCAGTGGCTCACGTCTATAATCCCAGCACTTTAGGAGGCCGAGGCGAGCGAATCACCTGAAGTCAGGAGTTTGAGACTAGCCTGACCAACATGGTGAAACCCCATCTCTACTAAAAATACAAAATTAGCCGGGCATGGCGGCACATGCCTGTAGTCCCAGCTACTGAGGAGGCTGAAACAGGAGAATCAATTGAACCTGGGAGGTGGAGGGTGCAGTGAGCCGAGATCGCACCATTGTACTCCAGCCTGGGAGACAGAGCAAGAACTTGTCTCAAAAAAAAAAAAAAAAAAAAAAAAAAAAGCAAAAGGCTGTTCTAGGATGGGTTATTAGAGAAGTGCTGACTGTCTGTGGGCAGCATCACCAAGGAAGCTATCAGTGGGCTGCGTTTCTAAAGATTCCTTTCCCAAGGGCTCTCTTGCCTGCTCATGCCTGCCTACCTGCCTACCCTAATATTTCCCTCCTCAAGAGATGGAGACCCTGAAAAGCTCTGGTTGTAAGGACGTCGTGGGTCTTCTGTAACTACTTCCTGCTGACATGGGGCGAAGAAGTCATCAGGGTCTCCCTCTCTTGCTCTGTCTCAGAGAGAAAATTCCTCCATAGTTTCCCGGAATCTTTGCCCACTGGCATCCAAGGGGGAGATGTGCTTATAGGTGCTGGGGCCTCCAATGACAGATAGCTGATATCTTTCCATTTGGGGGGACTTCATGTGAAATTGCTTTATCCTAGAAGAGACACACTTAATCAGTAAATTAAAGAAACAAGGGCCAAAGAGGAAAAGTAAGAGTATAACTGTTGCTGGTCCCAGTAAAGGGACAAACCAGTTGAGGGAGGGGAGGGCAGACTTCACAGCCTCCCAGATGGCCCTTGCTGAAGCACCTCCTTTTCCAAAGTCATGGAGCCACGTAGCCTCATCATAGATCTTTTTTATATCCTCCTCTATCGCCCCACTGTTATTGACATAAACGCAACAGGATTTATTGATCACTGCACAGACTCCACCCTGCTCTGCTAAGAGGTAATCTAAGGCCAATCTGTTGTCCATGACTACATTTGCTAGAGAATCTATGGAGGCCTTGAGTTTAGAGATGCTATCTCTGGTACTCTTAGCTATGTTGTCTATTTGTCTGGAGAGATTTCTGAGGGTGACATCATGATAAGTGAACCCTCCCCATGGGGCGATCATTCCTATGGCCGCACCCATCCCTGCCAGTATTAGACCCAGAGCTCTTTTCTGTCTGGGTTGGGTGGTGTTATAAATGGTCACACCTATCCCCCGTGGTCCCAAAAGTCCCACAGCACATTCTCCCGTATGTTGGATGTTATTAATGCAAGTGTAGAGGTTTGCCACAGGGGGGGTTGAATAGGTTATCTTAGGACTTCCATCAAAGGGCAGTTTATTTTTTTGTGGCCCACATAAAAATACATAGCCAGGAGGGGTACAGGCCCACCGGGGGATGTGGCTGTCGAACCACTTGTGTAACTGCGATTTCCACCCTGCTGGAATAGTTTGATTGCATGCAGGGGATAGAGGCCCTCCCAGGGGAACAGTAGATTTTGGCCATGTGGGGACAGTGTGTGCCTTGGGAAGCGAATATAGAACCCTCCATGTGATTAGCTCTTTTCCTTCCCAAGCTGCACAGCGGTTTTGGGGTGACTTGTCTCGATAATCGTTCATTTGTTTAGCTGGACACCAGTGAGTCAAGTTAGGGTGGCAGCCTGCTGGGGAGAAGCTCATGGGATGGATGGTGGGACTGGGGAATCCCTCCTCAGAGGTGTTCTTCCTGTCACAGTGTCCTTCAGGGCATGGACAACAGGTTTGGTTTAGAGAAGAGCAGTTGTAGAAATAGAAAGAAGTTTTAGAGCTTTGATTGAAAGGTGGAGTGAGATCCAGGCAGGGGACTTGGTGCGCTGAGTTAGCAAGCGAAACCTGGAGCGGAACAGATTTATGTTGGCCTTCAGGGATTCCTGAACCAAATGTTAGGTTTAAAGAAAAATTTCTTACCAAAATATATTGGTAAGATGAGGACCTGGTGATGAAGTTGTGGCAGATCCAACAGTTGCTTAGATGGTTTCCCGAAGCAATTATTTTGGAAAAACTGACAAGGGAATTTTCATTCCACTGTGCCTGTGAGAGTAGGGGCATGGGAAGGAGGGAAAGATAAAGGAAAAGGAATTTCTCTGTCATAGCTGATTCTCCCTTAAGCTTTGTGAAAGCAAAAGGAAAGTGCTGAAAATAGGAGAGACAAATAATGAAGTGGTTCGATGGAGTGTTTAGTGAGAAATCAGGCTGTTATCGGGACTTCAGGTGGCATGCCAGTTGGGTCAAAATAAGGAGAAGAACCAATGCCACCGCAACCAAGATTCCCCGTACTGAGATTGACTTTAGTTTTGGGTGAACAGAGAGAAGGCTTTACTTATCTTTTCACTTGAAGTGGAATTTTAAGTTCTCCAGTGGCTCACAAGAATGCTCAGGTGCTGAATTCTGTTGTTCTTCTGTGGTTCTTCGGGACCTTCCCACAGTTTCACTTGAGACTGATGTATCCAACTGGAGATGCCAGAAATGTTGATAGCTGTTGGGGTGGAAAGTAAGACAGTAAAGGGGTCTTTCCATAAGGGAGTTGAGACCCAGATGACCCATCTCTCCAGGTTTTTTGACCCTGGTTGGTATAATGGGTGTTGATTCCTGAAAGGGTCAAGAGCAGGCAGTACCTTTTGTCCAAACTCCTGAATGGCTTGTATTTTTTTTTTTTTTTTTTTTTTTGAGATGGAATTTTGCTCTTGTCGCCCAGGCTGGAGTGCAATGGCGGGATCTCGGCTCACCGCAACCTCCGCCTCCCAGGTTCAAGTGATTCACCTGCCTAAGCCTCCCGAGTAGCTGGGATTACAGGCATGTACCAGCATGCCCAGCTAATTTTGTATTTTTAGTAGACAAGGTTTCTCCACATTGGTCAGGCTGGTCTTGAACTCCTGACCTCAGATGATCTACCTGCTTCAGCCTCTCAAAGTACTGGGATTACAGGCATGAGCCACTGTGGCTGGCCTTTTTTTTGTTTGTTTTTTTGAGATGTAGTATTGCTCTTGTCTCCCAGGCTGGAGTGCAATGGTGCGATCTCAGCTCACTGCAACCTCCGCCTCCTGGGGTTCAAGTGATTCTCCTGCCTCAGCCTCTCGAGTAGCTGAGATTACAGGTGACCGCCACCATGCCCGGCTAATTTTTTTGTATTTTTAGTAGAGATGGGGTTTCACCATGTTGGCCAGGCTGGTCTCAAACTCCTGACCAGCCTGGTCACCTGGCCACCTGGTTACCTGACAGGTGATCAGCCCACCTTGGCCTCCCAAAGTGCTAGGATTACAGGCGTGAGCCACCGCCCTTGGCTGTTTCCTTTCCTTTTCTTTTTCTTTTGAGCCCGTTTTGCAGCCTTTACAAAAATCAGGGTTTTCCCACGAGATCATGAAGATTTTCACATAAGGGACTTCTGACCATTTGTGTTGGTGTTGGCAGTAAAGGTCAAGCTGGAATATGGTATTAACATTTAAGCTCCCCACCTTTGACCAAACTATATTGCAAAGGAAAATCAGTCTCTTGTTTTACAATCTGGGGATCAACCTTTTCCCAGATTCCAAGGGGATCCAGGAGGGGAATCCTGGGATATAAAGATCTGATTACCCATCTGAAAGACAAGACAAGAGAGAATGCAGGATAGAGGAAGTGTCCCTTTACCTATTTGGTGACTCATGAAGGTCAGGCATTCCAATCCTTGACCTAAATGAGGTGTCTCATGCCTCTCCCTGCAAGGGTGAAGTGTCCTTCACCTTGGAGCTCTGGAATTAGCCCTACTGTGTGCTCTGCTGTTTGCATTTCTTCCTATTGTTTTGCTCAGAAGGATTTCTTAGATTTCCTGGGATTGATGCCCAGCAGTGATGCCTTCCACTCTTCCGTGTTGGGTAAGGACGGGTGGAAGAATGTCTGCCATGAGAGTAGTTCTCTTCTCTTCTCTCATGTTCCCAGTGACCTTGGTTCTGCAGGAAGCCCAGTAGTTGTGCCCCTGCTGAATTCTGCAGAGAAGGGACTTCTAAAGTCCTTTTTTTTGAGACAGTTTCTCTCTTGTTGCCCAGGCTGGAGTGCAGTGGCGCTATCTTGGCTCACGGTAACCTCCGCCTCCTGGGTTCAAGCGATTCTTCTGCCTCAGCCTCCTGAGTAGCTGGGATTACTGGTGTCCACCACCATGCCCAGCTATTTTTGTATTTTTAGTAGAGACGGGGTTTCTTTTTTTTTTTGACATGGAGTCTCACTTTGTCACCCAGGCTGGAGTGCAGTGGCACGATCTCAGCTCACTGCAACCTCTGTGTCCAGGGTTCAAGAGATTCTTCTGCCTCAGCCGCCTGAATAGCTGGGATAACAGATCCATGCCACCAGGCCCGGCTAATTTTTTAGTAGAGACAGGGTTCCACCATATTGGCCAGGCTGGTCTCAAACTCCCGACCTCGTGATCTGCCCGCCTCAGCCTCCCAAAGTGCTGGGATTATAGGCATCAGCCACCGTGCCCAGCCGATACGGGGTTTCTCCATGTTGATCAGGCTGGTCTCGAACTCACAACCTCGGGTGACACGCCCGCCTTGGCCTCCGAAAGTGCTGGGATTACAAACGTGAGCCAATGCGCCCAGCCTAGGTCTTCTTAATACATAATGATATTGGGCTAATACTAATGATTACAGGAACGGAAAAGATGTGATATCTTCCCCCACTCTTAAAAGGTTCCTTGGGGTTTATACAGAAAAAAATGCTTGAAAAGCATAGAAGACCCCCTGGGGCTCAGAGTTAGTGAACTGGGCTGTTGATTCTGGTTTTTTAGTCCATTATATGATCACATAAACAGCAAGGGGAATGTGAGAAGCATTTTCTATCAGCTTATTCAACAAAAAGCAAAAAGGACCTGAGTACTTCACGGGTCTGTTACAATGGCCTAATGAGGTGGAGAAAGCAGTCTCCTGTGGCCCATTGGAAACCCTGGTTGTACAGAGAAACTAGGGAGTAAGGAAGTGGTCACAGGTGACCCTCTGGAAGAGCCAGGCAGTTCCATTGAGGAGTCACAGAATGAGGCATTCTTGAAGAGTAGGCAGGCGGAGAAGGACCCAATAATAAGTGAGGGATTTCTTTCTTTCTTTTTTTTTTTCAGACAGAGTTTCGCTCTTGTTGCCCAGGCTGGAGTGCAATGGTGCGATCTCGGCCCACTGCAATGGCCAGCTCCCGGGTTCAAGCGATTCTCCTGCCTCAGCCTCCCAAGTAGCTGGGATTACAAGCGTGTGCCACCACGCCCGGCTAATTTTTGTATATTTAGTAGAGATGGGGTTTCACCATGTTGGCCAGGCTGGTCTTGAACTCCTGCCCTCAGGTGATCCACCCCCCTCAACCTCTCAGAGTGCTGAGATTACAGGCATGAGCCACCGTGCCCGGCCAAAATGAGGGATTTCTTTAAGCAGGCATCCTCCCAGTGCCGGTCCCTCCAGTGAAACAGGAGGCAAGGGAAAGGACAAAGCTGAGTCTCATTTCTGAGGAAAAAAGTATAAACATCAGCATAGGCCCTCAAAGGACTCTGGCGCCTGAGTGAAGCAAACGCAGCAGGTCCTGGATAAACAGGCCCTGCAAGAGGCTTGCACCCGCAGGAAGAATTCATGAAATCCCTGCGGCGAGGAGAGGGACAGCAAAGAGTAAGCAGAGTGACCTGGGAGATTAATCAACGGTGGGGGCATATGGTGTTCAGGGGAGTGAACGGCCATGAATGGCAAGTATAAGAGCTGACTTAACACCGGATTGTAGTTTTAATTAAAAGATATGCGCCGGTCGCAGTGGCTCACGCCCGTAATCCCAGCAGTTTGGGAGGCCGAGGTGGGCGGATCACGAGGTCAGGAGTTCGAGACCAGCCTGGCCAATATGGTGAAACTCTGTCTCTACTAAAAATACAAAAATTAGCCGGGCATGGTGGCACACGCCTGTAGTCCCTGCTACTCGGGAGGCTGAGGCAGAAGAATCGCTTGAACCCGGGAGGTGGAGGTTGCAGTGAGCCGAGATCACACCACTGCGCTCCAGCCTGGGCGACAGAGTGAGACTCTGTCCTCCCCCCCACAAAAAAAAATATGAAGCTCCCCAGTCACTGCACAGCCAGGCGTATTCCCTGCCACCTTCACAAGCCTCCTGCAAGAAGGGTCACCATGTGTCTCAGATCTACTCACTGTGGAGTTTAAATCCTCCCTCCTCTGCTTATCACCCCTCAGGGTGAGCTGAGAAATCAGCCAGAGGGAGCAGAGTGACAGTGGCTGAAGGGAAATGGTACTGGGCAGTCGTTAGTGAACAGAGCCTGAGAGGAAAAACCCCTCCCCTTAAAGCTGCCAGATCTGCATTAGGGCAGGAGGTTCTTCAGTGCAGAAAGAAGCAGAGGTCGTCAACCAGAGAATCTGGCACCAGCTTTTTGGTACTTACCTGGATAACCAGGCGAGGTAACCAGGTAACCAGGTGAAAACACCAGATGTTACCCAGAGGGGTGTGGAAGTCCTCTGGTTCTTGGTCTTCTTGGATTCAGTCAAGAGATGCGCAGAAAGAGTTAAAGGGTAAATGCCCTTCATTTAAAGAGACAGGAGCTCAGAAAGAAGCGACACCCTGAACGACAGAACCGAGTGGGCTCCTGAAAAGAAGGAGTCTGTCCTTACTTATGCTGGCCTGACCCTTTTAATGAGAACCTGACATGATTATTCATGAAGGGGCCGTGCACAGCCATTATTAGTAAGCATGTTCTGGGAAGTCATTTGGGCAGGAATGTGCTGTGACTGTCCATGCACACATCACATATCTCCTTAGCATCTCAAATCTCCACCCAGGGGTGTGGCTTTTTTTTTTTTTTTTTTGAGACGGAGTCTCACTCTGTCGCCCAGGCTGGAGTGCGGTGGCGCTATCTCGGCTCACTGCAAGCTCCGCCTCCCGGGTTCACGCCATTCTCCTGCCTCAGCCTCCTGAGTAGCTGGGACCACAGGTGCCTGCCACCACGCCCAGCTAATTTTTTTTTTGTATTTTTAGTAGAGACGGGATTTCACCGTGTTAGCCAGGATGGTCTGGATCTCCTGACCTCGTGATCCACCTGCCTCGGCCTCCCAAAGTGCTGGGATTACAGGCATGAGCCACCGCACCCAGCCCTTATTTATTTTTTTCTAAAATCATATTTGAAAAAAGGGGATGTGTTTCTTAGTATTATAATGAGCAAAAGGCCATTCTAGGATGAATTATTAGAGGAGTGTGCACGCTCCTTAATAGGGAAAATCCCCTAGCTGGGTTATTTCTGGCTAGGGCCAGATAACTCCCTTCCTGGGCCAGACAAGTCCAGCCACAAGGACAGGTGTAGGCAATGTAGCCACTGTCCTGCTTTTGCTGTCAAAAGGGGATTGTCAGTGGGCTGTGTTTCTTAAGATTCCTTTCCCAGGGGCTCCTTTAACTGCTCATGCCTGGCTACCTACCTACTCCAAGCTGGTTTGTGGACAGAAATACTTTATTTATTTATTTTTTGTAAAGGTGTCTCACTCTGTCACCCAGGCTGGAGTGCAGTGGCGTGATCTCGGCTCACTGCAACCTCCAGCTCCCTGGTTCAAGCGATTCTCCTGCCTCACCCTCCCGAGTAGCTGGGATTATAGCCACATGCCACCACGCCCAGCTAGTTTTTGTATTTTTAGTAGAGATGGGGTTTCACCACTTTGGCCAGGATGGCCTTGATCTCCTGACCTCATGATCTGCCTGCCTCAGCCTCCTAAAGTGATGGGATTACAGGCATGAGCCACTGAGCCTGGCGCTAGAAAGACTTTTAAAGTAGTATCTAGTTCATCCACATTTGTATGTTTCTTCTATTCAATCTGAATGCAAATTTACCTGAAGGTTTTCCCCTGAGATCACAGAGAACAACTTTCTTCACCTTAATTTTATTTTCAGCTGGGCATGGTGGTGCACACCTGTAATCCCAACACACTGGGAGGCTGACACAGGCGGATCACTTGAGTTCAGAAGTTTGGGACCAGCCTGGGCAACGTGACAAAACCCTATGTCTACAAAAAATACAAAAAAATTAGCTGGGCATAGTGTCGTGACCCTCTAGTCCCAGCTATTGAGGAGGCTGAGCTGGGAGGATGGCTTGAGCCCAGGAGGTGGAGGGTACAGTGAGCTGTGATCATGCCACTGCACTCCAGCCTAGGGGACAGAGTGAGACCCTGTCTCAAAAACAAACAAAAAACAAAAAAACCCAATCAACATAAGTTTATTCTCATTAGGTTATTTCTCTGATCACAAGAGAAAATGTCTCTGAATTACCTTCCTTTGTCAGGGCTCAGCTGGTACCAAAAAGGATGTCAAGAAAATTTAGATTGAGGTCGGGCGCATGCCTGTAATCCCAGCACTTTGGGAGGCCAATGTGGGTGGATCACGAGGTCAGGAGATCGAGACCATCCTGGCTAACACGGTGAAACCCTGTCTCTACTAAATATACAAAAAATTAGCCGGGCGAGGTGGCAGGCGCCTGTAGTCCCAGCTACTCGGGAGGCTGAGGCAGGAGAATGGCGTGAACCTGGGAGGCGGAGCTTGCAGTGAGCCGAGATCGCGCCACTGCACTCCAGCCTGGGCAATGCAGCAAGACTCTGTCTCAAAAAAAAAAAAAAGAAAATTTAGATTAATATGAGAATGTGACATGGATCTGACATATAAATTAGTGTTTTTATTGTCAAATTGTGACCAAATAATTCATGAAGCTGTGAGAATATGTTTTCCCATGATCAGCAGAAAAATGTATAAGGGAACACTATTTTTCTTAATATGACCCTAGCTTTCTGCTTAATTCGACAGTTACAGAGACCCTTGAAGTTAGAAATGTAGAGCCATATCTTCCAACAAGAACTGATCAGTGTCTTGCATGTGATCGAAATGAATACCACACAGCCGAAATGCACATTGAGGACCCTTCAATGTCATTCAAAAACTGAGGTAAGGAGCAAAGTTTGCTATTGTTCTTATTACTTTTAGTTCTGTTTTTCAAGTAGAACACATGTATTTATTATTTTTTAAAATCTTTGTTTGGGCCGGGCGTGGTGGCTCACGCCTGTAATCCCAGCACTTTGGGAGGCTGAGGCGGGCAGATCACGAGGTCAGGAGATCGAAACCATCCTGGCTAACACGGTGAAACCCTGTCTCTACTACAAATACAAAAAATTAGCTGGGCGTGGTGGCATGCGCCTGTAGTCCCAGCTACTCGGGAGGCTGAGGCAGGAGGATGGCGTGAACCCAGGAGGCGGAGCTTGCAGTGAGCCGAGATTGCACCACTGCACTCCAGCCTGGGCAACAGAATGAGATTCTGTCTCAAAAAAAAAAAAAAAAAAAAAATTCCCTGAATAGGTCACAGCAGATGCTCATCCCCTGCCCTGTACCTGGTGCTTTCTAGCCTTGCTTCCTTCTTTAGAGAAAAGAAAAGCCCATTTCTTGTGACTCAAACATTTGCAGATCTTGTGGTTGGAGCATTCTCCCTACCACAATATACTTTTTGAATAGAATCTCTTCTAACCAATGTCCAAATTTGTTCTTTGACAGTAGTAAACATTTTCATTGTTCCATCTGTGTTAGAATATGTACATTCTCTTTTTTGTGTGTGACACAGGCTATAATATATACTCAAGAGATGAAAGTACTTCCTGGATGGGCTAAGTGGTTCATGCCTGTAATCCTGGCATTTTGGCAGGCTGAGGTGGGAGGATCACTTGAGACCAGGAGTTTGCGACTGGCCTGGGCAACATGGCAAAATCCTGTCTTTACAAGCAATACAAAAATTAGCCAGGCATGATGGTACATGCCTGTAGTCTCAGCTACCAGGAGGCTGAGGTGGGAGGATCACCTGAGGCTGCAATGAGCAATGATCATGCCATTGCACTCCAGTCTGGGTGACAGAATGAGATTCTGTCACACACACATACACACACACACACAAAGTAGTTCCTACTTTAACTTATTTGAAAAAAATCCATATTAATTTGCATTTCTCTTATAATGATATTACAAGGAGGTGTAATAGGAAAATAAATCTCAGACCCCAAAATCACTTAGCCAAGGGAAAAGTCAAGCTGGGAACTCTGTCAGGCAAATATGCCTCCCATTTTATTCCTTATTCCTAAATAAGATAGCTACAAAGATTTTTAAAAGCTACATACCTTCCTCAAAATTTACCTACAAGGAAATTCCTTGTGGACAAAGGACAGACAGAACTCAGTGTCATCCCTCTGCTCACATGAGACAAATGCGTATCTGATTTTTTCCTTTGTCCTATTGTTTCACTAAGCCAGACTAAGGCATAAGTGACTATTCCTGTAAATCACGAATTCAGTGAAAGCCTAATCTGAAACTCCAAAAGAATGCAACAGTTTGTCTGTTATCTACCTATGACCTAGAAGCTTCCTCCCTGATTGAGTTGTGTGACTTTCCAGACCAAGTCGATGGACATCTTTCATATATTTCTATTTTATTTTATTTTTTAAATTTGAGACAGAGTCTCACTCTGTCGCCCAGGCTGGAGTGCAATGGCCCTATCTCAGCTCACTGCAACCTCCACCTCTCAGGTTCAAGCAATTCTCCTGCCTCAGCCTCCCGAGTAGCTGAGATTACAGACACGTGCCACCACACCAGGCTAATTTTTGTATTTTTAGTACAGACAGGCTTTCACCATGTTGGCCAGGCTGGTCTCCAACTCCTGACGTTGTGATCCGCCCACCTTGGCCTC
Organism: Homo sapiens; assembly: GCF_000001405.40. Taxonomy (NCBI): domain Eukaryota; kingdom Metazoa; phylum Chordata; class Mammalia; order Primates; family Hominidae; genus Homo; species Homo sapiens. The sequence goes on along the minus strand of NC_000019.10, from coordinate 53,040,646 downwards.
CAAATTGTTGGGATCACAGGCATGAGCCACTGCGCCTGGCCCACATCTTTCATATATTGATTAATGTCTCATGTCTCCCTAAAATGTGTAAAACCAAACTGTACTTAGACTACCTTGGGCACATGTCATCAGGATTTCCTGAGGCTGTGTCACAGGCATGTTGTTAACCTTGGCAATATAAACTTTCTAAATTGATTGAGACCTGTCTCAGGTACTCTTCGTTGACAAATTGGTGACCCAAGGAAGTAACTCTGAGTAGAGTGGGCCCTGACCTTTGACGATCTCCTATTGGTGCTTGGTACCAGATTGAGCTATCCTTATGGCTCAAACCAGTAGGACAATTGGCTGAGGCCTGGGAGCTCCCTCTCTAGAGAATCCCTGATCTATCAAAATTTGGTTGAGATCTTAACTTTATTTTGCTGTACATCTTTTTCTGGAGTTTTACTTGCTTCCAATAAGGAAGGCACGTTTTCCTGCTTCCATGACAGTAGAAGGCAGGTAACTCCTTTCTAAAGTTTAAGCTCGCTTCCAATTGGGAAGGTGAATTTCAGTTTTTTTCCTCCTCCTAGGATGGTATACCCATTCCTAGGTATGTAGGTGAATTTGGGGTTCTGTCTTGGCTAAAGTTAAGATTAATAACCAGCTGGTTTAAATTTCTCCTTACCATTAGAGCACTCAGTAATCATATTGTTTGGGGGTTTTGTGTTATTATTTGTGCGTTCTTTCTCCCATCAGATGTTTTAGGTTTTTGTTTTGTTTTGTTTTTCTTCAAGGAAGTTTCGATCTTGTCGCCAAGGCTGGAGTACAATGTCACAACCTTGGCTCACTGCAACCTCCGCCTCCCAGGTTCAAGTGATTCTTCTGCCTCAGCCTCCCAAGTAGCTGAGATTACAGGCATGCACCACCACACCCGGCTACTTTTTGTATTTTTAGTAGAGACAGGGTTTTGCCATGTTGGCCAGGCTGGTCTTGAACTCCTGACTTCAGGTGACCCACCTGCCTCAGCCTCCCAAAGTGCTGGGATTACAGGCATGAGCCACTGCACCCGGCCATTGCTTATTATTTAAAGCAAAAATCGGTGATCTAACATCACTGAACCTGAAACCACCTTTGCAAAAATCATGATAGTGAGAGAAATCTAACCTAATTGTTGCTTCTAACCTCACAAGCTGTGTTTGCTCATTACTGGGCATTGGCCCAGCTAACTATGGGTGGAATTCAGTTTATAGTTATGACTTTGAAGAAAGGATGATACTAGTCCCTCCCAAAGTGACCCTCTCAGGTGACTGAAACCAACTTTCTAAGACTAATGAAAGGCTAAATGTTAGGATTATGGGAGGTAACTGAATTCTGCTAAAATGTAGACAGAAACAATAACCAGTGATTTGTAATTTCTCAGTTGCTCCTGTAGATAACACTACTATTGTGAAAACCTAAGATTGGTCTTTGAGGTATTTTTCAGACTTTTACAATTGGGCAGAGTCATTCAGGCCACCTGGACGTCTTCTTCACTGGTACCAGAGAACTGGCACTGCCCGGTCCTGTGACCGTCACCCAGAAACTGACTCAGCTCCAGGAGGCCTGTTTTGAACCCTCTTATGATTTTCTCCACAACTAATGAGCCACACCAATTCCCTAGCCCCTTGCTCTCCGAATTATCCTCAAAACCCTAGTCTCCCAACTTTTCGGGCGACAGATTTGAGAACTAACTTCCCCCTCTCCCAACTTGTTCCACTTGGCTAGCCCTGCGATAATTAAACTCTTTGCTGCAAAACTCTCCTGTTTTCAGTGCACTGTCTCTTCTGGGCAGAGACAAGATGAATCCAGGGTGATGACAGACCTAGCTTTCCATGCTTAACACCCCAGGTGTTGCGTCTATGAAAGTCTCTGGAGGCCAGGCCCAGTGGCTCACGCCTGTAATCCCAGCACTTTGGGAAGCCAAGGCTGACAGATTTGAAACTACGTTTCCAAAAAAAAAAAAAAAACAAAGTCAGTCTTTGGAAACAAGTACAAGGTTGACTCTCTGGAGTAAATGGAGATTAGAAAATAAAAGGATTTCTAGGGCCAGGTGCGGTGGATCACGCCTGTAATCCCAGCACTTTGGGAGGCTGAGGCAGGCAGATCACGAGGTCAGGAGATCGAGACCATCCTGTCTAACACGGTGAAACCCCATCTCTACTAAAAATACAAAACATTAGCCGGGTGTGGTGGCGGGCGCCTGTAGTTCCAGCTACTTGGGAGGCTGAGGCAGGAAAATGGCGTGAACCCAGGAGGCAGAGCTTGCAGTGAGCCGAGATCGCACCACTGCACTCCAGCCTGGGTGACAGAGCAAGACTCAGTCTCAAAAAAATAAATAAATAAAAAATAAAAGGATTTCTATTTTGTTTTGTGGGACATCAGCATGGGATTGATCCATCCCCCCATGCAGAGTTTGCCTTTCACGTTCCAGTTTGCATCCCCTTCACAGACAATTCTGGGGCTTTTAAATTAAGTTGCTAAACTTTTTCAATAGCAGGAATTTTCCTGGATCCAATCACCAACGGTTTGCCCTGCCCCAGGGAGATCCTGCTGAGTTGCTTCAGCCTCACTGGTAAATGTTGCCTCCTAAACCCGAAAAATAGAGATGCCATGGGAGCCAGAAGAGGAAAGCATAGGCCCCCCCACTCCGCGGAGGCCCCGCCCCCTTCCTTCTTCCCTCCCGACGCCGTCGCTCGCGGGACCCGCCCAGGATTCCGCTCTGCGCTTAGTTTCCTGCAGACCCGGAAACAGATCGCGCGGAGTGAACCTGGTATGGCGGCGCGTGGATTTCCCTCTGTCTATTATTAAGATTAAACTTGGGCTTCGCAGTCCTCTCACCTCCATACCCCGGATTTGGAGGTTCGTACACGCCTGAAAATTCTCATACCGCTCCCCTCACTGCTAGTAAGTCACACATCGCTATGAGACTCTTGGGGTCGTTTCAGTGATTTGGGGTAAAATCATTCTGAGGCTGGTTCCGTCGCCGGTGTTTCTGCCTTCAGGTCATGTAGACATGTTCTTTCCTTAAATTTTTCCGTTCGAAACCCTGTACTGACCCCTCATCCTGCCCCGCACTTTTTCAAGTCCTCACCCGCGAGGTGGAGTCGCGTCCTGGGCGCCTCCCAGCCTCGCCCTCGTCGGCCCCGCAGCCCCAGTCCCAGGGAGGCTGCGTCCTCTGCCTGGCGGGATCCTGCAGACCCCACCCCTATCCTAAGGCGCCTTCGCCCCCACCTCCCTCCAACTCTTGCTGGGCCCTGCTGCTCCCCAGGCCTCTCGTTTGCAGTCCCCGCTTCCCCTGAGCCCGCGTTAGGGAGGTGCCCAGGGCCTGTCCTGTGACACCTGGTGTTCTTGCCTTCCCAGCTCCACCCCCTGGAAAAATGTGCTCCTGCGGGATGCAGGTGTCTTACCCTAAACCCTCCTGTGAATGTGTGGGCCAAGGGGATCTGGAAACAGGGACTGCGAGAGAAGTAGACAAACTGAGACAGAGAATGAGGGAAACCCATAAACAGATGGCAAAATGGAGGATGCGTGGGGGATTCGCGAAGAGACAGGAAGAGTCAAAGAAGAAGCTGAGAAAGTAACAGGATGGGGAAACAACTGGAGAAATGTAGAGAAAAGCTCCATGTCCAGAAAGGTGAAGGACAGCAAGGTAGGGAGAGGGGCAGCAGAGGGGAGGCTCCTCAGACAGAGAGTGAGGGAGAGGAGGAGGGATTTGGAGCCACGGCAGGCAGCAGCGTGGTGCTGGGACAGCAAGAAGGGGCAACTGGTGACAAGGAGAGCAGAAGAAGAACCACAGCAGGGTGCTCAGGGATTATTGGTTCAAATTCATTAAAAGCTATAGGCCTGTTCAGATTGTGTGTTTCTGTTTGAGTTTTGGTGCTGGAACAACTGGACATCCAAATGCAAAAAAGAAAAAAATCCAGACAAAAACCTCACGTTTTGTGCATAAATTAACTCAGAATGGATCATAGACCTCAGTGTAAGCCTAGGGATCTGAGGGTGCTAGAGACTGAGGACAAGGGGGTGTAAACAGGGAAGAGGGAATTTAACAGGGGAAGCAGAGATGGGGAAAGACAGAGGCAGAAATGTATGGACACTGGGGACAATCCAGTGATTGGGGAGAAAGAGGGACAGGAGGTGAAACAAGTTGTAAGACTGGAGCAGAACAGGTGGAAAAGATGGAATAGCAGGAAGAAGCGGAGAAACAGCAAGAGAGGAGAGAGGCTCAAAATGAGGAGCAGAAACCCAGGGGGAAACAGAAAAGAACCCAAGAGTTAGAGAAGATGAGAATGAGAGATATGTACGGAATAAGGGAGGGAAACACAGAATAATGAACAAGGTTGGGGGTGTTGATTGGATGAGTTGATTAAATTGTGACATATTGATTTCTCTGTTTATAATATAACACATATTAAATTTTAAATTTTTTTCTGGGTGTGGTGGCTCATGCCTGTAATCTCAGCACTTTCGGAGGCCGGGGCAGGCGGATCACCTGAGGTCAGGAGCTCAATACCAGCCTGGCTAAGATGGGGAAACCCCGTCTCTACTAAAAATACAAAAATTAGCCGAGCCTACTGGTGCACGCCTGTAGTCCCAGCTACTCGGGAGGCTGAGGCAGGAGAATCACTTGAACCCTGGAGGTGGAGGTTGTGGTGAGCCGAGATCACACCACTGCACTCCAGCCTGGGCGACAAAGTGAGACTTTGACTCAAAAAAAAAGAAAAAGCTTTAGAGCAGAACTGAAAGGAAGGAAAGTACACTTGGAAGAGGGCCAAGTGATCGACTTGAAAGGCAAGTGTGCAGTTTGACCTTTTGACTTAGGGTTTTATACGTTGGCATACTTCCGGGGTCTTGCTTCCTTGGGGTGGGCTGTTCTTGCCTTGGGGTGGGCTGTCCACATGCACATGCTTTAGTCCACTCGCCCAACTCCTGAGATCTCATGGGAAGAGGCTGATCACCAGTTTCAGGTGTTTTCTATCTATGCCTTTCCCTGGTGCCGGCTGTGACTAATTATTATTTTAGAGAGACAGTTAACAACCACCTGACCATCACCTGATGGTTGCCTGGCTCATTCCTGATGTGTGTGAATGGGGAGGGGGAGCCCTCTCCTTCTCATACCAGGTAAGCTACCTACTGTAACAAAATGTCATTGCAAATCTTTGAAACATCCTGCCTGACATGTTTGCTCACTCACGCATGCCTTCCCTCAGTCCCTCTCATCTCACTTAGATTCCATCCTGCATGACCTAGTGACATGAACTTCTGAAGAGGCTCTGCTGGGCATGGTCCTTGGAAGGGCTGACACCCAGACATGGATTGGAGATGGGGTGTGGGCCTTGTGGTTTCAGTGCTTCTGGGGAGCAGGGATTGTTTAGGAGCCACATTTGGATGTATGCCACCTCTTTGTAGACCAGGATTCAAGAAGTTGCCCATGACGTCAGGTATTAATATGCACAAGTTCCTGTTGAATGCTTTAAAATGAGAACACTATGGGGAAATCTTTCCTGCCTCGTTTTTATTATATTTGGAACTGAACAAGTGAGTCACTGTGTTTCTGAGTTCAAACTCTTAATGACTGGGAATGGAATGGAAAGTTTAGATGGAAACATCAGTGATAGGATTTTTTCATTCCTCACATTTTAATATATGAAGTCAACATAAATGTCAAACAGCAGGAGATACATTAAACTATTTTCAGACAGACCAGAACAGAGATGTTGTATTCCTGGAGGAACCCCTGTGAACTGTGTTTTAGGTGAGAATGGTTATCACTGTGCTCATACAGTGAATCACAGCTTCTTTGCCATTGGAGAGAATTGAACCATTTTTTTAACCCAATAATTATTAAATATTCTATTTTATTTTGAACATCACATGGTGAATGTTTTATAGTAAAACTCCAAACTTATAGCTTAGGCACTAAGATGTAACACATCGTCTTTTCTGTTCCGCTTCCTTCCTCGTGCTCAGTGGAGAACCACCATTCTCAGTTCATGGCAAGAGTCAGCACAAGATTTATAGTAACGTATTTATACATCGATATGAGATTTAAAACATGTTTTTCAGTGAATGTTTTATTGTGATATTTTAACCTGCAAGTTTTGAGATTTTACTTTTGTGTTGGGAAACAGGAGCTCGCTCTTCTACATCCTTGCTGGAGCATTCTCTTTTGATGCACAGAAGTTTTTCATTTAGATGTAGTTCCTTTCATCTGTTTTTGCTTTTCTGCCAGTGCTTTTCATATTGTATCCAAGAAATCACAGCTAAATCTCATGTTCTGGTATTTTCTTCTCTTTCTAGTTTAAATGGTTTTTTAAAATCATGAACAGTATTGGATTTTCTCAAATACTTTTTATGCATCAATTGAGCTGATCACGTGATTTTTGTCCTTCACTTTGTCAGTGCGGTGTACTACATTGACTTTTTTTCTGTTTTTTTTTTTTTCTTTTTGTCTAATTTTTAGTCACCTATATGTTCTTCCAGGCTTCAGCTTTGAAAAAAAAAACTTTTTTTCTTGGGGCTGGGCTTGGTGGCTCATTATTCCCAGCACTTTGGGAGGCCAAAGTGAGCAGATCACCTGAGGTCGGGAGTTCGAGACCAGCCTGACCAACATGGAGAAACCCCTTCTCTACTAAAAATACAAAATTAGCCAGGTGTGGTGGTGCATGCCTGTAATCCCAGCTACTTGGGAGGCTGAGGCAGGAGAATCACTTGAACCTGGGAGGCAGAGGTTGTGGTGAGCCGAGATCGTGCCACTGCACTCCAACCTGGGCAACAAAGGTGAACTCCATTTCAAAAAAAAAAAAAAAAAAGTTCAGCAGTCAGCTGGGCGCTGTGGCTCACACCTGTAATCCCAGCACTTTGGAAGGCCGAGGCGGGCGGATCACCTGGGGTCAGGAGTTCAAGATCAGCCTTGCCAACATGGTGAAACCCCATCTCTACTGAAAATACAAAAATTCAGCACTTTGGGAGGCCGAGGCGGGCAGATCACAAGATCAGGAGATCGAGACCATCTGGCTAACACGGTGAAACCCCATCTCTACTAAAAATACAAAAAATTAGCCAGGCGTGGTGGTGGGCACCTGTAGTCCCAGCTACTCGGGAGGCTGAGGCAGGAGAATGGTGTCATCCCAGGAGGTGGAGCTTGCAGTGAGCTGAGATCACACCACTGCACTCCAGCCTGGGTGACAGAGCGAGAATCCGTCTCAAAAAAACAGAGAAAAAACAAAAATTAGCTGGGCGTGGTAATGCACGCCTATAATCTCAGCTACTACTTGGGAGACCGAGGTGGGAGAATCACAGGAAAGGCAAATCCATATCTGGCCTAAGTGTCTATTCCAGCAAGGACAAACTGCTGCCCTTTCCATGATGGAAGACCTGCCACCAAGTACCTGGCTGATCACTCCCAAGGAATGGTGCCATATTGAGGGCTCAGTGTTGGTCTCTGCTCCTGGCAAATTGGGCACTCAGCGGTGGCCATAGCCAGGTCAGCCTTGGTGAATGGAAGTCCATATTGCTGAGCCCATGTGTAACCTCCATCCCTGCTACCATGGCCACTTTGTTCATGAGCCCATTGGGTGATGACAGGAGTGGCTGGGGAAAGAGGCTGAGTGGTATCCACAGAATGAGTTATCCTATCCATTTCATTATTAAAATCCTCCTCTGCTGAGGTCATCCTTTGGTGAACATTCATGTGGGACACAAATATCTTCACTGTTTTTGACCACTCGGGTCCATCAACATTTGGATGGAAGTTCTCCAGATTTTTCTGCCACCAATTTTCCAATCATGCTTCTTCCAAGTCCCTGACCATCCAGCCAAACCATTAGCTACAACTCATGAGTCAGTATAGAATCACACATCTGGCCATTTCTCCTTCAAACCGAAGTGCACAACCAGCTGTGCTGCTCAAAGTTCTGCCCACTGGGAAGATTTCCCTTCACCACTATTCTTCAGGGATGTCCTAGAAGGTGCTGCAGCTGTCTACTTTCAGGTGGTAACTGCATATCATGCAGAACCATCTGTAAACTGGGCCCTAGTCTTCTTTTGCTCTGTTAACTGATCATAGGGAACTCCCCATGAGGATGTTGATGCAGGCTGAGGGAGAGAAGGCAGGATGGCAGGAGTAGAGACCATAGGCATTTGAGCCACTTTCTCTTTTTTTTTTTTTTTTTTTTTTGAGATGGAGTCTCATTCTGTCACCCAGGCTGGAGTGCAGTGGCACAATCTCAGTTCACTGCAACCTCCACCTCCCGGGTTCAAGCGATTCTCCTGCCTCAGCCTCCTGAGTAGCTGGGATTACAGGCATGCACCACCACACCCGGCTAATTTTTGTATTTTTAGTAGAGATGGGGTTTTGCCTTGTTGACCAAGCTGGTCTCGAACCCCTGACCTCAAGCAATCCGCCCACCTTGGCCTCCCAAAGTGCTGGGATTGTAGGTGTGAGCCACCATGCCTGGCCATTTGAGCCACTTTCTCATGTAACTTCCTTGTGCCTTCAGGAACTGCTTGAGCCCAATCACATATATACCATTTCCATTTGATGATGGAATGCTGCTGGGCATGCACAGCTTTATGGCTCCATGAATCAGAAAATACCCAGTTCATGATAGGCAGATCAGGTCTCATTGTAACTTGGTGACCCATAGTCAAATATTCAGTTTCTACCAAGGCCCAGCAACAGGCTGGGAGCTGTCTTTCAAAAGGTGAGTAGTTATCTGCAGAGGATGGTAGGCCCTTGCTCCAAAATCCCAGAGGCCCCACTATGATTCACCTTTAGGGGCCTGACAAAGGCTCCAAACAGCATGCCTATCTGCCACTGACACTTCAAGTACCATTGGATCTGCTGGGTCATATGGCCCAGTGGCAGAGCAGCTTGCACAACAGCTTGGAGCTGTTGTGGAGTCTTCTGTTCTGGACCACACTCAACATTGGCAGCCTTTTGGATCACTTGATAAATGGGCTGGAGTAACACACCCAAATGAGAAATGTGTTGTCTCCAAATCCAAACAGGCCCACTAGGCGTTATGCCTCTTTCTTTGTTGTAGGAAGGGCCAAATGCAGCAACTTATCGTTCACCTTAGAAGGAAGATCTTGGCCGGACGCAGTGGCTCATGCCTGTAATCCCAGCACTTTGGGAGGCCGAGGCGGGCGGATCACCTGAAGTCAGGAGTTCAAGGCCAGTCTGACCAACATGGTGAAACCCCGTCTCTACTAAAAATACAAAAAGTTAGCCGGGTATGGTGGCGAATGCCTGTAATCCCAGCTACTCAGGAGGCTGAGGCAGGAGAATTGCTTGAACCTGGGAGGCAGAGGTTGCAGTGAGCCGAGATCGAGTCATTGCACTCCAGCCTGGGCAACAAGAGCAAAACTCCATTTAAAAAAAAAAAAAAAGAAAAGAAAAATATCTTGACCGGCCCCACACCACCGGACCCCTAGAAATTTCACTGAGGCGAAAGAATCCTGAATTTTACCCAGATTTATTTCTCATCCCCTGGCATACAAATGTCTCACCAATAAATTCAGTGTGGTTGCTACTTGTTGCTCACTGGGCCCACTCAGCATAACGTCATCAATGTAAAGGAGCAGTGTGATATCTTATGAAAGCGAACTGATCAAGATCTCTGTGAGCAAGATTATGACATAAAGCTGGAGAGCCCGTATTCCTCCAAGGCAGGACAGGGAAGGTATATTGCTGGTCTTGCCAGCTGAAGGCAGATTCCTTCTAGTGGGCCTTATGGACAGGAATGGAAGGAAAAAAAAGCAGTTAGCCAAATCAGTGGCTGCATACCAGTTACCAGGAGATGTGGTAATGTGCTCGAGCAGTGAAACCACATCTGGTACAGCAGCTGCCATTGGAGGCACCACTTGGTTGAGCTTATGATAATCCACTGTCATTCTCCAAGATCCACCTGCCTTCTGCACAGGCCAAATAAGAGAGCTGAGTGGAGATGTGGTGGGAATCACCACCCCTGGATCTTTCAAGTCCAGAGACATGATGTTGTTGTTTTTGTTCGTTTTTGAGATGGAGTCTTGCTTTAACGCCCAGGCTGGAGTGCAGCGCGATCTCAGCTCACTGCAACCTCCACCTCCTGGGTTCAAGCGATTCTCCTGCCTCAGCCTCCCAAGTAGTTGGGACTACAGGTGTGCGCCACCACGCCCAGCTAACTTTTGTGGGGTTTTTTTGTCTTTTTTTTTTTTTTTGAGACGGAGTCTTGCTCTGTCGCCGAGGCTGGAATGCATTGGCGCCGTCTCAGCTCACTCCAACTTTGACCTCCCAGATTCAAGCGATTCTCCTGCCTCTGCCTTTTGAGCAGCTGGGATCACAGGCACATGACACCATGCCCAGCTAATTTTTGTATTTTTAGTAGAGATGGGGTTTTACTGTTGGAGCTGGTCTCCAACTCCTGATCTCGTGATCTGACCACCTTGGCCTCCCAAAGTGCTGGGATTACATGCGTGAGCCACCGCGCCCAGCCTGTATTTTTATATTTTTAGTAGATACGGAGTTTCACCATATTGGTCAGGCTGGTCTTAAACTCCTGACCTCGTGATCCACCAGCCTCAACCTCCCAAAGTGATGGGATTATAGGTGTGAGCCACTGTACCTGGCCTGTGATGTTTTTTATTTGCAATTCTTCTAGATGGAGGCAGCTCTAGTGGCTTCCGTTTGGCCTTTCCCACCATAATAGCCCTCACTCTACTAGTCAGCAAGCTAATGCGGGGATTCTGCCTGCTGCTAAGTATGTCTATTCCATTTATGCATTTTGGCACCGGGGAAATGACCACAGGATGAGTCTGGGGACACACTGGACTCACTGTAAATCAGACCTGAGCTAAAACTCCATTAATTATCTGATCTCCCATAAACCCCTACTGTAACTGAGGACCAAAATGATGTTTTGGGTCCCCTGGAATCAATGTTAGCTCAGAGCCGGGTCCACTAGTCCCCAAAAGGTCTGATCATTCCACTTTCCTCAATGCATATTTACCCTGGTAAAAGGCCAGCGGTCTCCTTGGCAAAGGATGGGAGAAAGATTGACAGTATAAATTGTCGTGCAGTGAGATCTTTTCTTAAGGAAATCCAGCTTCCCTTTCATTCAAGGGATCCTGGGTCTGTAAACTGGCTCAAGTCTGGAAATTGAGGGGCCATAAGTCTCGCTAGTTGGTCCCTACCTCCTTAAGATCCAGTTATTCCCACTGCATTTAAGTTTTTCAATTGAGTGACTGGTTCCCATTGTAAGATCTGGCATACAGAGAAGATCAATCACAGAGCTCTCCAAGGATGCAGGTGCTCCCTTCACAAATCTATTTCACAAGTGAAGACTAAGCTCTGATTTTTTTTTTTTTTTTGAGATGGAGTCTTGCTCAGTTGCCCAGGCTGGAGTGCAGTGGCACGATCTCAGCTCACTGCAACCTCCACCTCCCGGGTTCAAGCGATTCTCCTGCCCCAGCCTCCTGAGTAGCTGAGATTACAGGCACGTGCCACCAAGCCCGGCTAATTTTTGTATTTTTAGTAGAGATGGAGTTTCACCATGTTGGTCAGCCTGGTCTCGAACTCCTGACCTCGTGATCCACCTGCCTTGGCCTCCCAAAGTGCTGGGATTACAGGCATGAGCCACCGCGCCAGGCTCAAGGGAATTATTTTCATCAGCATACTCCAATGATGGTCTTCTCCTTTAAAAGACACATAAACACACATGCACACATACAGAATAAAGCCATTTTTTCCCTTCTGCTCGCCCATCTTGTTGGGGGAAGAAAGATAGGTCAGACTGTTACTTTGTCTATGTAGAAAAAGGAAAACATAAGAAACTCCATTTTGATCTGTTCTAAGAAAAATTCTTCTGCCTTGAGATGCTGTTAATCTGTAACCCTAGCTCCAACCCTGTGCTCGCAGAAACATATGCTGTGTTGACTCAAGATTTAATGGATTTAGGGCTGTGCAGGATGTGCTTTGTTAAAATGTGTTTGCAGGCAGTATGCTTGGTAAAAGTCATCACCATTCTCCAGTCTCGAGTACCCGGGGACACAATGCACTGCGGAAGGCCGCAGGGACCTCTGCCTGAGAAAGCCTGGGCATTGTCCAAGGTTTCCCCCCCACTGACATAGCCTGAGATATGGCCTCATGGGAAGGGAAAGACCTGACCATCCCCCAGCCCAACACCCGTAAAGGGTATGTGCTGAGGAGGATTAGTGAAAGAGGACGGCCTCTTTGCAGTTGAGATAAGAGGAAAGCATCTGTCTCCTGCTCATCCCTGGGAATGGAATGTCTCGGTGTAAAACCTGATCATACATTCTATTTGCTGAGATAGGAGAAAACTGCCTTATGGCTGGAGGTGAGACATGCTGGGGGCAATACTGCTCTTTACTGCACTGAGATGCTTGTGTAAAGTCAAACATAAATCTGGTCTACATGCACATTGAGGCACAGCACCTTTCCTTAAACTTATTTATGACACAGAGTCCTTTGCTCACATGTTTTCCTGCTGACCCTCTCCCCACCATTACCTTATAGTCCTGCCACATCCCCCTTGCTGAGATAGTAGAGATAGTGATCAATAAATACTGAGGGAACTCAGAGACCAGTGCCGGTGCGGGTCCTTCGTATGCTGAGCGCCGGTCCCCTGGGCCCAAGGCTCCGTGTCTTATTTCTTTTCTCAGTCTCTCATCTCCACCTTGCGAGAAATACCCACAGGTGTGGAGGGGCAGGCCCCCTTCACCATCTTTAAAACAAAAATTAGTGGTAACTATATTTCCCTCTATGGTAATTCCCCTCTTCTGAGCCCCTTTGAGAATGTCATACTCGTGGCCAGGCACAGTGGTTTACGCCTGTAATCTCAGCACTTTGGGAGGCTAAGGCGGGTGGATCACCTGAGATCAGGAGTTTGAAACCAGACTGGCCAACATGGTGAAACCCTGTGTCTACTAAAAATACAAAAATTTGCCAGGCGTGGTGGCACATGCCTGTAATCACAGCTATTGGGAGGCTGAGGCGGGAGAATTGCTTGAACCTGGGAGGTGGAGGTTGCAGTGAGCTGAGATTGCACCATTGCACTCCAGCCTGGGCAACAAGAGTAAAACTCCATCTCAAAAAAAAAAAAAAAAGAAAAGAAAGAAAGAAAGAATGTCATACTCTGAAAGCTTGCTTTTACTTTCTCTTCAAGTCTTGCCTCCAACTTTTACTTGAACCCTTGAATTCTTGCTTGAATCAAACATTCACTTCCAGCATTCAACTGATCCCTTCTTTTTCAATCATCAGTGACTTCCCATTTCTTTCTTTCTTTTTTTTTTTTTTTTTTGAGACGGAGTCTCACTCTGTCATCCAGGCTGGAGTGCAGTGGCATGATCTCTGCTCACTGCAAACTCCGCCTCCCGGATTCAAGCAATTCTCCAGCGTCAGCCTCCTGAGTAGCTGGGATTACAGGCATGCACCACCACACCCAGCTAATTTTTGTATTTTTAGTAGAGGCGGGGCTTCACCATGTTAGCCAGGCTGGTCTCAAACTCCTGACCTAAGGTGATTGTGATTTGCCCACTTTGGCCTCCCAAAGTACTGGGATTACAGGTGTGAGTCACTGAGCCCAGCCAACCTCCCCATTTTTACACTTTTTTTTTTTTGTTTTTTGAGAGTTGCTCTGTCGCGCAGGCGGGAGTGCAGTGGTGCATCTCGGTTCACTGCAACCTCCGCCTCCCAGGTTCAAGCAATTCTCCTGCCTCAGCCTCCTGAGTAGCTGGAACTACAGGCACGCGCACCACGCCCAACTAATTTTTGTATTTTCAGTAGAGGTGGGGTTTCACCATGTTTGCCAGGACGGTCTCGATCTCTTGACCTCATGATCTGCCCGCCTTGGCCTCCCAAAGTGCTGGGATTACAAGCGTGAGTCGCCACACCTGGCCTACACTTTTTTTTGTCTTTTTTTTTTTTTTGCTTTTTGTGGAGAACAACGGGGTCTTGCTATATTGCCCAGGCGGGTCTCGAACTCCTGGGCTCTAGCTATCCTCTCGCCTCTGCCTCCCTGAGAGCTGGGATTACAGATGTGAGCCACTGCGCCCAGAGAACCTCCCCATTTTTAAATGCAATATTTAACTTCCTGTCCTCATCTTTCTCTTCCTTTTGGTAGTATGTGGTACAGTTGATCACTTTCTCTTCTACGAGAAAGAAAAAAGTTAAATGTTTACTTAAAACAGGTGAGGAAATAAATCATTTCCAATTTCTTTTGTGGTGTGGGAGAGAGTTGTTTGAAGACCTTGTCCCTATCTGATCTGCTTCCCCAGGACATCTCTGACCTTATCTCCTGCTAGTGAGCGCTCACTCCGTCTGTTCCAGCCACACAGGCGTCTTCCCTTTTCCTGTGCTCTGGGTTGTTTCTTTTTTCTGTCTTTTTTTTTTTTGGAGACATAGTCTCACTCTGTTGCCCAGGCTGGAGTGCAGTGGCACGATCTTGGCTCACTGCAACCACCGCCTCTCTCGGGTTCAAGCAATTCTCCTGCCTCTTCCTCCCGAGTGGCTGGGATTACAGGCGTGAGCCACCACGCGTGGCTAATTTTTGTATTTTTAGTAGAGACGGGGTTTCACCATGTTGGCCAAGCTGGTCTGGAACTCCTGACCTCAGGTGATCCACCAGGATTGGCCTCCCAAAGTGCTGGGATTATAGGTTTGAGCCATTGAGCTGGGCCATATGTCTTCTTTTGAAAAATGTTCATGTCCTTTGCCCACTTTTTAATGGGGTTGTTTTATTCTTATAATTTTGTGTAAGTTCCTCATAGATGCTGGATATTAGACTCGTCAGGTGCATAGTTTGCACAAAAGTTTCTCACATTCTGTACGGTTTTCTATTCATTGCGATAGTTTCTTTTGCTATGTGGAAGCTCTTTGGTGTAATTAGATCCCATTTGTCAATTTTTGCTTTTGTTGTAATTGCTTTTGGTGTCTTCGTTATGAAATCTTTGTCCATTTGTATGTCCAGGATGGTATTGCCTAGATTATCTTCCATGTGTTTTATAGTTTGGGATTTCTCATTTAAGTCTTTGATTCATCTTGACTTAATTTTTTGTGTGGTATAAGGAAGAGGTCCAGCTTCAGTCTTCTACATGTGGCTAGCCAGTTATCCCAGCATCATTTATTAAGTAGAGAGTGTTATCTCCATTGCTTGTTTTTGTCAGCTTCATCGAAGATCAGATAGTTGCAGGTTTGTGGCCTTATTTCTGGGTTCTCTGTTCTGTTCCATTGGTATCACAGACCAGAAGTTTTAACTTGACGAAGTTTCATTTATCATTTTTTTCCATGCTTTTGGTGTCATATCTATGAACTCTTTGGTGTGCTTGTTCCCAATTAGTTTACAGTATGTTTTTCTAATTCTTGATAGATTAACATTTGATGGTTTCTTTATTTTGCATTTCACAACATGGTCCTTTTTGAATGAGTGTCAAATTTAGGTGCAGATTGATCTTTTTTCATTGTGGATATTCATTTGGTCCAGCACCATTATTTGAAAGTCCTGCTTTCAATTGCTTTGGTATCTTTTTTTTTTTTAATTTTTTTTTTGAGATGGAGTCTCACTGCCGCCTGGCTGGAGTGCAGTGGCATGATCTCGGCTCACTGCAACCTCCGTCTCCTGGGTTCAAGTGATTCTCCTGCCTCAGCCTCCCGAGTAACTGGGATTGCAGGCACGTGTCACCACACCCAGCTAATTTTTGTATTTTTAGTAGAGACGGGGTTTCACCACATTGGCCAGGATGGTCTCAATTTCTTGACCTCGTGATCTGCCTGCCTCGGCCTCCCAAAGTGCTGGGATTACAGGCGTGAGCCACCATACCTGGCCTGCTTTGGTATCTTTATCAAATATCAGTTGAAAGGAAAATATTTGTGCATTCTCTATTCTGTTCCATGGATATATATATCACTCCCCACCAATGCCATGCAGTCTTTTTTTTTCATGCAGGGTCTCATTCTGTCACCCAGGCTGGAGTGCAGCGTTCATGATCTTGACTCACTCACTGCAACCTCCCTCTCCCAGGTTCACATGATCCTCTCATCTCAGTCTCCTGAATAGCTGGGACCAAAGGCATGTGCCACCATGCCTGGCTGATTTTTGTATTTTTTTGTAGAGATGGGGTCTCTCTATGTTGAGAGAAAAATAAGGTGCCCACATTCATAAATGCAAAAAAAATTGGCAGTATTTAACAGGAAATAATGTTACCTAAAAATAGTGAACTAGGAAGTGATATATCTTCATCAAATTGACAAACATCTGGGACATGTTACAGAAAGTCACACTAAAGTCAGAAATGACACTAAGGAGCTTCTAGTCTCCTCTTATCCAACATCATCTTGGAGGGAATAGCCAAGGAAATTTAAGAAGAAAGAGCAAGATGGGAGACAAGAATTGTCAATTATAGAGGTAAAAGTCATTCTGGAGCAAGTGATTCAATTTCTGTGTAATATATGGTTTTGAACGAATTTCTTAGTCTTGATTTCTGACTTGATTGCACTATGATCAAAGAGGTTGTTATGATTTCAGTTATTTTGCATTTGCTGAGGAGTATTTTACTTTCAATTATGTGATCTATTTAAGAGTGTGTGCCGGCCAGGTGCCGTGGCTCACGCCTGTAATCCCAGCACTTTGGGAGGCTGAGGTGGGTGAATCATGAGGTCAGAAGTTCAAGAGCAGTTTGGCCAAGATGGTGAAACCCCATCTCTACTAAAAATAACAAAAATTAGCCGGGCATCATGGCAGGTGCCTGTAATCCCAGCTACTTTGGAGGCTGAGGCAGAGAATTGCTTGTACCTGGGAGGCGGAGGTTGCAGTGAGCCGAGATCGTGCCACTGCACTCCAGCCTGGGGGACAGAGTGAGACTCCATCTCAAAAAAAAAAAAAAAAAAAAAAAAAGGAGTGTGTGCCATGTGACAATGGGGAGAATGTATATACTATTGTTTTTGAGTAGAGAGTTCCGTAGATGTCTGTCAGGTCCATTTGATCCAGTGCTGAATTCAAGTCCTGAATATTTTTGTTAATTTTCTGTGTGAATGATCTGTCTGATATTGCCAGTGGGGTGTTAAAGTCTCCCACTGTTATTATGTGGGAGTGTAAGTCTCTTTGAAAGTCTCTAAGAACCTGCATTTTGAGCAAGTTCCTGCATTAGGAATACAGGGTGCTCCTGTGTTGCGTACATATGTATTCAGGATAGTTAGCTCTTCTTGTCAAATTGAACCCTTTACCATTATGTAATGCCCTTCCTTGTCTTTTTAGAATCTTTGTTGGTTTAAAGTCTGTTTTGTTAGAAACTAGAATTGCAACCCCTGCTTTTTTTTTTCTTTTTCTTTCCTTTTTTTCTTTTTGAGTTGGAGTCTTGCTCTGTTGCCCAGGCTGGAGACCAGTGGTGCAATCTCAGTTCACTGCAACCTCCACCTCCGGTGTGCAAGTAATTCTCCTGCATCAGCTTCCCTAGTAGCTGGGATTACAGGCACAAGCCCCCATGCCCAGCTAATTTTTTGTATTTTTAGTAGAGACAGCATTTCACCATGTTGGCCAAGCTGGTCTTGAACTCCTGGCCTCAAGTGATCCTCCTGCCTCGGTCTCCCAAAGTCCTGGGATTATAGCCATGAGCCATTGCACCTGGCCCCCTGCTTTTTTTCTGTTTTCCATTTTCTTGGTAGATTTTTGTCCATTTATTTATTTTTTATTTTTTTATTTTAGGAGTTAGTTTATTAGGGGAGGAAGGATATTGTATTGTATAGACATGACCAGTCCTTCTTTTTTAAAGTTACCCCACCCTGAGCCTAAATATTCTAGTTTTTCATTTTCTTTACCTGCAAAAGAGGCATGATGGTATTTATTTTAAATATCATTATAAAGGCAAAATTTCATAAATTTTTTCACTAATTTTACATTCTATAATTACTCTGCTTTCCTAATAAGCAGGTTTTTTTTCTCTTTTTTTTATTATTATACTTTAAGTTTTAGGGTACACGTGCACAACATGCAGGTTTGTGACATATGTATACATGTGCCATGTTGGTGTGCTGCACCCATCAACTCATCATTTAGCATTAGGTGTATCTCCTAATGCTATCCCTCCCTCCCCCCACCCCACAACAGTTCCGGGTGTGTGATGTTCCCCTTCCTGTGTTCATGTGTTCTCATTCTTCAATTCCCACCTATGAGTGAGAACATGCGGTGTTTGGTTTTTTGTCCTTGCAATAGTTTGCTGAGAATGATGGTTTCCAGCTTCATCCATGTCCCTACAAAGGACATGAACTCATCATTTTTTATGGCTGCATAGTATTCCATGGTGTATATGTGCCACGTTTTCTTAATCGAGTCTATCATTGTTGGACATTTGTGTTGGGAAAACTGGCTAGCCATATGTAGAAAGCTGAAACTGGATCCCTTCCTTACACCTTATACAAAAATTAATTCAAGATGGATTAAAGACTTACATGCTAGACCTAAAACCATAAAAACCCTAGAAGAAAACCTAGGCAATACCATTCAGGACATAGGCATGGGCAAGGACTTCATGACTAAAACACCAAAAGCAATGGCAACAAAAGCCAAAATTGACAAATGGGATCTAATGAAACTAAGGAGCTTCTGCAAAGCAAAAGAAACCATCAGAGTGAATAGACAACCTACAGAATGGGAGAAAATTTTTGCAACCTACTCATCTGATAAAGGGCTAATATCCAGAATCTACAATGAACTCAAACAAATTTACAAGAAAAAGACAACCCCATCAAAAAGTGGGCGAAGGATATGAACAGACACTTCTCAAAAGAAGACATTTATGCAGCCAACAGACACATGAAAAAATGCTCATCATCACTGGCCATCAGAGAAATGCTAATCAAAACCACAATGAGATACCATCTCACACCAGTTAGAATGGCGATCATTAAAAAGTCAGGAAACAACAGGTGCTGGAGAGGATGTGGAGAAATAGGAACACTTTTACACTGTTGGTGGGACTGTAAACTAGTTCAACCATTGTGGAAGTCGGTGTGGCGATTCCTCAGGGATCTATAACTAGAAATACCATTTGACCCAGCCATCCTATTACTGGGTATATACCCAAAGGATTATAAATCATGCTGCTCTAAAGACACATGCACACGTATATTTATTGTGGCACTATTCACAATAGCAAAGACTTGGATTTTTGTCCATTTCTTTATTTTAAGCCTATGTGTGTCACTGCTTGTGAGATGGGTCTCTTGGAGACAGCATACCAGTGGGTTTTGGTTCTTTACCCACCTTGCCAGTCTGTCTCTTAATTGGGGCATTTAGGCCATTTACTTTTTTTTTTTTTTTTCCTGAGACAGAGTCTTGCTCTGTTGCCCAGGCTGGAGTGCAATGGCATAATCTCAGCTGACTGCAGCCTCCGCCTCTGGGGCTGAAGCGATTCTCCTGCCTCAGCCTCCTGAGTAGCTAGGACTATAGGCATGCACCACCATGCCCAGCTAATTTTTGTGTTTTTAGTAGAGATGGGGTTTCACCATGTTGGCCAGGCTGGTCTGAAACTCCTAATGTCATGATCCACCCACCTCCACCTCCCAAAGTGCTGGGGTTACAGGCATGAGCCACTGCATCCAGCTGGCTGCCCATTTACATTTAAGGTTAATATTGATATGTGTGGATTTGATCCGTTATCATGGTGTTAGGTGGTATAGTGTAACTGATCTATGTCCTTTAGTGTGTTTTTGTAGTGGTTGGTAATGGTCTTTCCATATTTAATGCTTTCTTCAGGAGCTCTTGTACTGCAGGTCTGATGGTAATGAATTCCCTCAGCATTTGCTTCTCTGAAAAGGATCTTATTTCTCTTTCGCTTATGAAGCTTACTTTGGCCAACTATGAAATTGTGGGTTGGAATTTCTTTTCTTTAAGAATGTTAAATATTGGCCCTCAATCTCTTCTAGCTTGTAGGCTTTCTGCTGAGATGTCTGCTCTTATGGGCTTTCCTTTGTAGGTGACCTGACCTTTCTCTCTAGCTTCCTTTAACATTTTTTCTTTCATTTTGACCTTGGAGAATCTGATGATTATGTGGCTTGGGTATGATCTTCTTGTGAAGTATCTTACTGGGGTTCTCTGCATTTCCTGAATTTGAATGTTGGCCTCTCTAGCTAGGTTGGGGAAGTTCTCATGGATAATATGCAAAAATATATTTTCCAAATTGGTTTCACTCTCTTTCAGGGACACCAGTGAATCATAGATTTGGCCTCTTTACATAATCCCATTGTTTTATGTGTTTGTTATCTTTCTTGGATTGGGTTTCAACATACTCCCATAGCTCAATGAACTTTGTCCTTATCCACATTTTGAGTTCTATTTCTGTTATTTCTGCCATCTCTGCATGGTGCAGAAACCTTGCTGGAAAGGTGATGCAGTTGTTTGGAAGAAAAAAGGCACTCTAGCTTTTTGAGTTTCCAGGGTTCTTGCACTGATTCTTTCTCATCTTTTTGGGCTTATCTACCTTCAGTCTTTGAGGTTGCTGACCTTTGGATGAGGATTGTTTTTTGTTTTTGTTTTTTACTTTTATCATAACTATTTGATGACCTTGAGGGTTTGATTGTGGATTGTGGTATAAGGTGGATTCAGCTGACTGGCTTCATTTCTGGAAGATTTTAGGGGGCCAGCACTTATCTGGACTGTGTGCTCTAACTTTAGGGGACTTGTATTGGGCCCCAGTGTTTTCCTCTGACTCCTCAAGAGCCAGAGTGCTAGAGGGCGCCAGAGTACCTGCCTCCATGCAAGTGTTCACCACAGTGGCAGAGACAATGCAGCTGGGTCAGGGGCTGGGGTCCCCTTCTGGAGATTGTGTGCATGGTTACACTAGAGGTGGTATTGGCTTGGGAGTGGGGTGCCAGTGGCCACCATTCTGGGTGCCTTCTCTGCCCTGTAAGCAAGAGTGGCACCAATCTTTTTTAAAAGACTGGTAGCAAACCTACCCTTAGTTTGAACTCACAAAGGAGAAGGAGGAATTACAGTTATGTTGCAGGTCTCCAAACAAACCCAGGGCCATAGGAGACAATCATGTCAGGGAAGGCTGGGGCAGCTCAGTGGCCTTGTTTTCTCCTTGGGTGCTTGATACAAGCATAATGCTGCCTGCTGCTCCATGTACCTCCCAGCATCTGGAGGATCCTGAGGCTCAGTGGCTTCTTCCTATGGGCCCCATATGTGCTTGGTCCCACAGGTCTTGGTGGTTTGAGACACTCCTACAAAGCATTTCTCCTCGGAAGGTGATTGGGGCACCTCTTACCAAGAGAGCTACAAAAGTTTGAATCTCTTTTTTCCTTTCAAATTTTTCAGGATACTCAGCTCTTCCTTAAGGTGATTGAGATTGGGATAGAGAGGGAAGGAAGAGTCAGGGGTAGAGAAGGAGAAGGTTTCTGAATGCCAGGAAGCAAGACATCATTGGCAGTAATTTTGAGCAGTTTGGTGGCTGCTCTGGTTTCAAGCAAGTGAAGTTTTAATGTTTCATATTTTAATGTTTCATATCCACCCTAAGTGCCCTAGCAGCTTTGGGGACCCTGTCCTTATTTCCTGCCAGGTGGGGGAGAATAAATGATAACCAAACACCATTAAGGTGGCTTTTTTCAATCCAAATTCCCAAAGCACAATTAGTAGGTAGGACAGTAGAGACTCTCACTCCCCTTCTCACTCATCACTTATGCCAAAGCATTTGTTACTGGTAGTCTTCCACACCCTGCTCATAAAAAGCCCTTGCACTTTTCTGTTTCAGAAACCATGTGTCTATCACAAGCTGATTAGTACGGAAGAAACTCAGATAGAAAAAATTGCTGGGCACGATGGCTCACGCCTGTAATCCCAGCACTTTGGGAAGCTGAGACGGGCAGATCACCTGAGGTCGGGAGTTCAAGACCAGCCTAACTAACATGGAGAAACCCCATCTCTACTAAAAATACAAAATTAGGCATGGTGGCACATGCCTGTAATCCCAGCTACTCAGGAGGCTGAGGCAGGAGAATCACTTGAACCCAGGAGGTGCAGGTTGTAGTGAGCTGAGATTGTGCCACTGCACTCCAGCCTGGACAACAAGAGTGAAACTCCATCTCAAAAAAAAAAGAAAAGAAAAGAAAAGAAAAAGAAAAAAAATTAAGCTGGTGTGGTGGCTCACACCTGCAATCCCAGCACTTTGGGAGGCCAAGGTGGGTGGATCACTTGTGGCCAGGAGTTCGAGACTAACCTGAGCAACATGGTGAAACCCTGTCTCTAGTAAAAATACAAAATTTAGCCAGGCATGGTGGTGTATGCCTGCAATCCCAGCTACTCAGGAGGCTGAGGCACGAGAATCACTTAAACCCATGAGGTAGAGATTGCATTGAGCCAAGATCATGCCACTGCACTCCAACTTGGGCAACAGAGCAAGTCTGAGTTCCACCATATTATTTAATAAACATTAATAGAGGAAATGCTCTTTTTAGATCCTAACTGTAAGGGTATATTCAATTACATTTTTAAAAGCTATATCTCTAACCCATGATGATTAAAGTAAATGAGTGAAAACTCCGTTGGGTGTGGTGGCTCATGCCTGTAATCCCAGCACCTTGGGAGACCAAGGCAGGCTGATCATCTGAGGTTGGGAGTTTGAGACCACTCTGGCCAACATAGTGAAATTTCATCTCTATGAAAAATACAAAAATTAGCCAAGCAAGGTGGTGTACACCTGCAATCCCAGCTACTCAGGAGACTGAGGCACAAGAGTTACTTGAACCCAGGAAGCGGAGGTTGCAGTAAGCTGAGGTCACCCCATGGCACTTTGGCCTGTGCGACAGAGCGGGACTGTCAGAAATAGAAAGAGAGAGAGAGAAAGATTTATTCTATGTAATTCCCACTTATTGTAAAACTGAAAATAACAATGAATTATCAGTTTTATACCTACTTACGTAAAATTACTTCATCTTTCAATTAGTATTGCTATTACTGTTTATGGTTATGGAGCAGAAGCTCAGTCTGTTTTAGTTGCAATACGAGAGGGTGGTGCCTCATTTTGTGCTATGACTCCACAGTGGATGAGTGGAGAAAATTAGTAAATATTGTGCAAAACCAAACAATTTATATGTTTCTGATAAGATTTAAAAATTCTGTATTCCTTGTCTAGAGGGCAAAGCAAAGACTAGATTCTGTGGAGTCACTTATGAGCAAAAAGAAGCTGACAGCTTCAAAACATGTATTGATTAAGGTAGAAGCATTCACCAGCCACCAACTGGGATTGTTTATTTATTTTTTTCCTTTTTGGTGAGGATTTCTGGGTTTGGCAAATATTATTTTGTCTTTAATTATATTTTTCCCAAGATATAAAAAATGGAGTAAAGAGTGTTTCTTCAATGATTTCTTGGATAATTGAGTACAGTTTGTATTTACTAGTTTAGATATACTAAATCCTCCATTGCTTCTTCAGGAGGGATTGCACAAAGACCTTTGTTACCAGGAGGGGTGTGGAGGTCCTTCAGTTTATCTTCCTGAAGGAAAGAATTCATCTAGGAGGCACACAGAAAGAGTTAAATCGTTAAGTAACCTTTATTTAAAGACAGGAGGTCAAGAAGAGACAGAACTGGCTGCTGCAGAGAGTGAGTCAGCTGCTAGTGACTTAGGAGGAATTCCCCGCCGCCCTCCCCAGATGGAGTCTCCTGTAGCCCAGGCTGGAGTGCAGTGGCGCAATCTTGGCTCACTGCAACCTCCGCCTCCTGGTTTCAAGTGATTCTCCTCCCTCAGCCTCCTGAGTAGCTGGGATTACAGGTGCGTGCCACCAGGCCCGGCTAATTTTTTTGTATTTTTAGTAGAGACGGGGTTTCGCCATGTTTGTCAGGCTGGTCTCAAACTCCTGAGCTGTGATCTGTCTGAGGATCCGCCCAAGGAAGTGCAGGGATTACAGGCCTGAGCCACCATGCCTGGCCTGGGAGGAATTTTTATGGGGGCTTTTAAATAAACAGTACACCCTGAAAGACAGAACAGGCTGGGCTGCTCAAATGAATGAGTCTGTCTCACCAATGCTGGGGAGACGCTTCTTTTTGTTTGTTCGTTTTTTGAGATGGAGTTCCCCTCTCGTTGCCCAGGCTGGAGTGGAATGGCACGATCTTGGCTCAACACAACCTCTGCCTCCCGGGTTCAAGCGATTCTCCTGCCTCAGCCTCCCAAGTAGCTGGGATTACAGGCATGCGCCACCACGCCCAGCTAATTTTGTATTTTTAGTAGAGACGGGGTTTCTCCATGTTGGTCAGGCTGGTCTCGCGCTCCCGACCTCAGGTGATCTGCCTGCCTCAGCCTCCCAAAGTGTTGGGATTACAGGCGTGAGCCACCACACCTGGCTGGGGAGATGCTTCTTATGAGAATTTTACATGATTATTCATGAAGGGGTCATGCAGGGGCGTTACTAGTAAGCATGTGTTGGGAACTGGTCTGGGCACACATGTGCCATGTCATTTGGATCTAAAGTCTAACAAGGAATTTCTGGTTAAAAAATAAAATCTCCACACAGGTGTGTGGTTTTTTTTATTATTTTAATGAACAAAATGGTATATTAGGGTGAATTATTAGAGAAGTATACATGCTTCTTAGTGGGGAATAGCTCCTACCTTGGTAACCTCTGGCTGGGCCTTGATAAGTTCCCTTCTGGAACAGAGGAATGCAGCCACAAGGCCAGGTGTAGCCAGTGTAGCCACGCTCCTCCTTTTGCTGACTCAGCGTGCAGCGTTTCCAAGGAGGCCATCAGCGGGCTGCATTTCTAAAGATTCCTTTCCCAGGGGCTTCCTTGCCTGCTCTTGTCTGGCTACCTGCCTACCCTAACAGTATTCCCCCTCAAGAGTTGGAGACCCTGAAAAGCTTTGGGCATAAGGACGTCGTGGGTCTTCTGTAACTACTTCCTGCTGACGTGGGACGAAGAAGTCATCAGGGTCTCCCTCTCTTGCTCTCTGTCAGGGAAGGAGCCCCTCCGTAGTTGCAGAATCTTTGCCCACTGGCATCCAAGGGAGATATGTACTTGTAGGTGCTGGGACCTCCAAGGAAGATTGGATGATCTCTTTCCATTTTTAGGGGCTCTGTGTGAAATTGCCATATCCTGGAAGAGACATATTTAATTAGTGAATTATAGAGACAAGGGCCAAAGAGGAGAAAGCAGGCTATTAAGTGCAGCTGGTCCCAGTAAAGGGACAAACCATGTGAGGGAGGGGAGGGCAGACTTCACAGCCTCCCAAATGGACCCTGCTGAATCACCTTTTCCAAAGTTATGGAGCCACGTAACCTCATCATAGATCTTTTTTATATCCTCCTCTATCGCCCCACTGTTATTGACATAAATGCAACAGGATTTACTGATCACTGCACAGACTCCACCCTGCTCTGCTAAGAGGTAATCTAAGGCCAATCTGTTGTTCATGACTACATTTGCTAGAGAATCTATGGAGGCCTTGAGTTTAGAGATGCTATCTCTGGTACTCTTAGCTATGTTGTCTATTTGTCTGGAGAGATTTCTGAGGGTGACATCATGATAAGTGAACCCTCCCCATGGGGCGATCATTCCTATGGCCGCACCCATCCCTGCCAGTATTAGACCCAGAGCTCTTTTCTGTCTGGGTTGGGTGGTGTTATAAATGGTCACACCTATCCCCCGTGGTCCCAAAAGTCCCACAGCACATTCTCCCGTATGTTGGATGTTATTAATGCAAGTGTAGAGGTTTGCCACAGGGGGGGTTGAATAAGTTATCTTAGGACTTCCATCAAAGGGCAGTTTATTTTTTTGTGGCCCACATAAAAATACATAGCCAGGAGGGGTACAGGCCCACCGGGGGATGTGGCTGTCGAACCACTTGTGTAACTGCGATTTCCACCCTGCTGGAATAGTTTGATTGCATGCAGGGGATAGAGGCCCTCCCAGGGGAACAGTAGATTTTGGCCATGTGGGGACAGTGTGTGCCTTGGGAAGCAAATATAGAACCCTCCATGTGATTAGCTCTTTTCCTTCCCAAGCTGCACAGCGGTTTTGGGGTGACTTGTCTCGATAATCGTTCATTTGTTTAGCTGGACACCAGTGAGTCAAGTTAGGGTGGCAGCCTGCTGGGGAGAAGCTCATGGGATGGATGGTGGGACTGGGGAATCCCTCCTCAGAGGTGTTCTTCCTGTCACAGTGTCCTTCAGGGCATGGACAACAGGTTTGGTTTAGAGAAGAGCAGTTGTAGAAATAGAAAGAAGTTTTAGAGCTTTGATTGAAAGGTGGAGTGAGATCCAGGCAGGGGACTTGGTGCGCTGAGTTAGCAAGCGAAACCTGGAGCGGAACAGATTTATGTTGGCCTTCAGGGATTCCTGAACCAAATGTTAGGTTTAAAGAAAAATTTCTTACCAAAATATATTGGTAAGATGAGGACCTGGTGATGAAGTTGTGGCAGATCCAACAGTTGCTTAGATGGTTTCCCGAAGCAATTATTTTGGAAAAACTGACAAGGGAATTTTCATTCCACTGTGCCTGTGAGAGTAGGGGCATGGGAAGGAGGGAAAGATAAAGGAAAAGGAATTTCTCTGTCATAGCTGATTCTCCCTTAAGCTTTGTGAAAGCAAAAGGAAAGTGCTGAAAATAGGAGAGACAAATAATGAAATGGTTCGATGGAGTGTTTAGTGAGAAATCAGGCTGTTATCGGGACTTCAGGTGGCATGCCAGTGTGGGTCAAAATAAGGAGAAGAACCGATGCCACCGCAACCAAGATTCCCCGTACTGAGAGACCTTTTTTTGAGGTGAAAGGAGAGAAGGCTTTACTTATCTTTTCACTTGAAGAGGAATTGGAAGCTCTCCAGTGGCTGGCTCATGAGACTACTCAGATGCTGATTCTGTTGTTGGTTCTTCGGGACCTTCTCACAGTTTTACTCAGGAGTGATGTATCCAACTAGAGATTCCAGAAACTTTGATAGCTGTCGGGGTAGAAAGTAATAAAGGGGCCTTTCCATAAAGGAGAGACCCAGGCTAGTTGAGACCTGGGTGACCCATCTCTCCAGGTTTTGATGAGGACTTGTGACCCTGGCTAGTATAAGGGTTGATTACTGGAGGGGTCAGTGGCAGGCAGTACCTTTTGCTCAAACTCCTGGATGGCTTGTTGAAATTGGGCCAGTGATGTTATGTATTTGATTAATTGGGTAACTTCTGGATCTAACATTAGGTCTGCATGTAGGAAGGCATAAGTAATATTAGGGGTCATGCTCAGAACAGTGCTACGGACAGGAGTTCTAACCATGGTGAGGAGGTTTCCTGGCACACTTTGTTCAGGGTCCTTTTAATAGTTTGATTAGTGCTTTCTACCTTGCCAGAGGAATGTGTTCTCCAGGAGTGCTAGGAGTACTTTATTTCTAGGGCTTTTGTCACTAATTAAAGGGTGCGTGAAATAAAAACTGGGCCGTTGTCACTTTGTAAACACAAACTAAACCCACACTGAGGGGTGATTTTTTTTTTCTTTTTGTTTTTGAGACGGAGTCTCGCTCTGTTGTCCAGGCTGGAGTGCAGTGGCACAATCTCAGCTCACCACAAGCTCCACCTCCCGGGTTCACACCATTCTTCTGCCTCAGCCTCCTGAGTAGCTGGGACTATAGGCGCCCGCTACCACACCCACCTAATTTTTTCTCTTTTTTAGTAGAGACAGGATTTCACTGTGTTAGCCAGGATGGTCTCAATTCTCTGACCTCGTGATCCGCCTGCCTCGGCCTCCCAAAGTGCTGAGATTACAGAAGTGAGCCACCACGCCCGGCCGGGATGATTTTTTTTTTTTTTTTAAGAAGTACCTTGGCTACTTCCTGGGCCTTTTCTGTTCTTGTAGGAAAGGCTTTAACCCACCCAATAAAGGTGTCCACAAACACCAGAAGGCATTTATAGCCTCTACAGGCTGGCAATTGAGTGAAATACATCCATCAGTCTTTCCCTGGGTAAGCTTCCCAATGCTGAACTGGCTCAACTAAGCAGGACAGGGAGCTGCATTGGCTCTGGCCGGTTGTCCTGGGTCACAAGGAGGCAAGGCTACGCGTTTGAGGCCAACCTGGGCAACATTGAACAAAAAAAAAAATTTGGCTGGGCACGGTGGCTCATGCCTGTAATCCCAGCACTTTGGGAGGCCGAGGCAGGCGGATTACCTGAGGTTGGGAGTTCAAGACCAGTCTGACCAGCATGGAGAAACCCCATCTCTACTAAAAATACCAAAAAAAAAAAAAAATTTTTTTTGGTCTTTTTTTGGTGGCACCTGCCTGTAATCCCAGCTACTCAGGAGGCTGAGGCAGGAGAATCGCTTGAACTTGGGAGGGAGAGATTGCGATGAGCTGAGATCACGCCGTTGCACTCCAGCCTGGGTACTAAGAGTGAAACTTTGACTCAAAAAAAAAAAAAAAAAAAAAAAAAAGCAGGGCAGCGTAGGGCCCTGGGGGCTATTACAGGCACAGGATGCACAGGTGTTAAAGACCTGACAAATAGTCTAGTAGAGCCCTTTCCTGGAAAAGAGGTTTTTGCACATGTGCTGGAGATGATGTCTCCCAAAGTGACATGACTCATGGAGTGCTCTCACAAGTTTTTACTGGAGGGCCTAGGAAAGTGGAGAATTCCTCCCACTGTATACCACACCTCAGGTTCTCGGGTAGATTCATATTTGATAGCCCATTCCTTTTCCTCTTGGGTTTTTGTGGGTGGGTAAGGTGTTGGGTAAAGATGGGTTAAGGGCCATGAGGAGTTCCCTACAGGGTAGTGGTCCTGGCTGTTTGATCCACCCTCCTGTTTTGCTGGGCATTTTCTCCCTGGTCCTTTGGTGTCCCTGGCCATGGACTACAGCTATTTCCTGTGATAGGTGTACAGCTTAGAGCAGGGCCAGGATCTGTGGTCCACATTCCTTAGGGGTATCTTTTGCTGGTAAAAATCCCTGTTCCTTCCAGATGGCCACATGAGCATGGAGTCCTGAGAGGGCATATTTTGAATCTGTATAAATTGTAGCTTTTGGGTTTTTCCCTATTTCTATGGCTCTAGTTAAGGAAATGAGCTCTGCTAGCTGTGCCAATGTTCTTGGAGGAAGGGATTTGGCTTCTATAATGTCAAATAGAGACACTATTGCATAACTGCATGTGTCACTCCATGTTGGATGAAACTGCCGCCATCAGAAAACCAGACTTAATCAGGGTTCAGTAGTGGAGAACCCTTTAAATGTTTTCTACCAGCAGAATAGATTTCCTGTGTTGCAGGGAGAGTTACAGACTTTAACAGGCCATGTCTAAGGAATGGGTTAATGATAGGCTCAAGTCCTTCTGTTGCCTCTGGCCATAGCGAGTATTGTTTCTTATGAAAGAAGTGGAAGGTTTTCTTAGCTGGATTTTGACTGGGACTGCAGTTATTGCCCTTCCTAGTGTATCAAAGCCCATATCTCAGGGTTATTTGTGATTCCAGATCAAGATAATTCAGCAATGTCATGGGTGAGTCTTCCAAAAAAAAAGAAAGCCTTTCAGGGAAGTTCAGGTAAATGTGAAGCGTGCCCCTAGTTTGGAGAGTATATCCCTGCCCTAAAGACGTATGGGACATTCAGACAGTATCAGGAACTCATGGGAAAAGATTAATTGGTCTTTTAACAATAAAGAAGGTGTAAATCTTAGGAAGAGATGCCATTTACCCTGATTACCTGACAGAGGAAAGTTGCCTAGAGAAGGGGGTCAGCACCGAGCAGGCTGCTCTCAAATCAAATAGAAAATGTATTGTCCTACCTGCTACATCCAGAGTTGCCCTGGGCTCCATCCCTTTGATGATGATGTCACATCTGGGAGCTGGCCAAGGCAGAGGGCACCCTCAGCTCAAAGCCATCATTGGCTCAGGGGCCCTTTTGGCTCTCGGGACAGTTCTCTTTCCAGTACCTGAGCTTACGGCAGAGGGGACAGGCCGTGCAGGGCTTTTCCCCCCTTGGCCCGTAGGGGCAGTTTGCCTTCCAATGGCCCGGCTTCCCGCACTGATAGCAGTTCCCTGGGAAGGTATCCTTAGGGCAACCTGGAGGGGGCTGGTGAACTTGCAAAGCAGCTAGTAATTGAGCCTGCCTCTCTTCTTTCTGTTTTTCCTTCCTCTCGGCCCTGTCCCTCTCATCCTGGTCTCGGTTATAAAACACTGAGGAAGCGAATTTGAGGATTTCTGACATGGGGGCTCTAGTTCCCAAAGCCAGCATTCGCAGTTTTCTCCTAATGTCTGGGGCAGCTTGTGTGAGGAAGTGATCCTTTAGGACTAGTTGTCCTTCTGGGGATCCCGGGTCTAGGTTGGTATGTTTGATAAGAGTTTCCTGGAGCCTTTCGAGAAAGGCCGTGGGATTCTCATGTGGCCCTTGGTCGATGGTTGCTAACTTATTATAATTGACAGGCTTGACTTGACTCCTTTTCATTCCCTCTATCAGGCATAGGAGCATATGATTTCTGGCGCAGATTCCTGCCGGGGTATCGTAGTCCCAGTTGGGGTCCTGCAGGGGGACAGCTGTAGCTCCCACGGGGTAGTTGGCATCTGCCAAGTGTAGCTCATCCCCGCATTGACGTGCTGCCTCCCAGATGGTCTGTCTTTCTTCCAGAGACAGGGTTTGTCCTAGGAGGATGGCGACATCCTTCCAGGTTAGTTCAAAAGTGAGGGTTAATTTACGGAAGCCCTCCAGGAATTTTCCCGGATTCTCTGAGAATTTTCCCAGGCCTTCCTTAACTTGGGACAAGTCCTGCATGGAAAAGGGGACCTGGACTTGGACTGGTCCTACTGGTCGGCTCACCACTGGTAGCAGGCAGATTCCAGAGCGGGGGCCTGAGGGCCTAGTGTAGGTTGAGGCTGACCCATGAAGGCTAAGAGTGCGATACAAGGAGGAAGGAGCTGGGGGTGCTTGCTCTTTCTCTTTGGTCTCAGGAAGAGGAGGTTGAGGTGGGTTGACCAGGAAATCATTGAAGCCTCCTGGTTGAGGTCTCTGGAGTGGACGACTGAGGATAGCTAAAAGGGCAGGATCTATCTTGCAGCCTTTACAAAAATCGGGGTTTTCCCTCAAGATCATGAAGGTTTGCACATAAGGGACCTCTGACCATTTGCGCTGCTGTCGGCAGTAGACGTCAAGCTGGAGTATGGTATTAACATTTAAGCTTCCCCCCACTGGCCAGGCTTCCTGCCCTTCTAGTTCATATTTTGGCCAAACTGTATTGCAAAGAAAAACCAATCTTTTTCGTTTCAATGCCTGGGGATCAAACTTATCCCAGTTTCTAAGGATGCATCCGAGAGGGGAATCCTGGGGTACGGAGCTCTGGTTACCCATCTGAAAGAGAAGACAGGAATGAATATAGGATAGAGAAGGCATCTCTCCACCTATTGGGTGCCTCAGGAAGGTGAGGCATTCCACACCTTGGCCTAGGTGAAGTGTCCATGCCTCTATTTACAGGGATGATTGGTTCTTCACCCTGGGGCTCCAGAATTAGCTAGCCTTAGCATTTGCACCATCCATTGTCTCCCTGTATCTCATTTTGCTCAGAAGCCTTTCTTAGATTTCCTAGGATTGATGCCTAGGAGGGACGCCTTTCTCACCTCTGTGTTGGGCCAGGAAGCATGTAAGAACGTCGGGCATGGGAGTAGTTCTCTTGTCTCTCATATTCCCAGTGACCTTGGTTCTGCAAGAAGTCCAGTAGTTCTGCCCCTGCTAAAGTCTGCAGAGAAGGGACTCCATGGTAAGGTCCCCTTAATGCATGATAATATTGGATTAATGCATACAGATGGTTAGAGGAATGGAGGTAAATTTGATATCTTCCCCTGGTCATAGTAGGTTCCTTGGGGATCATACAGAAAAAATGCTTAAACAGGCATGGAAGGCCCCTGGGGCTCAGAGTTAGTGGACTGGGCTGTTGATTCTGGTTTTTTACGTCCCTGATATGATCACATAAGCAGCAAGGGGAGTGCCGGGGGCATTTTCTGTCAGCTTTTTCAACATAATACAAAAAGCACCTGACTGCCGTACAGGTCTGTAACAATGGCTTGAGGAGGCGGATGAAGAACTTCCCATTGACCCACAGGAAACCCCGGTTGTAAAGAGAAACTGGGGTCTGAGAAAGAGGCCTATAAATGACCATCCGGAGGAACCAGACAGCTCGCTTGAGGAGCCACAGAATGAGGCATTCTTGAAGAGTAGTCGGGCGGAGAAGGACCCGATAGTAAACGAGGGATGCCTGTAAGCGAGCATCCTGCCAGTGCCGGTCCCTGCAGTGAGAAAGGAGGCAACTGAAAGGACGAAGCTGGGTCTCATCTCTAGGGAAAAAATAAGTATAAACTTCCTCACAGGCCCGGGCAGGCCTCCGGCGATTGGCAGTGAAGCAAACGCAGCAGGTCCCAGACAAGCAGGACAGACAAGGCACTTGTACACGAAGGAGGAATTCAAGGAAGCCCGGCGACGAGGACAGGGACAGCAAAGAGTAAGCAGAGTGACCTGGGGGATTATTCACCGGTGGCGGCATATTGTGTCCAGGAGAATGAACTGCCATGAACAGCAAGTAGAAGAGCCGACTCAACATGGAATAGTAGTTTTAGTTGAAGATATGAAGCTCCCCAGTCACTGCACAGCCAGGGTGGATTTTCTGCCACCTTCACAAGCCTCCTGCAGGGAGGGTCACCGTGTCTCAGATCTACTCACTGTGGAGTTTAAATCCTCCCTCCTCTGCTTGTCACCCCTCAGGGTGAGCTGAGAAGTCAGCCAGAGGGAGCAGAGTGACAGTGGCTGAAGGGAAATGGTACTGGGCAGTTGATAGTGAACAGAGCCCGAGAGGAAAAGCCCCTCCCCTTAAGGCTGCAAGATCTGCATTAGGGCAGGAGGTTCTTCAGTGCAGAAAGAAGCAGAGGTCGTCAACCAGAGGATCTGGCACCAGCTTTTTGGCACTTACCCAG
Source organism: Homo sapiens (assembly GCF_000001405.40). Classification (NCBI taxonomy): domain Eukaryota; kingdom Metazoa; phylum Chordata; class Mammalia; order Primates; family Hominidae; genus Homo; species Homo sapiens. The sequence goes on along the minus strand of NC_000019.10, from coordinate 53,007,733 downwards.
AAGAACAGTTCACAGGCCACCAGGGGAAAACACCAGATGTTACCAGGAGGGGCGTGGAAGTCCTCTGGTTCTTGGTCTCCTTGAATTCAGTCAAGAGACACGCAGAAAGAGTTAAGCAGGTAAGTGCCCTTTATCTAAAGGCGTAGGAGCTCGGAAAGAAGAGATACCCTGAACAGTGGAGCAGGGTGGGCTCCTCAAAAGAATGAGCCTGTCCCTACTAGTGTTGGGCAGAGCCTTTTTGTGAGAATCTGACATGATTATTCATGAAGGGGCTGTGCAGGGATGTTCCTAGTAAGCACGTTCCAGGAAGTCCTCTGATCAGGAAAGCCCTGTGACGGTCCGTGCTGGTACACACGTCACATATCTCATTAGCATCTCAAATCTCCAGCCAGGGATGTGTGTTTCAGTATCATTTTGAGCAGAAGGCTCTTCTAGGGTGGGTTATTGCAGAAGTACACATGGTTGTTAATGGGGAAAATCCCCCATCTCGATTATGTCCAGCTAGCCCCTGATAAGTCCCCTTCTGGGCCAGAGGAGTGCAGCCACAAGGCCAGGTGGAGGCAATGTAGCCACTGATCTTTTCTTGCTGTCAGTGGGCAGCATCTTTAAGGAGACTCTCAGTGAGTTGCATTTCTTTTTTCTTTTTTCTTTTCTTTTTTTTTTTTTTTTGAGACAGAGTCTCGCTCTGTCACCCAGGCTGGAGTGCAGTGGCCCGATCTCGGCTCATTGCAAGCTCCGCCTCCCGGGTTCACGCCATTCTCCTGCCTCAGCCTCCTGAGTAGCTGGGACTACATGCGCCCACCACCAGGCCAGCTAAGTTTTTGTATTTTTAGTAGAGATGGAGTTTCACTGTGTTAGCCAGGATGGTCTTGATCTCCTGACCTCGTGATCCACCTGTCTCGGCCTCCCAAAGTGCTGGGATTACAGGCATGAGCCACTGTGCCTGGCCAGTGAGTTGCATTTCTAAATATTCCTTTCCAAAGTGTCAGAGACATTTGAACCAGAGCAATTCCATCTGGAATAGGGGCTGGAGAAAATAAGCCTGAGACCTGCTGGGTTACATTCCCAGTAAGTGAAGGCATTCTTAGTCATAGGATGAAACAGGAGGCTGCTCTGACTATGGAGTAGCCATACTTTATTCCTTTACTCTCTTAATAAACTTGCTTTCACTTTACTGTATGGATTCACCTTGAATTCTTCCTTGCGTGAGATCCAAGAACCCTCTCTTAGGTTCTGGATCAGGACCCCTTGCGGGTGACACAGAATCTCCTTACCTGCTCATGCCTCGCTATCTGCCTCCTGCAATACTTTCACCTGGTTTGTGGATAGAAAAACTTAATTACACCGAGTTCATCCACTTCTGTATGTTCTCTCTGTATAACCAATCTGAATGTAAATTCACCTTAAGCTTTTTCCCCCAGGTCACAGAAAAAAACAGAATTTTCACCTTCGTTGAGTTTATTCTCATCAACTTATTTCTCTGATAGAGAGAAAACTTCTATTAAGTGTCTTCATCAGGGCTCCACTGGTATAAAAAGGGATGTCAAGAAAATTTAGATGAATTTGAGATGTGACATGAATCTGACATATAAATTAGTGCTAGTATTTTCTTTTCTTTTTTCTTTTTTTTTGGGGGGGCGGTGGGGAGGGAGTCTCACTCTGTCACCCAGGCTGGAGTGTAGTGGTGCAATCTCGGCACACCGTAACCTCTGCCTCCCAGGTTCAAGGGATTCTCCTGCCTTAGCCTCCCAAGTAGCTGGGATTATGGGCGCCCGCCAGCATGCCCAGATAATTTTTTTTTTAATTTTTAGTAGAGATGGGTTTCACCATGTTGGCCAGGCTGGTCTCAAACTCCGGACCTCAGGTGATTTACCCACCTCAGCCTCCCAAAGTGCTCCCAAAGGTGTGAGCCACCATGCCCGGCCTCTTTTTTCCGCTTTCGTTGCCCAAGCTGGCATGCAGTGGCGCCATCTCGGCTCACTGCAACCTCCACCTCCTGGGTTCAAGCGATTCTTCTGCCTCAACCTCCCGAGTAACTGGGATTACAGGCATGCACCACTGTGCTTGGCTAATTTTGTATTTTTAGTAGAGATGGGGTTTCTCCATGTTGGTCAGGCTGGTCTCAAACTCCCCACCTCAGGTGATCCACCCGCCTTAGCCTCCCAAAGTGCTGGGATTACAGGCGTAAGCCACTGCACCCGACCTAAGTGCTTGTATTTTCTTTCTTTCTTTTTTTTTTTCCCACATTTAGTTCTTTTATTTAATTTTCTAGTGGACAATTTACATATCTCCCTCACCCTGTCTTTTAAGTTAGTGTGACAATTTTCCATAATAAACTACTTAAAGGGAAGCTTTGGTCAAGAATGGAATGAAATCGCAAAAAAAATAAAAAAATAAAAAAAAAAATACTGCTTTAAAAAAACCAGCATTTTCACCAATTTTATATTCAAACAAAACCACACAGCATTGGCCTGCTATGTGTTTTCAGTGTTTCCTTGGGTCTAGCTTCCTCGCCATCGTGCCACGGCACAGCTGCGGTTGGCCACAGTTTGTCATGCTAGATGGCGAAGGCTCACTCAGCTTCACATTATGTGGAGGACCTGGATGGAAGACTCGAGGGTCTTGAAATCCCAAATTGTCATGGCTCCATCAATGCCAGTAGTGCAAAATTTGCGACAACCTTGCTTGTCTACCTCATAAATAGAGACGTGAGTGATGCTATTCTGGTGCAGCCTCTCCAAGGCCATGTTGTGGTCCTCAATCGTGGCCCTCGTGTCCATGTTGCGGAAGTGTTCTATGGCAGACATGTTGCGTTGGATGCTCTGTTTTGGAATGTCTAACTTGGAGACGAAGGTCAGGCAGCCGCGGTCATCATAATTAAAGAGCATTGGGTAGCAGTCATGGCCAGCAGCCACGACACTGTTCTCTGAGACAAATGACACACTCAGGAGTGGTAGGAACTCTGTCTTCAGAATTGAGACCTGCACACTTTTTGAGGCATCAGCAACAGATAACGGTGCTGTCGTGGCTGACCCAGGCCAGGCGGCTCCCACTGGCAGAGAAGCTTACCCCGTGGACCCAGCCACCGGTGCCACTGCCACCAAACTCTGACATCAGCTGCCCAAAAGGCATCTTGGTGCCCCAGGGCATGCTGGCTGGCTTTTCATCCACTTCTTTAATGTAAGCAGAAAACACTCTGCATTTGAAGTCACATGATCCTGCTGCCAGCAAAACATTGTTGGGATGCCAATCCAAGCTGAGGACTGTGGAGCGAATCGGCTTTTTAATATGCTTGCTTACCCACCAGTCATTTTCAGACTCAAAGTAACAAACAAATGAGTCATGCTCCACTTCCCACAGCAAATTTGTTCTCTAGCGGGGACCACTTCACAAAAGTAGCTGCACGATTAATTCTAAGGATCACCAGGGTTGGCTTCCAGACACCATCTTTCTGACTCCAGACATAGGCATTGCAGTCTACCCCGCAAGTGACGATGCGGTCGCTCTTGGGAGCCCAGTGAATGCCTGTGATATGTCCATTGTGCTCACTGAGTTCACGAGCTTTCACTCGCTGGCTCCCATGCTTCTTATAGATGTGCGCTTCCTGATTATCAGGACTGAGGGCAATCTGGGTACGATCCCTGTTCCAGGCACGACAGGTGATTGGCTCTAGTAAAAACTGATGCAGTGATGTCATTCTTAGTGTTTTCAAAGGAGAGAAGGCTGGGATCGGGGAAGTCCGGACGGGCTCAGAGCAGAGGATTTGCGGACTCTGGGCTGTCGACGTGAACCAGTGCTTGCATTTTGTAATTGTTACCAAAGAATTGATAAAACTGTGAGAGTGTGTTTTTCCATGGTCAGCAGGAAAATGGAAAAGGAAACACCATTTTTCTTTTTCTTTTTCTTTTGGAGACAGAGTCTCGCTCTGTCACCCAGGTTGGAGTGCAGTGGTGTGATCTTGGCTCACTGCAACCTCTGCCTCCCAGGTAGGTTCAAGCAATTCTCCTGCCTCAGCCTCCCGATTAGCTGGGATTACAGGCTCACACCACCACGCCTGGCTAATTTTTTTGTATTTTTACTTGAGATAGGGTTTCACCATGTTGCTCAGGCTGGTCTCAAACTCCTGAGCTCAGGCAGTTCACCCGCCTCAGTTTCCCAAAGTACTAGGATTACAGGTGTGAGCCATCGCACCCAGCCCACTATTTGTCTTAATATATCTCTAGGTTTCTGTTCAATTTAACAGTTACACAGACCCCTGAATTTAGAGATTTAGAGCCATATCTTCCAATAATTACTAATGTCTCTTGTATGTGATAGGAATGAATAACACACAGCCAAAATGAACACTCAAGGCCCTTTCGTTCCATTCAAAAACTGAGGTATGGGGCAACATCGCTATTGTTCCTATTTTTAGTTCTATTTTTCAAATTCTACACATGTATTATTATTTTTTCTCTTGGAGACGGAGTTTCGCTCTTGTTGCCTAGGCTGGAGTACAATGGTGCAATCTCGGCTCACAGTAACCTCCGCCTCCTGGGTTCAAGCGATTCTCCTGCCTCAGCCTCCTGAGTAGTTGGGATTACAGGCATGCACCACCACACCTGGCTATTTTGTATATTTTTAGTAGAGACGGAGTTTCTTCATATTGGTGAGGCTGGTCTCGCTCCTGATCTCAGGTGATCCGCCTGCCTCGGCCTCCCAAAGTGCTGGGATTACAGGTGTGAGCCACTGCGCCTGGCCTATATTTATTATTTTTTAAATTTTGTTTTATGTTACGTGTGGTGACAGTGTTGAAGTTTATTACAACCCTGTAAACCTAGTAAAGGGTTGAAGAAATAGCAAAGATTGAAGAAACCACCAGAGGAGCACATGTTCCCCAGGCCTCTTGAGGCCTCTAGGGCAAAAGCAAAACAAAAACAAAAACAAAAACAAACAAACAAAAAAACAAATAAAACCCACCGGAAACCACTCCCCTGCCCAATCCCTTGTTTTTGTTTTCCCTAGAAACAGCTTACTTCAAAGCTTACCCTCTTTGTTTACATAAGAAAAAACTCCAAATTCCCACGGTTTGTCTCATCAAGGATTTCTCACTGATGGTGGAAACAATGCTTCTTAACTTACTCAAACCTTAGGCTTCCCTGTTTCTCCAAGCCCCTGACTGTTGGACTATTCTTGGCCATTGAAATTCAGAACAACCTCTATTTCTCTCTCTCTCTCTTTTTTTTTTTTTTTTTTTTTTTTTTTTGAGGCAGTTTCACTCTTGTTGCCCAGGCTGGAGTGCAATGGCATGATATCGGCTCACTGCAACCTCTGCCTCCCAGATTCAGGTGATTCTCCTGCCTCAGCCTCCCGAGTACCTGGGATTACAGGCATGCGCCACTGTGCCTGGCTAATTTTGTATTTTTAGTAGAGACAGGGTTTCTCCATGTTGGTCAGGCTGGTCTCGAACTCCTGACCTCAGGTGATCCACCTGCCTTGGCCTCTCAAAGTGCTGCGATTACAGGCATGAGCCGCCGTGCCCGGCTAACAACCTCTATTTCTTAACCACATATGGGCACTGTGATTGAGAACAACTTCTCTTTGTTTGTTTGTTTGTTTTAGAGATGGAGTCTTGGCTTACTGCAAGCTCTGCCTCCCGGGTTGAAGTGATTCTCCTGCCTCAAACTCCCCAGTAGCTGGGATTACAGACCTGTGCCACCACCCCCAGCTAATTTTTTTATTTTTAGTAGAGACAGGGTTTCACCATGTTGGCCAGGCTGGTCTTGAACTCCCGTCCTCAAGCGATCCACCCGCCTTGGTGTCCCAAAGTGCTAGGATTACAGGCATGAGCCATGGCGTCCAGCCCAACTTTGCCTTTTTAATGTCCCATCCCAAGAGTAAGCTGACCTTAGGATAAAATATTCACTGAATAGGTCACAGCAGATGCTTATCCACTGCCCTGTACCTGGCGCTTTCTAACCTTGCTTCCTTCTCCTTATAAAAGAGAAGCCCTTTTCTGTGCAACTCATATATTTGCAGATCTTGGGGTTGGAGCATTTTCCCTATTGCAATATACCTTTTGAATAAAATCTAACCAATATCTAAATTTGTTTTTTGACAGTAGTAAACATTTTCTTTTTAGTTTTCTTTTTTTTTTTTTTTTTGAGACGGAGTCTCTCTGTTTCGCCCAGGCCGGAGTGCAGTGGTGCAATCTCGGCTCACTGCAAGCTCCGCCTCCCGGGTTCACACCATTCTCTTGCCTCAGCCTCCTGAGTAGCTGGGACTACAGGTGCTCACCACCGCGCCCAGCTAATTTTTTGTATTTTTAGTAGAGATGGGGTTTCACCATGTTAGCCAGGATGGTCTCGATTTCCTGACCTTGTGATCCACCTGCCTCAGCCTCCCAAAGTGCTGGGATTACAGGCATGAGCCACCGCGCCCGGCCCAGTAGTAAACATTTTCATTGTTCCGTCTGTGTTAGAATATGCACATGCTTTTTCCTGTGACACTGGCTATAATATAAGCTCAATAGATGAAAGTAGTTTCAGGCATGGTGGCTCATGCCTGTAATCCCAGCACGTTTGAAAGCAAAGGCGGCCAGATGGCTTGAGCCCAGGAGTCAGAAACCAACCTGGGCAACTTGGCGAAACCCATCTCTACTAAAAAATACAAAAATTAGCTGGGCGTGGTGGCACGCCCTGTAGTCCCAGCTACTAGGGAGGCTGAGGTGGGAGGATCACCTGAACCAGAAAGGTTGAGGCTGCAGTGAGCTGAGATGGCACCACTGCACTCCAGCCTGAGTGACAGAGTGAGACCCTTTTTCAAAAAACAAGTAGTTTCTATTTTAACTTTTTGGAAACATCTAATTACTTTGCATTTCTCTTATAATGATATTACAAGGATGTATATGTCAAAATCTTTCTGTGATTAAGAAAATCCTTTTTTTTTTTTTTTTTTTTGAGATGGAGTTTCTCTCTTGTTGCCCAGGCTGGAGTGCAGTGGTGCTATCTCAGCTCACTGTAACCTCCGCCTCCCGGGTTCAAGTGATTCTCCTGCCTCCACCTCCTGAGTAGCTGGGATTAGAGCCATGTGCCACCACACCCGGCTAATTCTGTATTTTTAGTAGAGACGGAGTTTCTCCATGTTGGTCAGGCTGGTCTTGAACTACTGACCTCAGGTGATCCGCCCGACTTGGCCTCCCAAAGTGCTGGGATTACAGGTGTGGGCCACCACACCCGGCAGGAAATATTCTTTTAAATTTCTTGTGAATCAGTATGTCCATGTTGCTTCCTTGACATTTCTAGAAGCAACAAAACTTTACATATACAAAATGGAATCATGACTTTCCGCTACAATCAGCTTCTTGTCTACCGTTCTGAGGTTAACAAAAACTGTCACAATCAATTCTTTTTTTTTTTTTTTGCATGGAAGCATGGAAGTCCAGGCTCAGTGTTCTTTTTTGGCTACTTAGCAATATTGCATAATACAGAATTATAATGCTGTGACAGGAAAACATACTTCCATATTACATGTTAAGTTGGAGATTGCCATGGAATTATTGCCTGAAGAAATGAGGCTACTTGTAAACATTTAATAATTGAGTTGTCCTTTTTTTTTTTTTTTTTTTGCTCTGTCTCCAGGCCAGAATGCAGTGATGCAATCTTGGCTCACTGCAACCTCTGCCTCCCGGGTTCAAGCGATTCTCCTGCCTCAGCCTCCTGAGTAGCTGGGACTAGAGTGCGCACCACCACATCCAGCTAATTTTTAGTGGAAACGGGGTTTCACCGTGTTAGCCAGGATGGCCTCGACCTCTTGACCTCGTGATCCCCCTGCCTCTGCCTCCCAAAGTGCTGGGATTACAGGCATGAGCCAGTGCGCCTGGCCGAGTTGTCCTTTCTTGAGAGTTCCTATGAAAGAAAATAACTTGCCTGCCATTTATCTTTAGAAATATTGCAAAATTATTTTTTCTCTAAGGGAAAATAAATCTAAATGACTTCTGAAGAGTATTTTATTGGCTTTGCTATCCACACGTGACAGAACATTGAGAAACAGAAAACAAAGAAAATATCTAAAATACGTTACAATTTTAAAATGAAATTTGTCTTATTACAGAATGCACATGGTGAATTTGAAATTACAATATATTTAGAAATTAATGACATAGCAATATTAGTGTTGATGAAAAGAGTCAAACTCTGTAAAATACTGGAAAAGATTTATTCTGAGCCAAATATGAGTGAGCTGGCCCATGACACAGTCCTCAGGAGGTCCTGAGAACATGGGCCACAGGTGGTTGGGGGCACAGCTTGGTTTTGTACATTCTAGAGAGGCATGAAACATCAATGAGATACATTTAACAAATACATTGGTTTGGTCCAGAAAGGTGGGGCAACTCAAAGCGGGATGGGTTGGTTTCAGGCTATAGGTGAATTTAAACATTTTGCCAGTCATGGTGGCGTGTGCCTGTAATCCCAGATACTTAGGAGGCTGAGGCAGGAGAATCGCTTGAACCCGGGAGGCAGAGGCTGCAGTGAGCTGAGATTGCGCCACTGCACTCCAGCCTGAGCGACAGAGCAAGACTCTAAAAATAAATAAATAAATAAATAAATAAATAAAAATAAATTTTAAAAATGCTATCATTTATCTGTTGTCTACCTATAACCTGGAAGTCTCTGATTTTCATTACTCTGCCTTTCAAGACCAAACCAATGTACATCTTACATTTATTGATTTATGTCTCCTGTCTTCCTAAAATGTATAAAACCCAGCTGCATCTGGACCACATTGGCTGCAAAAAACACATCGTTAACCTTGGCAAAGTAAACTTTCTAAATTAATTGAGACCTATTAGATACTTTTGGTTCACAAGCTCATGAACACAGAAGAAATCAAGATAGAAAACAAACTAGATCTAATGAAAAACATAAAATAAGTTCATAAATCTGAACTCTTTCATATATATTGAACATAGAGGAAATGGTCTCAAACTGTGTGTGTTTATATTAGATCGCAGTTTTGAAAGATATTTCTAATATTTGATTAAAATAACCCATCCAATGTAGTTTTAGCCAATATAAAACTGAAAATAATAAATGATCAATTGTATACATACATTAAACTTCCTAATATTTTCCGTAGCATTGCTATTACTATTTATGTTATTGGAGTAGATGCTCAGTCTGTCTTTGATATATTACTAGAGTGGTGTCTTCCATAATGGTGCTGAGACTCTGTGGTGCATGAGTGGATACACTGTTAAGCAGGAACCTAGGAGAACCAGGATGTCAAAGCTCAAGTCCATTAAAACTAGGAAAACGTACTCCTTACTGCGCGAGTCAAAGTCATAAGATGTTAATGGTTAAGGAAAGCAGCTTAATGATATTTGCAAGGACAAACTCCTACAGAAACACAATGTCCACATGACCCAATATCTCATGACAATGTGTGCTTCTAAGATAATTACAGCCATGCTTTCAAGTACTTGCACACTAAAATACCAAGGATCGTTTTAAATCAACAAAGTAGTAAGTTTTGTCACACCATCAGCCCACCGGCAGTTAGCTTTTACGTAGGCCCCTATACAAGAAAAACTTGAAACAGGTGTTCCCCCTGCTTTCTGAGGAGCCCTGCTGTGTAACTGGTAGCTTTTCTTTTCTTTTTTTTTCTTAAGACGGAGTTTCGCTCTTGTTGCCCAGGCTAGAGTGCAATGTTGTGATCTGGGCTCACCACAACCTTCACCTCCCGAGTTCAAGCGATTCTCCTGCCTCCGCCTCCCGAGTAGCTGGGATTACAGGTGCCCACCACCAAGCCGGGCTAATTTTTGTATTTTTAGTAGAAACGGAGTTTCGCCATGTTGGCCAGGCTGGTCTCTAACTCTTTACCTCAGGTGATCCGCCCTCCTCGGCCTCCGAAAGTGCTGGAATTACCTGTTTTTCTTCTTAATTTGAAAATGGTTTAAATGCAAAGTGCCTTTTGTGAGCAGGTAAAGACGCCCGTCCTGCAGGCGGGGCGAGCTCCCCGCAGCCTGGGGTAGCTGGGGTAGGGGGAGGGCGAGGGGCAAGGACCTCGGTAAAAGGGTGGAGTGTGGCGCTGGTTGCAGCCAGGACTGAGAATTAGAACAGCTTAAGGGGCCGGGCGCGGTGGCTCACTCCTGTAATCCCAGCACTTTGGGAGGCCGAGGCGGGTGGATCACGAGTTCAGGAGATCGAGACCATCCTGGCTAACACGGTGAAACCCCGTCTCTGCTAAAAATATAAAAAATTAGCCGGGCATGGTGGCGGGCGCCTGTAGTCCCAGCTACTCAGGAGGCTGAGCCAGGAGAATGGCGTGAACCCGGGAGGCGGAGCTTGCAGCGAGCTGAGATCGCGCCACTGCACTCCAGCCTGGGCGACAGAGCAAGATTCCGTCTCAAACAAACAATCAAGCAAACAAAAAAACCCCAGAAAACGGCTTGTTTAAGCGAGGTCCTGTGTTGTTTGAGCGGATAATGGAACATGGAGGGTGACCTGCATGTGGAACTGCCTATTGCACACTGGAGGTGAAGGACAACTTTCCCTTCCTTTCTTTTCTCAGGACATTTATTTAGAAAATTTGTAACTGTATTTTCTCTTCTTCTTTTTTTTTTTGTTGTTGTTTTTTTGTTCGTTTGTTTTTAGACTGAGTTTGTTTGTTTTTAGACGTAGTCTCGCTCTATGGCTCTATCGCGTAGGCTGGAGTGTAGTGGGGCAATCTCTGCTCACTGCAACCTCCTCCTCCTGGGTTCAAGCGATTCTCCTGCCTCAGCCTCCCGAGTAGTTGGGACTACAGGCGCGCGCCACCACGGCCAGCTGATTTTTGTATTTTTAGTAGAGACGGGGTTTCACCATGATGGCCAGGCTGGTGTTGATCTCCTGACCTCGTGCATCCGCCCGCCTCGGCCTCCCAAAGTGCTGGGATTACAGGGTTGAGCCACCACGGCCCCTGTAATTCTTAAACTGGAAATTACCCAGATTGCTAATGTCAAATAATAACCTTAGATCACAAATTATGACAAGTTTGTTTACAAGCATGTATTCCATTACATTTACCCGGCTAATTTTGTAGTTTACCTAGATTATTTACACACACACACACACACGCACACACACCGTGTGATGGCTGATGTTTAAAGTTATTAAAGTTTTCTTTTTTGGCTGGGCGCGGCGGCTCACGCCTGTAATCCCAGCACTTTGGGAGGCCGAGGCGGGCGGATCACGAGGTCAGGAGATCGAAACACGGTGAAACCCCGTCTCTACTAAAAATACAAAAAATTAGCCGGGCGTGGTGGCAGGCCAGCCTGTAGTCCCACCTACTGGGGAGACTGAGGCAGGAGAATCGCTTGAATCCGGCAGGTGGAGGTTGCAGTGAGCCGAGATCTCGCCACTGCACCGCAGCCTGGGTGACAGAGCAAGACTCTGTCTCAAAAAAAAGAAAAAAAAAGTGTTTTTTTTTTTTGCAGGAACTCTGATGAAGCAGGCATTTTAGGTAAAAATGATTATAATTTTGTTCTGACGTCAGAGCAGAACTTATCATTAGAGAAGATGGAGCCATATTCTTCTTCTACCCATTATTAATTTTTTTAAATTTTAAAGACCACACAATGTATATATGTGTTGTGTAGTAAAAATTCAAAGAAAAGTTCACTTACGCATCCCCTTTCCTGTCCAGCCTTCCACCCGTTCCCATGGCTCAATGGGGAATCACTGCTGAGAGTTCTGTGGCAAGTCAGCGTAAGTCCTACAGAAATGTATTCAGACACCATTTTGAGATTTTAGAAAAAATTCTTTGATGAATGCGCCTGTCACCCAGACTGGAGCGCAGTGGAGCAATCTCAGCTCATTGCAGACTCCGCCCCCCAGGTTCAAGGGATTCTCATGCCTCAGCGTTCAGAGTAGTTGGGACTACAGGTGTGCACCACCAAGCCTGGCTGTTTGTTTATTTTTAGTAGAGATGGGGTTTCACCATATTGGCCAGGTGGTCTGGAACTCCTGGCCTCAAGTGATCCTCCCTCCTCAGACTCCCAAAGTGTTGGGATTTCAGGCGTGAGCCACTGAGCTCGGCATGATAAATGTTTTGTTGTGGTATTTTATCCTGCAAGTTTTGAAAATTTCCGTGTTTTGAAGGTAGGAAACACGATAGCTTGCTGTTTTCCTTTTTTTTTTTTTTTTTTTTTTGAGACGGAGTCTCGCTCTGTCGCCCAGGCTGGAGTGCAGTGGCGCAATCTCGGCTCTCTGCAAGCTCCGCCTCCCGGGTTCACGCCATTCTCCTGCCTCAGCCTCCCGAGTAGCTGGGATTACAGGCGCCCGCCGCCACGCTTGGCTAATTTTTTTGTATTTTTAGTAGAGACGGGGTTTCACCATGTTAGCCAGAATGGTCTCGATCTCCTGACCTAGTGATCCACCCGCCTCGGCCTCCCAAAGTGTTGGGATTACAGGCGTGAGCCACCGCGCCCGGCCGAAAAATCTTTCCAATGTAGTGAGAGTGGCAAAGCCTTTAATTGTAGCTCACTCTTAAGGAAACATCCGATAATCCATTTGGGAGAGGGAGAGAAACAATATGAAAGTGATGTATGTGGCAAAGTCTTTTATTATCGTGGTGGAGATGATATCTCATTTAGGGGAAGATTTTTTTTGTTTTCAATTATATTTTCTCAACATTTAAAAAGTGAAGTAAAGAGTATTTCTTGGCCAGGCGCGGTGGCTCACGCCTGTAATCCCAGCACTTTGGGAGGCCGAGTGGGGCAGATTACGAGGTCAGGAGTTCAAGAACAGCCTGGCCAACATAGTGAAACCTGGTCTCTACTTTTTAGTAGACAAAAAATTAGCCAGGCATGGTGGCAGGCGCCTGTATTCCTAGCTACTCGGGAGGCTGAGGCAGGAGAATCGCTTGAACCCGGGAGGCGTAAGTTGCAGCAAGCCAAGAACGCGCCACTGCACAGCAGCTGGGGTGACAATACGAGACTCCGTCTCAAAAAAGAAAGAAAGAAAAAGGGTATTTCTTGGGACAGGCACGGTAACTCACGCCTGTAAACTCAGTACTTTGGGAGGCTGAGGCAGGCAGATAACTTAAAGTCAGGAGTTCGAGACCAGCCTGGCCAACACTGTTAAACCTCGTCTCTACCAAAAAATACAAAACTTAGCCGGGCATGGGGGCGCACGCCTGTAATGCCAGCTATTCTGGAGGTTGAGGCAGGAGAATCGCTTCAACCCAGGAGGCAGAGTGTGCAGTGAGCTGAGATCTCGCCACTGCACTGCAGCCTGGGCGACAGACAAATACTCTGTCTCAAAAAAAATAAATAAATAAATAAAAAAGAAAAAGAAAAGAAAAAAGTAAGTGAAAAAAGAAAGTAATAGAGCTCTTCCACAAATGTGCTGGGACAAGTAACTGGATATCCACATGGAAAAAAATAATGTTGGATCCCTGTCTCACACCATAAAAAATTTTATTTACGAAAGTTTAAAAACAAAACAAAACAAAAAACAGAGAGAGAGTGACGAGGAAGGGAGTCCTGCGGGAGGGGGTGTTACTTTATCGCCCAGGCTGGCCTGGAGCCCCAGGCTCAGCGATCCTCCCGCCGCTGCTTCCTGAGTAGCTGGGAACTCAGGATCCCACCCCGCGCCCTCCCACGCCCCCTTGTGCGCCCGCATCTCTGCTGTGTTTAACCAGCAGGTGGTGACCTCACTCCTCCCTGGCCTGAGCACTCCATCCCGCATCCCAGGCGGTGGCTCTAGGGAAGTCTCTGAAGCTGACACAGGGTGGACTCTCCCTCTTGAGTGAGTGGAGAATAGAAAGGGAGAGGATTTCTATTCTGTTCTGTGGTCGTCAGCATGAAATAATACGTTCCGCCCAGGCAGGGCTTTGCATTTCACATTCTGGTTTGCATTCCCCTTCCAGACAGTTCCAGGGCTTTTGAATCATGCCTCAGCTTTCCTGGCAGGTCTCGTCTCCAAAACCCAAAAACACGCCGAGGCTGAGAGACTCACAGATCCCGCCCCGCCCTCTGCCGGTTCTATAGGGGAAGGTCTCTCCGCCTCGCGCCCCGCCCCCTGCCGGTTCTATAGGGGAAGGTCTCTCCGCCTCGCGCCCCGCCCCCTGCCGGTTCTATAGGGGAAGGTCTCTCCGCCTCGCGCCCCGCCCCCACCTCGCCCAGGCCCCGCCCACCCCCTGCCATGTCCCGCCGAGACCTGGCTTCTGTCCCGAGCGCCCAGTTTAGCGTAAACCGGGAAGCGGATCGCGTGGAGTGAAAGTCACCGCAGCGGTGAGTTTTGCTCTGTGTTGTGTTATGTCTGCGCTCCGCAGGTCCCTGGGACTTCTGTCCCAGGGGACGTGGGGTCCCCACATACCTGGAAATTTCTACCATTCTTCCTTCGCCCAGAGCAAATTTTTTTTTTTTTTTTTTTTTTTTTTTGAGACGGAGTCTCGCTCTGTCGCCAGGCTGGAGTGCAGTGGCTCGGTCTTGGCTCACTGCAACCTCCGCCTCCTGGGTTCAAGCGATTCTCCTGCCTCAGCCTCCTGAGTAGCTGGGATTACAGGCATGCGCCACCAGGCCCGGCTAATCCCCAGAGCAAAATTTGACGTCCCGGTGAGAGTCCAGAAGTCGCTTCCTTTTGGGTTTAAAGTCGCCCTGAGGCTAGACCCGTCCCCGGTCTTTCTGCTATAGGGCAACGTATACACTTCGTATCTCGTAGTTTTCCTGTTTGTAACTATTTTCTGACTCCCTCCACCCCGTGCTTTTTAAAGTCCTCACCCGAGAGGTGGATTCCCACCCTGGGCGCCTCCCACCCTCACCCTCGTCGGTCCCTGGAGCGCAGCGCCGCCTCCCCCGTCCCGAGGAGGCCGCATCCTCTGCCTGGTCCTGGGATCCTGCAGACCCCACCCTTGTCTTAAGGAGCCGTCGCCCCCTAACTCCCTCCTCGTGCCGGGCCCTGCTGCTCGCCAGGTCTCCCCTCAGCAGTCGCCGCTTCCTCTGAGTCCGCGTTGGGGAGGTGCCCAGGGCTTGTCCTGTGACAAGGGGTGTTCTTGCCTGCCCAGCCCCAGCCCCTGGAAAATGCACTCCTCTGGGATGCAGGCGTCTTACTCAAAACTCTCCTGTGATTGTGTGGGCCAAAGGAATCAGGAGACCGAGCAAGGGCAGTAGAAAACTCGAGACAGAGAATAGAACAATGAGAAAGGCCCATAACAGATGGCAAGGTGGAGGATGGGTGAGGGATTTGCCAAGAGACAGCAAGAGTGAAAAGAAAAAGTTAAGATAGCAGGAGGAGAAAACTGGAGAAATGTGGAGAGAAGCTAGATGTACAGAGAGATGAAGGACAGCAAGGTAGGGAGAGGGGCAGCAAAGAGGGGGACCTGGCTCATCAGAGTGAGGGAGAGGAGGAGGGATTTGGAGCCAGGGCAGACAGAGCAGAGTGGTGCTGGTGGCAAGAGGGAGAACCACAGCAGGGAGGACACCTGGAGGTCGGGGGTGCCAGAGAGTGGGGACAGGGGGTTTAACAGGGAAGAGAGAGTTTAACAGGGAGAGCAGAGGAGGCGCAGAGGTGGGAGAAGAGGTGGTAATGTATGGAGATTGAGGACGATCGAAAGACTGGGAAGAAGAAGCAACAAGAGGTTAAGTAAGTTGTGAGGATGGAGCAGAAGAGGTGGAAGAGAAGAAATAGACCAAAGAAGGGGATGGTGCGCACTTGTAATCCCAACTACTCTGGAGGCTGAGGCAGGAGGATCACTTGAGCCCAGGAGATCCAGGCTGCAGTGAGCCGAGATATGCCACTGCACTCCAACCTGGTCAACAGAGTGAGACCCTGTCTCAAAAGAATAAAAGGGGTGGGGACTTTGGGTTCAGATGAGTGGGTGAGTTCATTGGATATGATTAGTGTGACATGTTGACTTCTGTGTATATAATCTAATAACTAAAAACTTGTTTAAATTATACAGATGAGATTGAGAATTTTAAAATTCCTATCTATGAGTCATGTACATTCTATAAATCTTGGCATCAGAGGTCAGCTTCCACTTGGAATCCCTATTCAGCCAGAGGGCAGTGACTTATTCAGTTGTGAGTCACTCTCTTCCCTTTTCCCAGGGTGGCATAGGAAGTGGGGCAGTGAAGTGGGGAGACAAAAGCACTTTCTGTTATTACATGTGACTTTTAATTTAATTAATTAAATAATATTTTGAAACAGTGTCTGGCTCTATCACCCAGGCTGGAGTGCAGTGGCGTGATCTCTAACTGTAGCCTCGACCTCCTGGGCTCAAGCTGTCCTCCTACCTCAGCCTACCAAGTAGTTGGGACCACAGGCGTGAGCCACCAAGCCCGGCTAGTTTTGTTTTTTTTTGTTTTTTTGTTTTTGTTTTTTGTAGAAATGGGGTTTTACTGTGTTTCCCAGGCTGGTCTCAAAATCCCGGGCTTAAATGATCCTCCTGTTTGGACTCCCAAAGTACTGGGATTACAGGGATGAGCCACCACGCTTCTCCTACATAGTACTTTTTTTTTTTTTCAGACGGAGTTTCGCTTTTGTTTCCCACCCTGGAGTGCAATGGCGCAATCTCGGCTCACCACAACATCTACTTCCCCGGTTCAAGCGATTCTTTTGCCTTAGTCTCCCAAGTAGCTGGGATTAAAGGCATGCACCACCATGCCCAGCTAATTTTGTATTTTTAGCAGAGACAGGGTTTCTCTATGTTAGGCTGGTCTTGAACTTCCGACCTCAATTGACCCACCCGCCTTGGCCTTCCAAAGTGCTGGCATTACAGGTGTGAGCTACCACACCCAGCCCATAATACTTTTTAAAAGGGACATCAAAGCCGGACGTGGTGGCTCATGACTGTAATTCCAGCACTTTGGGAGACCGAAGTGAGCGAATCACCTAAAGTCAGGAGTTCAAAAGCACCCTGGTCAACATGGTGAAACCCTGTCTCTACTAAAAATACAAAAGTTAGCCAGGCGTGGTGGCGTGCATCTGTAGTTCCAGTTACTTGGGAGGCTGAGGCATGAGAATCACTTGATCCTAGGAGGTAGAGGTTGCAGTGAGCCAAAATTGTGCCACTGCACTGCAGCCTGGGTGGCAGAGTGAGTCTCCATCTCAAAAAAGCAAACAAACAAAAAATAAAAAACAAAAGGAATATCAAAAGCGCTTTTTTTCTCATTGTGTAATAGATTTCCTCTTTTTTCTTTCTGGTTCTTCTCCATTTCTCTCTTTTTTCATTTTCAGATGAAGTTGCGCTCTTGTTGCCCAGGCTGGAGTGCAGTGGCGTGATCTCAGCTCACTGCAACCTTTGCCTCCCGGGTTCAAGCGATTCTCCTGCCTTAGCCCCCTGAGTAGCTGGGATTACAGGTGCCTGCCACCATACCCGGCTAATTTTTGTATATTTAGTAGAGATGGGGTTTCACCATGTTGGCCAGGCTGGTCTTGAACCCACTCAGGTGATCCACCCGCCTCGGCCTCCCAAAGTGCTGGGATTACAGGCGTGAGTCACCGCGCCCAGCTTCTTTTTTTTTTTTTTTTGAGATGTATTTTCACTCTTGTTGCTCAGGCTGGAGTGCAATGGCGAGATCTCAGCTCACTGCAACTGCTGTCTCCCGGGTTCAAGCAATTGTCCTGCCTCAGCCTCCTGAATAGCTGGGATTACAGGTGCCCACCACCACTACCAGGTAATTTTTTGTATTTTTAGTAGAGATGCGGTTTCACCATGTTGGCCAGGTTGGTCTTGAACTCGTGACCCTAGGTGAGCCACCCACCTTGACCTCTGAAAGTGCTGGGATTACAGGCCTGAGCCACCATGCCTGGCCACCCATGTATTCTTGATTGAAAAAATTTGCTTATGTCTTAGCTCTACGGCTGAACTTCTTTCACTGTTTTCACAGTCAATAGCTGTGTGTTCACACTTCTGCAGTTTATAAATGTTACTGTGATTTTCTTGTAAGGAAGAATTAAATGTTGGGAGTCAGTGGCATCAGAACGTTGCAAAAGAAGTTTCTTTAGCCCAGGTATATGAAAGATGCTTCTCTAATTTTCAAGGATAGGGGTGATAAAGACCAACCCTTCCCATTAGCTCTTTCAGGCCTCCATGTAAGAATTCAGACACACCTTCTCACTCATCTCAGACCTTCTCAGGGTAACTTGGTGAAAATGTCCCCGCTCTGAGCCCCAGTGAGCCTCCCTGTGACTGATAAACCTGTGTGGCAGTGAATCAATGCCCCCTATCACAGAAGAAACTGACTCAACTCCATCAGCTGGTAAAAGAGCAACTGGATTCAGGACATACAGAGGAGTCAGCCCCTGGAATTCACCAGTATTTGTGATCCCAAAAAAGTCATGAAAATGGTGACTGCTTCATGATTTGAGAGCTATTAATGCACAGATTGAACCGATGGGTGCACTACAGCAAGGTCTACCATTCCCAACAGCCATTCCTAGAGATTGGCCTCTCGTAGTAATAGATCTTAAAGACTGCTTTTATACTATACCCTTACATGAGAAAGATAAGCCTCGATTTTCCTTCTCTGTGCCCTCTATTAATCATAGAGAGCCTGTCTCTCATTATCAATGGAAAGTTTTACCCCAGGGCATGCTCAACACCTACGTTAAGTCAGCATTTTGTAGGAAGAGCATTAAAGGACTCTCAGAATATGTTTCCCACTGCCTACATCGTTCATTATATGGATGATATTCTTTTGGCCGCTCCTACAGTTCAAATATTACACCAGTTATTCAGAGAAATAAAGCAGGCCTTAACTGAATGGAATCTCAAAATAGCTCCTGAAAAGGTACAAAGAACCGCCCCATACCAGTACTTAGGTACTATTTTTACTGAAAGAAATGTTCAGCCTCAAAAAGTAGCCGTCCATAGGGACAGGTTACAAACTCTGAACGGTTTCCAACAATTATTAGGGGATATTAATTGGCTGTGCACGATGCTAGGTATTGCTACTTACCAACTCATACACCTTTATCAAACCCTCCAAGGAGATTCTTCATTAGATTCCCCTTGGCAACTTACTAAAGAGGCAGAAGCTGAGTTACAGCTTGTAGAGCAGATGCTTCAACACGACAGGCCTTTCGGCTGAAATCACAAAAGCCTTTGCTTTTTTTATTCTTCCTACCCCTCATTGTCCAACAGGACTTTTAGGCCAATTCATAGAGAAATCCATAATGGTAATAGAATGGCTCTTTTTATCCAATCAGACAGTGAAAACTTTGTAAGTTTATCTTTCTTTAATTATACAACTTATGACAATAGGCAGGCATAGATCAGGAATGCTTACAGGATATGATCCTAATAAAATTATTGTTCCTTTGGATTCCTGACAGCAGGCTGCAGCTTGGGAGATGTTGACTGGTTGGCAAATCACTCTCGCAGATTTTGTGGGAATAATAGGTAACCATTATCCATCAGACAAAATCTTGCAATTTTAGGCCATGCTCAGTGGCTCACGCCTGTAATCCCAGCACTTTGGGAGGCTGAGGCAGGCAGATCGCCTGAGGTCAGGAGTTCGAGACCAGCCTGAAAAACATGGTGAAACCCCATCTCTACTAAAAATTAAAAAATTAGCCTGGTGTGGTGGCGGGCACCTTTAATCCCAGCTACTTGGGATGCTGAGGCAGGAGAATTGCTTGAACCTGGGAGACAGAGGTTGCCGTGAGCCAAGATCGTGCCATTGCACTCCAGCCTGGGTGACAAAAGCAATCAAAAAAAAAGAATCTCGCAATTTTCTAAAGTTCACCCTTTCATCCTTCCTGTGATTACTCATCACAGGCCTATTTCAGGTGGACAGACCTATGTTACTGATGGTTCCTCCAAATTTCACGCAGCTGTTTCTGGACCTAAACACACTCAAACAATAAAGACCTCTGCAGTTTCAGCTCAATGTTCAGAATTAATCGCAGTTATTCTGGTTTTAGAGCTTCCAGATTTATCTCCTATTAATATTGTCTGTGATTCAGCCTATGTTGTGAATGTAGCCAGTCACATTGAGACTGCCACTATTAAGAGTACCCTAGAACAAGAACTGCTTAACTTGTTTCTAAGACTCCAATAAGCTATTTGCTCTCATGCTTCCCCTTTTCATATTTCTCATATTCACTCTCACACACAACTCCCTGGACTACTATCTCTAGGTAATGATAGAGCAGATAAACTGATCGGTTCTATATTTCAACAAGCCCAAGCTTCTCATGCATTACTGCATCAAAACAACTCTGCACTTACTCGTATGTTTCATCTGCCTTGCAGCCAAGCTTAAGCTATTGTGCAAGCCTGCCCCACTTGCCAGTATGTCCCTGGTGTTGCCCGTGTAGAAGGATGCACCCCACGAGGTTTGGCTCCAGATGAAATCTGACAGATGGATGTTACCAATATAGCCACCTTTGGCAAACTCAGCTATGTCCATGTGACTATAGACTCCTACTCCCATATGCTGCATGCCACATGCCAAACAGGGGAAATAGCTGGTCATGCCTGGTGACATTGTTGTCATTTGCCCATATAGGGGGGTCCCTAAACAATTGAAAACTGACAATGAACTTGCTTATGCTAGTGATGCCTTTCAAAATTTTTTAGTTATGGGCAGTCACCCATAAAACAGGAATTCCTTACAATCCTCGAGGGCAAGGCCTTACTGAGTGGGTACATCAAACGGTACAACGTATGTTGAAAAAACAAAAAGGGGGAATAGGAGACCAACTACCACCTCAGGCAAAATTACATTAGCCTTGCTTACTTTAAACTTTTTGACTCCTGGTACAGACGGTAAGACTAGCAGAACGACATTGGCAAGTGTTAGAGGAAAAGAGGCAAGTTTACCCAAAGGTGTTATGGAAATCTCCAGATGAGGGACAGTGGAAAGGCCCGGTGGAATTGCTGATGTGGGGACGAGAGTATGCTTGTGTTTTTACAGGAGATGGACAAACCATGTGGGTGCCCTCCAGGTGTGTGCGACCATGAAATGGGAGACTAGCAGGACCCACGTTGGCCAACCGTGGACCTGGTCCCTCCAGTAGGAGTCGTGAGCCAGCTGAATTTGAATGCAAAGATGGAGCAAGGGCCGACTGGAGTCACACTGACATCCACCCCCATAACATGGGGACAGATCAAGAAAACAAAGCAGGAAGCTGAGAAAATGCTGGAGCATCCATGTGCTTGGCCATGTTAGCAGTAGTGTCCTGTGAGGTATGTTTCCCCTGTGTAGAGGCCAAAACATACTGGGCATATGTTCCTAATCACCCTGTAGTGTGACCTGTACTCTGGAGTGACATTCCTCCTGAGGTATATCATGATCAGGGAGCGTGGGCTCTAGGGCCCCTAACTCCCCCTGATATAGAGCAATTAAACTCTCACAACAATAGCATCAGTTATACCGCCCCATTGGAGGGACTCCCTTTATGCATCACCAAAGATATGTCACTCAACCACAGTTGTCTTGCAGTCCAACCCCAGGCATGGTTGAGTCACCATGGAAAAGTTATGTATTTATTAGGCCTTAGCTCTATTAATATAACTAGTGTGCTCATCAACCACTCCCGCCCCCATCACCAAAATTGTATTGATTATACAGAATGGGCTCCCTTTGATAGTTCTCACCACCCCCCTCCTTGGACCCAATGTCTTGGTCCTTTAGCTAGACAACAGTCTATGCTAATGGGAGACATTGGTGACTGGGGACCCCGTGGTTAATTAGATGGAAGAGATGAGAATCAGACCTCATGGCACAAACTTCGCTGGCACTGGTGGCAGACCTTCAACATCTCTTCACTACATCACACTGGGATTCAATCCCAGTCGGCTGTGCGGCTTGCTTGGCACAGAGCAGGCTTTAGCTCGCCTTTGCCTCAGTGGCAGCATCAAGGAAAGAGGGGCCCAATTCAGGAGTCGATATGGAAAGCAGCACTCCTATTTACGAACGGCAGCATCTGGGTTGGGACACTCTCCAATACTAATAATGTTACTTAACACAGTTTTAATGTTACCTTTGTAAGGAATATTACCACTCAATTTACAGTTTGTGTTTTTCTAAGAAGGTAAATGTCATTCTTGGATATGGGTCCCTGTCAATCTGTCTGAACCTTGGGCTGCTGCCCTGGCTTTACACTTTGTGAAACTCCTTCTCACTCAGCTCACTCATCATGCTCCTAGAGTCTTGGGTATGGTAATTTTTGCTATTGTTTCCTTAGTCACACTAATAACCTCTGTTGTGGTGTCCTCAGTAGCACTGCACAGCTCTGTTTAAACAGCCCAATATATGGAAAATTGGATGTGCACAGCCGACCAGGCATGGATGCTTCAAAATCAAATTAATACTGAATTACAAACTTAGGTGGCAATGTTAAAGACTACTGTTTTGTGGTTAGGGGAGCAAATACAGAGTTTACAATGGCAACAGCAATTGCACTGTCATTTTAACCATACTCACATTTGTGTAGCCAATTTGGAATATAACCAAATCGAATATCCATGGGACCTTGTAAAAGCCCATATTCAGGGGGCTTTTACATCCAATGTCGCTTTTGATATCAGTGAAATACAAAGTAAAATTCTTGACTTGAATAAGCAGACTCAAGAGTTTCAACCTTCTTTAGAAACTTGGACAGAATTCCAGCAGGGTTTAGAAAGTCTCAATCCTTAGACCTACGTTAAACATCACCTTAATGTCTCTTTTAGACTTATAGGAACAATGTTATTATGTCTCTGTTTTCTGTTTATAGTCTGTAAGACTGGGTGGACCACCAACTGGCAATTGAAAGTTGCACAGCCTGGAATTACCTTTATTCAATTAATGCAAAAACATAAAGGGGGAGATGTTGGACACTGAAGGAATGAGGGTTGTCAACTCAGTATACCATTGGAGGCTGTATGAGCAAACAGCAAACTGTTCTTGTGAAAGCAGTTGGCAAGGTGACAACTGAATCTGCCACCAGAAGGAATGCTGAGGGCAGTCACATCCCAGGTGCCATGTTCCTTGAAATTATCTACAGAAACATCTGGAGCCTGTTGAACAAAAAAGGCAATCACTTACACCTGTGTTAAATTAAATAGTTGACTGACAGTTACCCCTTCCTCTCTGTTTACTCTACCCAATAAATATGAAGGGCTGTAGAAGCTCAGGGCTCTTGTTCTCTAGAAGCAAAGAGCCCCCGATCCCTTCTTGCAAACAGATACTTTTGTCTTTGACTCCATACTCCATTCCCGTGTTCGTCCTCCTCCATTCAGTCCCAATGTAACAGCAACAGTTTGAGACCAGCCTGGCCAACATGGTGAAACCTCATCTGGACTAAAATACAGGTTAGCTGGGTGTGGTGGCTGGTGCCTGTAATCCCAGCTACTCAGGAGGGTGAGGCAGGAGAATCGCTTGAACCCAGGAGGCAGAGGCTGCAGTGAGCTGAGATCATGTCACTGCACTCCAGCCTGGGTGACAGAGCAAGACTCCATCTCAAAAACATAAAATAAATAACTACTTCTCAAATAAGCTTTGGTAGAATTTTATGAGCTCATATCATTTTTTTTTTTGAGATGGAGTCTCATTCTTTTGCCCAGGCTGGAGTGCAATGGCGCGATCTCGGCTCACTGCAACCTCCACCTCTCAGGTTCAAGTGATTCTCCTGCCTTAGCCTCCCGAGTAGCTGGGACTACAGGCCCCCGCCACCATGCCAGGCTAATTTTTGTATTTTTAGTAGAGACAGGGTTTCACCATATTGGCCAGGCTGGTCTCAAACTCCTGATCTTGTGATCTGCCAACCTTGGCCTCCCAAAGTGCTGGGATTACAGGCGTGAGCCACCACACCCAACCTCACATCATTGTTTTTATCTATGTGTTCAAAATTTTCTCCTTTGACCCCACATTTCATTAGATGTATATATTTTTAACCATTTTAATATAGTTTCTCTATGAAATTTATTGTGTCCAGTTTACATTGAAGACTGCATGCTTTCTAGTCTGTACCACATATTGGAAACACTTTCTAGTACCTGATAAATGATTTTAGGTTGTTTCAATGCATATTTGATAAAGATGTCAAGAATCTATTTTCTTTCTTTCTTTTTTTTTTTTTTTTGAGATGGAGTTTCACTCTTGTTGCCCAGGCTGGAGTGCAATGGCATGATCTCAGCTCACCGCAACTTCCGCCTCCAGGGTACAAGTGGTTCTCCTGCCTCAGCCTCCCAAATAGTTGGGATTACAGGCATGCACCACCACACCCAGCTAATTTTGTAATTTTAGTAGAGACAGGGTTTCTCCATGTTGGTCAGGCTGGTCTCGAATTCCTGACCTTAGGTGATCCACCTGCCCTGGCCTCCCAAAGTGCTGGGATTTCAGGTATGAGCCACCACGCCTGACCCTAGGACCTATTTTCTTTATGCTAACATAAAAATTTAGTTCAAGTAGCCTGTTACTCTACTTTCTTTCCTTATGTCATCTGATAAAATGGTGAACTGTGACCTTCTAAGTAAACATTCTCCTCAAGTTCCTCTGGTCCATAATATTCTTTGCAGATGTTGAAGGATGGGCTGGATTGACTTGGAACCTTGTTTCAGCAGAGCCCACGTGTTCATGAAGAAAACATTTGCTCACAGCTTATTTCTACCACTGCCTCTCTTTCAGTGTTTTAAAAACCTATAGCTATGTGTTCACAATTGTTTTTATTTTGAATGTATTACTGTCATTTTTCTGGGAAAATATTTACATGTTTAGGATTCGTGCCATCAGAATTTTGGACATTGAAAGAGACATTTCTTTTGCTTGGGGATATAAAAGATGGTCCTGGAATATTTTTCCTTTTTTTGAAATGGAGTGTTACTCTGTCACCCATGCTTAAGTACAGTGGCACGATCTTGGCTCACAGCAACCTCTGCCTCTGAGGCCCAAGTGATCCCCCCCAGTCAGCCTGCCAAATAGCTGGGACCACAGATGCACACCACCATGTCTGGCTAATTTTCTGTACTTTCGTTAGAGATGGAGTTTCACCATGTTGCCAGGTTTGTCTCAAACTCCTGGGCTCAACTGACCCACTTGCTTCAGCCTTCCAAAGTGCTGGAATTACAGGAGTGAGCCACCACATGTGGCCAGTCCTGGAATTTTATAGAGGAAGATGACCAACGCAGCCTGTTGACCCTTCCTGGCCATCACATGAAAATCAGCGACTCCTCCTTCTTACAAAACTCAGAGCTTCTCAGGATAACTTGGTGAAACGTCCCCCGCTGTGAACCTCACTGAGCCCACCTGTAATATACAGGTGAGGGAGAAGACCAGAAAAGCTCAGAGTGACACTGACCCCTGAAATGATGGGCACAATGGAGTGTGTGGCTTTTCCTTTAGGACAGGGAGGTGCTTAGCTGTAATTTGAATTTTAAATGGATTTCAGTCCTCCAAAAATGTAAAAAACAAAAGCACAAGAAGGAAAAAATGAGATTAGAATCAAATCACCTTGAACCTTATCATCTCACCGCTTTAGCCCACCTGTATGACTCCACGTCCCCTGCAGGCCTCGCCCCTGAGCTCCACAATTCTGTGTCCAGTTGTCTCTTCAGCTCTCTGCTGGGACATCAAACAGGCATCTCCACCTTCATGTGTCAAGAAGTCATAAGTGACTTCTTGAACCCCCAAACACATTCCCTTGCAGTCCTACACCTCTCAGATGAGGGCGACAGTGTACTTCTGGGAGCTTAGCTGAAACTGACAGCATGTATTTTAAATATGGGAAATAAATTCCACTATTTGTGAGTGTTGTAACTTACAATGTAAAGAGAAAGTTGCATGTATACATGAAAGGAGTGAGGAAATACATCATTTCCAAAATTCTTTTGAGGTGTGGGAGAAAAATGTTTCAAGACCTCGTCCCTAGGGATCTTCACTTCCAGGACCTCTCTGAGGTCATCTCCTGCCTGTGTCCTCCTCACTCCCTCTGCTCCAGCCACGCACACCTCTTTCCTTTTTCTGGGACTGAGGTTGCTTTTGTCTCAGTGCCTTCACCTGAGATGTCACTCTGCCCAGGACTCTCTGGCCCCTCAGCTACAAGTGACAAGCAGTGTTTCATCCCTAAGTCTTTGTTCTGACATTGCTTTCTCTATGGAAACGTTTGTGATCACCCACAGTCCCCCATTTGACATGGCAGCTCCACCTTCACCCCCACCTCTGGTCCATGTTGCCTGTTCTTTGTGATTCTTTTTGCTCCTTCGCTTTTCACTGGATCCTGGTGGGAACAAGTCCCGAAGTGGAGAGCAGAGCCAGAAGGTGGGGCTGTGCTGGGCTGGCGCTGTCTGAGTGGAGCTCAACCCTGGCTTCACATTAGGGTTCTCAGGCATTTTGCAAATACATCTTTTAAGCTGTTTTATCAGAGATTGCTATTATCATAGGATTAAACCCACCCTCAATAATTCTTACAATGGTGCAGGTGATTCTCATCTGTGTCCAGCATTGAAAATCAAGGCAGTTTCCTCCATGTTGAGAGCTGAGATCAGCCTGTGATCCACAGGGAGCTGAGGGGGCTGTGCTCTGCATGGGGTTTGGTTAGGGCCAGATCTGTGCCCTGAAGGTCTGTGTCCTGCTGCAGTGTGTGTGTGGACTTTTCCAGGAGGGGAGCAAGATCTGAAAACGGGTCAAAATTACACTTGTAGGTCTTCCTGTGGGGCTTTGTTATCTTGGCATGATCTCTGGTGTGGTGGGCAGCAGAGGACCATCTTCCTACTGGGTGAGGTCTCCCCTGTGTGTGTGTTTTGTCACAGGAAAGGAGTGAGTGGTTTCTAAACATTAAATCTCTTATTTTTTTTTTTTCACAAACAGGATTGATTTCCAAAAACTCCTGTTACATGAGGAAGACACCAAGAAGAGCAAAGAAAAGGAGCCAGGGTGGCTCTTCCTCAGGTGAAGTGGATATTTCTCGGTGGATTAATCTGTCTCTTTCCTTTCTGAAATGCCAGGTATTGTAGTAGTCAGTCTCCTGTGAGTCTGAAGCATCCTGCCTCACACATTTGCTTGCATTCACTTATGCCTTTTCTCAGTCCCTGTCATCTTCACTTAAATTCCATCTCTTATAACCTAGTGACATGAGCTTAGGAAGAGGCTGCACTGGGCATGGTCCTGGAAGGGCTCACACCAGACATGGATGGAGATGGGGTGTGGGCTCCGTGGTGTCAGTGATGCTGGGCAGCAAGGATTGTTCAGGGGCCACATCTGGATGGACGTTTAGCTCTTTGTGGACCAGATCAGAGAAACTGTATATGAAAGTCATACATTAATGTGCACTGGCATCAGGTAAATTCTGGAAATGGAGACAAATTAGGGGAGATATTTTGTGTCTGATTTTGTAATGCATTTGAAGCTACACTAGTGACTCAATATGTCTCTGACTTGAAAGTTTTCTTTTAAGAGACAGGGTGTCACTCCTGGGCCCAGTCTGGAGTGCAATGGAACAATTCTGGCTTACAGCAGCCTCAAGTTTGTGGGCTCAAGTGATACCCACATTAGCCTCCTAAGGAGCCAGGATGACAGGCAGGTGCTACCACACCTGGCTAATCCCAATTTCAGAGAAGGTGAGAATGAGAGCTATGTACAGAATGATGGAGGGAAGCAGTAATGAAGACGAAGGGGGACCCTGGGTGCAGATGAGCGGTGAGTTGATTGGATGTGACGATGAAGTGATGACATGTTGTTTTCTCTGTTTATAAGGTAACAAATTTAAAATTTGTTTAAATTATACAGATGAGAATGAGAGTTGCCAAACTCCTGTGTCTAAGTGTGGTGACTTTTATAATGATGGCGTCAGAGGCAGCTTCCCTCTGCAACCCCTCTTCAGCCAGAGGACAGTGACTTATCAGTTGTGGCCCCAGTGAGCCTCCCTGTAACTTGGAGATGAGGGGCTACACCAGAAAAGCTCAACCCGAGTGACCCTGGCCCCTGAAATGATTGGCAAAATAGAGTGCGTGTCTGGGCGTGGCTTTTCTTCTGTGAGAAAGGAGTGTTCAGTTGTAACTAGAATTTTAAATAGGTGCAGTACCCCAAAAATAAAACAAAAAAAGGCAGAATGAAAGAAACAGAGGTGTAGATTCAGTTAGACACAGAGACCATCTTCGAGGCCTTTCTCTGTATGAGGACATCACAGCGAAATCTAAAGTGGGTCATGTCAGTTCCTGGCATATTTTTGAGTCTCACTCTGTCATCCAGGCTGGAGTGCAGTGGCACGATCTCAGTTCACTGCAACCTCCACCTCCTGGGTTCAAGCGATTCTCCTGCATCAGCCTCCCGAGTAGCTGGGATTACAGACAGCCACCAAGCCTGGCTACTTTTTGTATTTTTAGTAGAGATGGGATTTAACCATGTTGGCTAGGGTGGTCTGGAACTCCTGACCTCAAGTGATCTGCTCGCCTTGGCCTTCCAGACCGCTAGAGTGCTAGAGTCCTAGGATTACAGACATGAGCCACCGCACCCGACCCAATTTCTGTATTTTTAGTACAGACAGGGTTTCACCATGTTGGCCAGGCTGGTCTCATGCTTGTGACCTCAGGTCATCTGCCTGCCTTGGCCTCCCAATGTGCTAAGATTACAGGCATGGGCCACCATGCCCAGGCAGAAACGCCCTTCTGCATGGATTATTTTGAGTGTTTTGTGTCTCCCCTTTGGAGGATGCACAGTTCTCATCTTGGCCACAGGACAACTGCAGCACCTACTCTGGAGTTGTGATTTAGATGCTGAGGTGTCCTCAGGGAAGACTGAGGGGCTGGGGCAAGTGTGAGGATGGTCCCATATTTCTTCTGGAAATTTCAACTCTAATTGATCTGAACTTTCTGTAACTATTTATTTCAGTCAAATTAAAAGGAGAAGACCTCACTAAAGCCAGAAAAGCCCTACAGACCAGACCCTGTGTCCTCAGGCAGTGCCGAGGCATCTGCATTTTTGTCATCTGTGTCAACTGCCTCACTCCAGCTCCCGGGTCTCCACGCTCTGCACATCACCAGGGCCCAGTTTGGCCATGATGGGCAGGGGCTTTGCCACCAGCAGGTGATGCACTCAGAGTGAGGGTCCTGGATTCCCTTCAGGAAGGGTGGGGAGAAGGTCAGGGACCTGAGGGGCATGAAGGACACACTCCTACACAACTAGTTCTGTTCTGGAGCAGCTGGAGGCTCCGTGACTTCAGGAAAGATTCTTCCAAGGATCAGAGTGCAAACAGCACCGTGAACTGCAGCCTGAGGGCCACCTCCTCCTGCCAGGCCAATGGCGATGACTCTCTACTGGCTTTTCCTTGCCTGTCACAACACATGAGTGTGTGCGCACGTGCACACACACACACAGTCACACACTCACACACATAGTCACACACTCACACACACACACAGTCACACACACACACCCACACACACAGTCAGAAGGCAGCTGGGGAGCCGAGGATCAAAATGTTATAATGTAAATGTGGGGCTGGGTGTGGTGGCTCACGCCTGTAATCCCAGCACTTTGGGAGGCTAAGGCAGGTGGATGATGAAGTCAAGACTTTGACACCAGCCTGGTCAACATAGTGAAACCCTGTCTCTACTAAAAATACAAAAAAAAAAAAAATTAGCTGAGTGTGGTGGTATGCACCTGTAATCCCAGCTACTCAGGAGGCTGAGGCAGGAGAATCACATGAACCCAGAAGACAGAGGTTTCTTCTTCTGTCTTCTGGATGGAAGCATCATTGCACCCCATCCGGGGCAACAGTGCAAGACTCTGTCTCAAATAAAAATAAAAATAAAAATAAAAGATGAAAAATGATGGCCGGGAATGGTAGTTTATGCCTGTATTCCCAGCACTTTGGGAGGCCAAGGCGGGCAGATCACAAGGTCAAGAGATCAAGACCATTCTGACCAACATGGTGAAACCCTGTCTGTATTGAAAAAATGCAAAAACTAGCTGGGCTTGGTAGCACACGCCTGTAGCCGCAGCTACTCAAGAGGCTGAGGCAGGAGAATCGCTTGAACTTAGGAGGCAGAGGTTGCAGTGAGCTGAGATCGTGCCACTGTATTCCAGCCTGGCAACTTAGTGAGACTCCATCTCAACATAAATAAATAAGTTAATAAATAAATAAGCTATAATCTAAATGTGGAGCACAGATATTTTTCCCACAGAGGGAACGCTGGGTCCTGGGAAGGGATTTTGAGGGTTACAGCACTAGTCATGGCCTGGAGATTCAGGAATTGGAGGAAGGAAAAGCCGTATTTATCCTCACAGGATGCCTCTGTGCTCAGCAGTTAGTAGAATAAATGGGCTGAGCTATTGGAGTCACATTTAGAAAAAGGGGTTTTTCTCTCCACCCAGCACACACCGTCACCTACCCTATGCACAGTCCTTCCTTTCCCGTTGTCTTCTCTAGAATGACAAAGTTGATGCTTCCCCAGGTGGGCGTCTGAGGGAGGGGAGTGGTTTCTTTGCCTGTCCTTGATCCCCTCCCTCAAGTCTTCCACCTTCCTGTCCGCTGTTCTGTTCTGACACTCATTGCCTGCAATTCTATCGGTTTGCACCATCCCAAGACCCAACTAAGACCCAAGGATTTGAGTCTGGGAATATTTAAGCCAATGTCATTGCCAAGTCAGAAGTCTTAGACCCCAGGAATTTTTCTTCATTGAGAGTCCGGGCAGCAAGGAAGCCTCTCCTCTTTCTGCGGAGTTTAGGGTCTTTAATTGCCAATGTAAGTTTGCTCAGGGTCAGGCAGTGACCCGTTGGATCAGCCAGATGTGTTTCTGAGTGAACATACACTTGTCCTTCTTACCGGTTGGGCAAGCAGAGTGGTCTGCATGAGGGACTCTGGGCTGTCCCGCTCAGCTGCTCCTGCTCAGCTCCCTCATCACGATGAAGACCATTCCAAGGTCAAATAGGACCCTGGCACACATGAGACCCCAGAGAAGACATACTAGTATCACTCAGTCATTCTCATTCATTCACTGACTCAGTAGCTATGGAGCCTGTGCTATAAGCCAGGGGGCACAAATAGAGGAGCTGTCTGTACCAGGGATCAAAATGGTAAACCAGCAGACTATCCTTCCCTGCTTTCTCCAGGTTATTTTTCAGTTTTATGCTGTGTTGTTGAAGTTGGTCTTGATCTCCTGGGCTCAAGAGGTCCTCTTTGGCCTCCTGAGTAGCTGGGATTATAGGCCCCAACCCCCATACCTAATTATTGGTTTTTATTTTTTAAATTTTAGCGTATGTGTGTCCTTAGGGCTAATATGAGTCTTCTGTGGACAACATGTAGTTGGTTCCTGTTGATTCAGCCAGTCTTTGCCTCCTGAATGCAGAGTTAAATATTTACATTTTAATAATTACTGATGGAGAAGACCTTACCGTTGCGTTTTTGTTACATATTATCTGTATTTCTTGTAGGTTTTTATTGTTGTTCTTCATTTCTCATTTCCTACTTTTTGTGTTTAATTACTTTTTTTCTGTAGACATGCTTTGACTCTCTTCTTATTTACTTTTTTTTGTGGTGAAGTCTCACTCTGTCACTCGGGCTACAGTGCAGTGGTGCGATCTTTCTAACCGTAGCCTCCACCTCCCGGGCTCAAACGATTCTTGTGTCCCAGCTTCTGAGTAGCTGTGACTACAGGCGCTCACCACCACGCCCAGCTAATTTTTGTGTTTTTAGTAGAGACGGGGTTTCATCACATTAGCCAGGATGTTCTCGAACTCCTGATCTCAAGTGATCCACCTGTCTCGGTTTCCCAAAGTACTGGCATTACAGGCGTGAGCCACCGTGCCCAGCCATTATTATTATTTTAAATAGTTTTGTCTTTTAGTTTTTAGTAAACATATAAGTGGCTTAAGCATGATTCCAATGTGAACATAACAACCACGTTAGTGTCCATTCCTTTCAATATGAAGAACCGAAGTGTGTTGTATAGATATTTAGGGGGAGGTTATTGTTGAAGGTGTGTTAAACATCTTGAAGTTATAGCATAATAACAAAACTTGAAATTTCCATTACCTGGCCAGGTGCAGTGGCTCACCCCTGTAATCTCAGCACATTGGGAGGCCAAGGTGGGCAAATCACCTGAAGTCAGGAGTTCAACACCAGCCTGGCTAACATGGCAAAACTCTGTCTCTACTGAAAATTCGAAGTGCAGTGGGCACCTGTAATCCCAGCTACTCAAGAGGCTGAAATCTTTGAATTCAAGAGGCAAAGATTGCAGGAGCCGAAACGGCACCATTACACTCCAGCCTGGGCGACAGAGCAAGACTCCGTCTCAAAAAAACAAAGAAAGAAACAAACAAAAATTTCCATAACCTGCAAAGACTACTTTCTCCACTAGAACTCTTTGTTATTTATGTCAGAATTATTTCTGTATATGTTGCATTTTCATTAACATATATGTACAGTGTTTTTTTTGTGCTTTTTTCTGCTAAATAATTGGAAAAAAAAGTTGAGTTATAAAGAAAAGATACACTTATACAGGTTTCTGTATCTGTCTATTTACTTACTTATTTATTTATTTATTTATTTATTTATTTCTGAGACAAAGTTTTGCTCCTGTCGCCCAGGCTGAAGTGCAATGACACAATCTCAGCTCACTGCAACCTCCGCCTCCCAGTTTCAAGTGATTCTTTTGCCACAGCCCCCCGAGTAGCTGGGATTACAGGCATGCACCATCATGCCCGGCTAATTTTGTATTTTTAGTAGAAACAAGGTTTCTCCTTGTTGGTCAAGCTGGTCTCGAACTCCCAAACTCAGGTGATCCACCTGCCTTGGCCTGCCAAAGTGCTGAGATTACGGGTGTGAACCAACTTTGATGGATGCGCGGCAACATAAGCTTATGTACAAGGCATTTGAGATTGAGGAATGGAAAATTACTGAGGCACTGTGTGTATGTTGTTTGTGTATGAGACTGTCACTCCTTGACCCTGAAATCAGGACAAGGAGTAGAATGTGTGATAAGAAACGCTGAAACAGTCTCCTGTGAATGTGGTCTGAGTGCTTTTACAAGGCCATAGTGCCTCACGACCCGACTGCAAAGAGCTCCATGGTGTATGTTTTTTGTTTGTCTGAAGTGTAGTTTAAACAAGCCCTTTTTTTTTTTTTTTTTTTTTTGAGACGGAGTCTCGCTCTGTCGCCCAGGCTGGAGTGCAGTGGTGCGATCTCGGCTCACTGCAAGCTCTGCCTCCCGGGTTCACACCATTCTCCTGCCTCAGCCTCCTGAGTAGCTGTGACTTCAGGCGCCCGCCACCACGCCCGGCTAATTTTTTTGTATTTTTAGTAGAGACGGGGTCTCACTGTGTTATCCAGGATGGTCTCGATCTCCTGACCTCGTGATCCGCCCGCCTCGGCCTCCCAAAGTGCTGGGATTACAGGCGTGAGCCACCGCGACCGGTCTAAACAAGCCCTTTCAATAAATACTTGGAGGACGGATTCTGGGGCAGCACTCTCTCAGAAGGTTTGCTCCCCGCCCCACTCAGCTGGAATTATCTGAGTACTTCATTCTTGGCGTTCACTGCAAGCTATAAGCTGCACCACTGCACTTGGCCTATCTGTCCTTTTATTTACCTTCACTGGAGAACTTTATATATATTTGTGGGTTGGAGTTACTCTTTAGCCTTCTTTCATTTCTTTTTCTTTCTTTCTTTCTTTCTTTTTTTTATTTCAAGATGGAGTCTCGGTCTGTCGCCCAGCCTGGAGCGTAGTGATGCGATCTTGGCTCACTGCAACCTCCACCTCCTGATTTTAAGGGATTCTCCTGCCTCAGCCTCCCAAGTAGCTGGGACTACAGGTGCGTGTCACCACACCCGGCTAATTTTTTGTATTTTTTTAGTAAAGACATGGTTTCACCGTGTTAGGCAGGATGGTCTCAATTTCCTGACCTCGTGATCCTCCCACCTCAGCCTCCCAAAGTGCTGGGATTACAGGCGCGAGCCACCATGCCCTGCTTGCCTTAAGGTTTTGAAAACTTGTTAGTGGTATTAGATGGCTTCAAGTATTGCAAGTTTTACAGTACAGACTGTTAACTTCCTTTGTTTAATAAGATTTGTAAGTCTTCTGTGAGGCTGATGATGAGATGCTCCTTTTCCTGTCTCAGGCATTTCACTGTCCTGTCAAAAATAGCTTAGACTGGTCGGCCCTGGTGTCTAATGCTTCTAACCCCAGCACTTTGGGAGGCCAAGGTGGGTGGATCGCTTGAGGTCAGGAGTTTGAGACCAGCCTGGCCAACATAGTGAAATGCCATCTCTACTAAAAATACAACAGATAGCTGGGCACAGTGGCAAGTGCCTGTTATCCCAAGTACTCAGGAGGCTGAGATAGGAGAATCACTTGAACCCCGGAGGCAGAGGTTGCAGTGGGCTGAGACTGTGCCACTGCACTCCAGCTTGGGCGTCAGAGTGATACTCCAGGCTGAGGCGGGAGAATCTCTTGAGGCAGGAGAATCATTGTGCCACTACATTGCAGCCTGGCTGATAGAGCATGACTGTCTCAAAAACAAACAAAAAAAGAAATAGCTTAAACTGGGAGGCTTCAGACACAGAAATTTATTTCTCATGAATTTGGAAAGTGGGAAATCCAAGAGCAAGGTGCCAGCCAAATTGGTTCCTGCTGAGAGCATTCTTCATGGTTTAGCCCAGCCATCTTCCTGCCATGTCCTGACATGGGGGAAAGAGGAACAGGCAATGAGCTCTTTAATGTCTCTTTATAAATGCACTTTTAGTATTCACAGGTAGTCAACACCCATGACTAAATTCTCTCCAAGTCTGCATCTGCAGGAACATCCTGTTAGAGAATACCACATCTACCAAAGCTTATTTGAGAAGTAGTTGAGTAGTTTGAGTCTCATCCTGTTGCCCAGGCTGGAGTGCAGTGGCATGATCTCAGCTCACTGACACCTCCACCTCCTGGATTCAAACGATTCCTGCCTCAGCCTCCCAAGTAGCTGGGATTACAGGCACCTTCCGCCATGCCCAGCTAATTTTTTTGTATTTTTAGTAGAGATGGGGTTTCAGCACGTTGGCCAGGCTGGTCTCGAACTCCTGACCTCGTGATCTGCCTGCCTCAGCCTCCCAAAGTGCTGGGATTACAGGCATGCACCACCACGCCTGGCAATTAGTCAATTCTTATTCGTTTAAATGCTGTGTACTTTTTTTTTTCTTTTTTTTTTTTTGTGAGAGACAGTCTCACTCTGTCACCCAGGCTGGAGTGCAGTGGCGCGATCTCTGCTCACTGCAAGCTCCACCTCCCGGGTCCACGCCATTCTCTTGCCTCAGCCTCCTGAGTAGCTGGGACTACAGGCATGTGCCACCACGCCCGGCTAACGTTTTGTATTTTTAGTAGAGACGGGGTTTCACCGTGTTAACCAGGTCTCGATCTCCTGACCTCGTGATCTGCCCGCATCGGCCTCCCAAAGTGCTGGGATTACAGGCATGAGCCACTGCGCCTGGCAATGCTGTGTATTTTCTTGACCTCATATATCAGAAGGTAGTGATCTTAACATGTAATTCAGTTCTTATATTGTGTGCTGGTGGTAAGTAGAAGTTTTGGCTTTTTTCTTAAGTGGAAATTGTTTACAATTCTGCAGGCTGTATAAATGTACATATTATTTTCTTGTTTTATCGTTGGTTACAATATTTTGTTAATTGAATTTTATGACTTTACATGTGAGTATTCAGTATGTGGCATGCAATATAACTGACACACTGCACTCATTAATGTCACAAAGTGCCACTGGGTGCAGTGGCTTATGCCCGTAATCCCAAATGGCCAACATGGTGAAATCCCATCTCTACTAAAAATACAAAAATTAGCCGGGCATGCTGGTGCTTGCCTGTAATCCAAGGTATTCAGGAGGCTGAGGCAAGACACTCACTGGAACCCAGGAGGTAAAGGTTGCAGTGAGCCAAGATCGTGCCATTGCACTCCAGCCTGGGTGACAGAGCAAGACTCCATCTCAAAAATATAAAAATAATAAACATTTTTTTAAAAAGTCACAAAGTGCCTGTTCCACATGGATATAGGAAATTTTTCACAGTTATTCAGAAAAATATGGTATTCACATTTTCTTTTTTGGGGGATGGAGTATCACTCTGTCGCCCAGGGTGGAGTGCAGTGGCACGATTTCAGCTTACCACAATCTTTGCCTCTCGGATTCAAGCAATTCTTCTGCCTCAGCCTCTCAGGTATCTGGGATTACAGGTGCCCACCACCATGCCTGGCTACCGGCTACTTTTTGTATTGAGGTAATCCACCTGCCTCTGCCTCCCAAACAAGTACTGGAGTTACAGGTGTGAGCCACCATGCCCTGCTTTTTTTTTTTTTTTTGAGATGGAGTCTCACTTTGTCATCCAGGCTGGAGTGCAGTGGTGCGATATTGACTCACTGCAGCCTTTGCCTCTTGGTGATTCTTGTGTCTCAGCCTCTCATGTAGTGGGATTACAGGCATGGGCCGCCATGCCTGGCTAATTTTTGTATTCTTTTCTTATCTTCTCAGTGCTGTGATTGTTTGACAATACAGAATTTCCATTGATTTTGATTATCCTTACAAGAGCTTGTTGTGGATTATTTACCAATATAGTACGTTATCCGGTCCTTTAGCATTTATTTGTATACTCTATGCTATAAATATGAAGAATATATATTTTTTCCTTCTTTGATGTGACAGTAATATGCTTTTTGCAAACTGTGATACATTTTAGGGTCACAGTGGAAAAACACTCCTTACTTTAGGCTTACACATGTTTGTGCCCTGTCAGTGTTTCGTCATGATATTGGGAATAGGCTTCTGTAGAAATGATTTAAAGGACTTGTAATCGCCCTTTATTTATTAAAGAACCTTACTCCTTTTGTGTTCTTAAACTTTGAAAATCATGTTTGGGAATTTCAAAATAAATATTGTTTTTTGTGTCCTAGTTACATATTTCAGTATTATTTACCATCTGCACTTAATTGGAAACCTATTGTTGTTTATATTTTGTAGCTATCTCTTCCAAATGCATGACAAGGAAGTTCTCATCAAGAAGGCAAGGCAATACAGAAGTGTTCCACACAGGGACATTGCAAAGACAAGCAAGTCATCACACTGGAGATTTTTCCTTCCAGGAAATTGAGAAAGATTTTCAGGACTTTGAGTTTCAGTGGCAAGAAGATGAAAGAAATGGCCATGAAGCACTCATGACAGAGATAAAAAAGTTGACAGGTAATACAGACTGATATGATCAAAGGCATGCTGGAAACAAACCTATTAAAGATCAGCTTGGATCAAGCTTTCATTCACATCTGCCTGAACTGCATATATTGCAGAGCAAAGGGAAAATTGATAGTCAAGATGAGAAGTCTGTCAATGATGCTTCCTCAGTTTCAGCATCCCAAAGAATTTCTTGTATTCCTAAAACCCATATTTCTAATAAGTATGGGAATAATTTCCTCCAGGAAGCACACATGAGAGAAAAATCTTTCCAATGTAATGAGAGTGGCAAAGCCTTTAATTGTAGCTCACTGTTAAAAAAATGTCAGATAATCCATTTAGGAGAGAAAAAATATAAATGTGATATATGTGGCAAGGTCTTTAATCAGAAGCGATACCTTGCATACCATCATAGATGTCACACTGGTGAGAAACCTTACAAGTGTAATCAGTGTGGCAAGACCTTCAGTTACAAGTCATCCCTTGTAATTCACAAGGCAATTCATACTGGAGAGAAACCTCACAAGTGTAATGAATGTGGCAAGGTTTTTAATCAAAAAGCATATCTTGCAAGTCATCATAGACTTCATACTGGAGAGAAACCTTACAAATGTGAAGAATGTGACAAAGTTTTTAGTCGCTAATCACACCTTGAAAGACATAGGAGAATTCATACTGGAGAGAAACCGTACAAATGTAAGGTTTGTGACAAGGCTTTCAGACGTGATTCACACCTGGCACAACATATTGTAATTCACACTGGAGAGAAACCTTACAAGTGTAATGAGTGTGGCAAGACCTTTGTTCAAAATTCATCTCTTGTAATGCATAAGGTCATTCATACTGGAGAGAAATGTTACAAGTGTAATGAATGTGGCAAGGTTTTTAATCACAAATCAAACCTTGCATGTCATCATAGACTTCATACTGGAGAGAAACCTTACAAGTGTAATGAATGTGGCAAGGTTTTTAATTGAAAATCAAACCTTGAACATCATCATAGAGTTCATATCGGAGAAAAACCTTACAAATGTGAAGAATGTGACAAAGTTTTCAATTTCAATTCACGCCTTGAAATACATAGGAGAGTTCATACTGGAGAGAAACCATAGAAATGTAAGGTTTGTGACAAGGCATTCGGGTGTGATTCACACCTGGCACAACATACTAGAATTCACACTGGAGAGAAACCGTGCAAGTGTGATGAGTGTGACAGAGCCTTCAGTGGTCAGTCAACACTTATTCACCATCAAGCAATCCATGTCATAGGGAAACTTTACTAATGTAATGATTGTCACAAAGTCCTCAGTAATGCTACAACCATTGCAAATTATTGGAGAATGCATAATGAAGTGAGAACTTACAAGTGTTATAAATGTGGCAAATTTTTCAGACTTCGTTCATACCTTGCAGTTTATCAGCGAACTCATACTGGAGAGAAACCTTACAAATGTGATGATTGTGGCAAGGTCTTCAGTCAAGCTTCATCTTATGCAAAACACAGGTGAATTCATACAAGAAAGAAACCTCACAAGGGTGATGATTGTGTCAAAGCCTTTATTTCAGGTTCATGCCTCATTACACATCAGAGAATCCATACTAGACAGAGATCTTACAAAAGTCATATGTGTGGCAAGATCTTTAGTCTGAGGTCACTCCTTGCAGGACATCAGGAAATTCATTTTTGAGGTAATAATTTCAAATGCAATGAGTATAGCAAACCATCAAGCACAATTGATGTTAGATTCAAATCAGCATTGAGTTCAGTTTGAGTTGACTTAACATTGAGTTCAAGTATTTGTTGAGATTAAAGTGTTTATGTTAAGAGGATTAGGCCAGGTGCGGTGGCTCACACCTGTAATCCCAGCACTTTGGGAGGCCAAGACAGGTAGATCACTTGAGATCAGGAGTTTGAGAGCAGCCTGGCCAACAGAGGTGAGCACCTTTCCCAGTCTGTTTTTTGTTTCTTCAACAAAAACTGATAGAGATTTTTATGGGTATTGTGTTGAATCAAAATCACATTGGGTTATGTAATCATTTAACAGTATTAATTTTTCCAAAACATCAATATGGGTTATATCTTTATATATGTTTTTAATCATTTTGATCAATGTTTGTAGATTTCAATGTATGAATTTCTCACTTCTTTCCATTTATTCCTATTTCTTACTTTAAGTTCTCTAGCAAATGGAAGTGTTTTTAAATTTTCATTTAAAATTGTTTATTGTTAATGTATGAAAATTCAACGAATTTTTGGTGCTGATATTGTATTGTGCAAATCTACTGATGTGTTTATTAGTCACAGTAGTATTTTGGTTGACTCTTTGTGATTTTCTACACAGAAGATCATGTCATCTACAAAAAATATAATTTTACTTTTTCTGATTTTGAGGCATTTCATTTCTTTTGCTAGTTCATTGCTCTGGCTAGGACTTCCAGTATTTATTGAATAGAAAAAGTGAGAACGTTCTTGCATCATGTGAGATCCTACGGGAAAAGGATTCTATTTTCCCTGCT
Source organism: Homo sapiens (assembly GCF_000001405.40). Taxonomy (NCBI): domain Eukaryota; kingdom Metazoa; phylum Chordata; class Mammalia; order Primates; family Hominidae; genus Homo; species Homo sapiens. The sequence continues at coordinate 52,968,118 of NC_000019.10, read as the reverse complement.
TGGTTATCTCCACATTGGTCATTTCATCAATGGTCTTTCTATTGGTGAGGTAAATTTCCTTCTCCATCTATTTTGTTTAAGATTTCTATGATGATCAGATGCTGAATTTTGTGAAATGATTTTTCTCCATCTGTTGAGATGATGTGGTTTTCATCTTTCATTCTGTTCAAGTGGTATATCACATTGATTTGCTTGAATATGTTGAACCATCCTTGCATGCCAGAAGTAAATGGCACTTGCATATCTACAATCCTTTTATATATCCTCTTGAATACAGTTTTCTAGTACAAGTGGTCTTCAAGAAGCTCATGGAAAAATACATATTATGGAAAAATTGTGCATGAATTTCACAGTTTTTGCACCAAAATAAACTGATACAAATCTGTTATAACATGTCTGAACAGGCTCTAGTTTGAGGCACTGAGAAGGATAAGACATGAGTTTGAAAAGAGACTGTATCAAAGGAATACAAATTCTGCTAAAATTGAAACAAGAAGAAACATAAAATTTATGATGAGAACAGTTGCAGTGTCTCAGGTCTGTAATTCCAGTAATTTCAGAGGCCAAGACAGGTGGGTCACGTGAGCCCAGGCATTCAGGACCAGCCTGGGCAACATGGTGAAAACCCCTTCTATACAAAAAATACAGAAATTCACTGGGCAGGGTGGCACCTGACTGCAGGGCCAGCTACTGTGGAGTCTGTAGCATGAGGATGGCATGAGCCTGGGAGGTCGAGGCTGCAGTGAGCTGTGATCTTGCCACTGCACTCCAGCATGTCTCAAAAAAAGAATACTTATGGTAAAGTTTGGGTAGATGAATTATGATATCATTGATGCTTTATGAAAAGGTTATGGGGACGATGCCCAAAAGAAATCAACAGTTTGTAAATGGATAACTAATTTTGAGTTGGGAGAAGACAATGTTGAAGGTTACACGTGGAGCAGCAGGCAGACCATCCACATCAGTTTCAGAGAAAAACAATAATCTTGTTTGTGCCGTGATGAAGAGGACTGACAGCTAACAGCAGAAACAATAGTCAGGAGGTTGAGAACAGGCTGGTTAACATGGTGAAATGCCATCTCTATTAAAAATACAAAAATTAGCTAGGTATGGTCGCAGACACCTGTAATCCCAGCTCCTTGGGAGGCTGAGGTGGGAGAATCGCTTGAACCCAGGAGGTGGAAGTTGCAGTGAACCGATAGTGCCATTGCACTCCAGCCTGGGCAACAAGAGTGAAACTTTCTCTCAAAAAAAAAAAAAAAAAAAAAAAAAAAAAGATGTCAAGCCCCTTCTCTTCCTTTCTCCACCATCATGGTGTGTACTTGACTCTGCTTCTCACCAGATCTTCTCATAAGACTATCAGGATTAAGCAATTCCTGGCCAAGAAAAAAAGCAAAATTGTTCCATTCCCCAGTGGATTCAGATGAAAACTGGTAATAAAATCAGGTACAACTTTAAAAGGAGACATTGGAGAAGAACCAATCCGTGTCTATAAGGAATTGTACATGAGATGGCACACATTTTTATGCTGTCTGAGCATTACAATCACGTTACCATATCAAGCAGAAAATGTCACCATTATCTGGAGAGTTGGACATGTTTTATTGGGAATATATTTTTTCTCTCTGAATCTGTTATGAACATGTTGGTTGGCTGGGTTCAGTAATAAATATGTGAGGCTTTTCATTTCAAAAAAAAGTCAAATGATGTAATTCCATAGAGTACCTTAATTCCCGTATTGCTTTTTGGTTTTTTTTGAGATGGAGACTCCACTGGGTTCAGTGGATCACACTTGTGGTCCTCACACATTCGGAGGCTGAGGTGGGAGGATTGCTTGAGATCAGGAGTCTTCTGGGAATCTTCTCGCCTCCGCTAACCCAGTTCAGGATAGACCCTTGGACTTTACTGTTTTGGAAAATCTATATAAACCAATATCAGTGTGTCAAAGCATTATGTCTGTCAGAAGGTTGTGAAAGAAGCTTAAAAATTACTAAGCCAAAGAGAAAAGTCAGGCTGGGAACTGTGTCAGACAAACCTGCCTCCCATTTTATTCCTAAAAGAGACAGCTACAAGGATTTTTTACAAAGCTACATAGAGGCTGGGTATGGTGGCTCAGGCCTCTAATCCCAGCACTTTGGGAGGCTGCGGTGGGTGGATCGCCTGAGGTCGGGAGTTCGAGACCAGCCTGACTAACATGGAGGTACCCCGTCTCTAGTAAAAATAGAAAATTAGTCAGGCATGGTGGCATATGCCTGTAATACCTGCTACTCGGGAGGCTGAGGCAGGAGAGTCACGTGAACCCAGGAGACAGAGGTTGTAGTGAGCCGAGACCACACCATTTCACTCCAGCCTAAGCAATGAGAATGAAACTCCATCTCAAAGATGAATAAATGAATACATAGATACATAAATATTTAAAATATAAAGATGAGGTTTCACCATGTGCCTGGGCTGGTCTCCAACTTTTGGCCACTAGCTATCTTTCTGCTTCGGTCTCCCATCATGCTGGAATTACATGCACGAGCCACCATCCCTGGCCACATTATGCTTTTTTAAACTTGCTAATATTTTAGATATGCTAATTTCTTCCTAAACATAATTATGTTTTAGCTAATTACTAGTATTTGATAAATGAAACCTTCGATAACTAGGGATGTGAGTGAAAAATATAGTTCATAGTACATGTTAACTTACAGATATTGCCATAAAATTATTGCATGCAGAAATGCGGTGATGTAAAAGTTTATAATTTTTTTTTTCTTTTTTTGAGATGCAGTCTCACTCTGTTGCCCAGGCTGGAGTGCAATGGTGAGATGTCAGCTCACTGCAACCTCTGCTGCCTGGGCTCAAGCAATTCTCCTGCCTCAACCTCTTGAGTAGCTGAGATTACAGGCGCATGCCACCATGCCCAGCTAATTTTTGTATTTTTAGTACAGATGGGGTTTCGCTGTGTTGGCCAGGCTGATCTCAAACTCCTGACCTCAGGGTGATCCATTCGCCTAGGCCTGCCAAAGTGCTGGGATTACAGGTGTGAGCCATCACACCCAGCCAATTTTGTAATTTAGTTATATTTTCTTCAGGGCCCACGTAAAACAGAATAACCTGACTGCAATGTATCCTTAGTAATATCTCATAATTATTCTCTATATGAAAATAAATCCCAATGTTTGAAGACTGCCTATTTTACAGCCTTTGTTGTTCACACCTGATAGAACACTTAGGAGAGAACAACAAAGAAAACACCCAAAATAGATTACAATTGGATGGGTGTGGTAGCTCGCCTTTAATCCCAACACTTTGGGAAGCTAAGGTGGGAGGATTGTTTGAGTACAGGAGTTCAAGGCCAGCCTAAGCATCATAGTGGACCCCCGACTCTACAAAATATTAAAAAATTAGCCAGGCCTGGTGGTGAGGGCCTGTGGCCCCAGCTAGTTGGGAGGTGAGACGGGAGGATTGCTTGAGCCCCAGAGGTTGAGGTTGCAGTGGGCAGTGTTCCCACCACTGCATTCCATCCTGGGTGTCAGAACTAGGTCCTGTTTCTAGGGAAAAAAAAATTACAACTTGAAGATAAAAAGTACATTTTCTACTTATTTTCAGAAGGCACGTAAAGTGAATTTGATATTACAATACACTTAGGAATTATTTTTTAAAAAAAGAATTTGAGAATGAGGACCAAGGTCTAATTTTTTTCTCTTGCCCAAATTCCTATCTAAAGGGTCTGGGGAGTCATGCCCTACAAACCATAAATACTCATCAGATGGGTTTTATTTAGTCCTATATATCCTGTCTTACTTTCCAGTCTGACTCTGGAATAACGTGACAAAGAAGAAAGTCAAAATATTTTACCCCAAAACATGTTTCTGTGCCATATTTTGAAATGGTCCTGCAAAGCTGTTCTTTGTGAGGGGTACATGTGCATTTGTAAAGAATCTCTGTTAACATAGCTAGATCTTTTTCTTCTAGGCCCTACCAATCCTGAAGAGATTAAGTAAGAATCTCGCACTGTTTAAAGGTCTGAATAGAAAACACTTATCATCTATTATCTCTAAGGGCAGCCAATAGAAGACTTGAAAACAACATTGGTCTCCACAATCTTTTACCTTAACGTGAACATTTCCTCTCCGTTGATCCCAGGTATTTAGACAAACTCAACCAATTGTCAATCAGAAAATGTTTCAATTTACCTGTAGCCCAGAAGTCCCCGCTTTGAGTTGCCCCTCCTTTCTGAACCAAAGCAGCGTATTTCTTAAATGTATTTGATTGATGTCTAATGCCTCCCTAAAATGTCTAAGAACAAGCTGTTCCCCATCACCTTGGACACATGTTCTCAGGACCTCCTGAGGGTCATTCATATTTAGCTTAGAATAAATCTCTTAAGATATTTTACAGTTTGATTCTTTTCCACGACAAAAATAACTCATTTTAAGTGCAGCATGAAATAATAAACGTAAGAAACAACTGGGCAACTTATATGCACTGTTACAATGTCAGTGCTTTTTTTAAATCACTTTTTTGTTTATTGAGACGGAGGAGGGAGCTCTGGGATAGAGGGTCTTACTTTGTCGCCCAGGCTGGCCTGGAACTCCAGGCTCAGCGATCCTCTCGCCCCTGCTTCCTGAGTAGCGGGGACCCCAGACTCCTGCCACCCCGCCCGCATCCCTGCTGTGTTTAAGCACACTCCTCTGCTCCGCACCCCAGACGGTGGCCCTAGGGAAGTCTCAGGAGCTGAGCACAGTGTGGACTCTCCCACTCCAGTGAATGGAGAATTGAAAGGGAGAGGATTTCTATTCTGTTCTGTGGACCGTCAGCATGAAATTGTACCTTTCGCTCAGGCAAGGCTTTGCATTTCGCATTCTAGTTTGCATTCCTGCCGTAGACAACTTCCAGGCTTTGGAATTAAATTGCTAAAATAAATTTCAATAGCAAGGAACTTTCCCGGATCCAATTACCGCCACACGGCGACTTCTCAGGGAGGTACTATTTCCCTGACTGCTGAGCTGCTCCAGCCTCACTGGCGGGTTTCACCTCTAAAACCTTGAAAACAGAGGCGCGGAGAGCGAGATGGAGAAAAGCTCAGGCCCCGCCCCTTTCCCGCCCCCGCGGACTCCTCCCAGCCCAAGACTCTTCTCTTCCGCGCCGGGCCCCTTGTCCTTTGCACCCCGCCCCGGCCTCGCCCAGGCCCCGCCCACCTCTCGGGGATCTGGCCCAGGTCCCGCTTCTGTCCTGCGCCGATTGGCACAGACCCGGAAGCGGATGGCGTGGACTGAAAGTTGCACGGCGGCGTGTGCGTTTCCTAGTTGTCTGGTGCTGCTATATAGGGGACGTGGGGTCCCCACAGACCTGCAGGTTCCGGCCCCTCTTTTCTCAACCCAGAGCAAATTGAAACGTCCGGGTGAGAGTCCGTGAGTCGCTTCCTTTTGAGTTTAAAGTTGCCCTGAGGCTGGTCCCGTCCCCGGTCTTTCTGCAGTGGGGCCGTGCAGACACCTCCTGTCGCGAAACTTTCCTTAGCAAAACCCTTTCTGACGCGTCCTCCCGCCTCGCGCTGTTTCAAGTCCTCACCCGGAGCTGGATTCTTGCCCTGGGCAAGAGCGCTTCCCAGCCTCGCTCTAGTCGGCCCCTGGAGCGCAGCGTTGCAGCCCCGCAGCCCCAGGGTGGCCGGTGCTTTGTGGCCACTCCTGGGCTCTTTCCCTTTCCATCTGAGACGTGGTGGAAGTGGGAGGGCTACAGGGAGAGTACCCTTTGATCCTTTGTTACTACGGGTGGGGAGATGGGGTTATTCCTTTTGGTCTAGTTTTGCAAAGTTCACATTAATTGGCCTTAGATTCCCAGAGCCAGGACCCAGATTTTCACTTTTCTTCTTTGTTGTTGGAGATGGGTCTCTGTGCCTACAGACTAGTATAGCCTGTGCCTGGACTAGTATAGTATAGTATAGTCTCTGTGCCTGGACTAGTATAGTCCAGCGGGGGCCGTCCAGTCTCAATGAAATTCTGGATGAGCCTAGGCAGTCTGTAATTTAGAAAATTTACGTAATGAGTTCTTTTCAGTGTGGTTTAAGCCTCACCAAGTGACTGTCCTTGTTGTGCTGTTGTATACAACTTCTGTCCTAGACAATTGAGCTTTCTTACGGGGTTGCTGAAGTTTTTTCTTTCCTTAGCTACATAGTATTGTCTAATAACTGAGGTTTTTAGGACCTAGAAGTTGCTAGTTTGGGCCTTCTGAGCTGGAATTGTGTGAGGAACTGGATCAGTGGGCACCAACTCTCGGGCTTCCTGAGGCCATCGGTCTCCAACAGTAGTTCCTCCGCGTACATAACAAGAAGCAACATTGAGGGAATGAGCTACATTTTCCGTTAACTGGAGAAACAAGTTCCTTGTCTTTTTTGGAAGCTCTGGTGCTGGCAGATTTAGCTCATTATAAAAGGCTTGAAACACTGGTTTGGGAAAGGGCCTGGGGACCTCCCCTCGGACTAAAATGGCAACTTGGGGGGTTACCCTTGTCCTATTGACCGTCAGGATTACACCTTCTCTTTTTCTCTAACGGGGGTCTAGGGAATTAGTGATTATTAGTTCTAGTGGGTTACAGTGACTGCTAGCACAGGAGGGGTTGGCTTCTTTTTTTTGAAAGTGAACCGGGTCTTTTTTGTCATTTTTCTAAGTAGCCTAAATAACACATGGGCAACAGGCAAATTTTCACAGACCTCTGCCTCATGACAAACATTTATTTTCTACTGTGCAGCTCCTTTCTTAGTTAAGAGAGCCACATCTTAATCTGAGCTTGTTACTATTAATGGCTGCACAAGCATCAAATTTAAAGTTTCTTGTTTGGGGATTCTTTTTTCTTCTGTTCTAGTTATTATTTTACTTGTGTCACCTAGGAAAGGACCAGTTCTTAATCTTATTTGAAAAACGGTGGTTGCAGGAGGCTTAGATGGGTTATAACCCATAGTAGGTTTGTCATTTCCTGGGCTACGTACCTTGTATTGAGTGGAATTATACAAATAAGATCCTTTTAACGTGCCTGTACATTCATAATAACTATAGAACAGAAAGATTGTTTTAATTTGCTGTCCTATCTCAGTGACCTGATGAATACACTGGGAACAGTCCTTAGTTTGAGGAAGGTCAGTTGAAGCCTTTACTGTACAAGTCTAAAATTTAAGAAGAATGAGTCCCACGATGAGCTTCCTCATGCTTCCACTGTGCGTAGGACCAGTCAGCTTCCGGGTGTGACTGGAGCAGGGCTTGTCGTCTTCTTCAGGGTCACTTTGCAGGGGTTATCTGGGCTTGGCCTTGCCTCCCAGGTTTCAGGCGCTGCAGGTTTTATATGGCTGTGGTGGATCCAGGCCGGGATTCCTTCTACCTTCACAGCGGTGGGAGTGGTCAGGATGACGGTCTGGGGTACTTTCCAGTGGGGGCACACAGGGGCTACGTTCCAGTCCTTGATCCACACTCAATCACCCGGGGAGAAAGAGTGAACTGGGGAGAATAAGCTAATGGGGCATCTCTCATTTACCTGGGCTGAAATCATTTGTGTAATTTTTCCTAAGGCCTTAAGCTATTTTTGATAATCCGATTCATTCACTCCACCTTTCCAGAACTCTGAGGTCAGAAGGCAGCATGCAGTTTCCACGTGATCTTTAATACCTTTGCTGTCGTCTGTACTAAGTCAGCCACAAACTCCAGCCCGTTATCCGAGCTGATTCGTAAGGGCCGTCCAAATCTAGGAATAAGATCTCGAAGAAGCACATGAGCTTTCTCAGTTCGTGTGGGATAAGCCTCCACCTACCTAGAGTAGGTACACACGAGAACTAGTAAATACTTGTTACTTCTACACTTTGGCATTTCTGTGAAGTCCACCTGGAGATCTTCAAAGGGGGCTGCTTCATAAGCTTGTATGCCGGGCAGAATGGCTGAACCCTGCCTCGCATTGTGCTGTCGGCAGGTAACACACCGCTGTGCCACGGTTTTGGCGAGGGCTGACAATTGTGAGCTGTAGAAGTACCAGCCTAACAACTGTTCAAGTGACTCCTGACCTAGATGGGTGGTTTCATGCACCTCCAGTACAACTGTGGCTCCTAGCAGCTGTGGCACAGGTACTGTCCTATTTGGTGACCGGATCCTTCCTTCTTCCATCACCTGTCTTCCCTCTGCCTGGAGAAAGTCTTTTTCTTCTTTAGAATAAGTAGGTACAAGGTCAGGTGCTTGAGGGAGCAAGGGGGCTGTGACTGATGCCCAGTAGGGTGTGGATGTTGCTTTTCGAGCTTCTGAGTCAGCTCTGGAGTTCCCTAAGGCAACCGAGGTGGAAGCTCGCTGGTGTCCTCTGCAGTGCATGACTGCCACATTGTGGGGTTTCTATGCTGCTTCTAATAATTGCAAGATTTCTTGCTGATATTTTATGTCTTTTTCTCCAGAGTTCAACAGGCCCTTTTCTTTATATAATGCTTTATGCACTTGAAGGGTTAAAAAGGCATACCGAGAGTCAGTGTAAATATTTTCAGTCTTACCTTCACTGAGTTCTAAGGCCTGAATTAAAGCAATGAGCTCGGCTTTCTGGGCTGAAGTGCCCTGGGACAACGATCTGGCATCAATGGCAGTGTCCAGGGTTACTACCGCATATCCTGCACATCTCTCTCCTTGTGGGCTGTTGAAGCTGCTCCTGTCCACTTATAGCTCCCAGTCTACTGATGCCCAAGGCTGGTCTCAAAGGTCAAGCCTGCTAAAGTAAACTGAGTCCAACACCTCTACACAGTTATGCTCAACAGGGCTGTCTGATACCAAGAGTAAGGTGGCGGGGTTCAGGGTGTTACAAACTTCAATGGTTATGTGGGGATTTTCACAGAGCAAGCTTTGGTACTTGTTTAGTCTAGCATTCATTAGCCAATGATGTCTTTTGGTATTCATTAAAGTCACCACAGCATGGGGGGCCTTTATGTTCAGGTTTTGCCTAAGAGTTAGTTTATCTGCTTCTTCTGCCAGCAGGGCAGTTGCTGCCAAGGCCCTCAAACATGAGGGCTAACCTTTAGAATCCCCATTTAGTTTCTTAGAGAGGCAGGCCACTGGCCTCGGCCAGGGCCCCACAGTTTGGATCAAAACCCTAACTGCCGTATTTTCTCTCTCAGAAACATACAGCGTAAAAGGCTTTGTCAGGTCAGGTAACCCCAGGGCTGGGGCTGACATAAGATTTTCTTTTAACTCATGAAAGGCTTGCTGTTGTTGGGATCTCCGTTCAAAAGGTTCCTGGTCCTGCCCCTTTGTGACTCCGTACAGAGGCTTGGCCAGTACTACAAAGTTTGGGATCCACGGTCTGCAGAACCTCACAGCACCTAAGAATTCTTTCACCTGCTTTCTGGTCTTAGGCTTCAGTAGGTTGCAAAAAGCCTGCTTTCCTTCTGATCCCAGGCTGCGCTCCCCCTGTTGGATAGTAAATCCTAGGTAATGTACCTGCTGTCAGCAGATCTGGGCTTTCTTCTTGGACAACTTATACCTATAGTCCTCCAAGGGCCAGAGTAGGGCATCCTTTCCCTTGGCACACTCAACTGCCATGGGGTGTCCTAACAGAAGGTCATCAACGTACTGGAGCAATGCGCAGCCTAGGTCTCTGGTGGGAAACTTCTGGAGGTCCCGAGCCAGTGCTTCCCTGAAGATGGTGGGGGAGTTCTTGAACCCTTGCAGAAGCCGGGTCCAAGAGTACTGAGCAGTGACACCTGATCCCAGATCTTCCTACTGAAAGGCAAACAGCTTCTGGCTCTGAGGGGCTAGTCTAATGCTAAAGAAAGTGTCTTTCAGGTCTAAGCCAGAGAACCAGCTGTCCTCAGCTGGCAGCAACCTTAACGTGTACGGGTTAGGTACTGTTGGATGTAAAGTCACTGTAGCTTGATTGACTAAGTGCAAGTCCTGTACCGGCCTGTAGTCATTGGTCCCTGGCGTGGGAACAGGCAGGAGGGGAGTGTTCCAGGGAGACTGACAAGGGACTGTAATTCTAAAGGCTCTCAGGCTCTTGAGATGGACCTGGATACTTTCAAGATCTTCTCTGGGGACCAGGTACTGTTTTTGCCTGACTGGCTGGGCCCTACGCTTAACTTCTATAAGTACCAGGGCTTGGTTAACTGCCATCCCTGGAGGGTTGTCTTCTGTCTACACCCTTGGCCACCGCTTAGCCAGAGTTGGTCTTATCTCTTGGCCTGGCTCAGTTAAAAGAAGTCTCCATTCCTCTTCCTGGGGGACTGTAAGGGCCATAATGACTCCCGTTCTGGGTAACCTTAGCTGTAAAGAGCTGTGCTCTGTAGAAGAGACGGTGGCTCTCAGCTCGCTAAGCAAGTCCTTTCAAGTCCTTTCAAGTCAGGCATGTACAAGAACTGGTGAATCACTTTATGTCTTCCTACAGTACAAGTCTGGGGCAACAGAAAGCTTGCTTTGATAAAACTCCCATGGCTCCGATTATAACAATAGTCTTTTTGGAAAGGGGGGCAACCGGGGCGGTTACTACTGAATGTTCAGCACTGGTATCAATACGAAAATCAATGTCTTTGCCCCTAACTGTCATCTTGACCATGGGCTCCTTGGGGGCAGTTGAGCCTGGTCCTCCTCAGTTCAGTAACTCTTCTGCTATATTGAACAGGGCTCCTTCTGGGGCCTCCTGCTCTGAGCCACCTTGTTTTCCTTTTAGCTGAGGGCACTTGTCCTTCTAATATCCTATTTCTTTACAGTAAGCACACTGGTTACACTGCAAGTTCGGATGGCCAGGCTAAGTATCTTTCTGGGGCACATGCCTACCTGGTAGCACTCTCAGAATCCATGTCGCCCAAGCTGGCTGGAGTACCCAGCAGGGATGCTCCAAAGGGCAGGCCTAAGTCACCTAAGGGGTTGCCTCGACCTTCTGTTAATTACCTCGCTTCCAAGTCAGGGAACCAAGAAATGTAGCATGACGAGCCGCAGACAGTACCTCTCAGACAACGGATTAAAGAAGGAAGTGGCTTTATTCGGCCCAGCGCATCAGAGGACTCGTGTCTCAAGAACTGAGCTCCCTGAAAAAGAAATTCCTGGCCCTTTTAAGGGCTTACAGCTCTAAGGCATCCACGTGAAAGGGTCATGATAGATCAAGCAAGTGTGGGGAATGTGACTTGACACTACGTGCATCAGCTAACAGAACAGAAACTTTTGCAATGCTTCTTCATACAATGTCTAGAATTTACAGATAACATAAGTAGTTTAGGTCAGGGGTTGGTATTATTATTATTTTTAACCACCGGGGCCAGGTGGTAGCACCAAGGTCGTCTGGCTATTTATCTTACTTCTGTTTCTTTCTAACTTTTTGCTTTCTTCCTTTCCTCCTGTCTTATAAACTAGGCAAGGGGGAGGGAGGAAGGCAGCAGGAGAAGTGGTGGTCTGCTTCCTACCTCAGCCTCCAGAGTAGCTGGGACCACAGCTGCGTGCCACCACACCACACTAATTTTTGTGTTCTTCGTAGAGATGGGCTTTCGCCATGTTGCTCAGGCTGGTGTCCAACCCCAGAGCTGAAGGGATCCAGCTGCATCGGCCTCCCAAAATGCTGGGATTACAGGCATGCTGTTTTATCAGATTGCTATTATAATAGGATGGGACCCACACTCAATAATACTTACAATGGCACTGGTGATTCTTATCTGTGTCCAGCATTAAACATCAAGGAAGTTTCCTCCATGTTGAGAGCTGAGATCAGTCTGTGATCCACAGGGAGGTGAGGGGGCTGTGCTCTGCATGGAGTTTGGTTAGGGCTAGATCTGTGCCCTGAAGATCTGTGTCCTGCTGCAGCGTGTGTGTGGACTTTTCCAGGAGGGGAGCAAGATCTGAAAACGGGTCAAAATTACATTTGTAGGTCTTCCTGTGGAACTTTCTTATCTCTGCATGGTCTCTGGTGCAGTGGGTAGCAAAGGACCATCTTTCTCTCGGGTGAGGTTTCCCCTGTGTGTGTGTTTTGTCACAGGAAAGGAGTCAATGGTTTCTAAATATTAAATCTCTTGCTTTTTTAACATACAGGATTTCCAAAGACTCATGTTACGTGAGGAAGCCACCAAGAAGAGCAAAGAAAAGGAGCCAGGGATGGCTCTTCCTCAGGTAAGTGATATTCCTTGGTGGATTCTTCTGTCTCTTTCCTTTCTGAAGTGCCAGGTATTGTAGTAGCCAATCTTCTCTGAGTGTGAAGCATTCTACATCACACGTTTGCTCGCACTCACCCGTGTCTTTTCTCAGTCCCTCTCATCTTCACTTAAATTCCATCTCCTATAACCTAGTGACATGAGCTTGGGAAGAGGCTCCACTGGGCATGGTCCTGGGAAGGGCTCACACCAGACATGGATGGAGATGGGGTGTGGGCCCCATGGTGTCAGTGATGTTGGGCAGCAGGGATTGTTCAGGGGCCACATCTGGATGCATGTTTAGCTCTTTGTGGACCAGATCAGAGAAACTGTATATGAAAGTCATACATTAATGTTCACTGGTTAATCTGGTAAATTCTGGAAGAGGAGACAAACTAGGGGAGATATTTTGTGTCTGATTTTGTAATGCATTTGAAGCTACACTAGTGAGTCAATATGTCTCTGACGCCAAACTTTTGTTTTAAGAGACACGGTGTCACTCTGGGGCCCAGTCTGGAGTGCAATGGCACAATTCTAGTTTACAGCAGCCTCGAACTCCTGGGCTTAAGTGGCCCTCCCACCTGAGCTTCCCAAATTGCTGGGATTACAGGTGTGAGACAGCCCAGCAGGACTCTGCACTTTCAATGTCTTAGAATAGAATGGAAAGCGGATATAGATACCAGTAATAGAGTTAGCTTTATTCCATCATTGACTTCAAATTATGAAATCAATATAAATATCTAACTGCAGGGGATTCTTTAAATCATTCTCAGCACTTTGACCCCACAGAGACTTTTTTTTTGTTTTTTGTTTTGTTTTGTTTTTTTTACAGGGACTCTGATGAAGCAAACATTTTAGGTAAAAATGATTATAAGTTTGCTCTGACATAAGAGCACAACTTACGTCGTTAGAGAGGATGGAGCCATTCTTTTTCTACCCATTATTATTAAGTAATTCTTTTATTTTAAACATCACATGATGTATATATGTGTTGTGTAGTAAAAGTCCAAAGAAAAGTGCACTTATGCATCCCCTTTCCTGTCCAGCCTTCCACCCATTCCCATGTCTCAGTGGGGAATCGCTGTTGAGAGTTCTGTGGCAAGTCGGCGCAATCCTTTAGAAATGTATTCATATACCGTTATGAGATTTTAGAAAAAATTATTTGATGAATGGGGTTTTTTTTTTTTTTTTTTGCATGTTTTTTGAGACAGGGCCTCCCCGCCTGGAGTGTAGTGGCACATTGCAACCTCTGGCTCTCAGGTTCAAATGAGTCTTACGCTTCAGCCAACTGAGTAGCTGCATTTACAGATGCGTGCTACACTCCTGGCTAATTGTTGTGTTATTAGTACAGATGGGGTTTCACCATGTTGGCCAGGCTGGTCTCGAACTTTTGGCCTCAAGTGATCCTTCCACGTCGGCCTCCCTAAGTGCTGGGATTTCAGGTGTGAGCCCTGCTCCCGGTCTGATGAATGTTTGTTATGATATTTTATCCTGCAAGTTCTGAAAATTTTCATGTTTCCAAGGTAGAAAACAAGATAGCTCACTCTTTTAAATCCTCCTTGGAGCTTTCTCTGAATGAAGACTCATGAGTCCTTGACAGTTTTGTTTCATTTCTTTTTTGTTGTTGTTGTTTGTTTGTTTTTTTTGAGACGGAGTTTCATTCTTGTGGCCCAGGCTGGAGTGCAGTGGCACGATATCGGCTCACTGCAACTTCCACCTCCCAGGTTCAGTAGCTGGGAATATAGGCATGCGCCACCATTCCCAGCTAACTTTGTATTTTTAGTAGAGACAGAATTTGTCCATGTTCTTCAGGCTGGTGTCAAACTCCTGACTTTAGGTTATCCACCTGCCTGAGCCTCCCAAAGTGCTGGGATTACAGGTGTACCTACTGTGTGCAGCCAATCCCACGGTTTATGTAGAAAATACATTATTTGCAATATATATATACCTTTTTTTTTTTTTTTTTGAGAAAGAGTCTCAGTCTGTTGCTCAGGCAGGATTGCAATGGTGTGACCTTGGCTTACTGCAACCCCTGCTTCCAGAGTTCAGGCGATTTTCCTGTTTCAGCTTCCTGAATAGTTGGGATTACAGGCACCTCCCTACCATGCTCAGCCAATTTTTTTATTTTTAGTAGATACGGAGTTTTGCCATGTTGGAGAGGTTGGTCTCTAACTCCTGACCTTAAGTGATCCACCCACCTTGGTCTCCCAAAGTGATGGGATTACAGGTGTGAGCCACCATGTCTGGACTTATTTTATATATATATATAAAATATATATTATATATATTTAATATCTTTATTTAATAATATATTTATTATACAATATTATATATAATATATGATACAATATTGTAATATATATTATATATAATATTGTATCATATATATTTTATAAATACATATTATATATAATATTGTATTATATATTATATTTTATAAATACATATTATATATAATATTGTATTATATATTATATATTATAAATATATATTATATATAATTAAATATTAAAATATATATTATATATTTATATATAATATATATAAGTATATATTATATATATAAAACATATGTGTATGTGTGTATATATATATTTTTTTTCTTTTTTTTTTTGAGATGGAGTCCTACTCTGCAGCCCAAGCTGGAGTGCAATGGCACGATCTTGGCTCACTGCAACATTCGTCTCTTGTTCTCAAGTTATTCTCGTGCATCAGCCTCCCAGGTAGCTGGGACTAGAGGCGTGTGCCACCACACCTGGTTTTTTTTTTGTATTTTTAGTAGAGACGGGGTTACACCATATTGTCCTGGGCTCGAACTCCTGAGCTCAGGAGATCCACCTGCCTTGGTCTCACAAAGTGCTGGGATTTTAGGCATGAGCCACCATTCCTGGCCTTATATTGTCCATAAAACTGAGACTTCCACAGTGACTTAGGGGATTTTAAAAGCTATCATGAAAAAGTACAATAAAATGCAACTATACTGAAAAATTGTTCAAAAATACCTTAACATAAATTTGTCAGAACACAGTCTTGGATCAAATCAATACTTATTTTCTGTTTTCTCATTTCACGTGAGGGCAATAACTCACTCCTCCATAATGTTTTGTTGAAACGTGTTTTTTATTTTAGGGACGCTTGACTTTCAGGGATGTGGCTATAGAGTTCTCTTTGGAGGAGTGGAAATGCCTGAACCCTGCACAGAGGGCTTTATACAGGGCTGTGATGTTGGAGAACTACAGGAACCTGGAGTTTGTGGGTGAGGAAAATGTCCCTCCAGACATGAGGAATCTGCACTTGTCTATCTTGGCTCTTTCTGGTTTTATATTCTCTTTTGTGATTTTGCCCCATACATGCTTTTGATGTACATGTCATTGTTTTCTGCGGTGATGACCCTCCTATCTGTCATGGACAGCTTCTTAGAGACTCTTCTTTGGAGTGGTTTTACATAAAAACAGAAAATTCACGAACACTTTGACTAATACAATTGAACATCATCCTGCTCTAGGAAGAGATGTCCCTGGAAGCCCTGAGCAGAATGGTCAGCATGGCCCAGGATACGAGATAGAAAGCATGACACTGATTGACAAGTGTTTCCAGCTGTGCTTGTGGTTTTGTTTTCTTTTTGTTTGTTTGTTTTCAGACAGAGTCTCCCTCTGTTGAACAGACTGGAGTGCAGAGTCTTGATCTCATCTTATTGCAACCTCTGCATCCTGAGTTCAAGCAATTCTTGTACTTCAGCCTCTCAACCTAACTGGAATTACAGGCACATGCCTCCATACCTGGCAGATTTTCATATTTTTATTAGACATAGGGTATCACCATGTTGGCCAAGTTGGTCTTGAACTCCTGGCCTCAAGCAATTTGCCCACCTCAGCCTCGAAGTGTTGGGATTACAGGCGTGAGCCACCATGCTTGGCCTTTCATTCTGGTTTTTGAGAACCATCACAGAAGCATCTCTCACTAGCACTGTGACAGTGTTCATCACATAAACGAATGGTCATCTTCTCTAAGCAGTAGTCACTGCTGTAGAAATTCCTCTTAGGGAGGACATCATTCAGGCTCACTGCCTCATATATATGAGGCTCTTGACTGAACTCTTTTTTTTTTCTACACAGAATTTTGCTCTTGTTGCCCAGGCTGGAGTGCAATGTGGTGATCTCCGCATGCTGCAACCTCTGCCTCCTGGCTTCAAGCAATTCTGCTGCCTCAGCCTCCTGAGTAGCTGGGATTACAGGCACCCACCACCATGACTGGCTAATTTTTGTATGTTCAGTAGAGACAGTGTGTTCTTAAACTATGAAGATCACATTTGGGAAGTTTAAAATAAGTATTGCTTTTTGTGTAATTTTTACACATCTGAATATCAACTATTATTTACCATCTGTACTTAATTGGAAACCTATTGGTCTTTATATTTTTTAGATAGCTCTTTAAAATCCATGATGGAGTTCTCATCAACCAGGCACAGTATTACAGGAGAAGTGATCCACACAGGGACGTTGCAAAGACATAAAAGTCATCACATTGGAGATTTTTGCTTCCCAGAAATGAAGAAAGATATTCATCACTTTGAGTTTCAGTGGCAAGAAGTTGAAAGAAATGGCCATGAAGCACCCATGACAAAAATCAAAAAGTTGACTGGTAGTACAGACCGAAGTGATCACAGGCATGCTGGAAACAAGCCTATTAAAGATCAGCTTGGATTAAGCTTTCATTCGCATCTGCCTGAACTCCACATGTTTCAGACTAAAGGGAAAATTAGTAACCAATTGGACAAGTCTATCGGTGCTTCCTCAGCTTCAGAATCCCAAAGAATTTCTTGTAGGCTCAAAACTCATATTTCTAATAAGTATGGGAAGAATTTCCTCCATTCTTCATTCACACAAATACAGGAAATATGCATGAGAGAAAAACCTTGCCAAAGTAATGAGTGTGGCAAAGCCTTTAATTATAGCTCACTCTTAAGGAGACACCACATAACCCATTCAAGAGAGAGAGAATATAAATGTGATGTATGTGGCAAGATCTTTAATCAGAAGCAATACATTGTATATCATCATAGATGTCACACTGGTGAGAAAACTTACAAGTGTAATGAGTGTGGGAAGACCTTCACTCAGATGTCATCCCTTGTATGCCATCGTAGACTTCATACTGGAGAGAAACCTTACAAGTGTAATGAGTGTGGCAAGACC
The DNA here is from genome assembly GCF_000001405.40 of Homo sapiens. Classification (NCBI taxonomy): domain Eukaryota; kingdom Metazoa; phylum Chordata; class Mammalia; order Primates; family Hominidae; genus Homo; species Homo sapiens. Next base: position 52,950,811 of record NC_000019.10, on the reverse strand, counting down.
TTCAGTGAGAAGTCATCCCTTAGATGCCATCGTAGACTTCATACTGGAGAGAAACCTTACAAGTGTAATGAGTGTGGCAAGACTTTTGGTCGAAATTCAGCCCTTGTAATTCATAAGGCAATTCATACTGGAGAGAAACCTTACAAGTGTAATGAGTGTGGCAAGACCTTCAGTCAGAAATCATCCCTTCAATGCCATCATATACTTCACACTGGAGAGAAACCTTACAAATGTGAAGAATGTGACAATGTTTACATTCGCAGATCACACCTTGAAAGACATAGGAAGATTCATACTGGAGAGGGATCATACAAATGTAAGGTTTGTGACAAGGTTTTCCGGAGTGATTCATACCTTGCAGAACATCAGAGAGTTCATACTGGAGAGAAACCATACAAGTGTAATAAATGTGGCAGGAGTTTCAGTCGGAAGTCATCCCTTCAATACCATCATACACTTCACACTGGAGAGAAACCTTACACATGTAATGAATGTGGCAAGGTTTTTAGTCGAAGAGAAAACCTTGCACGTCATCATAGACTTCATGCTGGAGAGAAACCTTACAAATGTGAAGAATGTGACAAAGTTTTCAGTCGCAGATCACACCTTGAAAGACATAGGAGAATTCATACTGGGGAAAAACCATACAAATGTAAGGTTTGTGACAAGGCTTTCCGGAGTGATTCATGCCTTGCAAACCATACGAGAGTTCATACTGGAGAGAAACCTTACAAGTGTAATAAATGTGCGAAGGTTTTTAATCAAAAAGGAATCCTTGCACAACATCAGAGAGTTCATACTGGAGAGAAACCTTACAAGTGTAATGAATGTGGCAAGGTTTTTAATCAAAAAGCAAGCCTTGCAAAACATCAGAGAGTTCATACTGCAGAGAAACCTTACAAGTGTAATGAGTGTGGCAAAGCCTTTACTGGACAGTCAACACTTATTCACCATCAAGCAATCCATGGGTGTAGGGAAACTTTACAAATGTAATGATTGTCACAAAGTCTTCAGTAATGCTACAACCATTGCAAATCATTACAGAATCCATATTGAAGAGAGATCTACAAGTGTAATAAATGTGGCAAATTTTTCAGACGTCATTCATAACTTGTAGTTCATCAGTGAACTCATACTGGAGAGAAACCTTACAAATATCATGACTGTGACAAGGTCTTCAGTCAAGCTTCATCCTATGCAAAACATAGAATTCATACAGGAGAGAAACCTCACAAGTGTGATGATTGTGGCAAAGCCTTTACTTCATGTTCACACCTCATTAGACATCAGAGAATTCATACTGGACAGATGCCTTACAAATGTAAGGGTGGCAAGGTCTTCACTCTGTGGTCATTCCATGCAGAACATCAGAAAATTCATTTTTGAGATAATTGTTCCAAATAAAATGAATATAAAAAATCATAAAACTTTAATTGACATTAGAGTTGATTCAACATTGACTTGAGTTTGAGTTGACTTAACATTGAGTTCACGCATTAATTGACATAAAAAGTGTTAATGTTAAGAAGAATGGGTCAGGTGCAGTGGCTCATGCCTGTTTTCCCAGTACTTTGGGAGGCCAAGGCAGGTAGATCACTTGAGGTCAGCAGTTTGAGACCAGCCTGGCCAACAGACTTGAGCCACTTTACCCAGCCTGTTTTTTATTTTTATTTTTTGAGATGGAGTCTTGCTCTTGTCACTCAGGCTATAGTGCAATGACATGATCTCAGCTCACTGGAACCTTCACCTCCTGCATTCAAGCAATTCTCCTGCCTCAGCCTCCTGAGTAGCTGGGATTAGTGATGCATGCCACCACACCATGCTAATTTTTGTATTTTTATTTATTTTTTATTTTATTTTATTTTTTTGTTTTGAGATGGAGTCTTGCTCTTGTCACCCAGGCTGGAGTGCAGTGGTATGGTCTGGGCTCATTGCAACCTTTGCCTCCTGGGCTCAAGCAATTCTTCTGCCTCAGCCTCCTAAGTAGCTGGGATTACAGGTGCCCGCCACCAAGCCTGGCTAATTTTTGTATTTTTAGTAGAGAGGGTGTTTCTCCATGTTGGTCAGTCTGGTCTTGAAATCCTAACCTCAGCTGATCCACCCACCTCGGCCTCCCAAAGTGGTGGGATTACAGGCGTGAGCCACTGCAACTGGCTCTTTTAAATGTAATTTTATTTATTTATTTATTTTTGAGCCTGTTTTGCAGCCTTTACAAAAATCAGGGTTTTCCCACAAGATCATGAAGATTTTCATATAAGGGACCTCTGACCATTTGTGTTGGCGTTGGCAGTAAAGGTCAAGCAGGAATAAGGTAATAACATTCAAGCTCCCCACCTTTGGCCAGGTTCCTGCCTTTCTAGTTCATATTTTGGCCAAACCTAGCTACTCGCCAGGCTGAGGCAAGAGAATCACTTGAACCCGGGAGGCGGAGGTTGCAGCGAGCCAAGATCGCACCATTGCACTGCAGCCTGGGCAAAAAGAAAGAAACTTAGTCTAAAAAAAAGAAAAAATCAAGACCCTTCTCCTCTCTCCGTCATCGTAGTGTGTGCTTGACTTGGCTTCTTGCCATGTCTTCTCACAAGACTTTCAGGATTAAGAGAGTCCTGGCCAAGAAACAAAAGCAGAATTGTTCCATTCCCCAGTGGATTCGCATGAAAACTGATAATAAGGTCACAATCACGCAACCATATCAAGCTGAAAATGTCACCCCTATCTGGAGAGTTGGACATGTTTTATTGGGAATATATTTTTTATCTCTGACTCTGTTACGAACACATTGGTTGGCTAGGTTCGGTAATAAATATGTGAAACATTTTATTTAAAAAAAAAAAACGTCAATTGGGCGTGGTGGCTCACGCCTGTAATCCTAGCACTTTGGGAGTCCAAGGCAGGTGGATCACAAGGTCAGGAGATCGAGACCATCCTGGCTAACATGGTGAAACCCCGTCTCTACTAAAAATACAAAAAATTAGCCGGGCGTGGTGGCGGGCGCCTGTAGTCCCAGCTACTCGGGAGGCTGAGGCAGGAGAATGGCATGAACCCGGCAGGCGGAAGTTGCAGTGAGCTGAGATCGCGCCACTGCACTCCAGCCTGGGTTGACAGAGCAAGACTCCATCTCAGAAAAAAAATAAATAAATAAAAAATAAAAATAAAATAAGTCAAATGACGTAATTCGATAGAGTACCTTAACCTTTGTTTTGTTTTTTTGAGCTGGAGACTCCACTGTGTTCAGTGGATCACACCTGTGGTCCACGCACCTTGGGAGGCTGAGGTGGGAGGATTGCTTGAGACTGAGTCTCCTGGGAATCTTCTCGTCTCTTCTAACCCAGTTCATGACAGACCCTTGGACTTTATTGATGTGGAAAATCTATATAAAGCAATATCATTGTGTCAAAGCATTATGTCTGTCTGAGCTTGTGAAAGGATAATAAAAATTACCAAGCCAAAGAGAAAGGTCAAGCTGGGAATTGGGACAGAAAAACCTGCCTCCCATTTTATTCCTAAACAACATAGCTACAAAGACTAAAAAAAGCTACCTAGAGGCTGGGCGCAGTGGCTCACGCCTGTAATCCCAGCATGTTGGGAGGCCGAGGTGGGCAGATCACCTGAGATTGGGTTTTCCAGACCAGCATAACCAACATGGTGTAACCAACATTTTTAGTCTCTACTAAAAATACAAAATTAGCTGGGTGTAGTGGCGGGCGCCTGTAATTCCAGTTACTCAGGAGCCTGAGGCAGGAGAATCGCTTGAACCTAGTAGTCAGAGATTGTGGTGAGCCGAGATTTTGCCACCTGAAAGGGGGAGGACATGGGCTAAAACGATACAAACGCTGCAGAGCCACCGGGTCTGCGAGCTTCCCATGGCGAAGCTGGGACTCCCTGACAACTGCACAAACTCGCGTGGGGATTTCAACATCCCGACGCACCCAAATTCCTGGTATGGCTGGACTGGGGGCTGGGGTGCTGAGAAAGGCAGGTTTGAAGCAGAAAGACAAAAAATCACTCACCTGCGTCAGCCCCGGGCTCTCCGTGCAGAACAACCATGGGCTGGTCCTGGACCCTGTCTGGGAGGGTTCTGGACACTAAGCGGGGACAGGGCAGGAGAGAAAAGGTTGCTGAGCGGGCGGGGCCTGAACAGGTGCTGGGTCGGGGCGAGAGAGTGGAGGCCGCTGTGGGGGCGGGGCCTGGGGCGGGGCAAAAGGGAGAAGGCTGCCTGGGGGCCGGGCCGGACTGCGGGCAGGAGCCAGGCCAGAGGGTTGACGCCGTCTAGGGGGCGGGCTCTGGAAGGTGGGTTGTTCTAAAGGGCCAGGCCTGGAGGGGGCGGGTTCGGGCTTTCTCAGCTGGGCCGTGGATGTCTCCTGCTGTCATCCTCTCCCTCTAGGACTGGATCCTCCGAGTTCTGATTGGTGGATTCATTCTCTTGTGCCGTGATGTTACCCCTAATATCACATGGATGCTTCCTGCCCGTTTTAAGTTAACATTTCAAACAATCGAAGGTAAAACAACTTATTGTAGTAGACCACGTGTGCTGAACGCTGAATAGTTTCTCTTCTTAAATTGAAAATGGTTTTAATGCAAAGCGCCTTTTTGGAGCAGGTAGAGTCGTGCGTCCTGCAGGCGGGGCGAGCTCCCCTCAGTCTGGGGCAGGGCGGGGGAGAGGGGCAGGGACCTCGGTAAAGGGGTGGAGTGGGGCGCTGGTTGCAGCGGGAACTGACAGAACGGCTTATTAAACTAAGCAAGGTCCTGGGTTGTTTGAGTGGATAATGGAAACTGAAAAGTGACAAGCAAAACTGCCTATTACACACAGGAGGTGGAGGATAGGGGTTTCATATTTCATGGAAATAAAGTCAGGGCCCGGAGCGGTGGCTCACACCTGTAATCCCAGCACTTTGAGAGGCTGAGGCAGGAAGATTGCTTGAGCCCAGGAGTTCGAGATCAGCCGGGGCAACGTAGTGAGACATTGTCTGTACTAAAAATCAAAAAACGAGTCAGGTGTGGTGGTGTGCGCCTGTGGTCCCAGCTGCTCGGGGCGCTGAGGTGAAAGGATCACTTGAGCCAGGGATTTCACGGCTGCAGTGAGTTCTAATCTCTCCACCACGCTCCAGCCTGGGTGACAGAGCTAGACCCTGTCTCAAACAAACAAGGAAATAGAGGTATAATTCCTCCTTTGAAAAAAAAAAGATTTTTTTTTGCCTCTTTTCTTGGGACATTTATTTAGAAAATTTGTAAATGCATTTTCTCTGTCTTCTGTGTGGGGAAAAGAGAGATCAGACTTACTATGTCTATGTAGAAAAAGGAAGACATAAGAAACACCATTTTGATCTGTACTACGAAAAATTCTTCTGCTTTGAGATGCTGTTAATCTGTAACCCTAGCCCCAACCCTGTGCTCCAGAAACATGTGCTGTGTTGACTCAAGGTTTAATGGATTTAGGGCTGGGCAGGATGTGCTTTGTTAAAAATGTGTTTGCTGGCAGTATGCTTGGTAAAAGTCATCGCCATTCTCCATTCTCGGTTACCCAGGGACACAATGCACTGTGGAAGGCCGCAGGGACCTTTGCCTGAGAAAGCCTGGGTATTGTCCAGGTTTCCCCCCACTGAGACAGCCTGAGATATGGCCTTGTGGGAAAGGAAAGACCTTATATCCCCTAGCCCGACACCTGTAAACCGTGTGTGCTGAGGAGGATTAGTGAGAGATAAAGGCCTCTTTGCAGTTGAAATAAAAGGAAAGCGTCTGTCTCCTGCTCGTCCCTGGGAATGGAATGTCTCAGAGTAAAACCCGATCGTACATTATATTTACTGAGATAGGAGAAAACCATCTTATGGCTGGAGGCTAGACATCATGGTGGCAATACTGCTCTTTACTGCACTGACATGTTTGTGTAAACTCAAATATAAATCTGGCCTACGTGCACATCCAGGCACAGCACCTTTCCTTAAACTTATTTATGACAGAGTCCTTTGCTCTCATGTTTTCCTGCTGACCCTTCCCCACCATTACCGTATAGTCCTTCCACATCCCCCTCTCCGAGATGGTAGAGATAGTGATCAATAAATACTGAGGGAACTCAGAGACCAGTGCCGGCGCGGGTCCTCCGTATGCTGAGCACTGGTCCGCTGGGCCCACTTTTCTTCCTCTATACTTTGTCTCCGTGTCTTATTTCTTTTCTCAGTCTCTCATCTCCATCTTGCGAGAAATACCCACAGGTGTGTAGGGGCAGGCCCCCTTCACTTCTGAGGGTTTTTTTTTTTTTTTTTTTGAGACAGAGTTTTGCTCTTATTGCCAGTGCTGGAGTGCAATGATGCAATCTCAGCTCACCGCAATCTCTGTCTCCCAGTTTCAAACGATTATCCTGCCTCAGCCACCAGAGTAGCCGGGATTACAGGCATGCACCAGCATGCCCGGCTAATCCTGTATTTTCACAAGAGACGGGGTTTCTCCATGTTGGTCAGGCTGGTCTCGAACTCCTGATCTCAGGCGTTCTGCCTGCCTCGGTGGTTTGACACTGGGATTACAGGCATGAGCCACCGCTCCCGGCTTGAAGTGGTATTTTTTAGAAACAACCTAAACTTTTTTTCAGCTTAATAACCCATGGATGTATTTCTGAAGGACCTGGGGTCTCTCTTTGAAAGGCAAACAACAAGAGAGACGGTACCTGTAACTCAGTAGGAAATTAAACGTTTGAAATATCAAATAATTCCAATTTAAACAATTTAAAGGTATGGACCTTTAAATAATTCTGAGCCTTGAAAGGAATGTGGTCATGCAACCTGTGTCCTGTGGTATGCAGACGCAACTTCTTTTTTCTTTTTTCTTTTTGAGACGTAGTCTCACTATGTAACCCAGGCTGGAGTGCAGTGGCATGATCTCAGCTTACTGCAACCTCCGCCTCCTGGGTTCAAGCGATTCTCCTGCCTCAGCCTCCCAAGTAGCTGGGACTACATTCACGCACCACCACGCCTGGCTAATTTTTGTATTTTTTAGTAGAGACAGGATTTCACCGTATTGGCCAGGCTGGCATCAAACTCCTGACCTCGTGATCCGCCCGCCTCAGCCTCCTAAAGTGCTGGGATTACAGGCGTGAGCCACCGGCGCCCGGCTGCAGACGCAACTTCTAAGAGTTTTCCTGGCCAGACGCGGTGGCTAACTCCTGTAGTCCCAACACTTTGGGAGACCAAGGCGGGTGGATCACTTGAGGTCAGGAGTTCGAATCCAGCCCGGCCAACGTGATGAAACCCCAGTCTCTACTAAAAATACAAAACAATTAGCCAGGCTTGGTGGCGCGCATCTGTAATCCCAGCTAGTTGGGAAGCTGAGGCAAGAGAACTACCTTAATCCGGGAGGTGAATTTTGCAGTAAGGCGGAGATCTCGCCGCTGCACTCCAGCCTGTTCAACAGAGAAATACTCTGTCTCAAAAAAGGAAAGAAAAGAAAAAATGTAAATATAAAAATGAAAGTAATAGATCTCTTCCACAAATGTGCTGGGACAACTAACTGGATATCCACATGAAAAATAACAATGTTGGATCCCCATCTCACAAAATCAAAAATTTTATTTAAAAAAAAGTTAAAAAAAAAAAGAGAGAGAGACAAGGAAGGGAGCGCTGCGGGAGGCGGTGTTACTTTGTCGCCCAGGCTGGCTTGGACCCCCAGGCTCAGCATCCTCCCGCCGCTGCTTCCTGAGCAGCTGGGACCTCAGACTTCCGCCCCCGCGCCCGCATTCCTGCTGTGTTTAAGCAGCAGGTGGTGACCTCACTCCTCCCTGGCCTGAGCACTCGGTCCCGCATCCCAGGCGGAGGCCCTGGGGAAGTCTCTGAAGCTGAGCACAGGGTGGACTGTCCCTCCTGAGTGAATGGAAAATAGAAAGGGAGAGGATTTCTATTCTGTTCTGTGGGCCGTCAGCATGAAATCGTATGTTCCGCCCAGGCAGGGCTTTGCATTTCACATTCTAGTTTGCATCCCCTTCCAGACAATTCCAGGGCTTTTGAATCATGCCTCAGCCTTCCTGGCCGGTCTCGCCTCCAAAACCCGAAAAATTGAGGCTCTGGGAGCCAGGCTGAGAGACGCACAGGTCCCGCCCCGGCCCCGCCCCCGCCCCGCCCTCTGTCTGTTCTGAAGGGCAAGGTCTCTCCGCCTCGCGCCCCGCCCCTACCTCGCTCAGGCCCCGCCTACCTCCCCGCGGGTCCCGCCCAGGCCTGGCTTCTGTCCCCAGAGAGCAGATTCGCACAAACCCGGAAGCGGGTCGCGTGGAGTGACGGTCCCACCGCGGGGGTGAGTTTTGCTCTGTGTTGTGTTAAGTCTGCGCTTCCCGGGTCCCAGGCGCTTCTGTACCTGGGACGTGGGGTCCTCATAGACCTGGAAGTTCTCCTCCGTCTTTCTTTACCCAGAGCAAATTGAGAAGTCCCCGTGAGAGTCTGGGGGTCGCTTCCTTTTGGGTTTAAAGTCACCATAGACCGGTCCCGTCCCGAATCTTTCTGCTATAGGGTAACGTATACACTTCCCATCGCGTAGTTTTCCTGCTCAAAACTTTTTTCTGACTCCTCCCAACCCGCACTTTTTAAAGTCCTTACCGCGAGGCGGATTCCCGCCCTGGGCGCCTCCCAGTCTTGTCTTAAGGCGCCGTCGCCCCCCACCTCCCTCCTCGTGCCGGGCCCTTATGCTCCCCAGGTCTTCCCTCCGTAATCACCGTTTCTCCTGAGCCCGCGTTGGGGAGGTGCCCGGGGCTGTCCTATGACACCGTGTGTTCTTGCCTGCCCTGCACCAGCCTCTGGAAAATGCGCTCCTCCGGGATGCAGGCATCTTACTTCAAAGCCCTCCTGTGATTGTGTTGGCCAAAGGGATCGGGAGACTGAGAGAGAGAGCAGTAGAAAACCTGAGACAGAGAAAAGAAGAATGAGAAAGGCCATAACAGATGGTAGCGTAGAGGATGGGTGAAGGATTTGCCAAGAGACAGCAAAAGTGGAAAAAAAAAAAAAAAAAAAAAGGATAAGAAAAACAGGAGGAGAAAAGGAACTGGAGAAAAGTAGAGAAAAGCTTGATGTACAGAGAGATGAAGAAGAGCAAGGTAGGGAGGGGGCAGCAAAGAGGGAGGCTCATCAGAGTGAGGGAGAGGAGGAGGGGTTTGGAGCCAGGGCAGACAGAGCAGAGTGGTGCTGGTGGCAAGAACAGAGGGAGAAGCACAGCAGGGAGGACACCTGGGGATCTGGGGTGCTAGAGATTGGGGAAAGGGGGATTTAACAGGGAAGAGATAATTTAACAGGGAGAGCAGAGGAGGCGCAGAGATGGGAGAAGAGGCAGAAATATATGGAGATTGAGGATGATCGAAAGATTGGGGAGAAGGAGCAACAAGAGGTTAAAGAATTTGCGACGATGGAGCAGAAGAGGTGGAAGAGAAGTAATAGAGGGAAGAAGGGGATAAACAGCAGGAGAGGAGAGGGGTACAAAATGAAGAGCAGAATCCCAGGGAAAAAGAAAAGAAAACAAGAGCTAGAGAGAGAAGGGGAGAATGAGAGATATGTACAGAATTAGGGAGGGAAGCACAGTAATGAAGACAGAGGGGCTGGGCGCAGTGGCTCACGCCTGTAATCCCAGCACTTTAAGAGACTGAGGCAAGGGGATTGCTTGAGTCCAGGAGTTCGAGGCCAGCCTGGGCAACATAGTGAGACCCCCATCTCTGCCAAAAGAAAAAAAAAATTAACTGGATGTGATGGTACACACCTGTAATCCCAGCTACTCTGGAGGCTGAGGCAGGAGGATCACTTGAGCCCAGGAGGTCCAGCCTGCAGTGAGCCGAGATCATGCCACTGCACTCCAGCCTGGTCAACAGAGCAAGACCCTGTCTCAAAAGAAAAAAAGGGGCGGGGAACTTTGGGTTCAGATGAGTGGGTGAGTTCATTAGATATGATTCGTTGTGACATGCTGACTTCTATGTATGTAGTTTAATAACTTAAAACTTGTTTAAATTATACAGATGAGATTGAGAATTTTAAAATTCCTATCTATGAGACATGTACATTCTATAAATCTTGGCATCAGAGGTTAGCTTCCAGTTGGAATCCCTATTCAGCCAGAGGGTTGTGTCTTCATTCACTTGTTAGACACTCTCTTCCCTTTTCCCAGGATGGAATAGGAAGTGGGGCAGTGAAGTGGGAGAAAAAAATCACTTTCTGTTATCATATAATAGTATAAATTTAATTAATTAATTAATATTTTGAGACAGGGTCTGGCTGTATCGGCCAGGCTGGAGTGCAGTGGCATGATCTCCTCTAACTGCAGCCTCGACCTCCTAGGCTTAAGCGATCCTCCTACCTTAGCCACCCGAGTAGCTGGGACCACAGGCATGAGCCATCAAGCCTGGCTAGCTTTTGTATTTTTTTTTTTTTTTGTAGAAAAGGGGTTTCACTATGTTTCCCAGGCTGGTCTCAAAATTCTGGGCTCAAAGGATCCTTCTGCTTTGACCTCCCAAATTACTGGGATTACAGTTGGGATTACAGAGAGGAGCCACCGCACCTGGCCTACAGAGTCTTTTTTTTTTTTTTTTTTTTTTTTTTTTTTTTGAGGTGGAATCTTGCTCTCGTCTAGGATGGAGTGCAATGGCACAGTCTCGGCTCACCATAATTTCCACTTCCCGAGTTCAAACGATTCTACTGTCTCAGTCTCCCTAGTAGCTGGGATTACAGGCATGAGCCACCACGTTCAGCTAAATTTGTTTTTAGTAGAGATGGGGTTTCTCCATGTTGTTCAGGCTGCTCTCGAACTCCCGACCTCAGGTGATCGCTCACCTCAGTCTCCCAAATGCTGGGATTACAGGCGTGAGCCACCATGCCCATCCCATAGTACTTTTTAAAAGGGACATCAGGGTGCAGTGGCTCACGCCTGTAATCCCAGCACTTTGGGAGGCTGAGGCGGGTGGATCACAAAGATCACAAGGTCAGGAGTTTGAGACCAGCCTGACCAACATGGTGAAATCCTGTCTCCTAAAAATTCAAAAATTACCTGGGCATGTTGGCACGTGCCTGTAATTCCAGCTACTTAGGAGGCTGAGGCAGGAGAATCACTTGAAGGTGGAAGGTGGAGGTTGCAATGAGCCAAGATTGCGCCACTGCACTCCATCCTGGGCGAGAGTGAGACTCCATCTCAAAAAAGAAAAATGGAAAAAAAAAAAAAAAAGGCACATCAAACCTGGGCGTGGTGGCTCATGACTGTAATCCCAGCACTTTGGGAGCCAATCATCTAAGGTCAGGAATTCAAGACCATTCTGGCCAACATGGTGAAACCCCGTCTCTAGTAAAAACACTAAAAAGTAAAGTGGGCGTGGTGGCGTGCACCTGTAGTTCCAGCTGCTCGGGAGGCTGAAGCATGAGAATCACATGAACTTGGGAGGTAGAGGTTGCAGTGAACCGAAATGATACCACTGCACTGCAGCCTGGGGGGCAGAGCGAGGCTTCATCTCAAAAAAAAAAAAACAAAAAATTAAAAAACAAAAGGGACATCAAAAGTGCTTTTGTTCTCGTTGTGTAATAGATTTCCTTTTTTTCTTTCTGGTTCCTCTTCATTTCTTTCTTTTTTTTTTTCTTTCTTTTTTTTTTTTTGGAGTTTGAGATAAATGTTAATTTTAAAAATTCCTTTTTTAATCCATAATCACTTCTTCTGAAAGATGCCTTTGTGGCATCCTATAATCAGCTCACATCATTCCTTTCTGTACAAGTATATGTTCTAGTTATTTTCCCGTTGACATCTGAATTTGTTCGAGTTTTACAAAACAATTTCAAAGTAGTTTCTGTTTGAAATTAGTTGCGTCCGGTTCAGATCGAGGTCTGCATGCTTTCTACTCTTTATTATTTATTGGCAACCTTTGACATCAAAATGTGGTTTAACCAGTTAGTCTGTTTTTCAGTTTTCTTTCCTTATGTCATTGTTAAAATCTTGAGCTGTGAGCTATTAAGTGCATGTTTCCCTCAAGGCCCTCTGGTCCATGTGGACAAATGTTGAAAGCCCAACTCCTCACTGTGGCTCCATAGCCCTGTGTCCAGGGCCCCTGCCAGTGTCCAGCCTCCTCCTGGGAGCTTGCCCTCATCTCATGACTCCCTCTGCCCCAGTCACATTTGCTTATCTGTTTTCCCAAAAATTAAAATCCTGCCTGTCTCTGGTCATTGTCCCTGCTCTTACCCTATGTCCCTAAATTATCATGGCCCTTTCCCTATTTCCTCCTTCAGGTCTAGGCTCAGAGATGTCTCCCATGCCCTCCCACCCCCATCTGAAGTTCCCTCTGCCTGTCAGTCTCTATCACATTACTCAGATTTTATTATCTCTGCATCAGTCACATCAGAAATGCTCTTTTTATTTTTTTATTTTTTGAGACAGAGTCTCACTCTATCATCCAGGCTGTGAGTGCAGTCTCATGACATCTCTCCCTGCAACCTCTGTCTCCTGGGTTCAAGCGATTCTTGTGTCTCACCTCACAAGTAGCTGAGATTACAGGTGTGTGCCACCACACCTGGCTAATTTTTGTATTTTAATTCTAATTTAATTTTATTTTACTTTTGAGTCTCAATCTGTCACCCAGGCTGGAGTGCAGTGGCACGATCTTGGCTCACTGCAACCTCCACCTCCTAGGTTAAAGCGATTCTCCTGCCTCAGCCTCCCGAGTAGCTGGGATTACAGACACCCACCAAGCCCAGCTACTTTTTGTATTTTTAGTAGAGATGGGGTTTCACCATGTTGGCCAGGCTGGTCTCGAACTCCTAACCCCAAGTAATCCACCTGTCTCGGCCTCCCAGAGTGCTAGGATTACAGGCATGAGCCAACTCACCTGCTCCTATTTTTGTATTTTTAGTAGAGATAGGGTCTCACCATGTTGGCCAGGCTGGTCTTGAACTCGTGACCTCAGGTGATCTGTCTGCCTCGGCCTAGCAGTGTGCTGGGATTATAGGCGGGAGCCACCGTGCCCACCCAGAAACACCTTTCTGCATGGGTTATTTTGAAAATTTTGTGTCTCCCTTCACTGAAGGATGCACAGTTCTCATCTTGGCCACAGGACAACTGCAGCACCTACTCTGGGGTTATAGTTCAGATGCTGAGGCATCCTCAGGGAAGACTCAGGGCCTGGGGCAAGTGTGAGGATGGTCCCACATTTCTTCTTGAAATTTCAACTCTAATTGATCTGAACTTCCTGTGGCTATTTATTTCAGTCAAAATAAGAAGAGAAGGCCTCACTAGGGTCAGAAAAGCCTTACAGGCCAGACCCTGTGTCCTCAGGCAGTGCCGAGGCATCCCCACTTTTATCACCTGTGCCACTGCCTTACTCCAGCTCCTGGGTCTTCCGTGCTCTGCACATCACCAGGACCCAGTTTGGCCGTTATGGGCAGGGACTTTGCCACAAGCAGGTGATGAGCTCAGAGTCAGGGGTTCTGGATTCCCTTCAGGAAGGGTGGGGAGAAGGTCAGGGACCTGAGGGCATGAAGGACACACTCCTACACAACTAGTTCTGTTCCAGAGGAGCTGGAGGCTCCGTGACTTCAGGAAGATTCTTCCAAGGATCAAGAGTGCAAACAGCACAGTGAACTGCAGCCCAAGGGCAACCTCCTCCTACCAGGCCAGTGGCGATGATGCTCTAGTGGCTTTTTCTTGCCTGTCACAACACGCGAGCATGCACACACACACACACACACACACACACACCGAGTCACAAGGCAGCTGGGGAGCCGAAGGTCAAGATGCTATAATGTAAATGTGTAGCTGGGTGCAGTGGCTCACGCCCATAGTTCTACCACTTTGTGAAGGGGTCCTGTCCCTCCAACACCCATGGATATTTCTCACAAGGTGGAGGTGAGAGACTGAGAAAAGAGACAAAGTACAGAGGGAGAAAAGTGAGCCCAGAGGACCGGCGGTCAGCAAGTGAGGACCTGCACCGGCATTGGCCTCTGAGTTCCCTCAGTATTTATTGATCACTATCTTTACCATCTTGGAGAGGGGAATGTGGCAGGACTATAGGGTGATGGTGGGGAGAAGTTCAGCAGGAAAACATGTGAGCAAAAGACTCTGTGTCATAAATAAGTTTAAGGAAAGGTGTTGTGCCTGGATGTGCATGTAGGCCAGATTTATGTTTGACTTTACACAAACATCTCAGTGCAGTAAAGAGCAGTATTGCCGCCATGATGTCTCGCCTCCAGCCATAGGGCGGTTTTCTCCTATCTCAGAATAGAATGTCTGGTCGGTTTTACACTGAGTCATTCCATTCCCAGAGACGTGCAGGAGACAGATGCTTCCCCCTTATCTCAATGGCACAGAGGCCTTCCTCTTTCACTAATCCTCCTCAGCACAGACCGTTTACAGGTGTCAGGCTGGGGGACAGTCAGGTCTTTCCCTTCCCATGAGGCCATATCTCAAGCTGTCTCAGTCGGGGGAGACCTGTGCAATACCCAGGCTTTCTTGGGCAGGGTTTCCTGCGGCCTTCCGCAGTGTATTGTGTCTCTGGTTAATAGAGAATGGAGAATGGCAATGAATGGCAGTGGTAAACCAAGCATACTGCCTGCAAACACATTTTCACCAAGGCACACCCTGCACAGCCCTAGATCCATTACACCTTGAGTCAATACAGCACATGTTTCTGTGACACAGGGTTGGGACAAAAGTTAAAGATTAACAGCATCTTAAAGTAGAACAATTTTTCTTAGTACAGATCAAAGTGGAATTTCTTTTGTCTTCCTTTTTCTACGTAGACGCAGTAACAATCTGATCTCTCTTGCTTTTCCTCACGGTGCACCACAGAGCTCGGCTATTTTTTAATATTTTTAGTAGAGATGGGGTTTCACCATATTGGTCAGGCTGGTCTCGAATTCCTGACCTCGTGATTCGCCCGCCTCGGCCTTTCAAAATGCTAGGATTACAGGCGTGAGCCACCGTTCCCGGCAGTGCCTGGCTAATTTTTGTATCTTTAGTAGAGATGAACTTTCTACATATTGGTCAGGCTAGTCTCGAACTCCCAACCTCAAGTGATTCACCCGCCTGGTTTTTAAAAGTTAATGCTTTTAGATTGCTTCACATATTGGAAGTTTTATGGTACAGACTGTAAACTTTTTTTGTTTAATAAGATTTGTCAGCCTTCGGTGATGTTGGTGATGAGATGCCTCTTTTCCTGTCTCGCTCATTTCACTGTTCTGTCAGAAATAGCTTACACTAGCCAGCCGCGGTGACTCACACCTCTAATTCCAGCACTTTGAAAGGCCGAGGTGGGTAGATCGCTTGAGGTCAGGATTTTGAGACCAGTTGCACAAACATAATGAAACCTCAAATCTACTAAATGAAAATAAAATTGGCTGAGCGCAATGGCTCACCCTTGTAATCCCAGCATTTTGGGAGGCTGAGAAAGACAGATCACCTCAGGTCAGAAGTTCAAGACCAGCCTGGCCAACATGGTGAAACCCTGTCTCAACTAAAAATACAGAAATTAGCTGAGCTTGGTGCACCTGTAATCCCAGCTATTTGGGAGGCTGAGACAGGAGAATCACTTGAACCCGGGAGGCTATGCTGCAGTGAGCCATGATCGTGCCACTGCCCTCCAACCTGGGTGACAGTGGGAGACTCTGTCTCCCCCCCCCAACAAAAAAAATTAACCAGGCGTGGTGGCGTGTGCCTTAGTCCCAGCTACTCCAGAGGCTGAGGCGGGAGAATCTCCTCAGGCAGGAGAATCGTGCCACTACACCCCAGTCTGGGTGATGAAGCGTGACTCAGTCTCAAAAACAGACAAAAAAAGAAATAGTGTAAACTAGAAAGCTTCAGACACAGAAATTTATTTCTCATGAATCTGGAAAGTGGAAAATCTAAGAGCAAGATTTCAACCAGATTGGTTCCTGGTGAGATCCTTCTTCATGGTTTCGTCCAGCCATCTTCCTCCTGTGTCCTGACATGGTGTAAAGAGGAACAGGCAATGAACACTTTACTGTCTCTTTTTTATAAAAGCACTAGTCCTGGCCAGGCGCCGTGGCTCTTGCCTGTAATCCCAGCACTTTGGGAGGCCGAGGCAGCCGGATCACCTGAGGTCGGGAGTTCGAGACCAGACTGACCAACATGGAGAAACCACGTTTCTACTAAAACTACAAAATTAGCCGGACGTGGTGGCGCATGCCTGTAATCCCAGTTGCTCGGGAGGCTGAGGCAGGAGAATCGCTTGAACTGAGGAGACCGAGGTCGTGGTGATCCAAGATCATGCCATTGCACTCCAGCCTGGGCAACAAGAGCAAAATTCCGTCTCAAAAATCAGTAAATAAAGAAAAAATAAAAATAAAAGCATTAGTCCTATTCATGAACAGTCAACACAGAAGACCAAATTCTATAAAAGGCCTCATCTGCAGGAACATCCTATCGGAGAATAAGAAATCTGATAATGACTTTTAGCCAATACAAACATTTAGGCCAGATAGCCTGCATCATATTTTTTGTTTTTGCTGTGCAGTTTGTTTTCTACAAAGTTTTCTCTGACTCAGTTTATAAATTTTCCCAGTACACATTCTATGTTTTGCATTTTATGCATAGCAAACTATATAAGGGCAATGCATTGTGGGGAAAAGAAAGAGAGATCAGATTGTTACTGTGTCTATGTAGAAAAGGAAGACAAGAAATTCCATTTTGGTCCATATGAAGAAAAATTGTTTTGCTTTGAGATGCTGTTAATCTGTAACTTTAGCCCCAACCCTGTGCTCACAGAAAAGTGCTGTACTGAATCAAGGTTTAATGGATTTAGGGCTGTGCATGATGTGCCTTGTTTTTTTTTTTTTTTATTTTTTTTTATTTTTTAATTTTTGACACGGAGTCTCGCTCTGTCTCCCAGACTGGATTGCAGTGGCACAATCTTGGCTCACTGCAAGCTCCACCTCCTGGGTTCATGCCATTCTCCTGCCTCAGCCTCCTGAGTAGCCGGGACTACAGGTGCCCGCCACCATGCCGGACTAATTTGTTTTGTATTTTTAGTAGAGACGGGTTTCACCGTGTTAGCCAGGATGGTCTCGATATCGTGACCTCGTGATCTGTCTGCCTCGGCCTCCCAAAGTGCCGGGATTACAGGCATGAGCCACAGCGCCCTGCAGGATGTGCCTTGTTAACAATATGTTTGCAGGCAGTATGCCTGCTAAAAGTCATCGCCATTCTCCATTCTCGATTAACAAGGGGCACAATGTACTGTGGAAAGCCGCAGGGACCTCTGCCCAAGAAAGCCTGGGTATTGTCCAAGGTTTCCCCTCACTGAGACAGCCTGAGATATGGCCTCATGCGAAAGGAAAGACCTTACCATCCCCCAGCCTGACACCCATAAGGGGTCTGTGCTGAGGAGGAGTAGTGAAAGAGGAAGGCCTCTTTGCAGTTGAGAAAAGAGGAAGGCTTCTGTAGGCTGGGTGTGGTGGCTCACACCTGTAATCCCAGCACTTTGGGAGGCCAAGGCGGGTAGATCACGGGAAAAGGAGACCGAGACCATCCTGGCTAACACGGTGAAACTCCGTCTCTACTAAAAATCTAAAAAATTAGCCAAGTGTGGTGGCGGGTGCCTATAGTCCCAGCTACTTGGGAGGCTGAGGCAGGAGAATGGCGTGAACCTGGGAGGCAGAGCTTACAGTGAGTTGAGATCGTGCCACTGCACTCCAGCCTGGGCGACAGAGCGAGACTCCATCTCAAAAAAAAAAAAAAAAAAGGGAGAAAGGCTTCTGTCTCCTGCTCATCCGTGGGAATGGAATGTCACGGTGTAAAGCCGACCATTCCCATTCGTTCTCTTCTGAGACAGGAGAAAAGCGCCCCATGGCTGGAGGCGAGATATGCTGGCAGTAATACTGCTCTTTTACTCTTTCCTACACTGAGATGTTTGGGTGAAGAGAAACAAAAATCTAGCCTAATTGCACATCCAGGCACAGTATGTTTCCTTGAACTTATTCATGATACAGATTCCTCTGCTCACATGTTTCCCTGCTGACCTTCTCCCCACTTGTTCCCCTACTACACTCCCCTCGCTAAAATAGTAAAAATAATGATCAATAAATACTGAGGAAACTCATAGACTGGCGCCGATGCAGGTCCTTGCATGTTGAGTGTGCCGGTCCCCTGGGCCCACTGTTCTTTCTCTATACTTTGTCTCTGTGTCTTCTTTCTTTTCTGAGTCTCTCATCCCACCTGATGAGAAATACCCACAGGTGTGGAGGGTCAGGCCCCCTTCAATGCATATATATAGAACTTATAGGGTCCAGCACTATGGGGCTTAGCGGGTATTCACCCCGTGTGCAGAGACAAGAGATTGTAGTAAGTAAAGACACAAGACAAAAAGATAAAGAGAAAACAGCTGGGCTTGGGAGACAACTACCATCAAGTTGAGGAGACCGGTAGTGGCCCAGAAAGGCTGGGCTCGCTGGTATTTATTGCATACAAGACAAGGGGGCAGGGTAAGCAGGGTGAATCTTCTAAGTGATTGACAAGGTGAAGAAAGTCACGTGATCACGGGACAGGGGGCCCTTCCCTCTTAGGTAGCCGAAGCAGAGAGAGAAGGCAGCATACATCAGCATTTTCTTCTATGCACTTATAAGAAAGATCAAAGACTTTAAGACTTTCACTATTTCTTCTACCGCTATCTACTATGAACTTCAAAGAGGAGCCAGGAGTACGGGAGGAGCATGAAAGTGGACAAGGAGCTTGACCATTGAAGCACAGCACCACAGGGAGGGGTTTAGGCCTCGGGATGACTGCGGGCAGGCCTGGATAATATCCAGCCTTCCACGAGAAGCTGGTGGAGCAGAGTGTTCCCTGACTCCTCCAAGGAAAGGAGACTCCCTTTCGCGGTCAGCTAAGTAACAGGTGCCTTCCCAGACACTGGCGTTACCGCTTGACCAAGGACCCCTCAAGCGGCCCTTATGCGGGTGTGACAGAGGCCTCACCTCTTGCCTTCTAGGTCACTTCTCACCATGTCCCTTCAGCACCTGACCCTATACCCGCCAGTTATTCCTAGGTTATATTAGTAATGCCACAAAGAGTAATATTAAAAGCTAAAGATTTATACTGTTTATAATAATGATTGATAATTGTCCATGATCATCTCTGTATCTAATTTGTGTTGTGATTGTTCTTATTCTAACTATTTTCTTTATTATACTGAAATGGTTTGTGCCTTCAGTCTCTTGCCTCGGCACCCGGGTAATCCTCCACCCACAAGAACTGCCTCAGTCTCCCAAGTAGCTGGGATTACAGGTGCCCACCACCATGCCCAGCTGATTTTTTTGTGTTTTTAGTAGAGATGGGGTTTCCCCATGTTGGCCAGGCTGGTCTCAAACTCCTGACCTCATAATCCGCCAGCCTCAGCCTCCCAAAATGCTGGGATTACAGGTGTGAGCCACCGTGCCCGGCCGTTAGTCAATTCTTATTCCTTTTAATGCTATGTATTTTCTTTTCTTTTCTTTTCTTTCTTTCTTTCTTTTTTTTTTTTTTTTTTTTTTTTTGAGATAGAGTCTAGCTCTGTCCCCCAGGCTGGAGTGCAGTGGCGCCATCTCGGCTCACTGCAACCTCCCAGGTTCACACCATTCTCCTGTCTCATCTTTCTGAGTAGCTGGGCCTACAGGTGCCCACCACCACGCCCAGCTAACGTTTTGTATTTTTAGTAGAGGCAGGGTTTCACCATGTTAGCCAAGATGGTCTCGATCTCCTGACCTCGTGATCTGCCCGACTTGGCCTCTCAAAGTGCTGGGATTACAGGTGTGAGCCACCGTGCCCAGCATTGTTGTGTATTTTCTTGACCTCCTACATCAGAGGGTAGTGGGCTTTTTTTTTTTTTTGAGACGGAGTCTTGCTCTGCACCAGGCTGGAGTGCAGTAGTGCGATCTCGGCTCTCTGCAACCTCCACCTCCCGGGTTTAAGTGATTCTCCTGCCTCAGCCTCCCGAGTAGCTGGGATTACAGGCACACACCACCACACCCAGCTAATTTTTGTATTTTTAGTAGAGACGGCATTTCACCATGTTGGCCAGGATGGTCTCGATCTCTTGACCTTGTGATCCGCCTGCCTCGGTCTCCCAAAGTGCTGGGATTACAGGCGTGAGCCACCATGCCTGGTCTAGAAGGTAGTGATCTTAATATGTATTTCAGGTCTTATATGGTGTGCTGGTGGTTAAGTAGACATTGTGGACTTTTTCTTAAGAGAGAATTGCTTACAATTCTGCAGGCTATATAAATGTACTTATTTTCTTGCTGGTTTTATCATGGGTTACAATATATTATTAATTTTTCTGATTTTACATATGGCTTTTAAGTATCTGGTATGCAATATAACTGACACATTCCACTTGTTAATGTCACAAAGTGCCACCAGGCACAGAGGCTCACACCTGTAATCCCAGAACTTTGGGGAGCCAAGGCGTGTGGATTACTTGAGGTCAGGAGATTGAGACTTGCCTGGCCAACATGGTGAAACCCCATCTCTGCTAAAAATACAAAAATTAGCTGTGCATAGTGGCGTGTGCCTGTAATCCCAGCTACTCAGGAGGCTGAGGCAGGAGAATCACTTCAACCGTGGAGGCAAAGGTTGTAGTGAGCCGAGATCCTGCCATTGCACTCCAGCCTGGAGTGCAAGACTCTGTCTCAAAAAAATAAAACTACCAAATTTTTTTAAAGTCACAAAGTGCCTGTTCTGCATGGATAAAGGTAATTTTATGATATTTATCTAGAAAAATATTGTATTAACATTTTCTTTTATTGTTTTCTTTTTTTTTTGAAACAAAGTCTGACTTTGTCGCCCAGGCTTAATTGCAGTGGTGCGATCTCGGCTCACTGCAACTTCTCCCTCCCAGGTTCAAGCAATTCTTCTGCCTCAGCCTCCTGAGTAGCTGGGAATACAGGTGCCGGCCATGACACAAGGCTAAGTTTTGTAATCTTTTGTTATCTTCTCAGTGCTATGATTGTTTGACAATACAGAATTTCCATTGATTTTGATTATCCTTACATGAGCTTGTTGTGGATTATTTACCAATATAGTATATTGTATGGTCCTACAGCATTTATTTGTATACAGTAAATATGCTGTAAGTATGAAGAATACATTTTTTTCTTCTTTCATAGACAGTGATATGTTTTTTGCAAACTCTCATACACTTTAGGGTCACAGTGGAAAAACACTCCATACTTTAGGCTTACACATGTTTGTGCCCTGTCAGTGTTTTGTCATGATATTAGAAATAGGCTTCCATAGAAATGACTTGAAGTACATGCTATCACCCTTTATTTGTTATAGAATCTTACTCCTTTTGTGTTCCTAAACTTTGAAGCTCATGTTTGGAAAGTTTAAAATAAGAATTGTTTTTTTGGTTCATATTTACACATTTCAGTATTGTTTATCATCTGTACTTAATTAGAAACCTATTGGTGTTTATATTTTGTAGATATCTCTTCCAAATGCATGATGAAGGAGTTCTCATCCACAGCGCAAGGCAATACAGAAGTGATCCACACAGGGACATTGCAAAGACATGAAAGTCATCACATTAGAGATTTTTGCTTCCAGGAAATTGAGAAAGATATTCATAACTTTGAGTTTCAGTGGCAAGAAGAGGAAAGGAATGGTCACGAAGCACCCATGACAGAAATCAAAGAGTTGACTGGTAGTACAGACCGACATGATCAAAGGCATGCTGGAAACAAGCCTATTAAAGATCAGCTTGGATCCAGCTTTCATTCGCATCTGCCTGAACTCCACATATTTCAGCCTGAATGGAAAATTGGTAATCAAGTTGAGAAGTCTATCATCAATGCCTCCTTAATTTTGACATCCCAAAGAATTTCTTGTAGTCCCAAAACCCGTATTTCTAATAACTATGGGAATAATTCCCTCCATTCTTCATTACCCATACAAAAATTGGGAAGTACACATGAGAGAAAAATCTTTCCAATGTAATGAGAGTGGCAAATCCTTTAATTATAGCTAACTCTTAAGGAAATATCAGATAATCCATTTAGGATAGAAACAATATAAATGTGAGGTATGTGACAAGGTCTTTAATCAGAATTGATTCCTTGTATGCCATAATAGATGTCACACTGGTAAGAAACCTTACAGTTGTTATGAGTGTGGCAAGACCTTCAGTCAGACGTCATCCTTTACATGCTATCGTAGACTTCATACTGGAGGGAAACCTTACAAGTGTAGTGAGCATAACAAGACCTTTGGTTGAAATTCAGCCCTTGTAATTCATAAGGCAATTCATACTGGAGAGAATCCTTGCAAGTGTAATGAATGTGGCAAGGTTTTTAATCAGAAAGCACACCTTGCACGTCATCATAGACTTCATACTAGAGAGAAGCCTTACAAATGTGAAGAATGTGAAAAAGTTTTCAGTCGCAAATCACATCTTGAAAGACAAAACTTAAAAGAGGTGGCGTTGCCCTTGTTTTTGAGAATGCCCTACTGTGTAAGTGGTAGTGTTCTTTCTTTTTTTTTTTTTTTTAAGACGGAGTCTCACCTGAGCGAGCCTCTGCACTGGCCTTATTTATTATTGTTATTAATTTTTTGTTTTTGAGACGGAGTTTCACTCTTATTGCCCAGGCTGGAGTGCAATGGTGCAATCTTGGCTCACTGCACCCTCTGTCTGTTGGGCTCAAGCGTTTCTCTTGCCTCAGCCTCCCAAGTAGCTGGGACTACAGGTGCATGCCACCACGCCTGGTTAATTTTTGTATTTATAGTGGAGATGGGGTTTCTCCATATTGGTCAGGCTGGTCTTGAACCCTTGACCTCAGGTCATCCACCCGCCTCGGCCTTCCAAAACGCTGGATTTACAGGCTTGAGCCACGCGTCCGGCCTGAAGTGGTATTTTTTAGAAAGTAACTAAACCTTTTTTCAGTTTAATGACCCAGGGATGTATTTCTGAAGGACTTGGGAGCGATCCTTTTAAGGCAAACAAGGGAGATAGTACCTGTATCTTAGTAGGAAATTAAATAATTCAAACATCAAATGTTTCAAATTAAAAGCTACCGACCTTTAAATAATTCTGAGCCTTGAGAGGAACGTGGTCATGCAACAAGAGTCCAGTGGCATGCAGGCACAAGGTTTTTTCTTTTTTGTTTTTTGTTTTTTTTTGAGACAGTCTCGCTCTGTCGCCCAAGCTGAAGTGCAGTGGTGCGATCTCAGCTCACTGCAAGCTCCGCCTCCTGGGTTCACGTCATTTTCCTGTCTCAGCCTCCCCAGTAGCTGGGACTCCAGGCACCCACCACCACTCCCGGCTAATTTTTTGTATTTTTAGTACAGACAGGGTTTCACTGTGTT
The DNA here is from genome assembly GCF_000001405.40 of Homo sapiens. Taxonomy (NCBI): domain Eukaryota; kingdom Metazoa; phylum Chordata; class Mammalia; order Primates; family Hominidae; genus Homo; species Homo sapiens. Next base: position 52,927,537 of record NC_000019.10, on the reverse strand, counting down.
AGCCAGGATGGTCTTGATCTCCTGACCTTGTGATCCACCCACCTCAGCCTCCCAAAGTGCTGGGATTACAGGCATGAATGACCGCGCCCAGCCGCAGGCGCAACTTTTTTGAGTTTTCCTGGCCAGGCGCAGTGGCTCAAGCCTGTAATCCCAGCATTTTGGGAGGCCGAGGTGGGCGGATCACTTGAGGTCAGGAGTTAGAAACCAGCCTGGCCAACGTGGTGAAACCCCGTCTCCAGTAAACATACAAAGCCATTACAGGGCATGGTGGGGCACGCCTGTATTCCCAGCTACTTGGGAGGCTGAGGCAGGAGAACTGCTTGATCCGGGGAGGTGGAAGTTGCAGTGGGCCAAGATCATGCCACTGCACCCCAGCCTGGGCAACAGAGCAAGACTCCGTACCAAAAAAAAAAAAAAAAAAAAAAAAAAGCTATATAATTCAGTTTCCTAATATCAATTTAAAAAAGAAAAGTTTTGGCCAGGCAAAGAGGCTCACACCTGTAATCCCAGCATTTTGGGAGGCCAAGGCGGGAGCATCACGAAGTCAGGAGATGGAGACCATCCTGGCTAACACGGTGAGACCCCCGTCTCTACTAAAAATACCAAAAATTAGCCAGGCATGGTGGTGTGCACCTGTAGTCCCAGCTACTCAGGAGGCAGAGGCAGAAGAATTGCTTGAACCCAGGAGGCGGAGGTTGCAGTGAGCCAAGATCACACCACTGCACTCCAACCTGGGTGACAGAGCGAGACTGTCTCAAAAAAATAAAAAAAGAGGGCCGGGCGCGGTGGCTCACGCCTGTAATCCCAGCACTTTGGGAGGCTGAGGTGGGCAGATCACCTGAGGTCAGGAGTTCGAGACCAGCCTCAACATGGAGAAACCCCGTCTCTATTAAAAATACAAAATTAGCCAGGCGTAGTGATGCATGCCTGTAATCTTAGCTACTCGGGAGGCTGAGGCAGGAGAATTGCTTGAACCTGGGAGGCGGAGGCTGTGGTGAGCCGAGATAGTGCCATAGCACTCCAGCCTGGGCAACAAGAGCGAAACTCTGTCTCAAAAAAAAAAAGAAAAGAAAAAAACACAAAAGTTTTCCTGTAGATAATTAGGAAGACTGAGCAGCCCCAGAGACAAGACCTCTTGACATCATTGTCCCTCTTTTTTCTTTTTTTTTTTTTTTGAGACGGAGTCTCTCTCTGTCACCCAGGCTGGAGTGCAGGGGTGCAATCTCAGCTCACTGCAAGCTCCGCCTCCTGGGTTCACCCCATTCTCCTGCCTCAGCCTCCCAAGTAGCTGGTACTACAGACGCCCATGACCACACGCGGCTAATTTTTTGTATTTTTAGTAGAGATGGGTTTCACTGTGTTAGCCAGGATGGTCTCGATCTCCTGACCTTGTGATCTGCCCGCCTCACCTCCCAAAGTGCTGGGATTACAGGCGTGAGCCACCGCACCTGGCCGATTGTCCCTTCTTATGTAGTGATAAAGTAACCTTTCTTGAACTGTATCAATCCATCACCAGTCAAGTTGCTGCAACTTATCCACTGGTCTTGAATGGAAAATGTGTTGATTCTGGTAAAGCTTCTCTGTCTTTCCCTGTGTGTGAAACCTTAACATCTCTACTTGGGAACACAGACCCCCTTCATTTGGAGTTGATGTTTCCAGGTGGCTATCCTCAAGTTTTGTGTTCACATAAACTCTATACTTAATCATGTATTCTAAATTTTATTATTTACTGCTGATGTCGGTTTCTGTCGGATTGTAGGAGCCTCACTAGAGATGGCACCTGTCGCCATGTTGTAAAACTCACACTTGTCAAAAAGACATGGGTTAGCGTTTTCCCCCCTTCCTCAGGATGAAGCTAATTAGCTGACACAAATGGTCACCTCCATTACCAAGTAGAGCCAGGATGAACTATGTGTGACCAAGGGTATTGTCAAGTCCTCTTCCCTGAGGACTGATTAGTGTTTATCTTGAAAACATGTACTTAGGCTGGGCGCGGTGGCTCACGCCTGTAATCCCAGCACTTTGGGAGGCTGAGGTAGGTGGATCACCTGAGGTCAGGAGTTTGAGACCAGCCTGACCAAAAAGGTCAAACTCCGTCTCTACTAAAAATACAAAAATTAGCCCAGCATGGTAGCAGACGCCTGTAGTTCCAGCTATTCAGGAGGATGAGACAGGAGAATTGCTTGAACCCAGGAGGTGGAGGCTGCAGTAAGCTGAGATCTTGCCACTGCACTCTAGCCTGGGCAACAGAGTGAGACTCTTGTCTCCAAAAAAAAGAAAGAAAAAAGACAAAAGAAAACATGTACTTAATGGGTTGTATAGAACAGTGAAGTTTCTCTCTCTGTTTTCAACCTCTCAACTGTTTGCCTCTATTTCCCATTACATTCAGGTCTAAGGCTCTTTATTAATAAAATGGTTGTTATTTCCTTCTCTGTTATCATAGTGAAGATGATTTTTCATCTGGGGAAGATTTTTTAGTTTTCAATTGTATTTTCTCAACATTTAAAAAGTGAAGTAAAGAGTATTTCTTGGGCCCGGCACGGTGACTCACGCCTGTAATCCCAGCACTTCGGAAGGCCGAGGCAGGCGGATCACTTGAAGTCAGGAGTTTGAGACCAGCCTGGCCAACATGGTGAAACCCTGTCTCTACCAAAAGAACAAAAATTAGCCGGGCATGATGGCACGTGCCTGTAATACCAGCTACTATGCAGGCTGAGTCAGAAGAATTGCTTCAACCCAGAAGGCAGAGGCTGCAGTGAGCCGAGATCTTGCCAATGCACTCCAGCCTGGGTGACAGAGAAATACTCTGTCTCAAAAAAAAAAAAGAAAAAGAAAAAAAAGTAAATAAAAAAAAGAAACTAATAGATGTCATCCACAATTGTGCTGGGACAACTAACTGGATATCCACATGGAAAAGAATAAAGTTGGATCCCTATCTCACACAATGAAAATTTTATTTTAAAAATTAAAAAAAAAAGAGATGAGGAAGGGATCCCTGCGGCAGGGGGTGTTACTTTGTCACTCAGGCTGGCTTGGACCTCCGGGCTCAATGATCCTCCCGCCACTGCTTCCTGAGTAGCTGGACCTCAGGCTCCCGCCCCCACTTCCACATTTCTGCTGTGTTTAAGTAGCAGGTGGTGACCTCACTCCTCCCTGGCCTGAACACTCCCTCCGGCATCCCAGGCGGTGGCCCTAGGGAAGTCTCTGAAGCTGAGCACAGGGTGGACTCTCCCTCCGAAGCAAATGGAGAATAGAAAGGGAGAGATTTCTATTCTGTTCTGTGTACCATCAGCATGAGATCGTACTTTCTGCCTAGGCAGGGCTTTGCATTTCACGTTCTAGTTTGCATCCCTGTTCCAGACAATTCCAGGGCTTTTGAATCATGCCTCAGCCTTCCTGGCCACTCTTGCCTCCGGTGTAGCAGGACGAGCCACAGACAAAACCTCTCAGACACCGAGTTGTAGAAGGAAGGGCTTTATTCAGCTGGGAGCATCGGCAAGCTGCCTTAAAATCCGAGCTCCCCGGGTGCACAATTTCTGTCCCTTTTAAGGGCTCACAACACTAAAGATTTCACATAAAAGGGTCGTGATTGAGCAATCTAGGGGATACGTAACAGGGACTACAGTCCCAGATATATACACAGGGGTTTCGTGCACTGGTAGAGAGAAACAGAACAGGGCAGGGAGTTTCATAATGTTCTTCTATACAATGTCTGGAATCTATGAAAAACATTGGTTTCTAAGTTATGAGTTGATTTTTAACTATTGGGTTTAGGCCAGGCAGGCCCAGGCCTGGTTTTGGGCGTGGCGCAGGGCTGCCTGTCTTCGGTTTTACTTCCTTGTTGTTTTTTTTCTTAAAACAGGTACTGAGTATAAAACAATATAAAACAATATGAGAGGGTCTGTCTCTTCCCTCACCAAAACCCGAAAAACAGCGGCTAGGTACGCGGCTGAGAGAAGCACAGATCCGCCCCCGCCCCGCGTCTGCCGGTTCTACAGGGCAGGTCTCTCCGCCTGGCGCCCCGCCCCTACCTCGCCCAGGCCCCGCCCCTACCTCGCCCAGGCCCCGCCCACCTCGTTGGCTCCACGGAGGCCTGGCTTCTGTCCTGTGCTTGTAGATTCGCCCGGACCAGGAAGCGGATCGCGTGGACTGGAAGTCACACTGCGGCGGTGAGTTTTGCTCTGTGTTGTATTGAGGCTGTGCCTCCAGGTCCCCGGCAATTCTGTACCTGGGATGTGGGGTCTCCACAGACCTGGAAATTCTCGCCCTTCTTCCTTCAACAAGAGCAAATGGAGACATTCCCCTAGGAGTCCGGAAGTCACTTCCTTTTGGGTTTAAAGTCGCCCTGAGGCTGCCCTGTCCTCGGTCTTTTTGCTATAGGGCAATGTATACAGTTTGTATCGCGTAGTTTTCCCGTTCACAACCGTTTGTTGACTCCTCCCACCCCGCGCTTTTTAAAGTCCTCACCCGAGAGGTGGATCCCTGCTCTGGCGCTTCCCAGCCTCACCCTCGTCGGCCCCTGGAGCCCAGCGCTGACACCACAGTCCCAGGGAGGCCGCGTTCTCTGCCCGGTGGTGGGATCCTGCGGACCCCACCCTTGTCCGAAGGCGTCATCTCCCCCCCACCTCCCTCCTCATGCCGGGCCCTGTTGCTCCCCAAGTCTCCCCTCCGCAGTCACCGCTTTCCCTGAGCCCGCGTTGGGGAGGTACCCGGGGCCTGTCCTGTGACACGGGGTGTTCTTGCCTGCCCAGCTCCAGCCCCTGGAAAATGCGCTTCTCTGGGATGCAGGCGTCTTACTCCAAACCCTCCTGTGATTGTGTGGGCCAAAGGGATCAGGAGACAGAGAGAGGGAATCAGAGAGCAGTAGAAAACCTGAGACAGATAAAAGAAGAAGGAGAAAGACCCATAACAGATGGCAAAGTAGGGGATGGTCAGGGATTTGCCAAGAGACAGCAAAAGTGAAAAAACAAAAGATAACAAAGCAGGAGGAGAAAAGCAACTGGAGAAATGTAGAGAAAAGCTGGATGTACAGAGAGATGAAGGACAGACAGCAAGGTAGGGAGAGGGGCAGCAAACAGAAAGGCTCATGAGAATGAGGGAGAGGAGGAGGGATTTGGAGCCAGGGCAGACAGAGCAGAGTGGTGCTGGTGGCAAGGAGAACAGAGGGAGAACCACAGCAGGGAGGACACCTGGGAAATCTGGGGTGCCAGAGAGTGGGGCCAGGGGGGTATAACGGGGAAGAGAGAATTTAACAGGGAGAGCTCAGGAGAGATGGGAGAAGAGGTGGAAATCTATGGACATTGAGAACAATCTAAAGATTGGGGAAAAGGAGCAACAAGAGGTTAAATAAGCTGTGGATGGAGTCCAGCTAATTTTTGTATTTTTAGTAGAGACAGGATTTCACCATGTTGGCCAGGCTGGTCTCAAACTCCTGACTTCAGGTGATCCACCTGCCTCGACCTCCCAAAGTGCTGGGAATACAGGTGTGAGCCATCACACCTGGCCACCTATGTATTCTTGAATGAAAAAAGTTACTTCTGTCTTAGTTCAACAGCTGACTCTCTTTCCCTGTTTTCTTTTCTTTCTTTCTTTCTTTCTTTTCTTTTATGAGATGCAGTTTTGCTCTTGTTGCCCAGGCTGAAGTGCAATGGCACGATCTTGGCTCACTGCAATCGCCACCTCCCTGGTTCAAGTGATTCTCCTGCCTCAGCCTTGCTGAGTAGCTGGGATTACAGCCATTCGCCACCATGCCTGGATAATTTTTGTATTTTCAGTAGAAACGGGGTTCCTCCATGTAGGTCAGGCTGGTCTACAATTGCTGAACTCAGGTGATCCACCTACCTCGGCCTCCCTATTTTCAAGGTCAATAGCTGTGTGTTTACACTTTTGCATTTTGTAAATGTTACTGTAATTTTCTTGTAAGGAAAAATTAAATGTTAGGAATTAATGGCATCAGAACCTTGCAAAAGAAGTTTCTTTAGCCCAGGTATGTGAAAGATGCTTCTCTAATTTTCAAGGATGGGGTGATAAAGACCAACCCTTCCCATTAGCCCTTCCAGGCCCCCATGTAAGAATTCAGGCACATCTTCTTACTCATCTCAGACCTTCTCAGGGTAACTCGGTGAAAATGTTTTCACTGTGAGGACATCACAGCTAAATCTAAAGTAAGTCATGTCATTCCCTGGCAGGGAACCCTCCACTGGCTTCCTGTGTTCCCCAGGACAAAAGCCCATCTCCTCACTGTGGCTCCACAGCCCTGTGTCCAGGGCCCCTGCCAGTGTCCAGCCTCCTCCTGGGAGCTTGCCCCCATCTCATGAATCCCTCTGCCCCAGTCACATTTGCTTTTCTCTTTTCCCAGATATCAAAATACTTCCTGTCTCAGGTCATTGTCCTGCTCTTATCCTATGTCCCTAAATGGTGACAGCCCTGTCCCTTTCTCCTCCTTCAGATCTAGGCTCAGAGATATCTCCCATGTCCTCCCACTGCCATCTGAAGTTCCCTCTGCCCATCAGTCTCTATCACGTTACTCAGGTTTATTATCTCTGCATCAACCACATCAGAAATGAAGATTTTTTTTTTTTTTTTTTTTTTTTTTTTTTAATATTTGAAGAGATTTATTCTGAGCCAAACATGAGTGACCCTGACCTGTGACACAGCCTCAGGGGGTCCCAGGAACACATGCCCAAGGTGGTCGGGGCGCAGCTTGGTTTTATACATTTTAGGGAGACAGGAGACATCAATCAAATACATTAAAGAAAGACATTGTTTGGTCCAGAAGGGCGAGACAACTCAAAGGGGTGGTGGGCAGGCCTCCAGGCTATAGGTAAATTTAAACATTTTCTGGTTGACAATTGGTTGAGTTTGTCTAAAAACCTGGGATCCATAGAAAGGAAATGTTCAGGTTAAGAGAAAAGATTGTGGAGGCTAAAGTTTCTTTGAGGTCTTACAATGGCTGCCCTTAGAGAGACAGTAAGTGACAAATAATTCCTTTTTTTTTTTTTTTTCCTTTTCTTTTTTTTTCTTTTTTTTTTTTTTTTTTTTTTTTTTTGCCTTCAAGCATCTGTTTAACAAAGCACATCTTGCACCGCCCTTAATCCATTTAACCCTGAGTGGACACAGCACATGTTTCAGAGAGCACAGGGTTGGGGATAAGGTCACAGATCAACAGGATCCCAAGGCAGAAGAATTTTTCTTAGTACAGAACAAAATGAAAAGTCTCCCATGTCTACTTCCATCCACACAGACCCGGCAACCACCCGGCCTCTCAATTTTTTCCCCACCTTTCCCGCCTTTCTATTCCACAAAACCTCCATTGTCATCATGGCCCATCCCCAATGAGCCGCTGGGCACACGTCCCAGACGGGGTCGTGGCCGGGCAGAGGGGCTCCTCACTTCCCAGTAGGGGCGGCCGGGCAGAGGCGCCCCTCACCTCCTGGATAGGGCGGCTGGCCGGGCGGGGGGCTGACCCCCCAACCTCCCTCCCGGACGGGGCGGCTGGCCGGGCAGAGGGGTCCTCACTTCCCAGTAGGGGCGGCCGGGCAGAGGCGCCCCTCACCTCCCGGACGGGGCGGCTGGCCGGGCAGAGGGGCTCCTCACTTCCCAGACGGGGTGGCTGCCGGACGGAGGGGCTCCTCACTTCTCAGACGGGGCGGTTGCCAGGCAGAGGGTTTCCTCACTTCTCAGACGGGGCGGCCGGGCAGAGACGCTCCTCACCTCCCAGACAGGGTTGCGGCCCAGCAGAGGCGCTCCTCACATCCCAGACAGGGCGGCGGGGCAGAGGTGCTCCCCACATCTCAGACGATGGGTGGCCGGGCAGAGACACTCCTCACTTCCTAGATGGGATGGCGGCGGGGAAGAGGCGCTCCTCGCTTCCTAGATGGGATGGCGGCCGGGCAGAGACGCTCCTCACTTTCCAGACTGGGCAGCCAGGCAGAGACGCTCCTCACTTCCCAGATGGGGTGGCGGCTGGGCAGAGCCTGCAATCTCGGCACTTTGGGGGGCCAAGGCAGGCGGCTGGGAGGTGGAGGTTGTAGCGAGCGGAGATCACGCCACTGCACTCCAGCCTGGGCACCATTGAGCACTGAGTGAACGAGACTCCGTCTGCAATCCCGGCACCTCGGGAGGCCGAGGCTGGCGGTTAGGAGCTGGAGACCAGCCCGGCCAACACAGCGAAACCCCGTCTCCACCAAAAAAAACATGAAAACCAGTCAGGCGTGGCGGCGCGCGCCCGCAATCGCAGGCGCTCGGCAGGCTGAGGCAGGAGAATCAGGCAGGGAGGTTGCAGTGAGCCGAGATGGCAGCAGTATAGTCCAGCCTTGGCTCGGCATCAGAGGGAGACCGTGGAGGGAGAGGGAGAGGGAGAGCGAGAGGAGGGAGAGGGAGAGGGAGAGGGAGAGGGAGAGGGAGAGGGAGAGGGAGAGGGAGAGGGAGAGGGAGAGGGAGAGGGAGAGGGAGAGGGAGAGGGAGAGGGAGAGGGAGAGGGAGAGGGAGAGGGAGAGGGAGAGGGAGAGGGAGAGGGAGAGGGAGAGGGAGAGGGAGAGGGAGAGGGAGAGGGAGAGGGAGGGGGAGGGAGAGGGAGATTTTTTTTTTTTTTCAAACAGAGTCTCACTCTGTCCTCCAGGCTGTGAGTGCACTGTCATGATCTTGGCTCACTGCAACCTCTGTCTCCTGGGTTCAAGTGATTCTTGTGCCTCAACCTCCCAAGTAGCTGAGATTACAGGTGTGTGCCACGACACATGGCTAATTTTTGTATTTGTATTTGTATTTTATTTTATTTTAGAGTCTTATTCTGTCACTCACGCTGGAGTGCAATGGTGTGATCTTGGCTCACTGCAACCTTCACATCCCAGGTTCAAGTGATCCTCCAACCTCAGCCTCCTGGGTAGCTGGGATTACAGATGCCCACAAAGCCTGGCTACTTTTTGTATTTTTAGTAGAGATGAGGTTTCACCACGTTGGCCAGGATGGTCTTGAACGCTGACCTCAAGTAATCCACCCACCTTGGCCTTCCAGAGTGCTAGTATTACAGGCTTCAGCCATTGCACCTGACCCAATTTTTATATTTTTGGTACAGACAGGGTTTCACCATGTTTGCCAGGCTGGTCTCAAACTCCTGACCTCAAGTGATCCTTCCACCTCAGCTTCCTAAGTAGCTGGGGTGACAGAAACACAGATGTGCACCACCATACCTGGCTAAGTATTTGTATTTTTGATAGAGAAGGAGTTTCACCATGTTGCCCAGGCTGGTCTCAAACTTCTGAGCTCAAGCAATGTACCTACCTTGGTCTCCGAGAGTGCTGGGATGATAGGCATGAGCCACCGCACCCAGCCTCTGCAAGTGGTTTGGTCAGGTCTGGGTCTGTGCCTTGAAGGGGAGCTCATTCCAGCCCAGATCCCTACTGCTGCAGCGTGTGTGTGGGCTTCTCCAGAAGGGGAGTGGGAGTTTTCCTATAGGAGTTTATTGTCCCTGGTATGGTGGGCAGCAGAGTGGACCATATTTCCCAGGGTGAGGTCTCCTTTGTATGTGTCGTTGTTTTACAGGGAGGGGGTATGTTGACTCTGAGCAATAAACAACATATTTCTAACATTCATGATTGACTTCTAAAGACTCTGGGTATGTGAAGAAGAAACTCAGAAGAGGAAGAGGAAAGCAAAGGAGTCAGGGATGGCTCTTCCTCAGGTGAGATGATATTCTCTGTGGATTGTTCTGTCTCCTTCCTTTCAGAAATGCTGGGCCTTGGAGTTGGGAAACTTCTCTGAGTCTGAAGCATCCTGCGTGACAGGTTTGCTCACACTCACCCATGCCTTCCCTCAGTCCCTCTCATCTCACCTAGATTCCATCTCTCGTGACCCAATGACATGAACATGAGAAGAGGTTGCAGTAGGCATGGTCCTGGGAAGGGCTCACACACAGACATGGATGGAGACGGGGTGAGGGTCCTATGGTGTCAGTGGTGTTGGGCGGCAGGGATTGTTCAGGGCCGCATCTGGATGCACTGTCAGTTTTCTGTGGACCAAGATTAGAGTAGCTGCCAATGGAAGTCACATATTAATGTGCACAAAGAACATGGTAAATTCTAGAAAAGACCGATAAGAGGAAATGTTTTCTGCCTGATATTAAACTACATTTTTAGGTAATTGAGTGAGTCTGACCAACATGGAGAAACCCTGTCTCTAGCAAAAATACAAAATTAGCTGGGCATGGTGGTGTGTGCCTGCAATCCCTGCTACTCAGGAGACTGAGGCAGAAGAATGACTTGAAATCGGGAGGCGGAGGTTGCAGTGACCTGAGATTGCACCATTGCACTCCAGCCCAGGTAACAAGAGCAAAACTCTGTCTTAAATAAATAAATAAATATAATGGAAATGAATGATACATGAATGATTCCATCATTATGTTAAGAATATGGAATCAACATAAATAATAGCAGGAGATTCATTCAACCATTCTTAGCATATTACGCTCATGGAGACAGTGGTGTTACTATGGAGAGGCTCGTGAAACAGGCTTTTGGTAAAAATGATTACAATTTTTCTCAAATATGGGAGCAGTACTTTTTTTTTATTCTAGAGGATAAAGCTATATTCTCATTCCACCTATTATTATTATTTCTGTTGTTTGTTTCTGAAACGGAGTCTTGCTCTGTCACCCAGGCTGGAGTGCAGTGGCATGATCTTGGCTTACTGCAAACTTTGCCTCCCGGGTTCAAGTGATTCTTCATCCTCCAGGCCAGGCAGTTGAAAGGGTGATTGCTTCCTCTAGGATGGGGCATTTCCTGTTTTCTTAGATCTGACAAGATTCCCCCCAGCCCCCAGTTGTCAATGTGTCCTTTTCCGCCAAGGTGAGATTCCTCTTCACTTAAACAAAACTTGCTACTTTTTATATATTTAAAACCTATATATATATATATATATATATATATGTATATGTATATGTATGTATATAATACATATATATGTGTATGTATGTATATAATATATATACACACATCCCCACACATATACACACACATATATAGGTACACACACACATGTACATACACATATATATGTACACACACATATATATTTTGAAAATCTTTTATATTTTGAAAATCTGGGACAAATGACAACCCTTTGTATTAACATCTAGTTTTTTGTGAGTCTGTGTAGGTTTTATTATTTTGTGAACATTTAAAAAATGGATTTTGTACTTTGAGTAAGTTTGTTTTCATGTATTTTATTTTATTTTGAGACGGGGTCTCACTTTGTTGCCCAGGCTGGAGCACCCTGGCATGATCGTAGCTCACTGCAACCTCTACCCTCAGGGTCAAGCCATCCTCCCACCTCAGCCTTCAAAGTAATTGGAACCACAGGTGCCTGCCACCATGCCCGGCTGATTTTTTATTTTTAATTTTGAGACCTAGTTTCCGTTGCCCAGGCTGGAGTGCAGTGACGTGATCTGGGATCACTGCAACCTCTGCCTCCTGGGATCAAGCCATTCTCCTGCCTCAGCCTCCCACATAGCTGGGACTACAGGCATGTGTCACTGCACCTGGCTGATCTTTTACTGTGGACGTTGTCATCTGTGAAGACATCACTCATGCTCTGTCTCTTCGAGATACTGAATGTCACTTGGTGTGTCCATAAAAGTTTCAAACATTTCTATAGCAGGAACCCTGCACTGATTTTTTATTTATTTCTTATATTTTTTACAAACATAAGAAATTCATACTGACAGGGTGTCTTGACCTCTTCAAAAAGTATAATAAAGACGTCATGTGAGGCCGGGTATGGTGGCTCATGCCTGTAATCCCAGAACTTTGGGAGGCCGAGGTGGGCAGATCACGAGGTCAGGAGATCGAGACCATCCTGGCCAACATGGTGAAACCCCATCTCTACTAAAAATACAAAAAAATTAGCCAGGCATGGTGGCAGATGCCTGTAGTACTATCTACTTGGGAGGCTGAGGGAGGAGAATGGCATGAACCTGTGAGGTAGAGCTTGCAGTGAGCCGAGATCATGCCACTGCACTCCAGCCTGGGCGACAGGGCGACACTCCATCTCAAACAGAAAAAGAAGAAAAAAAATACATCATGTGGTGAAGAATCCCTTACTCGGATTTGTCAGAACATTCACTACAATTAAATCCATGCTTTCCCCTCTCTTCTTCTCATTTTCTGTAAAGATAAGATCTCCTCTCATAACCATTTGGTTAAAATGTGTTTTCATTTCAGGGTCTATTGACATTCAGGGATGTGGCCATAGAATTCTCTCAGGAGGAGTGGAAATGCCTGGACCCTGCTCAGAGGACTCTATACAGAGACGTGATGCTGGAGAATTATAGGAACCTGGTCTCCCTGGGTGAGGATAACTTCCTTCCTGGGGATGTTCCCTTGTGGATCTTTGCATTTTCTCTTGTTTCTCTTGGGAGTTGCATCCTTGCTTGACTAAAATGGAAGCTGTATTGATTTTGAAATGAAAAGCTTCATGATGTAGCATCTGGACTTTCACTGTCCCCTTTGTTTAGATGTTCTGCATTCTTCATGATACCTCAATGTGGGTTCCAGGACTAAAGTAGGCATAAAACTTTATGGCAGGCTGGGCATGGTGGCTCACGCCTGTCATCCCAGCACCTTGGGAGGTATGTGGATCACTTTAGATCAGGAGTTGGAGACCAGCCTGGCCAACATGGAGAAACTCAGTCTCTACTAAAAATACAAAAATTAGCCAGGGATGGTGGCACACACCTGTAATCCTAGCTCCTAGAAAGGCTGAGGAAAGAGAATCACTCAAACCCGGGAGGTGAAGGTTCTAGTGAGCCGAGAACACACCACTGCACTCCAGCCCAGATGGCAGAGCAAGACTCTGTCTCAAAAAACAAAAACAAAACCTTACTGCAGAGTTTAAAGATATCCAGTTCCCTGTTTGCTTCTCCTGTGCTTTCGATTCTGTAGTTCTTGGAAGAGAGCTCGATGTCCACATACTACATATTACAGTGCTCCCCAAGCATTCAGAATGAGGCAGTCAGTGGAGGAATTTGAGAAATATTTTCCTAGATCTATCTGCAATGTCTTCTTTCCTACTGAAACATAGGGCTGGGACTCTAGAAAAGCTCCAGCACTTCATGGTCCTTTCTTTTTATAAGTAGGAGTCTCTGACCTGTTATCTCCATGTTGGAGCAAGGGAAAGAGCCCTGGACTGTGGAGAGTGAAGTGAAAATAGCAAAAAAGTCCAGATGGGTGGGAATATATTACAGGTGTAAACGCAGGTAAGAGCTCAGATGGGCAGAGTGGAAGCTCCACCTTCAAATAGTGTGTGGGGAAACTCTCTGCAAGTGGGAGAATTCTGTGGGTAAAGGAAAGTTTCAATCCTGAGATCTTTGAAAGGACATCTTTCTTTGCCCTCACTTATCTCTCTGCTCTTTCTTTTCTTATGACAGAGTCTCACTCTGTCGCCAAGGCTACAGTGCAGTGGTGCAATTTTGGCTAATTGCAGCCTCCGCCTTTTGGGCTCAAAGGATTCTTGTGCCCCAGCTTTCTGGGTAGCTGGGACTGCAGGCTCTCACCACCATGCCCAACTAACTTTGTGTTTTTAGTAGAGATGGGGTTTCACCATGTTGGCCAGGCTGGTCTCAAACTCCTTATCTCAAGTGATTCACCTGCCTCAGCTTCCCAAAGGGCTGGGATTACAGGCGTGAGCCACCATGCCCAACCGTTATTATTTTAAATAGTTTTGTCTTTTAGTTCTTAGTAAACATATAAGTGGTTTAAGCATGATTCCAGTGTGAATATAACAACCACGTTAGTGTCCATTCCTTTCAGTACGCAGAAGTGAAGTGTGTCGTATAGATATATGGGCAGAGGTTATTGTTGCAGGTATGTTAAACATCTTAAACTTATAGTATAATAATGAAACTTAAAATTTCTGTAACCTGGCCGGGTACAGTGGCTCACGCCTATAATCCCAGGACTTTGGGAGGCTGAGCCGGGGGCGGATCACCTGAGGTCAGTTCAGAACCCGGCTAGCTAACATGCTGAAACTTCATCTGTAGTATAATTACAAAACTTAGCCAGGCACTGTGGTGGGCAGCTGTAATCCCAGCTACTCAGGAGGCTGATCCAGGAGAGTCACTTGAACCTGGGAGGTGGATGTTGCAGTGAGCCAGGATCGCACCATTGCACTCCAGGCTGGGTGACAGAGTGAGACTCCATCTCAAAAAAAAAAAAAAAAAAAAAAGAATCCATAACCTGCAAAAACTACTTCTTCTCCAGTAGAACTTTTTAAATTTATGCCAGAATTATTTCTGTATATGTTGCATTTTCATTAACATATATTTACAGTGTTTTTTCATGACTTTTAAATAATATGAAAAAAGTTTAGTTATGAAGAAAAGGTACACATATGCCAGTTTCTGTATCTGTCCTTTTATTAATTAATTTATGTGTTTATGAGACATAATTTTGCTCTCATCACTTAGGCTGAAATGTAATGTTGCGATCTTGGCTCACTACAACCTCCATCTCCCGGGTTCAAGCAATTCTCCTGCCTCAGCCTCCGGAGTAGCTGGGATTACAGGCATGCATCGCCACACCCGGCTAATTTTGTATTTTTAGTAGAGACAGGGTTTCTCCTTGTAGGTTAGGGTGGTCTCAAACTCCCGACCTCAGTTGATCTGCCTGGCTCATCCTCCCAAAGTGCTGGGATTACAGGCATGAGTCACCATGTCCGGCCTATCTGTTTTTTAATTTACCTTTACTGGAGAACTTTGTATATGCTTCTGGGTTGGAGTTACTCTTTAGCCTTCTTTCATTTATTTTTATTTTCTTTGAGACAGAGTCTCAGTCTGTCACCCAGGCTAAAGTGCAGTGGTGTGATCTCGGCCCACTGCAACCTCCACCTCCCAGGTTCAAGCGATTCTCCTGTCTCAGCCTCTCAAGTAGCTGGGACTGCAGGTGACTGCCAACATGCTGGGCTAATTTTTTTTTTTTTTTTTTTAGTAGAGATGGGGTTTCAGCTTGTTAGCCAGGACTGTCTCAATCTCCTGACCACGTGATCCTCCCACCTCAGCCTCCCAAAATACTGGGATTACTGGCATGAGACACCGTGCCCGGCCTGTCTCAATGTATTTAAAATATGTTATTGCTGGCCAGGCACGGTGGCTCATGCCTGTAATCCCAGCACTTTGGGAGGCCGAGGGGGGCGGATCACGAGGTCAGGAGATAGAGGCCATCCTGGCTAACATGGTGAAACCCCATCTCTACTAAAAATACAAAAAATTAGCCGGGCGCGGTGGCAGGTGCCTGTAGTCCCAGCTACTCGGGAGGCTGAGGCAGGAGAATGGCGCTAACCCGGGAGGCGGAGCTTGCAGTGAGCCGAGATCTTGCCACGACACTCCAGCCTGGGTGACAGAGCAAGATTCCGTCTCAAAAAAAAATAAAAATAAAGGCCGGGCACAGTGGCTCACTCCTGTGAGCCCAGCACTTTGGGAGGCCGAGGCGGGTGGATCACGAGGTCAGGAGATCGCGACCATCCTGACTAACACGGTGAAACCCCTTCTCTACTAAAAATACAAAAAATTAGGGTGTGGTGGCGGGTGCCTGTAGTCCCAGCAACCTGGGAGGCTGAGGCAGGAGAATGGCCTGAACCCAAGAGGCAGAGCTTGCAGTGAGCTGAGATTGCACCACTGTACTCCAGCCTGGGCGACAGAGTGAGACTCCATCTTAAAAAAATAAAAATAAATAAAATAAAATAAAATATGTTACTGCTATTAGATGACTTCATTTATTGCAAGTCTTACAGCACAGGCTCTTAACTTCCTTTGTTTAATAAGATTTGTCAGCCTTCGGTGATGTTGATGATAAGATGCTCTTTTTCCTGTTTCTGTCATTTCACTGTCCTGTTAGAAATAGCTTAGACTGATGCTGGGCACGGTGGCTCACGCCTGTAATCCCAGCACTTTGGGAGGCCAAGGTGGGAGGATCACGAGGTCAGGAGATCGAGACCATCCTGGCTGACATGGTGAAACCCCGTCTCTACTAAAAATACAAAAAATTAGCTGGGCATAGTGGCGGGCGCCTGTGGTCCCAGCTACTCAGGAGGCTGAGGCAGGAGAATGGCGTGAACCCGGGAGATGGAGGTTGCAGTGAGCTGAGATCATGCCACTGCACTCCAGCCTGGGCGACAGAGCAAGACTCCGTCTCAAAAAAAAAAAAAAGAAAAGAAAACAAAAAGAAATAGCTTAGACTGCTGGCTGTGGTGGCTCACTCCTCTAATCCCAGCACTTTCGGAGACCAAGGTGGGCAGATTGCTTGAGGTCAGGAGTTTGAGACCAGTCTGTACAACATGGTGAAACCTCAAATATACTAAATGCCAAAAATGGGCCAGGTGCAATTGCTCACACCTGTAATTCCAGCACTTTGGGAGGCTGAGACGGGCCAATCACTTGAGGTCAGGAGTTCGAGACAAGCCTGGCCAACATGGTGAAATCCCGTGTCTACTAAAAGTACAAAAATTAGCTGTTCATGGTGCTGTGCACCTGTAATCCCAGACTTGGGAGGTTGAAGCAGGAGAATCACTTGAACCCAGGAGGTGGAGGTTGCAGTGAGCTAAGATCACCCCACTGCACTCCAGCCCGGGTGACAGAGTGAGACTCTGGGCTGAGGAGGGAGAATCACTTGAGGTAGGAGAATCATGCCACTACACTTGAGCCTGGGTGATAGAGCATGACTCAATCTCAAAGACAAAAGAGGAAATAGCTTACACTGGGAGGCTTAAGAGACAGAAATTTATTTTTCATGAATTTGGGAAGGGAGAAATCCAAGAGCAAGGTGCCAGCCAAATAAGTTCCTGGTGAGAGGCTTCTTCATGGTTTAGCCCAGCCATCTTCCTGCCATGTCCTAACATGGTGGAAAGAGGAACAGGCAATGAGCTCTTTAATGTCTCTTTATAAATGCACTTTTAGTATTCACAGGTAGTCAACACCCATGGCTAAATTCTCTCCAAGTCTGCATCTGCAGCAACATCCTATTAGAGAATACCACATCTACCAAAGCTTATTTGAGAAGTAGTTATTTATCTTATTTTTTTGAGATGTAGTCGCATTCTCTCACCCAGGCTGGAGTGCAGTAGCATGGTCTCGGCTCACTGCATCCTCCGCCTCCCAGGTTCAAATGATTCCTGCTTCAGCCTCCCAAGTAGCTGGGATTAAAGGCACCCGCCACCATGCATAGCTAATTTTTTTTGTATTTTTAGTAGAGATGGGGTTTCACCATGTTGTCCAGGCTGGTCTTGAACTTATGACCTCATGATCCACCTGCCTCAGCCTCCAAAAGTGCTGGGATTACAGGCATGCACCACCGCGCCCTGGTGTTATTCAGTTCTTTTTTTTTTTTTTTTTTTTTTTTTTTTGAGACGAAGTCTCGCTCTAGTCCCCAAGGTTGGAGTGCGATGGTGCAGTCTATGCTCACTGCAACCTCCGCTTTCCAGGGTCGAGTGATTCTCCTGCCTCGGGTCCCCCAAGTAGTGGGGATTACACGCCCGGCTAATTTTTGTATTTTTAGTTGAGACGGGGTTTCACCATGTTGGCCAGGCTGTTCTAGAACTCCTGACCTTGGGTGATCCACCCGCCTTGGCCTCCCAAAGTCCTGGGATTACAGGCATGAGCCACCATGCCTGGCCATAGTCAATTCTTATTCCTTATAATGCTGTGTATTTTCTTGACCTCATATATTAGAAGGTAGTGATCTTAACATGTATTTCTGTTCTTATGTTGTGTACTGGTGGTAAGAACAAGTTGTGGTTTTTTTCTTAAGAGGGAATTGTTTAGAATTCTGCAGGCAGTATAAATCTACTTATTTTCTTGCTTGTTTTATCATGGGTTACAGTATTTTATTATTTGATTAATGAATTAATAATATATTTTATTAATTGATTTTATGATTTTACATGTGAGTTTTTGGTACGTGGTATGCAATATAACTGAGAGATTCCACTCATTAATGTCAAAAGTGCCCCCGGGCGCAGTGGCTCATGCCTGTAATCCCAGGATTTAGGAGGCTGAGACATGTGGGTCACCTGAGGTCAGGAGTTCGAGACGAGCCTTGCCAACGTGGTGAAACCCCATCTCTACTAAAAATTTAAAAATTAGCTGGGCATGGTGGTGTGTGCCTGTAATCCCAGGTACTCAAGAGGCTGAGGCAAGACACTCGCTTGAACCCAGGAGGTTGAGGTTACAGTGAGCCCAGATTGTGCCACTGCACTCCAGCCTGGGTGACAGAGCGAGACTCCATCTCAAAAAAAAAAAAATACAAAAATTTTTTTTAAAAAGTTACAAAGCGCCTGTTCCACATGGATATAGGTAATTTTGTAACAGTTATTCAGAAAAATATGGTATTAACATTTTCTTTTTTTTTTGAGATGGAGTCTCACTTTTTTGCTCAGGCTGGAGTGCAGTGGTGCGATCTCAGTTTACCACTATCTTCGCCTCCCGGGTTCAAGCAATTCTCCTGCCTCAGCCTCCCAAGTAGCTGGGATTACAGGCTCCCGCGACCACGCCCGGCTACTTTTTGTATTTTTAGTAGAGACGGGGTTTTGCCACGATGGCCAGGCTGGTCATACTCCTGATCTGAGGAGATCCACCTGCCTCGGCCTCCCAAAGTAGTGGGATTACTGGTGTGGGCCACCAAGCCCTGCCTTTTTTTTTTTTTTTTTTTTGACTCGAGTCTCACTTTGTCACCCAGGCTGTGGTGCAGTGGTGCGATGTTGGCTCACTGCAACCTTTGCCTCTTGGCTTAAAGTGATTCTTGTGCCTCAGCCTCCCGAGTACCTGGGATTACAGGCACGGGCCACAACACCTGGCTAATTTTTGTAATCTTTTATTATCTTCTCTGTGCTGTGATGGTTTGACAGTACAGGATTTCCATTGATTTTGGTTATCCTTACAAGAGCTTGTTGTTGATTATTTACCAATATAGTACATTGTCCGGTCCTTTAGCATTTATTTCTATACAGTAAATATGCTGTAAATATGAAGAATATATATTTTCTTCTTTTTGTTGTTACAGTGATAAATTTTTTGCAAACTGTGACACACTTTAAGGTCACAATGGAAAAATACTCCTTACTTTAGGCTTACACATGTTTGTGCCCTGTCAGTGTTTTGTCATGATATTAGAAATAGGCTTCCATAGAAATGATCTGAAGTACATGTAATCGCCCTTCATTTATTAAAGGATCTTCCTCCTTTTGTGTTCCTGAACTTTGAAGCTCATGTTTGAGATGTTTAAAATAAGTATTGTTTTTGGTGTCATATTTACACGTTTCAGTATTATATATTATCTGTACTGAATTGGAAAACTATTGGCGTTTATATTTTGTAGATATCTCTTCCAAATGCATGATGGAGTTCTCATCAATAGGGAAAGGCAATACAGAAGTGATCCACACAGGGACATTGCAAAGACTGGCAAGTCATCACATTGGAGAATGTTGCTTCCAGGAAATTGAGAAAGACATTCATGACTTTGTGTTTCAGTGGCAAGAAGATGAAACAAATGGCCATGAAGCACCCATGACAGAAATCAAAGAGTTGACGGGTAGTACAGACCAATATGATCAAAGGCATGCTGGAAACAAGCCTATTAAATATCAGCTTGGATCAAGCTTTCATTCACATCTGCCTGAACTGCACATATTTCAGCCCGAAGGGAAAATTGGTAATCAACTTGAGAAGTCTATCAACAATGCTTCCTCAGTTTCAACATCCCAAAGAATTTCTTGTAGGCCCAAAACCCATATTTCTAATAACTATGGGAATAATTTCTTCCATTCTTCATTACTCACACAGAAACAGGATGTACACAGGAAAGAAAAATCTTTCCAATTTAATGAGAGTGGCAAATCCTTTAATTGTAGCTCACTCTTTAAAAAACATCAGATAATTCATCTAGGAGAGAAACAATATAAATGTGATGTATGTGGCAAAGACTTTAATCAGAAGCGATACCTTGCACACCATCGTAGATGTCACACTGGTGAGAAACCTTACATGTGTAATAAATGTGGCAAGGTTTTTAATAAAAAAGCATACCTTGCACGTCATTATAGACGTCATACTGGAGAAAAACCTTACAAGTGTAATGAGTGTGGCAAGACGTTCAGTGACAAGTCAGCCCTCTTAGTTCACAAGACAATTCATACTGGAGAGAAACCTTACAAGTGTAATGAATGTGGCAAGGTTTTTAATCAACAATCAAACCTTGCACGTCATCATAGAGTTCATACTGGAGAGAAACCTTACCAATGTAAAGAATGTGACAAAGTTTTCAGTCGCAAATCATACCTTGAAAGACATAGGAGAATTCACACTGGTGAGAAACCATACAAATGTAAGGTTTGTGACAAGGCTTTCAGACATGATTCACACCTGGCACAGCATATTGTAATTCACACTAGAGAGAAACCTTACAAGTGTAATGAGTGTGGCAAAACGTTTGGTGAAAATTCAGCCCTCTTAGTTCACAAGACAATTCATACTGGAGAGAAACCTTACAAGTGTAATGAATGTGGCAAGGTTTTCAATCAACAATCAAACCTTGCACGTCATCATAGACTTCATACTGGAGAGAAACCTTACAAATGTAAAGAATGTGACAAAGTTTTCAGTCGCAAATCACACCTTGAAAGACATAGGAGAATTCACACTGGTGAGAAACCATACAAATGTAAGGTTTGTGACAAGGCTTTCAGACGTGATTCACACCTGGCACAACATACTGTAATTCACACTGGAGAGAAACCTTACAAGTGTAATGAGTGTGGCAAGACCTTCGTTCAAAATTCATCTCTTGTAATGCATAAGGTCATTCATACTGGAGAGAAACGTTACAAGTGTAATGAATGTGGCAAAAGTTTTAATCACAAATCAAGCCTTGCATATCATCATAGACTTCATACTGGAGAGAAACCTTACAAGTGTAATGAATGTGGCAAGGTTTTTAGGACACAGTCACAACTTGCATGTCATCATAGACTTCATACTGGAGAGAAACCTTACAAATGTGAAGAATGTGACAAAGTTTTCAATATCAAATCACACCTTGAAATACATAGGAGAGTTCATACTGGAGAGAAACCATACAAATGTAGGGTTTGCGACAAGGCTTTTGGGCGTGATTCATACCTTGCACAACATCAGAGAGTTCACACTGGAGAGAAACCATACAAATGTAAGGTTTGTGACAAGGCTTTCAAGTGTTACTCACACCTGGCACAACATACTAGAATTCATACTGGAGAGAAACCTTTCAAGTGTAGTGAGTGTGGCAAAGCCTTTCGTGCACAGTCAACACTTATTCACCATCAGGCAATCCATGGTGTAGGGAAACTTGACTAATGTAATGATTGTCACCAAGTCTTCAGTAACGCTACAACCATTGCAAATCATTGAAGAATCCATAATGAATAGAGATCTTACAAGTGTAGTAAATGTGGCAAATTTTTCAGACATCGTTCATACGCTGTAGTTCATGGGTGAACTCATACTGGAGAGAAACCTTACAAATGTCATGATTGAGGCAAGGTCTTCAGTCAAGCTTCATCCTATGCAAAACAGGAGAATTCATACAGGAGAGAAACCTCACAAGTGTGATGATTGTGAGCAAAGCCTTTACTTCACGTTCACACCTCATTAGACATCAAAGAATCCATACTGGACAGAAATCTTACAAATGTCATCAGTGTGGCAAGGTCTTCAGTCTGAGATCACTCCTTGCAGAATATCAGAAAATTTATTTTTGAGATAATAGTTCCGAATGCAATGAGTATAGCAAACCATCAAGCATTAATTGACACTAGAGTCAGTTCAGCATTGACTTGAGTTTGAGTTGACTTAACGTTGAGTTCAAGCATTAATTGACATTAAAGTGTTTATGTTAAGAGGATTAGGCTGAGTGCGGTGGCTCACACCTGTAATGCTAGCACTGTGGGAGGCCAAGGTGGGTGGATCTCTTGAGGTCAGGAGTTTGAGACTAGTGTGGCCAACAGGCGTGAGCCACTTTTCCCAGCCTGTTTTTTGTTTCTTTAACAAAAACAGATACAGATTTTTTTTTTTTTTAATCACCTGGGTGCAGGCAAGCTGAGTCCGAAAAGAGAGTCAGGGAAGGGAGATGGGGTGGGGCCGTTTTATAGGATTTGGGTAGGTAGTGGAAAGTTACAATCAAAGGGGGTTGTTCTCTGGCTGGCAGAGGTGGGGGTCACAAGGTGCTCAGTGGGGGAGTTTTTGAGCCAGGATGAGCCAGGAGAAGGAATTTCACAAGGTAATGTCATCAGTTAAGGCAGGGACCAGCCAATTTCACTTCTTTTGTGGTGGAATGTCAACTGATAGGCATTTTTATGGGTACCGTGTTGAATCTAAATCACATTGGGTTATATAATTACTTAACAATATTAATTTTTCCAAACTATCAATATGGGTTGTATCTCTATGTATGTTTTTAATCATTTTGATCAACATTTATAGATTTCAAGGTACAAACTTCTCAGCTTTGTACGTTTATTCCTAAGTATTTCTTACTTTAAGTTCTCTAGCAAATGGAAGTGTTTTTAAATTTTCTTTTAAAATTGTTTATTGTTAATGTGTGGAAATTCAAGTAATTTTTGGTGCCGATATTGTATTGTGCAAATCCACTGAATTTATTTAGTAGTTTTGAGGGAAGAGAGAGACCCTCTCATATTGTTTTATATTGTTTTATACTCAGTACCTGTTTTAGGAAAAAAACAAGGAAGTGAAATCAAAGACAGGCAGCCCGGCGCCAGGCCTGAAACCAGGCCTGGGCCTGCCTGGCCTAAACCCAGTAGTTAAAAATCAACTCATAACTTAGAAACTGATGTTATTCATAGATTCCAGACATTGTATAGAAGAACATTGTGAAACTCCCTGCTCTGTTCTTTTCCACTCTGAACACCGGTGCATGCAGCCCCTGTCACATACCCACTGCTTGCTCAAATCAATCACGACCGTTTCATGTGAAATCCTTAGTGTTGTGAGCCCTTAAAAAGGACAGAAATTGTGCATTAGGGGAGCTCAGATTTTAAGGCAGTAGCTTGCCGATGCTCCCAGCTGAATAAAGCCCTTCCTTCTGCAACTCAGTGTCTGAGAGGTTTTGTCTGAGGCTCATCCTGCTACTTTTCTTGGTTCCCTGACCTGAAAATGAGGTAACTGATGGATGGCCGAGGCAGCCCTTTAGGTGGCTTAGGCCTGCCCTGTGGAGCATCCCCGCGGGGGACTCTGGCCAGCCTGAGTGACACGATCCAAAGAGCGCTCCTGGGTAGGAAATTGCCCCAATGGAATGCCTCGCCAGAGCGGTGCATAGCAGGCCCCCACGGAGGATTAACGCAGTGGCTGAACACCAGGAAGGAACTGGCACTTGGAGTCCAGACATCTGAAACTTGGTAAGACTAATCTTTGGAACTTGCCCCACTCCACCTGAGTGGAAGCGTGGCCTGATCACCCACAGCATGCCTGTATTGGCACTTTTGTCCTGGTTTTGACTTGGCTTTACTTAGTAAGACTAGTCTTTGGAACTTGCCCCACTCCATCTGAGTGGAAGCGTGGCCTGATCACCCACAGCATGCCTGCATTGGCACTTTTGTTCTGGTTTTGACTTGATTTGAATTGTTAGATACTTTAGTTTTGGTTTTGACTTGGCTTGAATTTTTTAGTACTCAGATTTTGAATTTCATGATTTTGGTTTGGTATAAACGGTAAAAGTGCGTGTGTGTGCCCTCTTTACCCATTCTTGTGGTGAGTATGTGTGGTGTGAGCATGGCATTTTGTCTCAGAAGAAAAAAAAAACATAGTTCAGGCACAAAGTAAGCCCACCCCACTAAGAAATATGTTAAAGAATTTCAAGAAAGAATTTAAAGGAGATTATGGTGTAACTGTGACCCCAGGAAAACTTAGAACTTTGTGTGAAATAGACTGGCCAGCATTTGAGGTAGGTTAGCCATCAGAAGGAAGCCTGGATGGGTCCCTAGTTTCAAAGATATGGCACAAGGTAACCTGTAAGCCAAGGCACCCAGACCAGTTTCAGTACACAGACAGTTACACCTGGTTTTAGACCTCCTCCCCCCGCCCCCCACAGTAGTTAAAAGAACAGCAGCATAAGTGGCTGGCAGAGGCAAGAAAAGACCAGCAGAGAGAAAAAGAGGCCATCTATACCAATTCTAAGTTAATTTAGACTAAACAAGGTCTTATTAATAGCAAAGGATAATTGAAGTCCCAAACTTACAAGGTTTTCAACAAAAGTGAAGTTTGCTAAAAGTTAACAGCGTAGCATGTATTATAGTAACTTCTAATCTGGTAGCCTTAGACAGTCTAGTCCAAAGACATAAAGTTTGCTTTAAAAAATTTTTTTATGCAAAAAATGTATAATTTAAAAGTAATAAGGCCTCCTATTATTGAAGAAACAGTTTATGTACAAGGTGTATAAGAAAAGTAAAATATACCTATAGTAAAAAGATTATAAGGAGGCATAAGAATGTGGATTTTTACCTATATTAAAAAGTTAAAAAAATTATTGTTTGAAAGTTTAAGCAAGTTTTAAAACATTAATTGTAAAGAAAATTCTGTGTGTAAACATATTAGCTAAAGTTAAAAAGGTATCATCCAGTTTTTCTGTGAAACGGACATCAAAGTAAAAATGCAACAGGTTTTTTCTTAAAGCATCAACCTGCTCTTTAACAAAAATTACAAAAAGTTAAAAAGAGTCTACAAAATCTAACCTTATGGTCAAACATGAAAAATTAGATAAATATGTCTACAAAGTTTCATTAAAATTAAATTTAACATTAGTAACACACTAATATAAAAGTAAAATTTAGCTTATCTGGTATAAAAATCATACAAGAAGCATTATTAAATATAAAATGGTGTTCAGCTTTCTTTGGTCTAAAAACTAATAAAAATCGGTGCTAAAGGAAGCATTCATTTTACTAGAGGATGATAGAAGTTAAAGACTTAAAACAAACTTTGGCAATTGAGACAGCATACCAAGATGCAAATGCCTGGTTGAAATAGATCAAATATTCCATCTGCACATTAAACAAAAGCAATTGTTATGCTTGTGCACATGGCAGGCCAGAGGCCCTGATTGTCCCCCTTCCACTAAGGTGGTCCTGTAGTTGACCAGGTGTGGGCTGCATGGTAGCTCTTTTCCAGGATTCTACAGCCTGGAGTAACATATAGCTCTCTCTGCTATATCCCGAAGTCCCTGCGGATCAGCCCCCGAGGGCCTTCCAGCTTCCGTCTCCCAATACTAAGTTCACTTCTTGTATCTCACGGCAGAGAGGAGATTTAGCATTCCTTGGAGACCTGAAAGGATGCAGTGAGCTTAAGAATTTTCAAGAGCTTATCAATCGGTCAGCCCTTGTTCATCTCTGAGCAGATGTGTGGTGGTATTGTAGTAGACCTTTAGTAGGCACTCTGCCGAATAACTAGAGTGGCACTTATGGTTTAGTCCATTTCACCCTGGTATTTCATCAACCAGAAAAAAAAAAAAGAAAAACTCATGTCAGCCCCAGCCCTGAGGCTACCTGACCTGACAAAACTCTTTGCACTCTATGTGTCAGAAAGAAAAAAAAAAATGGCAGTTGAAGTTTTAACCCAGACTGTAAGGCCCTGGCCAAGGCCAGTAGCCTGACTCTCAAAACAACTAGACGAGGTTTCCCAAGGCTGGCCCCCATGTCCAAGGGCCCTGGCAGCAATGGCCCTGTTAGCACAAGAAGCAGATAAGCTAACTCTTAGGCAAAACATAAACATAAAGTCCCTTTAATAAATAACAAAAGACATCATTAGCTAATAAACGCTAGACTAACTAGATACCAAAGCTTGCTCTGTGAAAATCCCCACATAACCATTGAAGTTTGCAACACCCTAACCCCGCCACCTTACTCCTAGTATCAAAGAGCCCAGTTAAACATAACTGTTTAGAGGTGCTGGACTCAGTTTATTCTAGTGGGCCCAACCTCTGAGACCACCCTTAAACATCAGTAGACTAGGAGCTGTACGTAGATAAGAGCAGCTTCGCCAACCCCTGCAAAGTGACTCTGAAGAAGATGACAAGCCCTGCTGCAGTCACACCCGGAAGCTGACTGGTCCACGCACGACTGAAGCAGGAAGAAACTCATCGCAGGACTCATTTTCCTTAAAATTTAGACTTGTACAGTAAGGACTTCAACTGACCTTCCTCAGACAAAGAACTGTTTCCAGTATCTACATCAAGTCACTGAAGTTAGACAAAAGATTGCTACAGTCCTATTATTTTATAGTTATTATAAGTGTACCAGGATTCTAAAAGAAATTTGTTTGTATAATGCTATTCTATCCAAAGTATGTAGCCCAAGGAATAACCAACCTGATGTGTGTTATAACCCATTTTAAGCCTCCCATGATTACAGTTTTTAAAATAAAATTAAAGACTAGTCTTTTTCTAAGTGACACAAGTAAAATAATAGCTAGAACAGAAGAGGGGTCCCCAAAAATATAACCTTAAAATTTGATGCTTGTGCCACTATTGATAGTAAGCAGCATAGAATAAGATGCAGTTCTCTAAATTAGAAAAAAAGTTACACAGTTAAAAAAAAAAATAAGTATATCTGTCAAGAATCATATTTATGTGAGATGTGTCAATACTAGTCTTATGTCATTTGGGCTACTTAAAAAGAAGATAAAAATAATCCTGTTTAGCTCCAAAAAAGAAAAGTCAGCCCCTCTTGCATGAGTGGGGGCTGCAGCCTTTTAAAATTGATAATCACAAACCCATCAGACCCAAAGTACAATTAAAAAAAAAATGTAAATTAAGCATTGATGAAAAAAAACTAGATCCTAGCGTAAACATCCTAATAAAAAAAGAAGTTGAAAAATGCTCTCCAGAACCAGTATTTCAGGCTTTCTATGATGAAATAAATGTGCCAGTACCTAAGATTCCAGGAAAAACTAAAAATTTGTTTTTGCAATTAGCCTAACATGAGGCCCAGTCTCTACAAGTCACCTCATGTTATGTTTGTAGAAGAACTGTAACAAGAGATCAATGGCCATAGGAAGCCCGAGAATTAGTTCCTACAAACCCAGTTCCTGATGAATTCCCAGCCCAAAAGAACCACCCTGACAATTTTTAAGTTCTAAAAGTCTCAATTATTAGACGGTATTGCATAGCTAGAGAAAGAAAAAAATTCACTCATCATCCTGTAAGGCGGCTTAGTTGTCTTAGGCAAAAGTTGTATAATAGTACCACAAAAACAGTTACATACTAAAGTTCCAGTTACACAAAAAGAAATCCATTCAGTAAATTTCCAAAGTTGCAGACTGTTGAGGCCCACCCGGAATTCCACCAGGACTAGACGGCCCCCACCAGGTTATACCAGATACATAGACAGAGCTCATGCTAAGCTGCCTGATCAGTGGACAGGTAGCTGTGTAATTGGCACCAGTAAGCCATCTTTCCTCTTACTGCCCATAAATACAGGTGAACTTCTAGGCTTCCCAGTCTATGCTTCCTGTGAAAAACGAAGCATAGCCATAGGTAATTAGAAAGATGATAAATGACCTCCTAAAGAATTATATAATACTGTAAGCCTGCCACTTAGACACAAGACAGCTCATGAGGTTATCGAACCCCCATCTACATGCTCAACCGAATCATACAGTTGCAAGCTGTTTTAAAAATTATTACTAATAAAACCGGTCAAGCCTTGACTGTTCTTGCCCGGCAAGAGACTCTGATAAGAAATGCTATCTATCACCGGGCGCGGTGGCTCACGCCTGTAATCCCAGCACTTTGGGAGACTGAGGCGGGCAGATCACAAAGTCAGGAGATCAAGACCATCCTGGCTAACACAGTGAAACCCCGTCTCTACTAAAAATACAAAAAATTAGCCGGGTGCGGTGGCAGCACCTGTAGTCCCAGCTACTAGGGAGGCTGAGGCAGGAGAATGGCGTGAACCCGGGAGGTGGAGCTTGCAGTGAGCTGAGACTGCACCACTGCACTCCAGCCTGGGTGACAGAGCGAGACTCCATCACCAAAAAAAGAAAAAGAAATGCTATCTATCAAAATAGACTAGCTCTCGACTACTTGCTAGCAGCTGAAGGAAAAGTTTGTAGAAAATTTAACCTTACTAATTGTTGTCTACACATAGATCATCAGAGGAAAGTAGTTGAAGACATAGTTAAAAATATAACAAAACTGACACATGTACCCGTACAGGTGTGGCACGGACTCAATCCAGGAGCCATGTTTAAAAATTAGTTCCCAGCAATAGGAGGATTTAAAACTCTTATAATAAGAGTTATAATAGTAATAAAAAGCTGCTTACTGCTCTCTTGTTTGCTACCTGTACCTCTTCAAATGATAAAAAGCTTCATCGCTACCTTAGTTCACCAAAATGATTCAGCACAAGTGTACTATATGAATCACTATCAATCTATTACACAAAAAGACATAAGTAGCAAAAACAAGAGTAAGAACTCCCACTAATAAAAAGTGAGACTCTCAAAAAGAAGAAATAAAGGAAGACAGAGACCCTCTCATATTGTTTTATACTCAGTACCTGTTTTAAGAAAAAACAACAAGAAAGTAAAACCAAAGACAGGCAGCCCCGGGGCCAGGCCCGAAACCAGGCCTGGGCCTGCCTGGCCTAAACCCAGTAGTTAAAAATCAACTTATGGCTTAGAACCCAATGTTATTCATAGATTCCAGACATTGTATAGAAGAACATTGTAAAACTCCCCGCTCTGTTCTGTTTCTCTCTGACCACCGGTGCATGCATCCCCTGTCACGTACCGCCTGCTCGCTCAAATCAATCACGACCCTTTCATGTGAAATCTTTAGTGTTGTGAACCCTTAAAAAGGACAGAAATTGTGCATTCAGGGAGCTCGGATTTCAAGGCAGTAGATTGCTGACGCTCCCAGCTGAATAAAGCCCTTCCTTCTACAACTCAGTGTCTGAGAAGTTTTGTCTGCCGCTAGCCCTGCTACACACTGTTACAATGTCAATGCTTTTTTTAAAAATCCCTTTTTTTCTTATTGAGGCGGAGGAAGGAGCTCTGGGGTAGAGGGTCTTACTTTGTCGCCCACGCTGGCCTGGACCTCCGGGCTCAGCGGTCTTGCGGCTCCTGCTTCCTGAGTAGCCGGGACCCCAGACTCGCCACCTCGCCCACATCCCTGCTGTGTTTAAGCAGGAGGTGGTGACCTCACTCCTCCCTGGCCTGAGGCCTCCGCTCCGCACCCCAGGCGGTGGCCCTGAGGAAGTCTCTGGAGCTGAGCACAGGGTGGATTCTCCCACCCCAGTGAATGGAAAATAGAAAGGGAGAGGATTTGCTATTCTGTTCTGTGGGCCGTCAGCAGGAAATTGGAGGTTTCGCTGAGGCAGAGCTTTGTATTTCGCATTCTAGTTTGCATTCCTTCCCTTGACAACTTCCAGATTTTGGACATAAATTGCTAAAATTAATTTCAATAGCAAGGAACTTTCCTGGGTCCAATGACCGCCTCACGTTGACTTCTCAGGGAGGTACTATTTCAATGACTGCTGAGCTGCTCCAGCCTCACTGGCGGCTTTCGCCTCCAAAACCTGGAAAAAAGGCGCAGAGAGCGAGATGGAGGAAAGCTCAGGACCCACCCGCTTCTCGCCCCCGCCGACCCCTCATAGCCCAGGACTCTTCTCCCAGCCAGGCCCCTTGTTTCTCAACCCCGCCCCGGCCTTGTTCAGGCCCCGCCCACCTCTTCGCGTCTCATCCCGGCCTAGTCCAGGCCCCGCCTACCTTCTCGGGGGTCCCGCCCAGGCCTGGCCTCTGTCCTGCGCTGATTGGCATAGACCCGGAAGCGGATGGCAGGGACTGAAGGTCACACCACAGCGCGTGAGTTTCGCTCTGTTTTATGTGTGCTTCCCAGTCCTGTGGTGCTGCTATACCGGGGACGTTGAGTCCCCACAGACCTGGAAATTGCGGCCCCTCTTTCTCAACCCAGAGCAAATTGAGACGTCCGGGTGAGAGTCCGTGAGTCCCTTCGAGTTTAAAGTGGCCCTGAGGCAGGTCCCGTCCTCGGTCTTTCTGCAGTGGGGTCGTGCAGACACCTCCTATCGCGGAATTTTCCTTCTCAAAACCCTTCCTGACCTGTCCTCCCGCCTCGCGCTGTTTCAAGTCCTCACCCGCGAGCTGGATTCCAGCCCTAGGCGCCTCCCACCGTCGCTCTCGGCGGCTTCAGGAGCGCCGCGCCTCAACCCCGGTTCCCGGGAGGCCGCGTCCTCTGCCTGGTCCTAAGATCCTGCAGACGCCACCCCTGTCCGAAGGCTCCGTCGCTCCCCACCTCCCTCCTTGTGCGGTGTTGCTACCTAGTTCCAACTCCTGGAAAACGAATATATGCAATCAAGAAAGCACTCCACAGAGGGGAGTGGGCCCGAGCCAGCGTCTCCGGGGACCCGTTTAGAAAGTTTTAGGGGGTTAAAGTATTTATTTTGAGGTCCCTATGGGCTACCCCTTATCTGGATGAAGGATTTTTGGCCCTTGGCCAACGAAATGCTGAGGTGAATTGGCCCGAGGCCGGAGCAGATGGGTGCCCTATGCAGATGAAGGTGTGGCCGGTGCTTGGCCATGGCCACTCCTGGGCTCTTTCCCTTTCTGAGACGTGGTGGAAGGAGGAGGGCGGTAGGGACAGCGGCCTTTGATCCTTTGTTACTCCGGATGGGGAGATGGGGTTTTTCCTTTTTGTCTAGTTTTAGAAAGTTTGCCTTAATTGGCCTTAGATTCGCTGCCCCCAGACCCAGGACCCAGGTATTTCTTTTTTATTCTTTTTTATTGGAGATGGGGTCTCACTCTGTTGCCCAGGCGGGAGAGCGGTGACAGGATCACAGCTCACTGCATCATCAACATCCTATGCTCAAGCGATCCTGTCACCTCAGCCTGCAGAGTAGCTGGGACCACAGCCGCGCGCCACCACACCGCGCTAATTTTTGTGTACTTGGTAGAGACGGGCTTTTGCCTTGTTGCTCAGGCTGGTCTCCAACTCCAGGGCTCAAGCGATCCAGCTGTATCGCCCTCCCAAAATGCTGGAATTACAGGCATGAGCCACCATGCCCGCCTTGTTTCTTAATTAAAAAATAAATAAATAAAAATAAAGGCCGTGTGCAATGGCTCATGCCTGTAATCCCAGCACTTTGGGAGGCCAAGGCGGGCAGATCACCTGAGGTCAGGAGTTCGAGACCAGCCTAGTCAACATGGCGAAATCTCGTGTCGAATAAAATACAGAAATTAGCCAGGTGTGATGTCGGGCGCCTGTAATCCCAGCTACTCAGGAGGCTGAGGCAGCAGAATCCCTTGGACAGGGAGGGGGAGGTTGCAGTGAGCTGAGATCATGCCACTGCACTCCAGCCTGGGGTGACAGAGCGAGACTCCGTCTGAAAAAAGTAAGATAACTACTTTTCAAATAAGCTTTGGTAGAATCTTATGAGCTCACATCATTGTTTTCCAACTATGATATGAGTTCAAAATTTTCTTCTTTGACCCTACATTTTATTAGATATATACATTTTTAGATGTATATATTTTTAACCATTTTAAAAGTTTCTCTATGAAATTTGTTGTGTTCAGTTTACATAGAAGACTGCATGCTTTCTAGTCTGTATCATATATTGGAAGCATTTACTAGTACCTGATAAATGATTTTAGGTTGTTTCTTTTTTTCTTTCTTACTTTTTTTTGAGACAAAGTCTCCCTTCTACCCCCAGGCTGGAGTGTGATGGCACGATCTCGGCTCACTGCAACCTCCGTCTTTTGGGTTCAAGCTCTTCTCCTGCCTCAGCCCCCAAGTAGCTGGGATTACAGGCGCCTGCCACCACGCCTGGCTAATTTTTGTATTTCTAATGGAGACGGGGTTTCACCATGTTGGCCAGGCTGGTCTTGAACTCCTGACCTCAGGTGATCCGCCCACCTCAGCCTCAGAAAGTGCTGGGATTACAGGTGTGAGCCACCGTGCCTGGCCAATTTTAGGTTGTTTCAATGTGTACTTTATAAAGATATCAAGGACCTATTTTGTTTGTTTGTTTTGAGATGGAGTTTTGCTCTTATTGCCCAGGCTGGAGTGCAATGGCGCGATCTTGGCTCACCACAACCTCCGCCTCCTGGGTTCAAGTGATCTCCTGCCTCAGCCTCCCCAGTAGCCGGGATTACAGGCATGTGCCACTGCGCCAAGCTAATTTTGTATTTCTAGTGGAGATGGGGTTTCTCCATGTTTGTCAGGCTGGTCTCAAACTCCCAACCTCAGGTGATCCACCCACCTCGGCCTCCCAAAGTGCTGGGATTTAAGGTGTGAGCCACCACGCCCGGCCCCAGGACCTTTCTTCTTTACGCTAACATCAAAATTTGGTTCAAGTAGCCTATTCTATTTTCTTTCCTTATGTCATCTGATAAAATGGTGAGCTGTGAGCTTCTAAGTAAATGTCTCCCTCAAGTTCCTCTGGTTCATAATATTCCTTGCAGATGTTGAACGATGGGCTGGATTGTTTTGGAACCTTGTTCCAGCAGAGCCCATGTGTTCATGAAGAAAACATTTGCTTACAGCTTATGACTACCATTGCCTCTCTTTCAGTGTTTTTTGTTGTTGTTGTTGTTTTGGTTTTTGTTTTGTTTTGTTTTGTTTGAGAAGGAGTCTCACTCTGTCACCCAGGCTGGAGTGCAGTGGTGTGATCTTGGCTCACTGCAACCTCTGCCTCCCGGGTTCCAATGATTTTCCTGTCTCAGCCTCCCGAGTAGCTGGGATTACAGGCACACACCACCATGCCAGGCTAATTTTTGTATTTTTAGTAGAAACCGGGTTTTACCATGTGGACCAGGATGGTCTCAATCTCCTGAGCTCGTGATCCACCTGCCTCGGCCTCCCAAAGTGCTAGGATTACAGGCGTGAGCCACCGCGCCTGGCCTCTTTCAGTGTTTTAAACACCTATAGCTATGTGTTCACACTTGTGTTTATTTTGAACGTATTACTGTCATATTTCTGGGAAAATAATTACATGTTTAGGATTCATGCCATCAGAACCTTAGACATGGAGAGAGACATTCCTTTTGCTCAGGTGTATAAAAGATAGTCCTGGAATTTTCTTTCTTTGTTTTTTGGTTTTTTTTTTTTTTTTGAGACAGTCTTGCTCTGTCACCCAGGCTGGAGTACAGTGGGGCAATCCGGCTCACTGCAACCTCTGCCTTCCATGTTCAAGTGCTTCTCTTGACTCAGCCTCCAGAGTACCTGGGACTACAGGAGCCAGCCACCACACCCAGCTAATCTTTGTATTTTTAGTAGAGACAAGGTTTCACCATATTGGCCAGACTGTTCTCTGAACTCGACCTCAAGTGATCCACCCACCTCGGCCTCCCAGAGTCCTGGGATTACAGGTGTGAGCCACCTTGCCTGACCCCTCTTCACTAGTTTTTAATT
Source organism: Homo sapiens (assembly GCF_000001405.40). Lineage (NCBI taxonomy): Eukaryota > Metazoa > Chordata > Mammalia > Primates > Hominidae > Homo > Homo sapiens. The sequence continues at coordinate 52,894,082 of NC_000019.10, read as the reverse complement.
TACATAATGAATTCTGATTTTGAACCCATGTATTGAGTTTTTCCATTTAGTTACTGTATTTTTATCCCGAGAGTTTCTGTGTAGTTCGTCATAATTTCTGTATGTTGGTTGTCCTTCTCATGTTCTTCATGCATTGCTTTTATGATTTCTTGAAGTTGTATCTTAATTCAGTGAGCTTCCAACTTTTTGGGGGGTGGAGGTGATGGAGTTTCGCTGTGTCCCCCAGGCTGGAGGGCAGTTGTGCGATCTTGATTCACTTCAACCTCTGCTCTCCGGGCTCAAGCAATTCTCCCACCTCAGCCTGGTGAGTAGCTTTGGTTGTGTCCTCTCCAGGTTTTTGCTTATACCTTCTGAACGCAAGTTAATTTAAGTGTGTGTGGATGTAATTTGAAGTATGTGCAGAAGTGCATTAATGGATAAGCCCATGATTTTTTTTTGAGACAGAGTCTCACTTTGTCGACAGGCTGGAGTGCACTGGTGCCATCTCAGCTCACTGCAACTTCTGACTCCCGAGTTCAAGTGATTCTTTTGCCTCAGTCTCCCAAGTAGCTGGGACAACAGGGGCGTGCCGAGAAGCCCAGCTAATTTTGTACTTGTAGTAGAGAGCGGGTTTCACCACGCTGGCCAAAATTGTCTCAACCTCTTGATCTCATGATCCACCGCCTCACCCTCCCAAAGTGCTGGGATTACAGGCATGAGGTAATGCGTGTGGCCAAGCCCATGGTTTACGTAGAAAACACAGCATTTGCAATATATATACATAATTATTATTGTTATTATTATTATTTTGAGAAAGTCTTGCTCTGTTGCCCAGGCCCGCATTGGGGAGGTGCCTGGGGCCTATATGGTGACACAAGGTGTTCTTCCCTGCCCAGTGCCAGCCCCTGGAAAATGGGCTCCTCTGACATGAAGGTGTCCAAACCCTCCTGTGATTGTGTGGGCCAAAGGGATCAGGAGACAGAGAGAGAGCAGTAAAAAACCTGAGACAGAGAAAAGAAGAATGAGAAAGGCCCATAACAGATGGCAAAGTAGAAGATGGGTGAGGGATTTGCCAAGAGACAGCAAAAGTGAAAAAAAAAATAAGAAAGCAGGAGGAGAAAAGCAACTGGAGAAATGTAGAGAAAAGCTAGATGTACAGAGAGATGAAGGACAGCAAGGTAGGGAGAGGGACAGCAAAGAGGGAGTCTCATCAGAGTGAGGGAGAGGAGGAGGGATTTGGAGCCAGGGCAGACAGAGCAGAGTGGTGCTGGTGGCAAGGAGAACAGAGGGAGAAGCACAGCAGGGAGGACACCTGGGGATCTGGGGTGCCAGAGAGTGGGGCCAGGGAGGTATAACAAGGAAGAGACAATTTAACAGGGAGAGCAGAGGATGCACAGAGATGGGAGAAGAGGTGGAAATCTATAGAGATTGAGGATGATCTAAAGATTGGGGAGAAGGAGCAGCAAGAGATTAAATGAGTTGTGGAGATGGAGCCTGGCTAATTTTTGTATTTTTAGTAGAGACAGGGTTTCACTGTGTTTGCCAGGTTGGTCTCGAACTCCTGACCTCAGGTGATCCACCTGCCTTGACCTCCCAAAGTGCTGGGATTACAGGCATGAGCCACTGTATCTGGCCACCCATGTTTTCTTGATTGAAAACATTTGCTTATATAGTAGTTCTACAGCTGACCCTCTTTCCCTATTTTCTTTTTTTGTTTGTTCGTTTGTTTGTTTTTTTGAGACACAGTTTCACTCTTGTTGCCCAGGCTGGAGTGCAATGGTGCAATCTCAGCTCACCGCAACCTCCGCCTCCGGGTTCAAGTGATTCTCCTGCCTCAACCTTCCTGAGTAGCTGGGATTACAACCATGAGCCACCATGCCTAGATAATTTTTGTATTTTTAGTAGAGACGGGGGTTTCTCCATATTGCTCAGGCTGGTCTCGAACTCCTGACCTCAGGTGATCTGCCTGCCTTGGCCTCCCAAAGTGCTGTGATTACAGGCCTCAGCCACCCTGCCTGGCCTCCCTGTTTTCAAGGTCAGTAGCTGTGTGTTTTCACTTCTGCATTTTATATATGTTACTATAATTTTCTTGTAAGAAGAATTAAATGTTGAAAGTCAATAGCATCAGAACGTTGCAAAAGAAGTTTCTTTAGCCCAGGTATGTGAAAGATGCTTCTCTAATTTTCAAAGAGAGGTGATAAGACCAACCCTTTCCATTAGCCCTTCTGGGCCCCCATGTAAGAATTCAGACACACCTTCTCACTCATCTCAGACCTTCTCAGGGTAACTCGGTGAATATGTCCCCACTCTGAGGATATCACAGCTAAATGTAAAGCAGGTCACATCAGTCCCTGGCAGGGAACCCTCCACCAGCTTCCCGTGTTCCCCAGGACAAAAGCCCAACTCATCAGTGTGGCTCCACAGCCCTGTGTCCAGGGCCCCTGCCAGTGTCCAGCCTCCTCCTGGGAGCTTGCCCTAATCTAATGACTCCCTCCGCCCCAGTCACATTTGCTTATCTCTTTCCCCAAACATCAAAACCCTTCCTGTCTCAGGTCATTTTCCCCGTTCTTACCCTATGTCCCTAAATGATCACAGCCATCTCCCTTTCTGCTCCTTCAGGTCTAGGCTCAGAGCTGTCTCCCATGCCCTCCCACCCCCATCTGAAATTCCCTCTGCCCATCAATCTCTATCATGTTACTCAGGTTTTATTATCTCTATCACATCAGAAACGCTTTTTTTTTTCTCTTCCTCAAACAGAGTCTCACTCTGTCCTTCAGGCTGTGAGTGCAGTCTCCTGATCTTGGCTCACTGCAACCTCTGTCTCCTGGGTTCAAGTGATTCTTGTGCCTCAGCCTACCAAGTAGCTGAGATACAGGTGCGTGCCACCCGCCACCATACCTGGCTAATTTTTGTATTTGTAGTTTTGTTTTATTTTATTTTATTTTGTTTTGTTTTATTTTTAAGTCTTACTCTGTCACCCAGGCTGGAGTGTAGTTGCACGATCTCGGCCCATTGCAACCTCCACTTCCCAGGTTCAAGTGATCCTCCAACCTCAGCTTCCCGAGTAGCTGGGATTACAGATGCCCACCAAGCCCAGCTACTTTTTGTATTTTTAGTAAGAGACAGGGTTTCACCATGTTGGCCAGGCTGGTCTAGAACTCCTGACCTCAAGTAATCCACCCACCTCGGCCTTCCAGAGTGCTAGTATTACAGGCATGAGCCACCGCGCCCGGCCCAATTTTTGTATTTTTAGTAGGGACAGGGTTTCACCATGTTGGCCAGGCTGGTCTCGAACTCTTGAGCACAAGTGATCCTCTCATCTCAGCTCCCTAAGTAGCTGGGACCACAGACACACAGAAGTGCACCACCATACCTTCCTAACTTTTTGTATTTTTGTAGAGATGGGGTTTCACCATGTTGCCTAGGCTAGTCACAAACTCCTGAGCTCAAGCGATCTACCCACCTCGGCCTCCTAGAGTGCTGGGGTGACAGGCATGAGCCACCACACCCAGCCTCTGTGTGGGGTTTGGTTAGGTCTGAGTCTGTGCCCTGAAGGGGAGCTCATCCCAGCCCAGCTCCCCACTGCTGCAGCGTGTGTGTGGACTCCTCCAGTAGGGTAGTGGGAGTTTTCCTGTAGGAGTTTATCATCCCTGGGGCAGTGGGCAGCAGAGGGGACCATATTTCCCAGGGTGAGGCCTCCTTTGTATGTGTCATTGTGTTATGGGGAGGGGGTGTGTTGATTCTCAGTGATAAACAACATATTTCTAACATTTAGGATTGACTTCTAAAGACTCTTGGTACCTGAGGAAGAAACCCAGAAGAGGAAGAGGAAAGCAAAGGAGTCGGGGATGGCTCTTTCTCAGGTGAGATGATATTCTCGGTGGATTGTTCTGTCTCCTTCCTTTCAGAAATGCTGGCGCCTGGAGTTGGGAATCTTCTCTTAGTCTGAAGCATCCTGCCTGACAGGTTTGCTCACAATCACCCATGCCTTCCCTCAGTCCCTCTTATCTCACTTAGATTTTATCTCCTGTGACCAAGTGACATGAAGTTGGGAAGAGGCTGCACTGGGCATGGTCCTGGGAAGGACTCACACCCAGACATGGATGGAGACGGGGTGAGGGTCCCATGGTGTCAGTGCTGTTGGGTAGCAGGGATTGTTCAGGGGCCACATCTGGATGCTCTGTCAGCTCTCCGTGGACCAGGATTAGAGCAGCTGCCAATGGAAGTCACATATTAATGTGCACAAAGTGCATGGTAAATTCTAGAAAGAGAGACCAATAATAGGAAATCTTTTCTGCCTGACATTATAGTACATTTTTAGGTAATTGAGTGACTTACTGTGTTTCTGACTCAAAAAATCTTACTAATTAGAATGGAAACTTCATACATAGATATGAATGATACAAGAATGATCCTATCATTATTTTAAGAATAGGAAATCAACCTAAATAATAGCAGGAGATTCGTTAGACCATTCTTAGCACATTACGCTCATGGAGACTGTGGGGTTCCTGTGGAGAGGCTTGTGAAACAGGTGTTTGTGGTAAAACTGGTTACAATTTTTCTCAAATATGGCAGCGGTACTTCTTTTTTATCCTAGAGGATAAAGCCATATTCTTATTCCACCTATAACTATTATTATTATTTTTTCTGAAATGGAGTCTTGCTCTGTCACCCACGCTGGAGTACAGTGGCATGATCTTGGCTTACTGCACCCTCTGCCTCCCGAATTCAAGCCATTCTCTGTCCTCCAGGCCAGGCAGTTAAAAGGGTAATTGATTCATCTAGGATGGGGCATTTCCTGTTTCCCTAGATCTGATGAGATTCCACCCACCAGCAGCTGCCAAAGTATCCTTTTCCAGCAAGATGAGATTCCTCTTCAGTTAAACAAAACTTGCTACTTTTTTTTTCTTTTTTTTTTGAGACGGAGTGTCACTCTGTCACCAGGCTGGAGTGCAATGGCGATTTCTCGGCTCACTGCAAACTCCGCCGCCCAGGTTCAAGTAATTCTCCTGCCTCAGCTTCCCCAGTAGCTGGGACTCCATGTGCGTGCCACCACGCCCAGCTAATTTTTGTATTTTTAGTTAAGATGTGGTTTCACCATGTTGGCCAGGCTAGTCTCAAACTGCTGACCTCATGATCCACCCGCCTCAGCCTCCCAAAGTGTTGGGATTACAGACGTGAGCCACTGCGCCCTGCAAAACTTGCTACTTTTTATATTTGTAAAACCTATATATGTATATGCATACACATCCCCACACACATACACACACATTTATACATACATACATATGTACACACACGTATATATTTTGAAAATCTTTTATATTTTGAAAATCTGGGACAAATGACAACCCTTTGTATTAACATCTAGTTTTTTTTCAGTCTGTGTAGGTTTTATTATTTTGTGAACATTTACAAAATGGATTTTTGTGCTTTGTGTAATTTTACTTTCATGTATTTTATTTTATTTTGAGAGAGAGTCTTGCTTTGTTGCCCAGGCTAGAATGCCTTGGTGCAATCGCAGCTCACTGAAACCTCCACCATCAAGGTCAAGCCGTCCTCCCACCTCAGCCTTCCAAGTAGTTGGGACAACAGATGCCTGCCACCATACCCGGCTAATTATTTATTTCTAACGTAAGCAATTCATACTGAGAGGGTATCCTGAGCTCTTCAGAAAGTATAATCAAACACCACTGGGAAGACATCATGTGGTGAAGAATCCCTTACTTGGATTTGTCGGAACATTCTCTGCAATTAAATCCATGCTTTCCCCTCTCCTCTTCTCATTTTCTGTAAAGATAAGATCTCCTCCCATAACCATTTGCTTAAAATGTGTTTTCCTTTCAGGGTCTACTGACATTCAGGGATGTGGCCATAGAATTCTCTCAGGAGGAGTGGAAATGCCTGGACCCTGCTCAGAGGACTCTATACAGAGACGTGATGCTGGAGAATTATAGGAACCTGGTCTCCCTGGGTGAGGATAACTTCCCTCCAGAAGTGGGGATGTGCCCTTGTGGATCTTTGTATTTTCTCTTGTTTCTCTTGGGAGTTGCATCCTTGCTTGACTAAAATGGAAGCTGTATTGATTTTGAAATGAAAAGCTTCATGATGTAGCATCTGGACTTTCACTGTCCCCTTTGTTTAGATGTTCTGCGTTCTTCATGATACCTCAATGTGGGTTCCAGAACTAAAGTAGGCATAAAACCTTATGGCAAGCTGGGCATGGTGGTTCATGCCTGTCATCCCAGAACCTTGGGAGACTGAGGTGTGTGGATCACTTCAGGTCAGGAGTTTGAGACCAGCCTGGCCAACATGGTGAAACCCTGTCTCTACTAAAAATACAAAAATTAGCCGGACGTCATGGTGCACACCTGCAATCCCAGCTCCTAGAAAGGCTGAGGAGAGAGAATTGCTTGAACCCAGGAGGCCAAGGTTGCAGTGAGCCGAGAACACACCGCTGCACTCCAGCCCAGACGACAGAGCAAGACTGTCTCAAAAAACAAAAACAAAACCTTATGGTAGACTTTAAACATATCCAGTTCCCTGTTTGCTTCTCCTGTGCTTTCAACTCATTAGTTCTTGGAAGATAGCCCGATGTCCACATATTACATATTACAGTGCTCCAACAGCATTCAGAATGAGGCAGTCAGTGGAGGAATTTGTGAAATATTTTCCTAGATCCACCTGTAATGTCTTCTTTCCTACAGAAATATAGGGCTGGGACTCTAGAAAAGCTCCAGCACATCATGGTCCTTTCTTTTTATAAGCACGAGTCTCTTTCTGACCTGTTATCTCCATGTTGGAGCAAGGGAAAGAGCCCTGGACTGTGGAGAGTTAAGTGAAAATAACAAAAAACTCCAGATGGGTGGGAATGTATTACAGGTGTAAACGCAGGTAAGAGCTCAGATGGGCAGAGTGGAAGCTCCACCTTCAAATAGTGTGTGGGGAAACTCTCTGCAAGTGGGAGAATTCTGTGGCAAAAGAAAAGTTTCAATCCTGAGATCTCTGAAGGGACATCTTTCTTTGCCCTCACTTATCCCTCTGCTCTTTCCTTATTTACTTCTTTTCTTTTCTTTTGTTTTGTTTTTTCTTTTCCTTCCTTCCTTCCTTCCTTCCTTCCTTCTTTCTTTCTTTTCTTTCTTTCTTTCTTCTTTTCTTTCTTTTTCTTTTGATAGTTTCACTCTTTCATCCAGGCTACAGTGCAGTGGAACGATCTTGGCTAACTGCAGCCTCTGCCTTTCAGGCTCAAAGGATTCTTGTGCCCCACCTTTCTTGGAGGCTGGGACTGCAGGCGCTCACCACCATGCCCAGCTCACTTTGTGTTTTTAGTAGAGATGGGGTTTCACCATGTTGTTCAGGCTGGTCTCAAACTCCTTATCTCAAGTGATTCACCTGCTTCGGCTTCCCAAAATGCTGGGATTACAGGCGCGAGCTGCCATGCCCAACCATGGTTATTCTTTTAAATAGTTTTGTCTTTTAGTTCTTAGTAAACATAAGTGGTTTAAACATGATTCCAGTGTGAATATAACAACCACATTAGTGTCCATTCCGTTCAGTACGCAGAAGTGAAGTGCGTTGTATTGATATATGGGGAGAGGTTATTGTTGCAGGTATGTTAAACATCTTAAACTTATAGCACAATAATGAAGCTTAAAATTTCCATAACCTGGCCAGGTGCAGTGGCTGACACCTGTTATTCCAGCACTGGGATGCCGAGGTGGGCAGATCGCCTGAGGTCAGGAGTTCAGAACCAGCCTGGGTAGCATGATGAAACTTCATCTGTACTAAATTTACAAAAATTAGCCAGGCACAGTGGTGGGCAGCTGTAATCCCAGCTACTCAGGAGGCTCAGGCAGGAGAGTCACTTGAACCTGGGAGGTGGAGGTTGCAGTGAGCCAAGATCGCACCATTGCACTCCAGCCTGGGAGACAGAGTGAGACTCCATGTCAAAAAAATAAAAATAAAAATAAAAAAATTCCATAACCTACAAAAACTACTTCTTCTCCAGTAGAACTTTTTTATTTTTGTCAGAGTTATTTTTGTGTATGTTGCATTTCTGTTAACATATATGTACAGTGTTTTTTCATACATTTTCATTTTTAATAATATGAAAAAAAGTTTAGTTATGAAGAAAAGGTATACGTATGCGAGTTTCTGTATCTGTCCTTTTATTAATTAATTAATTTATGTATTTATGAGACAGAGTTTTGCTCTTGTCACCCAGGCTGAAGTGCAGTGCTGCAATCTTGACACCACAACCTCCACCTCCCCGGTTCAACCAATTCTCCTGCCTCAGCCTGTCGAGTAGCTGGGATTACAGGCATGCGCCACCACACCCAGCTAATTTTGTATTTTTATTGTTTTATTTATTTATTTATTTTTTTGAGACAGAGTTTCACTCCTGTTTCCCAGGCTGGAGTGCAATGGTGCAATCTCAGCTCACTGCAACCTCCACCTCCCAGGTTCAAGCAGTTCTCCTGCCTCAGCCTCCTGAGTAGCTGGGACTACAGGTGCTGGCCACTATGCCTGGCTAATTTTTGGTATTTTTAGTTCAGACGGGGTTTCACTGTGTTAGCCAGGATGGTCTCGATCTCCTGACCTTGTGATCCACCCACCTCAGCCTCCCAAAGTGCTGGGATTACAGGCATGAGCCACCACGCCTGGCCTAATTTTGTATTTTTGGTAGAGACAGGGTTTACTCCTTGTTGTCCAGGCTGGTCTCGAACCCTTGACCCCAGGTGATCCGCCTGGCTTGCCCTCCCAAAGTGCTGGGATTATAGGCATGAACCACCATGCCCAGCCTACCCGTTTTTTTTATTTACCTTTACTGGAGAACTTTATATATGTTTGTGGGTTGGAGTTATTCTTTAGCCTTCTGTCATTTATTTATTTTTTCTTTGAGACACAGTCTCAGTCTCTCACCCAGGCTAAAGTGCAGTGGTGTGATCTTGGGTCACTGCAACCTCCACTTCCCAAATTCCAGTGATTCTCCTGCCTCAGCCTCTCAAGTAGCTGGGACTACAGGCGAGTGCCAACATGCCAGGCTAATTTTTTTGTATTTTTTTTTAGCAGAGATGGGGTTTTACCTTGTTAGCTGGGATGGTCTTGATCTCCTGACCTCAGGAATCTCCCACCTCATCCTCCCAAAATGCTGGGATTACCATGCCCTACATGTCTCAAGGTTTTTAAAACATGTTAGTGCTATTAGATGGCTTCAAGTATTGCAAGATTTATAGTAGAGACCCTAAACATCCTTTGTTTAATAAGATTTGTCAGCCTGTGGTGATGTTGATGATGAGATGCTCCTGTTCCTTTCTCTGTCATTTCACTGTTAGAAATAGCTTAGACTGACTGGCCACGGTGGCTCATGCCTCTAATCCTAGCACTTTCAAAGACCAAGGTGGGTAGATTGCTTGAGGTCAGGAGTTTGAAAACAGTCTGGCCAACATGGTGAAACCTGGAATGTACTAAATGCCAAAAATGGGCCAGGCGCAGTGGCTCACACCTAAAATCCCAGCACTTTGGGAGGCTGAGACAGGTTGATCACTTGAGGTCAGGAGTTCAAGACAAGCCTGGCCAATATGGTAAAACCCCATCTCTACTAAAACCACAAAAACCAGCTGTGCATGGTGACTTGCGCCTATAATCCCAGCTACTTGGGAGGCTGAGGCAGGAGAATCACTTGAACCCATGAGGTGGAGGTTGCAGGGAGCTGAGATCACGCCACTGCACTCCAGCCCGGGCAACAGAGTGAGACTCTGGGCTGAGGAGGGAGAATCAGTTGAGGTAGGAGAATCCTGCCAGTACACTCTAGCCTGGGTGATAAGAGCGTGACTCGATCTGAAGAATAAACGAAAAAGGAAGTAGCTTAAACTGGGAAGCTTAAGACACAGAAATTTATTTCTCATGAATTTGGAAAGTGGGAAATCCAAGAGCAAGGTGCCAGCCAAATTGATTCCTGGTGAGAGGCTTCTTCACGGTTTAGCCCAGCCATCTTCCTGCCATGTCCCAATATGGTAGAAAGAGGAACAGGCAATGAGCTCTTTAATGTCTCTATAAATGCACTAGTCCTATTCATGAGGAGTCAACACCCATGACTAAATTCTCTCAAAGTCTGCATCTGCAGGAACATCCTATTAGAGAATACCACATCTACCAAAGCTTATATGAGAAGTAGTTATTTATCTTATTTTATTTTTTTTGAGATGGAATCTCATCTTGTTGCCCAGGCTAGAGTGCAGTGGCACTATCTTGGCTCACTGCAACCTCCGCCTCCTGGGTTCAAATGATTCCTGCCTCAGATTCCCAAGTAGCTGGGATTACATGCACCTGCCACCACGTCCAGCTAATTTTTTTTGTATTTTTAATAGAGATGGGGTTTTACCATTTGTTCCAGGCTGGTCTCAAACTCCTGACCTCATGATCCACCCGACTCAGCCTACCAAAATGCTGGGATTACAGGTATGTGCCACCGTGGCCGGCCATTAGTCAATTCTTATTCCTTATAATTCTGTGTATTTTCTTCACCTCATACTTCAGAAGGTAGTGATTTTAACATGTATTTCAGTTCTTATGTTGTGTACGGGTGGTAACTACAAGTTATGGCCTTTTTCTTAAGAGGGAATTGTTTAGAATTCTGCAGGCAGTATAAATTGACTTATTATTTTCTTCCTTTTATGAGTTTTTGGTATGTGGTATTCAATATAACTGACACACTCCCTTCGTTAATGTCACAAACTGCCGCTGGGCACAGTGGCTCATGCCTGTAATCCCAGGACTTTGGGAGGCCGAGAAGTGTGGATCACCAGAGTTCGAGATCACAGGAGTTCACAGGAGTTCGAGACTAGCCTGGCCAACATGGTGAAAGCCCATCTCTATTAAAAGTATAAAAATTAGCTGGGCATAGTGGTGTGCGCCTGTAATCCCAGGTGCTCGGGAAGCTGAGGCAAGAGACTCGCTTGAACCCAGGAGGCGGAGGTTGCAGTGAACCAAGATTATGCCATTGCACTCCAGCCTGGGTGACAGAGTGAGACTCCATCTCAAAAAAATAAAAATACAAAATTTTTTTTTTAAGTTACAACATGCCTGTTCCACATGGATATAGGTAATTTTGTAACAGTTATTCAGAAAAATATGCTATTAACATTTTCTTTTTTTTTTGAGACGGAGTCTCACTCTGTCACCCAAGGTGGAGTGCAATGGTGTGATCTCAGCTCACCACAATCTTTGCCTCCCGAGTTCAAGTGATTTTCCTGCCTCATCCTTTCAGCTAGCTGGGATTACAGCTGCCCATGACCATGCCCGGCTACATTTTCTATTTTTAGCAGAGACAGGGCTTCGCCATGTTGGCCAGGTTGGTCAAACTCCTAACCTGAGGCGATGTGCCTGCCTCCGCCTTCCAAAGTACTGGGATCACAGGCGCGAGCCACCACCCCCTGCCTTTTTTTGTTTTCTGAGACAGAGTCTCACTTTGTCACCCAGGCTGGAGTGCAGTGGTGCGATGTGGGCTCACTGCAAACTTTGCATCTTGGCTTAAATCAATTCTTGTGCCTAAGCCTCCTGAGTAGCTGGGACGACAGGGTGGGCTACCACACCTGGCTAATTTTTGTAATCTTATCTTCTCAGTGCTATGATTGTTTGATAATACAGAATTTCCATTGATTTTGATTATCCTTACAAGAGCTTGTTGTGGATTATTTACCAATATAGTACATTGTCTGGTTTTTTAACATTTATTTCTGTATACTAAATATACTGTATATATGAAGAATACATATTTTTCTCTTCTTTGATGTGACAGTGATATATTTTTTGCACTGTGTGATACCCCTTAGGATTAAAGTGGAAAAATACTCCTTACTTTAGGCTTATGTGTGTTTGTGCCCTGTCAGTGTTTTGTCATGATATTGGAAATAGGCTTCTGTAAAAATGATTTGAAGTACATGTAATTGGCCTTTATTTATTAAAGAATCTTACTTGTTTTGTGTTCCTAAACTTTGAAGCTCATGTTTGGGAAGTTTAAAATAAGTATTTTTGTGTGTGTGTGATATTTATACATTTCAGTGTTTTATACCATCTGTACTTAATTGGAAACCTATTGGTGTTTATATTTTGTAGATATCTCTTCCAAATGCATGATGAATACATTGTCATCAACAGGGCAAGGCAATACAGAAGTGATCCACACAGGGACATTGCAGAGACAAGCAAGTTATCACATTGGAGCATTTTGCTCCCAGGAAATTGAGAAAGACATTCATGACTTTGTGTTTCAGTGGCAAGAAGATGAAACAAATGACCATGAAGCACCCATGACAGAAATAAAAAAGTTGACTAGTAGTACAGACCGATATGATCAAAGGCATGCTGGAAACAAGCCTATTAAAGGTCAGCTTGAATCAAGATTTCATTTGCATTTGCGAAGACATAGGAGAATTCATACTGGAGAGAAACCTTACAAATGTGAAGAATGTGAGAAAGTTTTCAGTTGCAAATCACATCTTGAAATACATAGGATAATTCATACTGGAGAGAAACCATACAAATGTAAGGTTTGCGACAAGGCTTTTAAGCATGATTCACACCTGGCAAAACATACTAGAATTCACAGGGGAGACAAACATTACACATGTAATGAATGTGGCAAGGTTTTTGATCAAAAAGCAACCCTTGCATGTCATCATAGAAGTCATACTGGAGAGAAACCTTATAAGTGTAATGAGTGTGGCAAGACCTTTAGTCAGACATCACACCTTGTGTACCATCATAGACTGCATACTGGAGAGAAACCTTACAAATGTAATGAGTGTGGCAAGACCTTCGCTCGAAATTCAGTCCTCGTAATTCATAAGGCAGTTCATACTGCAGAGAAACCCTATAAGTGTAATGAATGTGGCAAGGTTTTTAAGCAACGAGCAACTCTTGCAGGACATCGTAGAGTTCACACTGGAGAGAAACCTTACAGATGTGAAGAATGCGACAAAGTTTTCAGTCGCAAATCACATCTTGAAAGACATAGGAGGATTCATACTGGAGAGAAACCATACAAATGTAAGGTTTGTGACAAGGCTTTCCGGAGTGATTCACGTCTTGCAGAACATCAGAGAGTTCATACTGGAGAGAGACCTTACACATGTAATGAATGTGGCAAGGTTTTTAGTACAAAAGCGTACCTCGCATGTCATCAAAAACTTCATACTGGAGAGAAACTTTACGAATGTGAAGAATGTGACAAAGTTTACATTCGCAAATCACACCTTGAAAGACATAGGAGGATTCATACAGGAGAGAAACCTCACAAGTGTGGTGATTGTGGTAAAGCCTTTAATTCACCTTCACACCTTATTAGGCATCAGAGAATCCATACTGGACAGAAATCTTACAAATGTCATCAGTGTGGCAAGGTCTTTAGTCTGAGGTCACTCCTTGCAGAACATCAGAAAATTCCTTTTGGAGACAATTGTTTCAAGTGCAATGAGTATAGCAAACCATCAAGCATTAATTGACATCAGAGTCAAATCAGCATTGACCTGAGTTTGAGTTGACTTAACATTGATTTCAAGCATTAATCGACATTAAACTGTTTATGTTAAGAGGATTGGGCCAGGCGTGGTGTCTCACACCTGTAATCCCAGCACTTTGAGAGGCCAAGACAGGTAGGTCACTTGAGGTCATGAATTTGAGACCAGCCTGGCCAACAGACGGGAGCCACTTTTCCCAGCCTGTATGTTCTTTTATTTATTTATTTATTTTTAAGATGGAATCTTGCTCTGTCGCCCACGTTGGAGTGCAGTGATGTGATCTCGGTTCACTGCAACATTCACCTCCCAGGTTCATGCAATTCTCCTGCCTCAGTCTCCTGAGTAGCTGGGACTACAGGTGCGTGCCACCATGCCCGGGTAATTTTTTGTATTTTTAGTAGAGACTGGGTTTCACCGTGTTAGCTAGGATGGTCTCGATCTTCTGTCCTTAAAATCCACCTGCCTCCACCTGCCAAAGTGCTGAGATTACAGGCGTGAGCCACCACACCTGGCCTGTTTTTTGTTTCTTTAACAAAAAGTTATAGAAATTTCTCTGGGTATTGTGTTGAATCTACATCACATTCAGTTATAATCATTTAGCAATATTATTCCATTCAATATGGCTTGTATCTCTTATTTGCACATGTTTTTATCACTTTGATCAATGTTTGTAGATTTGAAGGTAGAAACTTCTCAACTTTTTTCATTTATTCCTAAGTATTTCTTACTTTAAGTTCTTTAGCAAATGAAAGTGTTTTTTTAATTTTCTTTTTAAATTGTTTATTGTTAATGTATGGAAATTCAACTAATTTTTGGTGCTGTTATTCTATTCTTCAAATCCACTGCATATGTTTTTTAGTTCCAGTTGCATTTTGGTTGACTCTTTGTGATTTTCTACACAGAAGATCATGTCATCTACAAAGAAATAGTTTTACTTCTTTCTTTCTGATTTGGATGAGTTTGATTTCTTTTGCTATTTCATTGCTCTAGCTAGGACAGCCAGTATTGATTGAATAGAAGGGGTGAGAGCATTCTTGCATCATGTGAGATCCTACAGGAAAAGCATTCCATTTTCCCTGACTGGTTATTTCTGCTGTGGTCATTTCATGGATGGTCTTTGTATTGTTGAGGTAAATTTCCTTCTCTTTCTATTTTGTTTAGGATTTCCATGATGACTGGATGTTGAATTTTGTGAAATGCTTTTTCTCCATGTATTGAGATGATGTGGTTTTCATCTTTCATTATGTTCAAGTGGTATATCACATTGATTTGCTTGACTATGTTGAACCATTTTGCATCCCAGAAATAAGTGGCACTTGCATATCAACAATCCTTTTTATAACCTCTTGAATACAGTTCGCTAGTACAAGGGGTCTTCAGGAAGTTCATGGAAAAATACATATTATGAGAAAATTGTGCATGATATCACATTTTTTGCACCAAGATAAACTGATACAAATCCGTTATAACATGTCTGAACAGGGTTTGGTTTGAGGCACTCAGATGGGTAAGACATGAGTTTGAAAAGAGACTCAATCAAGGCAATGTAAATTCTGCTAAAACTGAAACAAGAAGAAACATCAAATTTGCGATGAGACCAGATGCTGTGGCTCAGGCCTGTAATCCCATAATTTTCAGAGGCTGAGACAGTTGGGTCACGTGGGCCCCGGTACTCAAGACCAGCCTGGGCAGAATGGTGAAACCACCTTCTCTACAAAAAATACATAAATTAGCTGGGCATTGTGGCACATGTCTGCTGGTTCAGCTTCTGTGGAGTCTGCAGTGGGAGGATGGCTTGAGCCTAGGAGTTCGAGGCTGCAGGGAGCCATGATCATGCCATTGTACTCCAGCATGGGTGACAGAGACAGATAGTGTATCGAAAAATGAATCTGGTAAAGTTTGGGTAGAGGGACAATGAAATCATTGATGCTTTATGAAAAGGTTATGGGGACGATTCCCAAAATAAATCACCAGTTTGTAAATGGAAAACTTATTTTAAGTTGGGACAAGATGATGTTGAAAGTGATGCACAGGACAGGTGTGGTGGCTCACACCTGTAATCCCAGCACTTTGGGAGGCCGAGGCAAGAGCATCACGAGGTCAGGAGATCGAGAAAATCCTGGCTAACACGGTGAAACCCCATCTCTACTAAAAATACAAAAAATTAGCCAGGCGTGGTTGTGGGCGCCTGTAGTCCCAGCTACTCAGGAGGCTGAGGCAGGAGAATGGCATGAACCGAGGAGGTGGAGCTTGCCATGAGCAGAGATCATGCTACTGCACTCCAGCCTGGGTGACAGAGCGAGACTCCATCTCAAAAAAAAAAAAAAAAAAAAAAAAAAGAAAGTGATGCACAGAGTGGCAGGCAGACCATCCACATAAGTTTTATAGGTACAACTGTCAAAGACGACACTGGAGAAGAGCCAAGCTGGATCTATAAGGAATTGCATATGAGATGGCACACATATTCATGCTGTCTGAAGATTCAGTCACGTTACCATATCAAGCTGAAAATGTCACCACTATCTGGAGAGTTGGACATGTTTTATTGAGAATGTATTTTTTTTCTCTGGATCTGTTATGAACACCTTTGTTGGCTTGGTTCAGTAATAAATATGTGAGACTTTTCATTTAAAAAAAGTCAAATGACTTAATTCTGTATTTTAAATTCTGTTTTGTTTGTTTTGTTTTTTTGAGATGGAGTCTTCTGAAAATTTTCTCATCTTCTCTAACCCGGTTCATGACAGACCCTTGGACTTTACTGTTGTGGAAAAATCTATATAAAACAGTATCAGTGTGTCAAAGCATTATGGCTGTCACAAGCTTGTGAAAGGAAAATAAAAATTACTAAGCCAAAGAGAAAAGTCAATCTGGGAACTGCGTCAGACAAACCTGCCTTCCATTTTATTCCTAAACAAGATAGTTACAAAGATTTTTTAAAAAGCTACATATGCCCCTCCCAAACCGGGAACCTCAAGATCTCCACCCTAAAATAGTTCTGTTGAATTTCACCCTGGCGATGTAAACTGAGAGCTTATCTTCACAGATGTGGGAAAGAGCCCATCCCTCTGCACACCTGAGTCAAATGTCTATCTGATTGCTTCCCTTGCCCTATTTATGTAAAAATACAGGGTCCCTGAGCCAGCCTAAGGCATAAGTGACTTATCCCTCCTCCCTGCTCACATATAAATTGTGTATTTAGTGAAAGGCTGATCAAAGATTCAAAGAATGTTATTTGTTATCTACCTGTGACCCAGAAGGTCCCCAATTCCAGTTATTCCACCTTTCCAGACCGGACCAATGTATATATGTACTGATTGCTGTCTCGTGTGTCTGTAAAATGTGTGAAACCAAACTGCAGCCTCAACACCATGGACACACGTCATCAGGACCTCCTGAGGTTCGTGTTAATTGGCCTTAGACTCTCCCTGTCCCCAGACCCAGGACGCATGTGTTTCCTTTTTCTTCATTTCTATTAAAGATGGGTCTCATTCTGTTGGCCAGGCATGAGAGCGGTGACAGGATCAGCCCTCACTGAAGCTTCAATCTCCTGGGTTCAAGGGATCCTCCCACCTCAGCCTCCAAAGTTGCTAGGACCATAGCCAGGTGCCACCGCACCGGGCAAATTTTTGTGTTCCTAGTAGAGATGGGCTTTCACCATGTTGCCCGAGCTGGTCTTGAATTCCAGGGCTCAAGCGATCCAGCCGTATTGGCCTCCCAAGGTGCTGGGATTACAGCCATGAGCCACCATGACCAACGTGTTTCTTAATTTAAAAAAAAAAAAATAGACCAGGTGCTCTGGCTCATGCCTGTAATCCCAGCACTTTGGGAGGCCAAGGTGGGCAGATCACCTGAGATCAAGTATTTGAGAACAGCCTGGCTAACATGGCGAATCCTCGTTTTGACCAAAATATAGAAATTAGCCTGGTGTGGTGGCGAGTGCCTGTAATCCCAGCTATTCAGGAGGGTGAGGCAGAAGAATGGCTTGAATTCGGGAGGCGGAGGTTGCAGTGAGCTGAGATCCTGCAACTGCACTCTGGCTGGGCAAGAGCGAGACTCCATCTCTAAAATAAAATTAAAGTAATATAAAAAACTGCTTCTCATGAAAGCTTTGGTATAATCTTACGAGGTAACATCATTGTTTTGCAACTACGGTATGTGTTCAAAATGTTCTTCTTTGACCCCACATTTCATTAGATATATTTTTAAGCCATTTTAAAATTGTTTTTCTCTGAAATTTATTGTGTTTAGTTTACATTGAGGACTGCATGCTTTCTAGTCTGTATCATACATTGGAAACATTTTCTAGTACCTGATAAATGATTTTAGGTTGTTTCGATGTGTACTTGATAAAGATATCAAGGAACTTTTTCTTTATGCTAACATTAAAATTTAGTTGAAGTAGCCTATTATTCCATCTTCTTTCTTTATGTCATCTAATTAAATGGTGAGCTGTGAGCTGCTAAATAAGCTTTCCCCTCAAGTTCCTCTGGTCCATAATATTCTTTGCAGATGTTCAAGGATGGACAGGATTGGCCTGGAACCTTGTTCCAGCAGAGCCCATGTGTTCATGAAGAAAACATTTGCTCAGATCTCATTTGTACCACTGCCTCTCTTTCAGTGTTTTAAACACCTATAGCTAGGGATTCATAATTGTGTTTATTTTGAAGATATTACTATGATTTTTCTGGGAAAATAATTACATGTTTAGGATTCATGCCATCAGGACCTTAGACATTGAAAGAGACATTTCATTTGCTCAGGTGTATAAAATTGTCCTGGAATTTTTTTTTTTTCTTTTTTTGAGATGGAGTGTCACTCGGTCACCCATGCTTGAGTGCAGTGGCACCATCTTGACTCACTGCAACCTCTGCCTCCCAGGCCCAAAGATCCACCACAGTCAGCCCCTCAAATGGCTGAGACCACAGATGCACACCACCACGCCTGGCTAATTTTTTGTACTTTTGGTAGAGATGGAATTTCACTGAGCCCTGAAATACTTTGCCAAATAGTGTGTGGCTTTTCCTTTAGGAGAGGGTACTGCTCAGATGTAATTTGAATGTTAAATGGATTCCAGTCCTCCAAAAATGTAAAAATCACAAATACCAGAATGGAAAAACGGGATTAGACTCAAATCATCTTGAACCTATTCTTGTCTCTGTCCACACCCACTGCTTTTCCTTATCTCATCTCACAGCTTTAACCCACCTACCCATGTCCCCTGCAGGCCTCTCCACTGAGCTCTACAATCCTGTGTGCAGTTGTCTCCTCAGCTCTCTGCTGGGACATCAAACAGGCATCTCCACCTTCACGTGTCCATAAGTGACTTCCTAAACCCCCAAACACATTCCCTTACAGTCCTACATGTCTCAGATGAGGGTGACAGTGTATTTCTGGAAGCTTAGCCAAACTTGACAGCATGTATTTTAAGTATGGGAGATAAATTACATTATTTGTAAGTGTTGTCATTTATAATGTAAAGAGACATTTGCATGTATACATGAAAGGAGTGAGAAAATACATCGTTTCCAAAATTCCTTTGAGGTGTGGGAGAAAAATGTTTCAAGGCCTCATCCCTGCAGATCTGGGCTCCCAGGACCCCTCTGACTTCATCTCCTGCCTGTGTCCTCCTCGCTCCCTCTGCTCCAGCCACGCAGGCTTCTTTCCTTTTTCTGGGACTGAGGTTGCTCCTATCTCAGGGCCTTCACCTGGGCTGTCCCCCTACCTAGGACTCTCTGGCCCCTCAGCTGCAAGTGACAAGCAGCGTTTCTTCCCTAAGTCTTTGTTCTGACATCACTTTTTTCTATGGAAACTTTTGTGATCACCCACAGCCCCCATATGACATGACAGCCCCACCTTCACCCCCACCTCTGATCCATGTTGCCTGTTCTGTGTGATTCTTTTTGCTCCTTCGCTGTTCACTGGATCCTGGTGGGAAAAAGTCCCCAAGTGGAGAGCAGAGCCAGAAGGTGGGGCTGTGCTAGGCTGGCACCCACTGAGTGGAGCTCAACCCTGACTTCACATTAGGGTTCTCAGGCATTTTGCAAATACATCTTTTATGCTGTTTTATCAGAGATTGCTATTATCATAGATTTAAACCCACCCTCAGTAATATTTACTATGGCACTGGTGATCCTTATCTGTCTCCAGCATTGAAAATCAAGGCAGTTTCCTCCATGTTGAGAGCTGAGATCAGCCTGTGATCCACAGGGAGCTGAGGGGGCTGTGCTCTGCATGGGGTTTGGTTAGGGCCAGATCTGTGTCCTGAAGGTCTGTGTCCTGCTGCAGCGTGTGTGTGGACTTTTCCAGGAGGGGAGAAAGATCTGAAAATGGGTCAAAATTACCCTTGTAGGTCTTCCTGTGGCACCTTCTTATCTCCGCATAATCTCTGGTGTAGTGGGCAGCAGAGGGCTGTCTTTCTCCCAGGTGAGATCTCCCGTGTGTGTGTTTTGCCACAGAAAAGGAGGGAGTGATTTCTAAACATTAAATCTCTGATTTTTTTCACATACAGGATTGATTTCCAGAGACTTATGTTACTTGAGGAAGACACCAAGAAGGCAAAGAAAAGGAGCCAGGGATGGCTCTTCCTCAGGTGAAGTGATATTTCTCATTGGATTCTTCTGTCTCTTTCCTTTCTGAAATGCCAGGTATTGTAGTAGTCAGTCTCCTGTGAGTCTGAAGCGTCCTGCCTCACACGTTTGCTCACACTCACCCATGCCTTTTCTCAGTCCTTGTCATCTTCACTTAAATTCCATCTCCTATAACCTAGTGATGTGAGCTTGGGAAGAGGCTCCACTGGGCATGGTCCTGGGAAGGGCTCACACCAGGCATGGATGGAAATGGGGTGTGGGCCCCATGGTGTCAGTGATGTTGGGCAGCAGGGTTTGTTCAAGGGCCACATCTGGATGGACGTTTAGCTCTTTGTGGACCAGATCAGAGAAACTGTGTATGAAAGTCATACGTTGTGGGGGAATAAAAGAGAGATCAGATTGTTACTGTGTCTATGTAGAAAAGGAAGATATAAGAAACCCCATTTTGATCTGTACTAAGAAAAATTGTTCTGCTTTGAGATGCTGTTAATCTGTAACCTTAGCCCCAACCCTGTGCTCACAGAAACATGTGCTGTGTTGAATCAAGATTTAATGGATCTCGGGCTGTGCAGGATGTGCTTTGTTTAAAAAGTTCTTGCAGGCAATATGCTTTGTGAAAGGCATCGCCATTCTCCATTCTTGATTAACCAGGGACACAAATGCACTGCAGAAAGCTGCAGGGACCTCTGCCCAAGAAAGCCTGGGTATTGTCCAGGTTTCCCCCAATGGAGACAGCCTGAGATATGGCCTTATGGGAAGGGAAAGACCTTACAGGTCCCTCAGCCCGACAAGGGCCTGTGCTGAGGAGGATTAGCGAAAGAGAAAGGCCTCTTTGCAGTTGAGATAAGAGGAAGGCATCTGTCTCCTGCTCCTCCCTGGGAATGGAATGTCTCGGTGTAAAACCCGATTGTACATTCTATTTACTGAGATAGGAGAAAACCGCCCTATGGCTGGAGGTGAGACATGCTGGCAGCAATACTGCTCTTTACTGCACTGAGATGTTTGTGTAAAGTCAAACATAAACCTGGCCTACATGCACATCCAGGCAGAGCACATTTCCTTAAACTTATTTATGACACAGGGTCCTTTGCTCACGTGTTTTCCTGCTGACCCTCTCCTCACCATCACCCTATAGTCCTGCTACATTCCCCTCACCAAGATAGTAGAGATAGTGATCAATAAATACTGAGAGAGGCTGGGCGCGGTGGCTCACGCCTGTAATCCCAGCAATTTGGGAGGCCGAGGCAGGCAGATCACGAGGTCAGGAGATTGAGACCATCCTGGTTAACACGGTGAAACCCCGTCTCTACTAAAAATAGAAAAAATTAGCCGGGCCCGGTGGTGGGCACCTGTAGTTCCAGCTACTTGGGAGGCTGAGGCAGGAGAATGGCATGAACCCGGGAGGCGGAGGTTTCAGTGAGCCGAAACCATGCCACTGCACTCCACCTGCGTGACAGAGCAAAACTCTGTCTCAAATAAATAAATAAATAATAAATACTGAGGGAACTCAGAGGTCGATGCCGGTGCAGGTCCTCACTTGCTGAGCGCTGCTCCCCCGGACCCACTTTTCTCCCTCTATACTTTGTCCCTGTGTCTTATTTCTTTTCTCAGTCTCTTATCTCCACCTTCTGAGGAATACCCACAGGTGTGGAGGGGCAGGCCCCCTTCAGTACATTAATATACACTGGTATCTGGTAAATTCTGGAAAAGGAAACAAACTATGGGAGATATTTTGTGTCTGCTTTTGTAATGGATTTGAAGCTACACCAGTGAGTCAATATGTCTCTGACTCCAAACTTTCTTTTTTAAGAAAGAGGGTGTCACTTTGGGGCCCTTTCTGGAGTGCAATGGAACAATTCTAGTTTACAGCAGCCTCAAATTCGTGGGCTCAAGTGATACCCACATTAGCCTCTCAAGGAGCCAGGATGACAGGCAGGTGCTACCACACCTGGCTAATCCCAATTTCAGAGAAGGTGAGAATGAGAGCTATGTACAGAATGATGGAGGGAAACAGTAATGAAGACGAAGGGGGACCCTGGGTGCAGATGAGCGGTGAGTTGATTGGATGTGATGATGAAGTGATGACGTGTTGCTTCCTCTCTTTGTAACATAATTAATTTAAATCCCTCTGGTCCATAATATTCTCTGCAGATGTTGAAGGATGGGCTGGATTGACTTGGAACCTTGGTTTAGCAGAGCCCATGTGTTCATGAGAAAAGCATTTGCTCAGATCTCATTGCTACAGCTGCCTCTTTTTCAGTGTTTTAAGCACCTAGAGCTATGTGTGCACAATTTTTCAGTGTTTTAAACACCTGCAGCTATGTGTTCACAATGTGTACATTTTGAACATATTTCTGTGATTTTCTGGGAGTGAGTAATTACATGTTTGGGATTGATGCCATCAGAACCGTAGACCTCGAAAGAAGTTTCTTTTGCTCAGGAATATACAAGATGGTTTTGGAATTTTTTTTTTCCGAAGTGGAGTGTCACTCTGTCACTTAGGGTGGAATGCAGTGGTAAAGTCTTGGATCACTGTAACCTCTGTGTCCCAGGCTCAAGTGATCTTATTGCATCAGCCTCCCAAGTAGCTAGGACCATAGATGTGTGCCAGGATGCCTGGCTAATTTTTTGTATTTTTGGTAGAGATGGGGTTTCACCATGTTGGAGAGAGAGTGGGAGAAAATATCGCTCTGTGGCTTAGTTTTGGAGTACAATGGCACAATTTAGAGTTTACAGCAGCCTGAAACTCCTGGGCTCAATCAATCCCCACTTTAGCCTCCCAAAGAGCTTGAATGATAGGCATGTGTCACCACAAGCGGCTAATTGTTTTATTTATTTATTTATTTTGAGATGGAGTCTCGCTCTATTGCCCAAACTGGAGTGCAGTGACAGGCTGTCAGCTGACTGCAACATCTGCTTCCTGGGTTCAAGCAATTCTCCTGCCTCAGCCTCCCGAGTAGCTGGGATTACAGGCATGTGCCACCATGCCTGGCTAATTTTTTTGTATTCTTAGTAGAGATGGGATTTCACCATATTGGTCAGGCTGGTCGGGAAATCCTGACCTTGTGTTTTTTCACCTCAGCCTCCCAAAGTGCTGGGATTACAGGCCTGAGCCACCATGCCAGGCTAGACTCTGCATTTTTAATGACTTGGAATGGAATGGAAAGTGAAGATACACATCAGTGGTGTAGAATGCTTTATCACATCATTGATTGTATTTTATTTTTTTTAGTTGAGTCTCCCTCTGTTGCCCAGGCTGGAGTACAGTAGTGAGATTTAGGCTCACTGTAGCCTCTGCCTCCTGGATTACAGTGATTCTTTTGCCTGAGCACCTCGAGTAGCTGGGACTAGAGGTGTGCACCACCACACGTGTAATGGCATGATGTGATGTGTGTGCATAAATACATGGATGGATAAACCTATGGTTTATGTAGAAAACACAACATTTGCCATAAGTTTTATTTTTTATAATAATTGTAATGATCTTAAGTATTTTTCTTTTTTTTTTTTTTTTTTGAGACGGAGTCTGGCTCTGTTGCCCAGGCTGGAGTGTAGTGGCCCGATCTTGGCTCACTGCAAGCTCCGCCTCCAGGTTCACACCATTCTCCTGCCTCAGCCTCCTGAGTAGCTGTGACTACAGGTGCCTGCCACCATGCCCAGCTAATTTTTGTATTTTTAGTAGAGACGAGGTTTCACCGTGTTAGCCAGGATGGTCTTGATCTCCTGACCTCGTGATCCATCCACCTCGGCCTCACAAAGTGCTGGGTTTACAGGTGTGAGCCACCGCACCTGGCTATTTTAAGTATTTTTCATTGTCATCAACTATCACAATAATGAGTTAATAGTAAGAAGGGCCTGGGCATGGTGGCTGATGCCTGTAATCCCAGCACTTTGGGAGGCTGAGGCAGGTTCTCAGGAGTTCAAGACCAGCCTGATCAAAATGGTGAAACCCTGTCTCTACTAAAAATACAAAATTTAGGATGGGCGCTGTGGCTGACACCTGTAATCCCAGCACTTTGGGAGGCTGAGGCGGGTGGATCACGAGGTCAGGAGATCGAGACCATCCTGGCTAACACGGTGAAACCCCATCTCTAATGAAATACAAAAAACATTAGCCAGATGTGGTGGCGGGTGCCTGTAGTCCCAGCTACTCAGGAGGCTGAGGCAGGAGAATGGCGTGAAACCATTAGACGGAAGTTGCAGTGTGCCGAGATCGCACCATTGCATTCCAGCCTGGGTGAGAGAGGAAGACTCTGTCTCTATAAATACATAAATAAATAAATAGAAAATTTAGCCAGGCCCGGTGGCAGGCACCTGTTATCCCAGCTACTCAGGAGGCTGAGGCAAGAGAATTGCTTGAACCTGGGTGGCAGGGGTTGCAGTGAGCCGAGATCACACCACTACACTCCAGCCTGGGCAAAAGAGTGACACTCCATCTCAAAAAAAGAAAAAAAACCTGTCATTATTATTATTATTGTTATTACAGGCATGAGCCACTGCGCTCAGTCTGTCTCTGTTTTCACAAACACAGCTCTACCTACTCAGCCAGGGAATTCTTCACATCCATGGTCTCCTTCGCTGCTGCACTCCTCATAGACTTTACTCATTTTTTTCTGTGTGTATGAAATTCTGGAATCTATACTTGGTATATTGTTGTGTATACTCTTGAAACTAGGTATCAGAGGCCATTTAATTTAAGAGATGTAAAACTGCTTTCACCTTAGGCCACCATACTGCTGCTTTTTTGGATCTCTTTCATTCTTGTCCCTTGCCCATATTGTAATTTGCATATTTAACCTTGGGTCAATATTTTACCATTTGCTAAATTAGTTCCACTTTCTTCCAAGCTCAAGATTTGGTCTATCCTAGTGGAATTATATTCCCACAGAGGTGCATGCACAAAGTTCACTCCTACATGCCCATTACTTCCTGCTCTCCACCCTTGCCCTTCCTTTCCTGGCCTTGCCTCACATGATACATTGATCTGGATGCAAATACCAGCCTATTGACTTTGTAAAAGTGAACACCCCAATTTCCCCGTGAGCCCCTCCCCTCCAACACTACTCTCACTGAGTAAGTCAAGACCTTATTCATCCACTGGACAAAATTATTGGAGGCTGCCTAAATCAGTGTGTGCAGGGCATCATGACTCAGCACATGATCCATGAGGGATGGCTTCAGAACCACTGTCAGCAGCGCAGCTCAGCGCTTGTGTCCCAGCTCAGCCCTTGCTTGTATCCCCCTTGTAGTATTTCATTCTGTTCTCCTTGCAGCATTTTTTGTGACTGGTTGTTTTCTGTACTTTCTTGGTGGACTATTTTGCTTAGAAACATGTCGTGGGATCCTTCAGGCCAAGAATCAAGTTTGTCCCTCACTTACTGTATGTGCAAATTGGGGTCATGTACATGAACACTGTGGGCCTGCTGTACTTATTTGAGAACTTATTTGAGAAATAATGTTAATTTGCCTCCAGATTTTTTTTTTTTTTTGACAGAGTTTCGCTCTTCTTGCCCAGGCTGGACTACAGTGGCGCAATCCGAGCTCACCACAACCTCCGCCCCGGGGGTTCGAGCGATTCTCCTGCCTGAGGCTCCCAAGTAGCTGGGATTACAGGCATGTACCACCACACCCAGCTAATTTTGTATTTGAAGTAGAGACAGGGTTTTTCCATGTCAGTCAGACTGCTCTCGAACTCCCGACCTCAGGTGATCCACCCACCGCGGTCTTCCAAAGTGTTGGGATTACAAGCGTGAGCCACTGCGCCTGGATGCCTCCAGGTTTTTAAACAAGTTAGTGCTATTAGATGGCTTCACACATTGCAGCTTTTATATGACAGGCTGTAAACTGCCTTTGTGTAATAAGAGTTGTCAGCCTTCAGCAATGTTGATGATGACATGCTCCTTTTCCTGTCTCCGTCATTTCACTGTCCTGTCAGAAACGGCGTAGACTGGCTGGCCATGGTGGCTCACACCTCTAATCCCAGCACTTTGGGAGGCTGATGGGGGTAGATTGCTTGAGGTGAGGAGTTTGAGACCAGTCAGTCCAACATGCTGAATCCTTGAATCTACTGAACAAAAAAAATGGCCGGGTGCGGTGGCTCAAGCCTGTAATCCCAGTACTTTGGGCGGCCGAGACGGGCAGATCACCTGAGGTCAGGACTTCGAGACCAGCCTGGCCAACATGGTAAAACCTCATCTCAACTACAAATACAAAAATTAGCTGGGTGTGGTGGCACATGCCTGAAATCCCAGCTACACGGGAGGCTGATACAGGAGAATCACTTGAACCCAGGAGGCGGATGTTTCTGTGAGCCAAGATCAGGCCACTGCACTCTAGCAGGGGCAACAAGAGTGAAACTCTTTCTCAAAAATAAAGAAAGAAAAAAAATAAAAATAAAAGCACTGGTCCTATTCATGAGTAGTCAACACCCATGACCAAATTATCTCAAATGCCACATCTGCAGGAACATCCTGTTGGAGAATAAGAAATCCAAATATGGGCTGGGCACGGTGGCTCATGCCTGTAATCCCAGCACTTTGGGAGGCCAAGGCAAGTGGATCATGAGGTCAGGAGTTCAAGACCAGCCTGGCCAACATGGTGAAACCCCGTCTATACTAAAAATACAAATATTAGCTGGGGGTGGTGGCACGTACCGGTAATCCCAGCTACTTGGGAGGCTGAGGCAGGAGAATCACTTGAACCCAGGAGGCAGAGGTGGCAGTGAGCCGAGACCATGCCACTGCACTCCAGCCTGGCAACAGAGTGAGACTCCATCTCAAAAAATAAATACATAAATAAATAAATTAATTAATTAATTAATTAATTAAATCCAAACATGGCTTTTGGCCAATATGAACATCCAGACCAGGGAGCCTGCATCTTTTTTTATGTTTTTATTATACGATTTGTTTTATACTATGTTTTCTCTGATCCCAGTTTATCAATTTTCCCAGTACACATTCTATGTTTTATATCTTACGCATAGTGAACTAGATAACTAAGGGCAATATGTGTATATAGAATTGCCGTATTGCCTGACTGTTATTTAACTGTAGTCGTGACATCATAATTCAGCCGTCTGACACTGTTAGTCATTTCTTTTCTTTTTTTTTTTTTTTTTTTTTGTATGTTTTGTGAGACAGGTGTCTCACCCTGTCAACAGGCTGGAACTTACTAGCACATTGCAACCTCTGCTTCATGGGTTCAAATGATTTTCTAGCCTCGGCCAACTGAGTAGCTGCATTACAGGTATGTGCCATCATGCTTGGCTAATGGTTATATTTTTAGTAGAGATGGCGTTTCTCCATATTGGCCAGGCTGGTCTCAAACTCCTGGCCTCAAGTGATCCTCCCTCCTTGGCCTCCCAAAGTACTGGGATTACATGCGTGAGCCAAAGAGCTCGACATGATAAATGTTTTGTTCTGGTATTTTATCCTGCAAGTGTTAAAATGTTCCACATTTTCAAGGTAGGAAACAAGATAGTTTGCTGTTTTTCATCCTCCTTGGAGCATTTTCTGAATGAAGACGTGTGAGTCCTTCCCAGTTTTTCACCGTTACCAAGAATGCCACCCTGGCTGCCTCTGAGTGTGTTGACTTCACTACATGTATGTGGAGGGTTCCTGCAGGAGGGGTTTCACAGTTCTGACCTCAGGTGATCTGCCCACCTCGGCCTCCCAGATTGCTGGGATTACAGGCATGAGTCACTGCACCCAGCGCATGAGTAACTGCATCCAGCCTTATGATTTTATATATATATATATGTATAATCATATATATAAATATATGTATAATCATATATATAAATATATGTATAATCATATATATAAATATATGTATAATCATACATATATAAATATATGTATAATCATACATATATAAATATATGTATAATCATACATATATAAATATATGTATAATCATATATATAAATATATGTATAATCATATATATGTATAATCATATATATAAATATGTATAATATATAAATATATATGTATAATCATATATATAAATATATGTATAATATATAAATATATATGTATAATATATAAATATATGTGTATAATCATATATAAATATATGTGTATAATCATATATATAAATATATGTATAATATATA